>NC_000007.14:131881779-132506779 GCF_000001405.40 Homo sapiens
GAATTCACACACTGAAGATGGCAGAGCAGCTGGTGGCTTGAGCTCTGAATAACTACATGGAGCAGAGCTGTGCTTTCAACCTGGAAACCCATCTAGACTATCACATAAAAGGGAAATAGACTTCTTATTCTTCAGGCCACTGAATGCCTTGTGTCTGTTCTTACAGCTCTGCCTCCCCCAAGTGATACTCCCCATGTGGCCATGGGCCTGGTTGGTCACCCTGGACTCACAGTGGAAGGCTGTGAGTTCATGGAGCTGTGGTGCGGGATTGGGCAGAGAGCCCATATGCTCTTGGATGCATGTTTCACTCCTTTAGACCTCTGCCTACAAGACCCTTGCAGCAGGGGCTGGGTTCTGTTTCTCAAAGGCATAAGAGAAATAAGGTTAGGGAATTCCTTCCCAGAAACCAGATCCCCAGGCTGTTAGTCTGACTCTGATGCTGTCTGCTGTGGGGCCCACTGTGGGTCCCTATTCTACCCTACTTGTTTTCCCATTTGAAAAGCTAAAATAATCAGGGTGCTGTGTATCCCTGTGGGATAAGAAGGGAGGACTTATTAAGGACAGTGTCTTAAGGACTTAAATTTTATTTAGAGGAGAGAGAGTGAAACAATGTGGTACAAAGAGAAAGAGCCCTGGGGAGAAGCCAGGGGACATGGCAGGAACACTGATCAGATTGAAGGGGACTGTCAGTCAGGGATGTCAGCAGGTGCTGCTCCCTCCCCCAAGTCACATGGTTATCTCAGCTACAGTGTTTGGCCCCATCCCAGGGCTCAGGGTTACCTCTTGTCCTGTTGCCTGTGGCCCACAAGGTGCATGGCCAGTGGCTAGGATGGACAGCTCAAGTGACCCTGGATACTCAGAGCATCTTTCTGAGGAGCCTGGGCTGAGGCTTTTCTCAGCTGTTGCCTGACCCTCATCACATCCCTTTCCAAAGGGCCAATGACTAACTCCCTATGGGGCACCCAAGGACCACCCAACTGGAGCTACCACCTTGTTTATAGGGAGTGCTATAAATGAATGCATTTTAGGCAGATAAATGAACGCATATTTAGAGTTCATTTAAAGAGGAAAATAACTTTTTTCACATTATTAAAAAAATGCATGGCTATAGTAGAAAATGGGAAAATTCAAATACTTATAAGGAAAAAAAAAATAAGAGCTGCAATTCCATCCCCCAGAGATAACCATTGTCAAGACTTTTTATGCAACTTTTTCATTCTCCTCTCCTTCCTCCCTCTCCTTCCCTCTCCCTCGCCTTTCCCCATCTCATTCTCCCTCCCTTTCTCTTTCTCCTATCTGATAAATCCTATTATTCTGTTTATCTAGCTATATTTAAACAATATGAAATTCTATTCTACATCTTTTCTACATCTGCTCAGTTAGCATACTTCCACATCAACAAATGGAGCATCATTTAAGCCCCAGAAAAGTGTTCTGTTATATGGCTGAAGGATGGGCAAGTTTTTCTGTTATTTTTCCTCCTTGCACTCAAAGCGTGGTCCCCCAACCAGCAGCATCAACATAATCTGTGAGCTTGATAGAAATGCAAAATCTCAGGCCCCCACCCCAATCTGCTGAGAGGGAATGTGCATTTTAACAAGATTCCCAGGTGACTCATGTACATGAGGGGCTGAGAGGCTGGGCGTGGTGGCTCATGCCTATAATCCCAGCACTTTGGGAGGCTGAGGTGGGTGGATCACCTGACGTCAGGAGTTCGGGACCAGCCTGGCCAACATGGCAAAACCCCATATCTACTAAAAATACAAAAAGTGGCCGGGTGTGGTGGCGTGCGCCTGTAATCCCTGCTACTCGGGAGGCTGAGGTGGGAGAATCATTTGAACCCAGGAGGCAGAAGTTGCAGTGAGCTGAGATTGCACCACTGCACTCCAGCCTGGGCAACAGAGTGAGACTCCATCTCAAAAAAAAAAAAAAAAAAAAAAGTTTGAGAAGCGCCAGTTCAGCTGTGTGCCCAGGAAATATGAACACAAATGTTACTGAGTTCTATATTAGCTCCTCTGATTCTCAAAATAGCTTTCTGAGGCAAATGTCATCACCTTCCCTGCTTTGGTTGAGATGTTGGAAACTGAGGCACAGAGAGCTTCAGCTACCTGCCCAAGGTCACAAAGCTGGGCAAGCGAAACAGGTGGCTTGAAGCCAGAGTCCCTGCACTTCCCAAGGGCTCTGTGTGCCTCCCCACGGCCCCTGCTGTGATGGGAAGAGCCCTTGAGTAGAAATCAGCAGACCCAGGTCCTGAACTTGTCAATTATGTGAACTTGGGTAATCCATGCAACATTTAGGGGCCTGAATGTCCTCTTCAATGTTACAAGCACTAGTCTTATGTAAAATAATATGTCAGAAAAAACATTTCAAGCTTTCTTTCATTAGTAATTTGCATTCAATCAGAGCTTCTAGAAGCTCTTCCTCTCTCCCCTGTGATATAGAGTTAAGGATAAATAATGACAACAGTGTCCCTAATTTTGAAGGACAGGTGTCCTGATCAGAGAAACAATATACACACGATTATAAGACATAAGATAGCTAAAAAATATTAACTAATGTAACAAGCCACTCTATGGTCAAAGCTTAAGTACCGGAAACAAAAAACTAGAAGGAAAATGTCCTGTAGGACTCTGAGTAAGTTCTTGCAATGGGCTGGATGTTTATGTACCCCACCCCTAGAATGGATTTGTTGAAATCCTAACCCCCAAGGCGATGGTACTAGGAGGTGGAGCCTTTGTGAAGTGATTAGGCCTTTAGGGTAGAAACCTCATGAATGGGATTAGTGCTCATATAAAAGAAGCCCCAGAGAGCTCATTCACTCCTTCTGTCATGTAGGACCCCACAAAAAGGTGCCTTCTATGAACCAGAAAATGAGCCCTCACCAGATGCTGAATCTTCTTTGATCTTGGACTTCTCAGCCTCCGGAACTGTGAACAATAGTTCTGTTGTTAATAATCCTCCCAGTTTACAATATTTTGTTATAGCAGCCAGAACAGACTAAGACATCCCTTTATTTTCAGGTGTCCCATCTGTGGAATAAAAAGCATTATCTCCACCTCTCTATCCCTTGGGGGAAGGGAGATTTGGGCCTTTCACAACAGTTGTGCTTACACCAAAAGCTAAGGGCTGTGCTTGGGGCTGGTCATTGGACCAGGATTAGGGCCAACCTCCCAGGGGGCCTGGGAGCACTTCTTGACTGCTGTCCTACAAGGGCAGGGGTGCCAGAAAATCAGACCCCTGGAAGTTCCTCTTTGTTCAACAATAATTGGCCAACTGGCAAACACTGCACTAGGCAGGCCAACTAGACTGACCCCTACAGGGAGGGAGAGGTGCCCTGGTTAGCATCCTCATTAGTAGGGGAATCCAGTCAGCTCAGGAGTGCTAGCCCTGGCCTTTGCCCAGAGGAAGGTGATATCTTCTCCCACTCTGCCATTAATTGAACATTATTATATCTCCTTTGTACTTCACACTGTGCAAACCCTTGTCTCCAGGACCAAGAAGTCTCCCTAAACTATCCCCTCTCTCCCTCCACGTCATCCCCATACCCACAATCATTGCATCCTGAGGATTCTACCACTTGCATAAATGGCTCTTCTGCTCCCCAGGGCTAGACTGGGATGAGGTAAATGAGATGCCCAGGGTGTAAAATTTATGGAGACACTCACACCCAGGGATTGTGTAAGTCCTGGCCTGCCTCCTCCTTGCAGGCCTCATCACTGTCACTGCCTCCTAACTATGCTCCCTGTCTCCTGTCTTGCCTCCAACCAATACATTTTTCATATGGCAACAAGAATTTTCTAGAGCAAATCACATCTGATCACATTACTCTCTTGCATCGTGGGCTGTCCTTTGCCCAGGCACTGGCATGTAGATAAAACCTCTGTGGTCTGGCCCCTACCTATGGTTTTACTATTCCTGCTACTTATACCCTCCATTTCCACTAGATACTGGGTATTCCCAGAACAAGCCTGGCCCTGGAATCCTGAGGTTTTTCTCATTTTGAACCTTTAGAAAATGCTGCTGCCCCTTAGCCTCCTTTCTCTCCCACCTAACTGGCAAACTCCTCCCACTTTCATACCTAGCTGTAGTGTCACCCCTCATACCTCTTCCTGGAGTCAACTTTCCAGAGTTTGTGCCTCTGTTTCCCCATGGTACCGTGTGCAGCTGTCTCAGCATTTTATGAGACTAGCTACTCACATTTCCTTCTCTCCCATCAGACATCTGAATCCTGCAGAACAGTCAGTTTCTTTTTCATCTTTACATCCCAGAGCCTCATGGAGTGACTTGTAGGGAGACAGATTTCAATACTGGCTTCCTGTCTAAATGGAAACTGGCTCTGCAGGAGATTCTGAAATATGGGGAGGCAGCAGGCAAAGAGATAAAAACAAGTGTTTTTCAGATTCTGGAGGAAGTGCAGTTTAGGAAAAACAGCTTTGTTCTTTTGTCATCCCTTGTTGAGGGCCTAAACTGAAGTCTTGATCCCAGTTACTGCAAGAGGAATTTGGGTTGGTCCTTTACAATTCTCCCTTGAGGTCAAATGCTCTTCCTTCAGATCCTTTTTCATTTTCACTTTTTATTTTGAAAGAATTTCAAACTTAAAGATTTTTAAAAGAAAAGTACAAAGAATGCCCTTATGCTACCTGTCTAGATTCACTTATTGTTAGTATTTCACCTCATTTGCTGTATTATTCTCTCTCTAAAGATATCATTGGTTTTCTGAACCCCTTGAGAGTAACTTCCCCACATAAAGTCCCTTTACCCTTTAATAATTTAGTATGTATTTCCTAAGAGCAAGGACATTCTCTTCCAAAACCTTGTTACAAGTATTGAAATCAAGGCATTTCACACTGATTTGATTATTGTCAGTTAATCTACAGTCCACAGTCCAGCTTCACCAGTGGTCCCAATAATGTCCATTATAGCAATTTTGGGGGTTGTTCAGAATCCAATCCAGGATCACACATTGCTGTTGTTATGGTGTTTCTTTATTATCCTTTAATTTAAAATAGTTCCTCAGCCTTTTCTTGTTTTTCATGACCTTGACATTTTTGAAGAGTACAGGCCAGTCAATTTGCATAATGTCCCTGGGTTTGGACTTGTCTGAGGTTTCTGCTGGGTTAGGACTGTTGCGCCATGGGGAAGTCTCACATCAGGAAGCAAAGATGGGGGTTAGTCTCATTGTTGAAGACATCAGCTTCAATCCCTTGGTTAAATTGGCATCTGCCAGATTACTCTGCTGTTATGGTTTTCTTTTCTTTTGTAATTGACAAGTAACCTGTTGGGGAGATACATCGAAACCATGTAAGTGTCTTGCTATTCAACAACTTCCACCCTCAGATATTTTCCCTCAGGTGTTCCTTCACTCAGTCGCCACCCTCTCTCCTCAGCACTTTTCTTTCCTGGGGAATCTGGCAAAACTCTCTCCTCTGAATGGTTTTGGGGTACACACAGGGCTTCAACACTCTAGGACTTGGTTTCAGCTCCTCTGGGGGGTGGGCAGTGGTCCTGGTTGTCTCCAATCTACACAGTTCTTCAACTTCTTGGCATACAGCCCCTCTTGCGTTAACAGACCCCATAGCTGACTCTTCAGCATCACAGTTTATTGTTTGGCTGCCATTTTCTTCCCATCCCCTTCATTTCCATCCTCTTAGGGGGATTCCTCCTCATGCCATGTCTTCTCTTTGCCTGAGTCAGGCTGAAGGCTTGTATCTCCCTGTGGGCTCTCCGTTAGTCACCTGGGACTCCAGGAATCTGGCTCAGCTTCCTGACCATCTGGCTTTCCCTCACCCTGCTCCTAACACAAGTTAACCTTTAGAGTCTCCTGCCTGGTTTTAGTCTGTGGAACCTATTTTTTGTTCATTTGTTTGTCCATCCATCCATCCACCCATCCACCCCTCCAACTCCCTACGCATCCACTCATCCATCCATCCATCTAGTCCCTTTATATCCTAGGCACGTGCAGAGCAACAGGGGGATAGAAATGACTTAGATGCCATAGTCATAGGCATTGTGGAGCTTGGAGCTCACAGTCTACAAGGGAGACAGACTTTGGAACAAAAAAGCAAAGCACAATCTACACTGGAGGTTTGTGGAGCAGAGAGGAGGGAGCATCCAATTCCACTTGCATCCCCAAAACAGTTCATGATGGAGAGGGTGCTAGAGCTACTTATTGAAGATTGAATGGGAGTTTGTTGGGAAAAGAGCCCCTGAACAGAGGGGATGGCATGTGCCAAGACCAGGCTTGAGCAGGCAGAGTCCACTGCAGTGTGAATCCATGCAGGCAGACCTGCTTGAGGTAAGAATGGACAGAGACCCTGGAGACAGCTCCTTAGAGTCCTTTCCTGTCACACAGAGTAGTGCTGACATTATCCTTTAGGCTAAATGGAACCCAGATTTAGCAGAGGAGTGATAGGCACCATATAGCTTGATTTTTAGCTTGGTGCTTCTGGCCAGTGACGGAGGACATTCTGAGTGGGGAGATATGGGGATCTGACACAGATGGGGCCCCAGGTGAGAAGCAGCAAGGGCCCCCATGGTGACAGTGAACGCCAGGATGAGGGGAACTTGGAGACATTTCTAGCTTAGAATCAACAGGTCTTGGTGACTAATTTGATGTGGGATAAGGGAAAAGGGTATCTGTGGTGATCCCTCCCAGGTTTCTCTCTATAGTGAGTGGATAGTAGGTTATCTTCTAGAGATGGGGGAGTACAAACAAGGAACAGGTTTAGGGTAGAGAAGTGATGAGTCCAGTCATGCTGCCTGGCTCCCTCAGCAATCATGGTGCATCCTAGCAGCTCTGTTTGCCTGGAATGTGTGCCTCACATTTATTGTCTGCCAAATACCCCGGCTTCTTCCTGAAACAATCTCCTAAAATCATAAAGATGATGACCTGAGCTCGGTGAAAATAAGAAGCTGATCACTCTGCTCTGAAGATTACAGAACTGCCTAGACACAAATATGCTGGATCCTCTCTCTACCTTGACGTGGTGCGACAGAAGGAAAGTCAGACTTGGACCCCAGCCCAGGCACTTAGAAAAAAACAGAAGAAACTTATTACCACAAGCTTCAACCTGGAAGACGGCCCCACAGCAGGGCTCCCCAAAACAGAGAGTGAGCACAGTTTCAGGTCATATACACCCCAAAGTATGTATACACGGGAGCTTAATTATTACCTCCATCTCTCCTACAACATCAAATCTCTGCAAGACTTTACTGGAAAATGGTGGGGTTCCAGGCTCTCAGTTCTCTAGACCTGCGGAGAGTGTTCCCCCAGCCCTGTGGCCCCCTTCCTGTCTGTTGTGCTGACACAGGTGCATAGGCATTGCTTTCTCTACACATTTCTGGGTTTGTATAGCTCACTGATGCGTGGAACTTTTAGCAGGAAAAGGACGCGTAGTGGAGAGGAAATTCTGATTTCCCCCAAGAAGTGCCATCTTCCCTCAGTGTTTTCCTCTCAAGGAGGGGCTTGTGGGGAAGGGAGATCACATTATCCGCTATTGCTTGGTATCCATGCATACCACCTGTGGGAGGCCTTATCCTTCCCTGCTCTGTCCAGTGCCTTAGCCATTGGCCACATGCAGCTCTCGAGTTTACATTTTAATTAACTAAAATTCAATAAAGTTAAAAATTCAGTTTCTCAGTGGCACTAGCCACATTGTAAGTGTTCCATGGCCACATGTGGCTAGTGGCTATGTATTGGACAGCGTAGACAGGGAATATTTCTGTCATCACAGAGAGTTCTACTGGACAGCACTGTTTTATCACAACACCCCCAGATATTACTTGAAAGCTATAGGACCCAGGATCCTTCTACTCTCAAGTTGTGCTTCTTAGAGGCTGGAAATCCACCAGAGACCTTAGGTTAGGAAGAGGGCAGGAAGGCCACAACCCCCAGGGACCTCATGGGTGCTATATAGGGACTGGGCAAGGAGCCAGGGGCACTCAGTCTCATGGAGCTAAAATAGGAAAAGTGACCCCCTGAGGTAGCTCCCTGCAGCGTGGGTTCCAGCAGCTTTCTCCAACACAGAAAGTGCCGCCAGAGTTTGGGAATGTACAGGTGGCCTAGCCAGACCTCTGGCTCACTATTGAGGCTGGTCTCCTAGCATAGGGGCACCTGCTTGCCAAGCCCTTCCCCCCTGCTCTGTGGTCTCTGAAAAGCCGCCATTGAGAGAAGCACAGCAGTCACTGACTCACTACGGTCAAATCACTGCCAGGCTTTGGTTTCTCTACCTTTAAAATACATTCCACAAGCTGAATTGAGTCTAGATACAGCATGAATACCACTTTGGGGACAGGCCACTGAGGTGAATTGGGTGGCAATTTGGTATGGGAAAGTCTCCATGAAGGGACCTGTCTGTGGCCTCCCTGGATGGAGGGTGGAGTGGTCCACTGCCTGCACTTTCTCTCCATCTTTCCTTCTCCTATGAAGGTTTAACGGTGGACAGAGGAGCCTGTGTCTCCCCTCACTGTCCTTCGGTCTCCTTGGCAACAGTCATGCCCCTTCAGTGAGCCCCTCTCCCAGGTCTTTTGTGGCTAGACTTTCTTGGCAGAAAGCCATGAGTGAGACGTGGAAATGCGGAAGAAATACAACCCACAGCCAAAGGCCTCCTTGTTTTTCTGCAGCTAGAGGGATGCTGAAGAAGGCTGCTACATTTGTGAACTTCTCCTTCCTTCTGGGCAGCCCACAGTATTTTGGGCACTCCATTGCGTTAGTCAATGTGATTTTGTTGGTGGTGGTGTTCTTCCTCTTTCTGAGAGAAGAGAAGAATTTTTTTTTTTTTTTTTTTTAACGGAGTCTTGCTTTGTCACCCAGGCTGGAGTGTAGTGGTATGATCTTGGCTCACTGCAACCTCTGCCTCCCTGGTTCAAGCTAATTCTCACACCTCAGCCTCCTGTGTAGCTGGGATTACAGGCACCCGCCACCACACCCAGCTAATTTTTTTTTTTTTTTTTTTTTTTTTTTTTTTTTGTAGAGACGGGGTTTTGCCATGTTGGCCAGGCTAGTCCCAAACTCCTGCCCTCAAGTGATCTGCCCGCCTTGGCCTCCCAAAGTGCTGGGATTATAGGCATGAGCCATGGTGCCTGGCAAGAAATGGGTCTTATTCACTGCCAGGCCCATACTTGCAGGCCTCCTTATGCCCTCTCTTTCACCTTCACCAACTCAGAACCTTTTAATTGGGCAAAAAAAATGTACACTGGACAGTAGAGTCAGTAAGGCAGAGAACAGGCCAATGTTCATGACAACTGAGAAAGGCAGAATATTCATGGCAGAGTAAGGCAAGAGTGAGGCCTTCAAGCAGGAGAAATTGGCAGCTACTGACAGTGAAAATTTCTTTTCTTTAGAACAAAACACATATGTTTCTATTGGACTACCTGATACAGAAGATAGTGTAGTATGGATGGATAGTGTGAATGACAAATAATGTAAACATATTGTATTTGAAATAAACAAAAATGCTTACACAGCTCGATGGGTTACTTGGAAACAAACTCTGGCTTGACTGTATTACTGAGCAAAAGTGAAGTTGAAACAAAAATACCCTTCTTTTTTGACATGCATTTGGAGATAGGTAGGAAGACACTACTTGTTTTTTTTTTTTCTTAAACTGACTTTCCCTTAAGGCTTGGTCATAGAGGTGTAAACAATGTAAATGAATTCACCATTGCCAATTGTTATATCATATCTATGTTACTTGTGTATTCTGAGATCATACATGTACCTGCCAAAATACCTGGGAAGGGTTGCTGTATCACAGTTACATTTGAGTTCTTGGCAGGCAGGACTGAGGAAGAGTAATTTAGAACGTTTTACATCCTATTTGAAAGAAATCACTAGTATTCCCTTAAACAACAGGTTACAATAGGAAGATACTACCTGGAAGCTACCCTTTTCACTTTGGTTAATTTTTATTTTTTGTTCATGATTTACATAGTTGTTTGATTATTTTGCTTATGGTACAATCCTGCCACAAAGCATTAAAGCAGAAGATATCCATTTTCCCTTCAACATCTGGATTTTTCAAGTTTTATACTTCTACATCCACAGTATGTCAGCAGTTCTTGAGCTTTAAAAAAATAATAAGTGAATAAAACTCTTCTAAGAGTGCAGACGTCTATAACTACAATGGTACTAGATGGGAAGGAAAGAAAGCAGAGGGGAAGAAAGCAGACATTTCTGTTTGCAGGGAAGGTGGTTCAAGTCTTTGGATTTAAAAACAAGTTTCCCAGAGAAGCTGGCTATAATAGATTTTCCAGAAAACTTCCTTTGCCCTCCAAAAAGGACCTGAAAAGCCCCAATCCAAACTTTGGGAAACAACAGTTATGAGATGCTATAAATGAAGATGAAAGCAGAAGGAGAAGGATGAATGTGTCTTCCATTTAGCTACAGCTTGTAGCAATACTTCTTTAGCTGTTGGTGGAGCAGTGGAAACCTCTGAAGTCCCAGAAGTTCTTGGAAGAATAGCAGTAGAAAAGTAATGAACATCACACCTTGTCTAAATCAGTAACAGGGCTTCACGGCTAGGAAAATTTTTTAAACAATAAATGACTCTAGATTAGATGTCTCTTTCCAACATTAAATGTAGCAGAATTAACAACAACAACAAAAGATCCACACATGGATATAGGGATAACAGAAAATTACAAGGCAGAGAAAAGAATCAAGACAATGCTAGAGGTTCAACAGTATTCCACGAGGCTAGAAAATCCATTAACTTTGAAAGCCCTAGCAAAATATCACTCTTGTTTATAAATCACTTATTTATCACACGACCACACGTCAAATCTTTGTCTTTCCACATACACAAGAATCCTACATTCAGCCTTTAAGTCTTCTGCATTTCTTTGCCAGTCTTGTAGCTGAGTATCTTGTTCCCATCAATTTTGGTGCAGGTAACTGGTAGTTGCCGGTGCAAGGCCTTGAATGTGGCATCTGACATTGTTTGATAGTTTTTACTAATTGCTGTTTGATACTCCTTTCCTGCATTCTCTGATTTTAATAAACTCCTTTACAGTTTGGAATTCATTCAAACCAGTTAGTGAATCCTGTACAACTTTAGGACTGACCAATGGCGCATTGCCCTCTTCATAATAATGAACTTGAATTTTAAGCACTTCAGCTACCTGGGCTGTAGGTTGTTTGATGGTGGACTTCTGCTGTTATCTCCAATCATTCCAGAAGTTTTTAGGCTGGAACTGGTGGCTTTCAATACATGCAATAACAGTCTGTTTTAGCATAAACAATACAGAAGCCTTGGCCATTGGAATAATGATCTTTCACATAGGTTTTTTTTTTTTTTTTTTGAAGCAGGGTCTCACTCCTGTAGCCCAGGGTGGAGTGCAGTGGCTTACCGCAGCATCAACCTTGTGGGTAGCTGGGACCATAGGCGTGCACCACCACACCTGGCTAATTTTTGTATTTTTTAAAGTAGGGGCGAGGTTTTGCCATGTTGTCCAGGCTGGTCTTGAACTCCTGGGCTCAAGCGACCCTCCCGCCTTAGCCTCCCAAAGTGCTGGGATTATAGGCATGAGCCAATGTGTCTGGCCTGCATAGGCTCTTAAAGCACTGTCACAGAATTCTCTCCTGGACTTCAGACCTCCATCTACTTTCTCTGCCTGGGGGCCACTTGATTCTTTCTGATCTTCATATCCTTCTATCTTCACAGGCGTGAATGGATTCATGTTACAGTGGGCAAATGCATGTGCTGCTCCTTCCCTGAAGATTGTCATTATTTCCAGTAAAATTGAGACATAAGAAAAGTTTGTCTTTAGTGCACCAAGGTTCTTCTGTATAAATCTGTTCAACTCTTCAGCAATAAGCTCATCCCAGGAAATTGTCCCCTGCCCCATTTTCTATATCCTATTTTGTGCTCAAGAAAAGGGGCTACTCCTAAATAGGGATGGTTGAATTGCAGTGACTTTTATAGACATATAGCCAAAAGAATGAATCTCTCATAATGGAATTCCAGATTTTATCAGCCTGAGATGGTATAATTTTAGATTACACAGATATTCCTAAAATTTCACTGGGTAGAGAGCAGCCCAAGCTGGCTGAATTTGAGGACTGGGTGCTGGGTGAGGAGAAGGTATGCATAGTTGCTGAATTCATCACTCATGCACTCCCCAGGGGAAAAGATCAGGTCTTAATTACAGAACACAGTAACCTGGCTAATAGCAGATTTTTAGACCCAAGAAACAACATTTTATTTAAATTTGATCACTTACAGAAAGAAGCAAGTGCCCCCCAGCCAGAGGAAGTAGGTGGAGGTCTACTTGGAATTTTACTTCTACACCAAGTCAGTGTTCTAGATTGAGTTTCTTTAGTTTGTGATGCAACCAAAGTCAAGACTTTACTCTTTAATGTCTTAATTTCTCACATTCCCAACTATCAAAGTCATAGTCAGGCATAAAATCAGAACTGGACCTCAGAAACATTGGGATGCCTATGTTCTTTTTCTGTTAGACCACTCGCATTGCTTACAGGCAGTCTAGTTAGCCTGTTCCAAGGGCAGACCCTGCACACCCTGTTCCCAACATTTAATTGACAAAATCCACAAAGCACACCTATTACAGGCAAAACTCTATCATTTAGAAAGCTTTCAGCTACAAAGAGCAGAAAACTGAAATAAATGTACATTAAGTGATAAAAATATTAAAGTTACATGGCCAGAATCCTGGAAGTAGGTAGGGTGGGACCAGGTTGGTTAATGTCTATCTAATCACCTCATCAAGAACACCATCATTGTTCACTGTCAGCTTCAACCTGTTGGTGTTGTCTCTTGCGGTCACAAGGTGGCTGCCATAGTTCTAGGTGTCCCATGCGGACATGACACTAATCCAACTGAAGCGAAGGAACCATTTCCTCCCCTGAGTTTCTTTCTATCGATTGGAAATCTTTTCTGTAGAAACCATCCCATCATTTCTCTTACATATCATTGATCAAGATGAGGTCTCATGACTGTTCTTAAAGCAATGGTAGGAAAGAGAATGGGACCACCATAGACCAATCAATATCCATGCCTCACCCTCCTGGGAAGTGGCTAGAGATAAAGTCACCCGTCCTCAGCAGAAGGCCTCAGAGGAAAGTGTCAATATGGAAACAAAATTGGTTTCTACTGGCCAGGAAGAGGGCAATAGATTCGTGTGGGCAACAAACAAACAGTACTTGTTACATCAGGCACAGTCATAAAGGTAGGGAGCAAAACAGATTTCAGGTCTGTTAGAACCTCCTATCAAGCTAAGAAACCTACAATCATTATAGCAACTGAAGGACCCAGTGTGTCCCGGAAACACTTGAATCCCCAGTGGGTGCAGCATAGAGGCAGCTAAGTGGAGTGGCCTAGGGCAGTGATCAGGGAAGGACCTCTGGTAGAAATCTACTTCAAGCTGGACTCTGGCGATCACGTGAGCCAGACATGGGTTGGTAGGAAGAAGGAGCAGCTATTCCTAGTGGAATAGCAATAGGCTCCAAGGCTAGAGTGCGAGAGTTAGTCCTCCCATGCCTGTGGACATGGGGATGGCATTTTGGTCTCATTTGAGATGTGACCATGAGATCCATGATGGCAGAGACTGAGTCTCTCTCATTTACACTTGGATCCCTGATGCCCAGAACAACCTGGAGTAATATGGTGATGTTTGTTGTGGGATTAGATTAACGATTACCTTGAAAGATGAAAAAGTGGGAAGGAAGCAGGAATAACAGCAGGTGTAGGGCATTCCCATGCTTCTTTTAGTGGAACCATTAGAATCCCTGGGACCAGGGGAACACCTCTTCAACTCATCCAGGCTTCTCCACAAAGGAAGTGACTTCAACAATTAAAAGTCCCATCCAGACAGAGATCTTTGTGCTTTTCTTTGTTCCAGCTAAATTTCAAGCTGAGCTCAGGAAGTTTGGTGTCAGATTGTATCCTGGGGAAATGAATTTTCCCTTTTTCCATGAGTCATTGCCATCAATTGCTGGGTGGCTTATATAAATGAATACTAGAGGAGGCAGAAATGTGATGGCTCTTGGGAGACTTCACCCTTTTTCCATGAGTCATTGCCATGAATTGCTGGGTGGCTTATATAAATGAATACTAGAGGAGGCAGAAATGTGATGACTCTTGGGAGACTTCACCACATGATGTCTACTTTGCCATTGGAGTTAGGCACTATCCCAGCCAGACCTGACTCAGAGTGAGAAGCATAGATAATTTACAAGGCCAGTGCTAAATGAAAACATGGGGCCCCTTGTTAAAAAGTATTGAGCAATTCTAGACAGGGACAGCATTAAACCAAGCGGGGCCTTTCTAACCACAGGGCACCAGCTAGCATGGGACAGCTGCGTAGGGGTGCAGGTGGCCCACCTGTGAATCCAGCCCTGGAGAAAAGCATCCACAACCAATTGAATCAAAGAAGGAGAGGTTCCTGGGGCTATTTGGCTATAGTGCTTTGTTTCTTTTCAGATCTCTCAATTTATAAGTGTATAACAACAGTATTATGCTGGTGAAAGTTACCATTTTATGGATCACTGGGGCTGGCTCCTTTCAGAGGAATGAGGTAAATAACAGGGTGCTTAAACGCAATTAGTTGAAGCAACAAAAAGAACAAAGAGAACAACAAGAAAGCTATTATGCAAATGTGTGGCCATTCGCTGCCATTCTGCCTTGGGGAGTTTTGTGGTAGATTCAGGAGTTTCTGCCTGTTTGAATTATTAGTCCTCCTTATATTTAACATCAAGCTTCAGTACAATTATTTATGTTGCTTTTTTTTTTTTTCTTCCCCTCAGCACATTAGCAATTGGCCTCTCTCATCTGGTCTTAACGTGGGCTTAACTGCTGCCTTGACTGAAAACAATAGCAATGAAGGCAAAGCAAGCGCAGACCCTGCAGTAGGCCGGCCAGACAGAAGGTTCTGCTCTGCAGGGGTCCCGGAAAAGAGGAGGCAGATAGGTGCCTTCCCCAAGGGTCCTAGGCTGCTGTCTGTGGGGTTGTGAACCACGAAATTTTCTAGTTCCTTTCAGAAATGACCTGGTCAGACATAATGGAACTGGGTATCCCCAGCCCTTTCAAAAAAAAAATCCTACTAAAGACCCAACCAATGTATTTCAGATCACATTTGTGCCTACATTAAGTACACTAAATTATACACAAAATGTTACTGGAAAGTCCCCAAGAGATGATTCTTGGATCTCATGCAAGAAAGATTTTGGGGTGAGTCCACAGAATAAAGTGAAAGCGAGTTTATTGGAGAAGTAAAGAAACAAAGGAATGGCTACTCCATGGGCAGGGCAGGGCGTTCCCAAAAGCAAGAGAGCAAGGGGAGGAGTGTTCCTATCTTAGGTGCAAAGCTTTTTTTTTTTTTTTTTTTTTTTAAGATGTTGTCTTGCCCTGGGCTGGGCTGTGTGGGGAGGCCATGGAAAGCAGCCTGGACTACAGTCATAAGCTGAGTCATAAGCTGAGGACTTGGCTCACAAACAAGCCCTACATGAGACCCTGCTGGTGGGGGTCGGGGGTGGGTCCTGTTATCCCCTTCTCTGCCCCCTGCCTTCTCTGCAGGAATGCTGGCTGATGGCCCCTGCCTCATCTCCAGGCCCCCATGTCTTCAAGATGCTTGTTTACCCAGTTGCCACAGCCTCCCCAGGAACTCGTGGGAGCAAGCTCTGCATGGCTGACAGCCCCATTTAGAAGAGGGCGCTGTGGAATGAATGGTCCCCCCTGCAGCTCAGCCTCATCTCCTTAATGGATCCTAATTACCCCTGTCCTGCTTATAGCTTCTCTCCAGGACCCACTTGTCAGGATGATGGATGAGGTGACTGGGAGGTGGGGCCAGCTGGGACTGGAGGAATCCCCCCACTGTCTAGTAGGGCGGGGACGCAGGAACTTTCAGTCAGTCCCAAAGATTCTGAGGAAGAGAAGACAACATTGCAGGATGAGCTCTTCTCCCCTTTTGTCCCCAAAACTTGGGCCAGGTGAGTTTTTGCTTAGGAGGAAGGTGATGGGGAATCTGGATGAGGAGAACTGGCTATTCTGGTGTGTAACCTGGGGAGTACATGATAAGGGGAGGAGAGGCAGCCCTGCTCAGGACTCCAAGGCAGGACCCAGAGCTGTATTTTAGGACCCCAGCACTAGGCCTATCAGAAGGCCACATCTGCTTTGAGAAGGCCGGCAGTCACCAGGCACATAGTCTCCAGCTGATCCATGTCTTCATGGACACACTCCCAGCGGGGACTCAGTAAATGAACTGCAAATCATCTGGGGTCCCAGACACAGACCTTTGACCCTATGATCACCAGTAGCAGATGCTGGCTTGACTGTGATTCTCTGTTTCTGCAGATTAATCAGATAAGGGAGAAGGAATACCAGGGTTCTGCTTTTAAGTCACATCTACTCAGAACAAAGGAGTGAAACCTTCCCCTCCTCTGCTACGAATATAGTCTCACATGCTCTAGGAATTAACAATCACAGTCTAACTTGTGAGTTACTATTTTGTGCACTTGTTCTGTGCCATGTGCACTGTAAGCTACTTGTGCACGGCAGGTATCTTACTCATCTTTTCCATCTGTGTTCCCTCGGCGGTGTCCACTGTAGGGGCACCGTGCAGTTGTACAAGAGGGTAGGCGGAGCAAACCCAGGAGTAGACTGGAACCTCTCTTTACATCTGGGATGCTAGCCCCAGGTTTCCATGGAGGGAGTAAAACTTCTTTTCCCCAGAGATGGTAGATTGAGAAGTATGTGGCCACCTTCTTTCTCCATATGCCTCTGGAGCCACCTGCCTTGCTGCTGAGCACAAGAAGAGGCTTTGTGCCTTCTGGGCTTTCTCTTTCAGGGCGGGTTGCTCTTCCTGTGTGTGGTAAATGTGGGAGGCATTTGTGTGCCCACGTGTGGTAGTAGCTCATTTCTAGGCTGCCCTCCCAGATCCTCACTTCCCAGAACAAACGTTGTCTTGTGGCATCCTGCCACACTGAAGAGGGTTGATCTGTGAAGCCAATAGGATAGCACAGAATTGGTGTTGTGTGGCTTCTGAACCTACTCATAGAAGACATGACAGCAGCCACCCAATGTTCTTGGAACATTCATTCTGGGGGAAGCCAGCCACCATTTCATGAGAATACTTGTTATGGGGTAAATGGTATCTCCCCAATTGATATGTTGAAATCCTAATTCCCAGTTTTTCAGAATGTGACTGTATTTGGAGATAGGACCTTTAGAGAGGTGATTAAGATAAAATGAGGTCTTTAGCATTTGCCCTAGTCCAATATGACTGGTATTCGTATAAGAAGAGAAGATTAGGATACAGACATGCACAGAAGGAAGACTGTGAGCAGACACAGGGAAAAGGTGGTGCTCTGCAAGCCAAGGAACACTCTGCTGATACCTTGATCTTAGACTTCTAGCTTCCAGTACTGTGAGAAAATATATTTCCATTGTTTAAGCCACCTGGTCTGCGGTGCTTTGTTATGGCAGTTCTAGCAAACTCATACACCACTCCAGTAGCCCTGTGTAGAGGCCCACATGGAGAGGAACAAAATTGCCAGCACTAACTCATGAGGCATATGAGTGAACCAACTTAAGAGCATATCCTCCAGCCCTGGTCAAGCCTTCAGATGACTTCAGTCCCTCAGCCCTCATGTGCTCCAGTTGAGGCCCCAGACATCATGGAGCAGAGGTAAGACATCCTCCCTGTGCCCGTCTGAATTCCTGACTCACCTAAACCATGAGATGATACATGATTACTGTTTATGATGTCATTAGGCTTGGGGTGGTTTGTTATGCAGCCATATATAACCAGTGTTCCAGGTCCGCTGTGATGGAGTGAGACATTTAACTCAGGCGGAGGGGGGAATGCCATTTTGACAAGCTTATATGGCCACAGATCTAAGCTGTGCCATCAGCAAAGCAGTGTTTCCAGATGATGTGGTCAAGCCTTCCTTGAGGAGTACATAGCCCCTGCTAGTATTTGGGGAATGGCTTTAAAAGTCTACCTTGGCAGGCGTCAGCTGTGGCCTGGGAGATTGGCAGGAGTGGTAGAGGCCAGCAGGGCCAGGGGAAGGAAGTGGTTTAACCCTTCACTCTTGAAGGGAGCTGGGATATTGGGGAAGTGTCAGGAAGAGGAACCTTGGAAGAGCAACCTGATACCAGGCCAGGGAGATAATGCCAGAACCTCAAATGTGGGCCAATGCTTTCCTGCCCAGGCCAGGAAGCTTGCCTCTACAGTGAAGAGTAAGGGGCCTCAGCCCCTCAATGAAGAAATAAATACCTATTGAACATCAGCTCTGTAGTTTATTGAATTTTTATTTTTACAACAACACTTTGAGCTAAGTATTATCTCAGTTTTTTACATAAGGAAAGGGAGACTCAGAAAAGTAGAAAGGTTGAGAAACTTACCTATCACATCATTTGTAAGTAACAGCTGGATTCAGAGCCAGGAACATCTGCGTCCAGAGCTCCTGTCCTAGCCCAGGGGTGAAGTGTCATGGAAGTGGCTTGGTGGAGTGGTCCAGAAAATGTATTCTAGATCTAGGTAGCCTGGGACCAGCCCCTGGCTCCATGCTTCCTACCCTTGTAACTCTGGACAAGTCACTCCACCTCATCATGTCTCAAGGTCCTTGTCTCTAAAGTGGAGATGATAGCATGTACCTCATAGGTTACTATGGGATACAATGAGTTAGAGCCAAGGGCTTGGAACAGAGTCTGGCACAAAAGAGGTACTTTGTGAGTACTGGTTCATTATTCTCTCAACTCTGCAAGACTTCTAAGAACAAAAAAGACGTGATTCTCAGAACCAGGCTGGAGTTGACAGTGCCTAGACTAGATACGGAGCATGGCCAAGGCCACTGAATTGATGTACATGTGTGAAACACCTTCCCTTTTCTTCTCTTCCTCTCTAATCCCAAACTATGCAGCTCGAGGTTATGAGATGGCTGGTGACCACTCCTGAATCCAGAACACAGTGTCCCCTTAGCTCTCATAGGCTACCCAAGCCAGAGCTCCCAGGGAAAGAGCCCTTTCTTGGAGATGGAGCTTAATAATCACATTCCAAGGGAATGTTTGGGGAACAGGGGCTGAGGAAGGAGGGTAATTAGTCTCCTGTGGACACAAGTCTTCACTTCTGCACTGGGAAATCAAGAGCCCATGAGGGTGGGCTTGGGTTGTCAGACAGCATGTCCCTGAGGGAAAGGTTCAGGCTGGGTTTCCTGCTGTCCCCTTTCCCGGCTGAAAAGGAGCAGCTAAGTGTTATTGATCCAAGCCCCAGGGGGAATATTTGCTAGAAGTTTGCTGGCACTTGCTCAACACTTAGCTGGTATTCATTATTCAGTGATAGGGATGGGGAGTGGAGAATGTTGGCATTGTGTCACCAAGTGAGCCTGGCTTCACCAGGGGTAACATGGGAACTGGGAGAGGCAGACAGCCTGGAAGAGTCAAAGATGACTGGCTCTCATCCTGAGAGGACCAGTGGTGTATGGTAGTGGGGAAAATTCTATCTCCTGGGCAGCCCCTGGCCTCCCACATGTCATGGAGGCTCTGGTTTTTGGCTGGAGCCTAGGAAAAAAAACTTTGGGTGATACTAGGTCTGGCTGCCCTCTGATAGCCTTTTTCTATGTCTCAGTTTTCTCAGATGTCCCACCCATTTTAAATGATGTATTGCAATGAAACTAGGCTTTACAGTGAGAGAAATGCCAATCAAGCCCAAGGCTCCAGAGTGGGTCAGAATAACTCACGAAACAAGATCTAAAGGACATGGATTTGGTTGTTTCCTAACCCTGTGATAGGCCTGCCCATTCTTGGAGTCTGTCCAACTGGATAATGGTGATATAAGTTCCTTGTAACAGGTAACACCACAGACAAATATCAGCTATCACCATCACATGATGATGATGATATTTTTACCACCTTTCCAAAAATTCATGCCCCCAAACCTAATGTAGCCATAACAATCAGCGTGAGAAGGGAGAGGGGTTAGGACTTGAACAAGACTGTCCATAGCACAACCCAAAAGTCCATGGAGAGAAGAATAAATAAATAAATAATGACATCTTCACCAAATGGAATATTTTACAGCACAGGAAATGGAAATTAGTAAACTACGTGTAGCAATATGGGTGAATCTTAGAATATAGTGAGTAGGAAAATGCAAGTTCTAGAAGGCTACAGACATCAAACTTCAAAATTAAAACTAAGAAATAGGTGACGTAGGCATACATATCTAGGTGATACAACTGAAAAATAAAGCAAAGGAAAGAAAAGCAAAAGGTTTAGTGTAATGATTACCCTTGGCAGAGGTGGTGAGAGCCAAGGCAGAGGGCCAGGATAGCACAGGAACATGCAGACATGCTGTTCATATTGTTCTAGATTTTGAGTTGGATGGTGCTATAGCTTGGATGTTCATCCCAACAAACCTCATGTTGAAATTTGATCCCAGTGTTGGAGGTGGGGCCTAATGGGAGGTGTTTTTGTTATAGGGGTGGATCCCTCATGAGTAGATTAATCTCCTCCTGGGGATGGGGTGAGCGAGCTCTTGCTCTATTAGTTCCCATGACAGCTGGTTGTTAAAAAGAGCCTGGCACCTGCCCTCTCTCTCTCTTTTGCTTCCTCTCTAGCCATGTAATCCCTGCACAAGCCAGCTTCCCTTTCCCTTCCCCTTCCACTATGAGTGGAAGTAGCCTGAGGCCCTCACCAGAAGCAGATGCTGGCTCCATGCTTCTTGTACAGCCTGCAGAACTGCAAGACAGATAAACCTCTTTTCTTTGTAAACTATCCAGTCTCAAACATTCCTTTATAGCAACACAAATGGACTAAAACAGATGGTGAAAAAAAATGAATGAATGCATGAATAAATGAACGAATGAGTAAAAAAGTGGGCCATATGCGAAACAATGTTGGCATTGAGTCATAACTAGGATTATGATTAATCCAATGCTGAATACCTAAAATCCAAAATACAAATTTTTTCATTTAAAGAAAATTCTGGTGATGAGTGAATATTTAGCACTGGATCCCCAAGTAGAAGTTCTAGAAACACAATCATTTTTTTTCTATGGGGGATAGGAATGCCTCTCTATAGCCCACTGTACTTAGAAATACTTTTGCCATACACTTTGCTGAGGAGAGGTGAATTCCAGTCCTGATGTAGGTATGCTGAAGAATGTGTATGTGTATATATACATATAGTATGTATGTCCTTGGAGCTGAATTTATAACTGGCACTGAACTATGATAAATAGTGCTTCTATAAACATTCTTACATATGTCTTTGTTTATGTATGTATACATTTCCTTTGGCTATATATCTAGTAGTAAAATTGCTGGATCACAGAGTATACAGTAGTAGTCCCTCCTTATCTGTGGAGGGTATGTTCCAAGACCCCCAGTGGATGCCTGAAACCATGGATAAAGCCAGCCCTATATATACTATATTTTTTCCTATACCTACATACCCATGGTATAGTTTAATTTATAAATTAGTCATAGTAAGAGATTAACTACAATTAATGAAAAAAAAGAACAATTATAACACTATACTGTAATAAAAATTATCTAAATGTAGTCTTTCTTTCTCAAAATATCTTATTGTATTGTGCCATACTCACCTGTTTTCAGACCTTGGCTGACCATGGGTAACTAAAATTGTGGAAAGTGAAACTGTGGAAAGCCAAACCCTTGGGTAAGGGGGGACTACGATGTGTATGTTCAACTTTGATAGATAATGCCAGTTTTCCAAAGTGGTCCTACCAATTTATACTCTCACCAGCAAGTTTGAGAGCTCCAGTTTCTCCACATCCTCACCAACACTTAGTATTATCAGTCATTCTAATTTTTACCATTGTAAAAATTAGGTGTGAGGTCATATCTTACTATGGTATTATTTTATGTTTCTTTGAAGATTAATGAGGTTGAGCATTTTTTGTATATTTATTGGCCACTTAGATTTTTTTCATGAAGTTTGAGTCTTTCTTATTTTCTATTGGATTATTTGTCTTATCCTTATTGAATTTTGATGTTCCTTTTAAATTATGCATATGAGTCTTTTTGGAGAATATACATATATTTTAAGATTGTCTTGGCTGTTTTTGGATCTTTGCATTTCCATTTAAATTTTAAAATACATTTTTATTTTTATCTATTAATAAAAACCACCCAAATGTTTATGAACAGGAGAGTGGATGAATAAATTGTGGTAAAGTCACACAAAGGAATATTACATAGCAGTAAAAATGAATGAAACTATGCAATGTAGCAATGTGAATGAATCTTAGCAAAATTTTATTAAGTCGGGGAAGAAAAGATTCAGAATATTACATGCAGCATAAGCCCTTTTTATAATGGTAAAAACAACTAAAATAAAAATGTTTACTTTTAAGGAATACATATAGATGAGTGAACACTATATTCAAAGGAAGTAAGGGAACAATGGACTTGTGGTTCAGGATGGTGGCTGCCTTGGGTGGGGGAAACAGGAGGCTGGGCAGGAGAATGGCCATGTAGCGAGATGAAAGTTTTTGCCAAGGTCCCAGTCTTCAGGTTGGATGGTAGATTCACAGGTGCTTATCAGATAGTGAAAAGTAGATACATACATAAATGAATAAATGACCCATGAGAAGCCATGTTATGCATCAAGAATTCTGAATAACCTGATTCAGTGCCACTGAGGTCCACTGAGAAGAAAAATCTGACCCTGAAAGATTGAATGAGGACACTGCTGTCAACCCCCTTGTTGTGGGGCCCCCAGTTTCCCCTCATGACACCTCCTGGGCTGAACAGGGTTGCCAATGTCAAGATGCATATTACATATATTAATATTAGGAAAACTGAATTTCTTTTAATTAGTTTTTAGAAAAATGAATGAAAATATATGTTGTCTTTTTTATCTCCTACACCCCAATGCATCTTGTGTATTCTTGAGTATATGCATGCCAATTTAGAGACCTGTGCCCTAAGTGAAGGACATTTTAGGTGGACTTAGTTTTAGACAGATCACCCTGTTGGCATGTGAAAGATGAACTGGAAGGGGCAGTAGACAAGACAGAAAGAGCCTTTAGGAGGCTGTTGATATACTCTTGCTGAGGCAGGAAGTGGGACTCAACTCTGGAAGCGGGGCTCAGACAGCAGACCAAACTGAGGATTAGCTAAAACAGGGCTGAGGCAAAAGCAGCTTTCCATAAGACACACCCCCAGTGTGCTATGTAGGTTTACCATTGCCATGGCAACACCTGGAGTTATTGCCCCTTTCCATGGCAACGACCCAATGACCCAAATGTTACTACCCCTTCCCTAGAAATTTCTGCATAAACTGCCTCTTAATCTACATGTAATTAAATAGGTATAAATATGACTGCAAAACTGCCCTGAGATGCTACTCTCTGCCTATGGGGTCACCCTGCTGTGCAGGAGCAGTCACGGAACTATAAAACTACCACAACTGTAACACTGCTTCAGTAAAGCTGTTTTCATCTACTGCAGCTTGCCCTTTAATTCTTTCCTGGGCAAAACCAAGAACCCTCCCTGTCTAAGCCCCATTAGGGGCTCACCTGCTCTGCATTACCACCAGGTAGACAAGAGCTAAGGGGTGGCCATGGGAAAGGGAAGGAAATAAGGAATTTGGGAGGTATTGAAGAGAAGGAATTTATAGGACTCAGTTTCCTTAATACTAGGACATCCAAGAGCTAAAATAATTATGTATTTACTCTTCTCAGCTTGTGACTGCCATTTCTCTTAGAGTCAGAATCTCTCTTTGCTCCAAACTCTTGGGTCTCTCACCCTCCTACAGAGTGTTGATACTTTCATATAGGTCCCAGGGCAATTACAACCTTACATCTGATCTCACTCACTGATGGACTAATTGGCAGTGCCCTCCCTGCTGACAGCCTTCGGACGTTGAAGGCAAATTAAGCAGCCCTTGATGGGTAGTAATGCTGCTGAAATCTGGAGGCTGGTGGCGTGGGGGTGGGGTTTGCATTTCAGGAAAGTGTGCTACAGCTGCCTCTCAGATCTTTGAGCTTGATCCATTCTGCTTTCCCTGACAGCAGCCCATCAATCACTCACCTTAGATACTTCCACAGGCTGACATAATTGAAAGCTTCAGCTGGATTCTGTAGTGGGCTTGGAGGATCCATGGTCCTAGAGGGTAATTTGGCAACAGGCAAGCCCACAGTTCTTAGAACTTCAGGGATAAAGACCACATCTTAGGCCAGGAAGACCAAAGGCTCAAAGGTCCCATGCTCCATCAGGGAACTCAAAGGCTTGCTTTGTTGGGACACCAAGCCAATCATGGCCTGCCCCTCTTTGAGCCTTAATTTACTTATCTGTAACATACAGGTGCAGACTTGAAACAAGTCTTAAAATGTAGGCACAAATGCTATTGGCAGGAAAGCAAGTTATATTACTGCTGGGGCAACTTGTTAGCACCACTTGGGAGTTATGTGACCCTGGGTGAGCTATGCACTGCTGGGAGCCCTGGCCTCAAAGAGAAGAGACTATATAAACAAGTATGTGTGACAATGTCTGTCACACAGCACACCCTCTCAGAACATCAGTTTTCTTCTTCACTGTTTGGTTGCCAAATGGAAGAGATGGGGGCCTGGACTGAATATGGGTGAGCTGCAGGATTACCACCCAAATGCTGGCTTCTGCATGCCTCTGTGGGCCTCTAGAGTGGTTTCTCTCTGGCTGGACCACTCTTCCCTGGCCTGGCCTGAAGTGGGGAAAGAGGTGGCTAAGAATGAGACTGAAGGACGTAAAGAAAGGTCTATACCTCTGAAGGCAGAAACTGTGGGCAAGTCACTTACTTCTCAAGCTTTAGGTTTCCCACATATAAAGTGAATTGGTCCTAGCTCATGGGCTGGGTGTGGAGGATGAAATGAGATCGTGTCCATTAGACTCCTGGAGCAGAGTACGTGATTCCCAAATGTCAGGTGACCTCCCTATCCACCTCTCCAGCCTTCCCCTTGGAATAGACTGTTGGGACACCCTGAATTTTTTTTTTTTAAGCGGTGATTCTCTGAATGTGGTTCTGGACACAGGGGCTCTGGGAAAATTCACCAAAACTCAATTCACAGAAAGTACATTCATCAATTTCATCTTGCCAAATGGTGATTTGGCTTCCAATCAATCAAACCTTGGCCAAGTTACTTTTGGCAAGTGAGCCTTCCTCCCAGAGGAATCCTCTAGGTGGACTGGGCTGATTGGAATGCAGGTTTAGTGAGATGCTCAGCTCAGGTGGCATGAAGGGCAGAAGCAGGCAGCAGCTTGCTTTCAGCATGATATTGCTGGACGCTGAGCCCTGCAGTTTGTGGCTGATGCCAGAGCTGTCTTGTCCTTTTCCCACTTCTCTTTCTGCTGCATTTGTGGCCATTAACACAAAGGAGTTCTTCACTGAGAGGAGGGAGGCTGCTGAAGTGGAAATGGAGCCAGGGTGGGGTGGAGCCGGGTGGAGGGCTGGCACACCAAGCCCAAGGAAAGAATCACTGCTTGATATTCTTGATGTTTCTTCCTCTTTGCCCAGACTTCCTGGGACTCTCTCTCTTCTTCTCCTTTAGCTTCTGTTTTCCTTGCAGAACATAAGGGGTCAGAAAGCAGGTAGAGTGAGAGGGCAAAGGGAAGGAGGGAGGAGACGGTAGGATAGAAGCCCTGGTTCATGAAGACACATGAACCCTGAACTTCCATATGGATGAAGATTCTTTGATTGCAAGCAAAGGAAACAAACTGGTTAATTCTCCTAAAGGAAGCTCCCAGTATGGAAGGGAGAAATGGGATGGGGGACAGGCAAGAACCAAGGCTGCATCCAGGGGCCCAGAAGCAGCTACCACATAGTGGTGGCCAATTAGGATGAGCCTGGTCAAGATGCAGCTGCAGCTGATTGTTTTCAGTCTCTGTGCCTATGCTCAAGATTCAAATTCCAGAAAGGGGCATCCTATGGCATCGCTTGCATTAGTCAACCTTTCATTGTCTGGAAAAGGGAGAGGTTCTAGTTACTTATCCCCCAGGCTGTACCCAATGGAGAAGACGTAGTTCCAGTGGAGGAAACTGAATTGCTGAAGAGAAAATAGAGGGTAAGAAACCAGAAAATAATAAATCATGGCAAACAGGTATACAGTGTTGAGAATGTGCCAGTCTCTGAGCTAAGAGCATTACATCTATTAACTCCTTTAATCAGCCTATGTAGGCAATGAGGATATTGTTACCCCATTAGACAGATAAGGAAACTGAGATCCAGAAAAGTTAAATAATTATCCTAGGTCATAGAGCTAGTAAGTGGCGGTGCTGGGTTTTGAGTCAAAGTCTCATTCCTAATGCCTGTGCAATACTGTCCACTTCACTACTGCCCACTTGAAAAGCAAGCTTGGGAAAATCAAGGACCTTAGTGGTCCTAAAGAAGGCTAGTTTGCTCAGGGTTTCCGATAATAGAAGAAAACTAGAGAAAGCTGGTGGTTCCATTTTTCAGGTCTCCCTATCTCCAAGGCCCCTCTACTGACTCCCATCTGAGTGAGGATGTCTGCGCCTGTGCTCAAGGGCAGGTGCCCCTGCTGAGGAGGCTGGGAGATGCTGGGGGAGGTCAACATGAGCTGCACTTAACAAGCAAAGGAAAGGAGAGGCGTTACACAGATTTAAGATTTAACAAAAGGAGAATTAAATTGACATTTTATTGACTTGCAGTGGGAGTTGTTAAAGACAGATTACTGCAGCAAGGGTTGAGTTTGATTGAAAGGACGGGAGAGAACTCAGCTTCCAAAAGCATCAAACTTGAAGGCCAGTAATACCCCAAGGGGCAAGGTGAGCACATAAATTTGAACTCATACAAGAATACTTTCCAGCACATGCACTCATACCACACATCACAAATAGCTCCCAGAAGCCAGGCCCAGAGACACCAGGTGAAATGAGGGGGTAAGAGCACAGTGTTCTAGATTTGACTCTTATCAACGTCCCGTCCCCACCCCAACCCGATGTCTGGCCCCACTGGGAGCTTCAGAGATGGAATTTCTCATACTTTAATGGAGAAATAGTGTCTTGAGGAAACACCCTTTTGCTTCCAGGAAGAAAATGATCCCATTTCAAAGCTGTCTCTTCAGGGACTCCCTGCATGCTTAGTGGCTCGCAGAGATGCAGCACTTGCTGGGAGGCCAGCAGCGGTCTGCAAAGGCCTTCTCGGGAGAGCCTAGCCCCGTGCGATTTGTCTTGGTGCAGGCGTGGGTGTGGGCGACACCCAGGGAACCTGGGAAAGGAAGAACAGAGATATGTGGAGAGGGGGCAAAGGGCAGGGATGAGACCAGATTACAAGGAGCAGGCTGGCTTAGATTGTCCTTGGAGATAGCACCACTCTGGTCTCTTGTTTCACACAGGTGTTCAAATGAGGGTCTGGATTCTAGGGTGGCTGATGATGATTCTTGTCTCAGGAAGCTTTTCCTCTGTGGGGGTGAGAGGTGACAAGCGTGCTAGCAGCCCTCGCTCTCGGCGCCTCCTCGGCCTCGGCGTCCACTCTGGCGGCGCTTGAGGAGCCCTTCAGCTCACCACTGCACCGTGGAAGCCTCTCGCTGGGCCGGAGCCGGCTCCCTCTGCTTGCGGGGAGGTGTGGAGGGAGAGGCGCGGGCGGCAACCGGGGCTGCGCGCGGCGCTCGCGGGCCAGCTTGAGTTCCGGGTAGGTGCGGGCTCGGCGGGCCCCGCACTCGGAGGGGCCGGCCGGCGCTGCCGGCCCCGGGCAGTGAGGGACTTAGCACCCAGGCCAGCAGCTGCGGAGGGTGCGCCGGGTCCCCCAGCAGTGCCGGCCGGCCGGCGCCTCGCTCGAATTCTCGCCGGGCCTCAGCTGCCTCCCGCGGGGCAGGGCTCGGGATCTGCAGCCCGCCATGTCCGAGTCTCCCCCCGCGCCTTGGGCTCCTGCGCGGCCAGAGCCTTCCCGACGAGCGCTGCCCCGTGCTCCGCGGCGCCCGGTCCCATCGACCGCCCAAGGGCTGAGGAGTGCAGGTGCACAGCTCGGGACTGGCAGGCAGCTCCGCCCTGGCCCTGGTGCGGGATCCACCAGGCGAAGCCAGCTGGGCTCCTGAGTTGGGTGGGGACTTGGAGAACTTTTATGTCTAGCTGGAGGATTGTATATGCACTAATCAGCACTGTGTATCTAGCTAATCTGGTGGGGACTTGGAGAACCTTTATGTCTAGCTAAAGGATTGTAAATACACCAATCAGCACTCTGTGTCTAGCTCAAGGTTTGTAAACACACCAATCAGTGCTGTGTCTAGTTAATCTAGTGGGGACTTGGAGAACTTTTACTTCTAGCTAGAGGGTTGTAAATGCACCAATCAGCACTCTGTGTCGAGCTCAGGGATTGTAAATGCACCAATCAGCATCCTGTCAAAACAGACCAATCAGCTCTCTGTAAAACGGACCAATCAGCTCTCTGTAAAATGGACCAATCAGCAGGATGTGGGTGGGGCCAGATAAGGGAATAAACGCACAATGGCAACCTGCTTGGGGCCTCTTGCACACGGTGGAAGCTTTGTTTTTTAGCTCTTTGTAGTAAATCTTGCTGCTGCTCGTTGTTTGGGTCCACAGTGTCTTTATGAGCTGTAACACTCACTGCGAAGGTCTGCAGCTTCACTCCTGAGGCCAGCAAGACCACGAACCCACGGGGAGGAATGAACAACTCCCCACGGGAGGAACGAACAACTCCCCACACCTTAAAAGCTGTAACACTCACCGGGAAGATCTGCAGCTTCACTCTTGAAGCCAGTGAGACCACGAACCCACCAGAAGAAACTTCGAATACGTCCGAACGTCAGAAGGAACAAACTCCAGACACACCATCTTTAGGAACTGTAACACTCACGGTGAGGGTCCGTGGCTTCATTCTTGAAGTCAGTGAGACCAAGAACCCACCAATTCTGGACACAGGCATCTCTGTGTATCTCTTGTGTGATACACTCCCTGCCCCTCTTGCTACACCTATGAAGGGCTGAGTCAGTGTTTGAATACCCCCTTCGCTTCTGCTCCTGCAGTGTTGAGAATGTGCTAGACTGTATGCTAAGTGAATTACATCTATCAACTCTTTTAATAGCTGTAGCTCCTGCCATTGGTGTCACATCTCTGAGAATCCTTCTGGTGGCTCCCTTCCCCTCCTTAGCCCCGGCCCCCCAGGCAGCAGCTGCATCCTAATCACAGGCATCCATAGAAGAGCTGTGACTCCAAATCTACAACCCTTCCCTCCCAGTTATCCTGTTGTCTTCCTGGGGGAGATCTGGTGCAGATAAGGGCATTAATTATGTCCTTATCTGCATTATTAAAAGTGACTTCTCAGATTCCTCCCAGACATCTATTATAGTGTACTGCTGGGAGTGGCGGGGAGTGGCATTAAACATCCCTCTTACCTGTTCCTTTTCCTCCCTCTTTCCTACCAAGAGAACCGAGTTCTTCTCTTAGCTCTCAGGGCTTCTGCTGCACAGTGCACCTTCCACCCGCTCTTCACTCCACTGTCCCAGGTTTTGCATCAATTGAGCACAAGGGAAAAAGGAGCCTCTGGCTTAGCAAAAAAGATTTGAAGGTGACCTTCACTGAGCCCTGAAAGAGATAACAATCTCTCTGCAAGCAACAAGGCTGACTCTTCTGGATACTAAAATAGCAACTGTGGAGTAAACCTTCCCTCTGTTTCCCTCTCTTTTTCTTCAGGACAACACAAAGAAATTCTAGGGGTGAACTGGGAAATCACAGTATCTTTTAACAGCCTGAAAGCCTGAAAAGAAAGTTCCTGTGTGTGCATTTGCAGCTCATCAGTACAGAAAAGCTAATTATCTCAGTACTGTTGCTGCCTTCTTGCATCCAGCATACTCTGTCCTCACCATTATGATCTTATTGGTCCTATCAGCAACGCTGAGTCATGGAGGGCCCAGCAATGGTGCACCCCATTTTAGATAGGAGAGAAACAAGGTCCACGGAAGGAAGGTTATCCAGGGATAGAGTGGTCAGAGTCAGAGATGAATGTCTGTATCCTACCAATTTCACCCTAAGTGAAATCCTAAGGGTTTTTTCACTAAATTTCCACAGGGAATGGAATGAGTTCTCTGGGCTTGATTGCTGGACCATGGACACATTGATATAGGGATTGCTATTTTACAGCAATCTTATCAGCTCTTGTTGGACCCTACTCTGTTCCTCTTCTCCTGATGCCAGGCCCAGAGATGTTGTGCAGTGACTATCATAGCATCCAGCAGGTAGTTGTAAAGGTAGGAAGAGATGGAATGGGGAAGGAGTGATGCCTGTTGCATTTGGGGAGGGGAGGGAAGACTGCAGTTGTCACGATTGGAGTTACCAGGGATTTGGAACATGCATTTATATATGATGGCAAATGGGAAAGAAGAATCTGGCACATGAGATGACACATATATGTCCTTTTGAAGAAATAAAGTAAGAGGTGAGCCCAGGAAGATAATGGCCCAGCATTGAGGTCATATGGGGGCCCCCTCAACCCAGAAGACCCTCTGCAGCAATAATGAGAACTGATGGGTGGCAGTATTCAGGATCACGGAATAGAGAAGAATGCGTGCATAACTTACCTATGTGGAAAAGCTGATGGAAAGAGACCATGATCGGGTTCTAGGAGCATAAACTGTTAAAATTAGAAGGAGACTTCGAAGTCATCCAGATGAGAAAACTGAACTCAGTGACATGCCCAAAATGAACACTGCCACTAAGCAGCAGAATGGAACTAGAATTTAGTTCTAGTTTCCCCTCTCCAGATGTCACGGGCATCACTCCTTCCCCACTGCATCTGTTCCTACCTTGATAACTAGGTTCCTTCCAATACAGGGCTCTGTTCGGCATCCCCACTGATTAGGCTCAGGTCATTTGGCCAAATAAACATTTCTCTGTGATAAGAAATTAAGGCACCATTGTATTAAGAGCAGCTGAGTTTACATTCTTCTGTTGCCTGGAGAGTGCATGCTTGAGGCTGGTAAAGCCCTAGCAGTATCCTGAAGACTGTATTTGTGCCAAACCCCTTCCAGTAGATCTAAAATATGGCTGTTCAGAAGGGATAATAGTGAGGTTAAATGGGATAACAGGATAGATCAGCGTGGAAAATGTGGAAATCTATCCTTTAAAATTCCTTATAGATACTGACTTCCAGCAACAGCCACAATAGAGTAACTGGGATCGAATTTATGCTCTCACTTTAAACAACTAAACCATCAAAACAAAATGCATGAAACAATAGTTTACAGACAGCAGATAGCACAGGAATATGAGCTCTAAGAAAAAGAAAACAAAAGAGGCGAGTCCTAGGATTGTACCAGCTTAATCCTGGAGGCAGTTTCTAAGCCACAGTGTGAGGTGAGGGTGAGGGGAGAAAAATGTGGCTTGTTAATCTTGTTCAGTTGAGAAGACAGTATCAGACTTTGGGGAGAACAAGGTAACTTGAATTTGCAGGGCAGAGTATGGACTTGCCCAGAGAGCGATCTCTAGCGATCTGTAGCAATGTCTTCTTGAAGCTTGGGCTAAGTACTGATAAGCACATGCATGAAAGGAAACTCACCACGGCGGGTGAAAACCCAGCAGAAAGCAGTAGACTAAACAATTGCTAGAGCTCACAGAAGGGTGGGAATAATTCATATTCCCACCAGCTAGAGTGGAAAGAGCTCCTGATAAATAAGGCATGGGGTGGAATCCTCAGAAGAGCATTCCTCAGTAGTAGAGCCAAAACAACCCTAGACTGATAGTTGTTCTGGACCTGCCCTAACAAAGTTTCAAAGCAAGCCTCAAAAATATTCAACGGACTTTGAGTAACTTAACTGTGTATGAGAGCACATGCAATACATATATAACTATAAGGCATTGGAAGAAGCAAGAAAATAAGATGAACAACTGAGGGAAAAATCAATTTGTAGAAATAGACTCCGACATTACAAAGATGATGGAATTAGCAGACAAATATATCAAAAGAATTATAAAAATGATCTGTATATCCAAGAAAGAACATATGAATAGGAGGAGAGATGTAGAAGATATAAAAAAAGGTCAAGTGAAACTTTTAGAGATGAAAAACACAACAACTGAAGTGAAAAAATACACTGGGTGGAATTGACAGTGGATAAGATGCTACAGAAGTGAATATCAGTGAACTTAAAGTAATAGCATAGGCTGGGCATGGTGGCTCAGGCCTGTAATCCCAACACTTTGGGAGGCCGAGGTGGGCGGATCACCTGAGGTCAGGAGTTTAAGACCTGCCTGACCAACATGGTGAAACCCTGTCTCTCCAAAAATACAAAAATTAGCCATGGTGGTGGCATGCGCCTGTAATCCCAGCTACCCAGGAGGGTGAAGCAGGAGAATCGCTGGAACCTGGGAAGCAGAGGTTGCAGTAAGCCGAGATCATGCCACTGAACTCCAGCCTGGGCGACAGAGCAAGACTCCATCTCAAAACAAACAAACAAACAAACAAACAAACAAATAATTCAAAATTAGGCACAGGAGAAAAAGACTTAAAAAAAGAAACAGAATTGTGCGTGACTAGTGGTATAATAGTAAGTGGCCTATTGCATGTAATTGTAATTACAGAAGGAGAGGAGAAAAGGGTAGGACAGAAAAATATTTCCAGAAATAACTGCCAAAAATTTTCTAAATTTGATGAAAATTCTGAACCTATAGATCCAACAATATCAACAATACCAAAGTTGAAAAAGCATAAAGAAAATTACATCAAGGCACATGATAATCAAATTGTTTTTATTTTATTTTATTTTGTTTTATTTTATTCTTATTATACTTTAAGTTTTAGGGTACATGTGCACAATGTGCAGGTTAGTTACATATGTATACATGTGCCATGCTGGTGTGCTGCACCCATGAACTCATCATTTTTAGCATTAGGTATATCTCCAAAAGCTATCCCTCTCCCCTCCCCCCACCCCACAGCAGTCCCCAGAGTGTGATGTTCCCCTTCCTGTGTCCATGTGTTCTCGTTGTTCATTTCCCACCTATGAGTGAGAATATGTGGTGTTTGGTTTTTTGTTCTTGCGATAGTTTACTGAGAATGATGATTTCCAATTTCATCCATGTTCCTACAAAGGACATGAACTCATCATTTTTTATGGCTGCATAGTATTCCATGGTGTATATGTGCCACATTTTCTTAATCCAGTCTATCATTTTTGGACATTTGGGTTGGTTCCAAGTCTTTGCTATTGTGAATAGTGCCGCAATAAATATACGTGTGCATGTGTCTTTATAGCAGCATGATTTATAGTCCTTTGGGTATATACCCAGTAATGGGATGGCTGGGTCAAATGGTATTTCTAGTTCTAGATCCCTGAGGAATCGCCACACTGACTTCCACAATGGTAGAACTAGTTTACAGTCCCACCAACAGTGTAAAAGTGTTCCTATTTCTCCACATCCTCTCCAGCACCGTTGTTTCCTGACTTTTTAATGATTGCCATTCTAACTGGCATGAGATGGTATCTCATTGTGGTTTTGATTTGCGTTTCTCTGATGGCCAGTGATGGTGAGCATTTTTTCATGTGTTTTTTGGCTGCATAAATGTTTTCTTCACAGAATTGGAAAAAACTACTTTAAAGTTCATATGGAACCAAAAAAGAGCCCGCATTGCCAAGTCAATCCTAAGCCAAAAGAACAAAGCTGGAGGCATCATGCTACCTGACTTCAAACTATACTACAAGGCTACAGTAACCAAAGCAGCATGGTACTGGTACCAAAACAGAGATATAGATCAATGGAACAGAACAGAGCCCTCAGAAATAATGCTGCATATCTGTAACTATCTGATCTTTGACAAACCTGAGAAAAACAAGCAATGGGGAAAGGATTCCCTATTTAATAAATGGTGCTGGGAAAACTGGCTAGCCATATGTAGAAAGCTGAAACTGGATCCCTTCCTTATACCTTATATAAAAATTAATTCAAGATGAATTAAAGACTTAAATATTAGACCTAAAACCATAAAAACCCTAGAAGAAAACCTAGGCATTATCATTCAGGACATAGGCATGGGCAAGGACTTCATGTCTAAAACACCAAAAGCAATGGCAACAAAAGCCAGAATTGACAAATGGGATCTAATTAAACTAAAGAGCTTCTGCACAGCAAAAGAAACTACCATTAGGGTGAACAGGCAACCTACAAAATGGGAGAAAATTTTCACAACCTACTCATCTGACAAAGGGCTAATATCCAGAATCTACAATGAACTCAAACAAATTTACAAGAAAAAAACAAACAACCCCATCAAAAAGTGGACGAAGGATATAATCAAATTGTTAAAAGCCAGAGATAATCAGGAAATTGTGAAAGTAGCCAAAAACATGCTCTGTACAAAGTGGCAAAGATAAAATTATAGCAGACTTCTTGTCATAAACTAAGCAAACCAGAAGATAACGGAGCAACATTTTAAGGTATGATAGAAAAAAAAAAAAAGGCAATTCTCCATCTAGAATTCTATCCCTAGCAAAAAATATATTTTATTTATTTATGTATTCGTTTTCCCCAGATACATCAGATAAGAGCAAAAGACTTCATATTGCTCATTAGTTCTTTTTTTTTTTGAAACAGAGTCTCATTCTCATTAGTGTTAGAAATATCTTTTAAAATGAAGATGAAATGAAAACTTTTCGAGACAAACAAAAGGTGAGTGAATATATCACAGCAGACCAGAACTGGAAAAAAAAAGTAAGTTCTTTAGGTAGAAGAAATATGAGAACAGATGAAAGTTTAGATCTATGCAGAGGAATGAAGAGTTCTCCAAGTACTAAATATATGGATGGATATAAAACAAATTCTTTCTCATTTTTAAATGCATGACTTAATAATTAATTGTTTTACATAAAAATAATAGCAATGTAACTTACGGTTTATTGGGTGAAATAAATGTATGACAACAGCAAAAAAGATACTAGGAAGAAATAGAAATATACTACTGTAAGATTCTTACACTATATGTGAGAAGATATTATATTGTTGGAAGGCAGATTGGGATAACTTAACAGACCCCAAAGTAATCACTAAAAAAATGAAACAGAGTGTAGCTAATATTGGAGATAAAATGGTGTCCTAAAAATACAGTAAGAAAAAATGGAAAAACAAGGAAAAATGAAAATATGAGATAAATAGAAAACAAATAAGGCTGGGTGTGGTGGCTCAAGCCTGTAATCCCAGCACTTTGGGAGGCCAAGGTGGATGGATCACGAGGTCAGGAGATCGAGACCATCCTGGCTAACACGGTGAAACCGCGTCTCTACTAAAAATACAAAAAATTAGCCGGGCATGGTGGCGGGAGCCTGTAGTCCCAGCTACTCGGGAGGCTGAGGCAGGAGAATAGCGTGAACCCGGGAGGCGGAGCTTGCAGTGAGCCGAGATCGCACCACTGCACTCTAGCCTGGGCGACAGTGCGAGACGCCATCTCAAAAAAAAAAAAAAAAGAAAGAAAGAAAACAAATAATAAGATGGTAGATTTAAATTTAATCATACAAATGATTACATTAAATGTAAATTGTCTAAACATTCAAAATAAAAGAATTGTCAGATAGGATATAAAAAGGCAAAACCCACTACATATTACCTGTAAGAAACCCACTTCAAATACAAAGACAAAGATAGGCTAAAAGTAAAAGTATGGAAAAAATATGCTATGCTAATGCTGAGACAAAGAAAGCTTATGTGGCTTTATTAATATAAGACAAATCAGACTTCAGGATAAGAAAAATTACCATAGATAAAGAAGGGCATTATATAATGATAAAAGGGGTCAAGTCACCAAGCGGACATAAAATTTCTTAATGCATATATACCTAAACATAAAGGTTCAGAATAAACAAAGCAAAACAGATAGAACTGAAAGAAGAAATAGAAAAACCCACAATTACAGTTGGAGACTTCAATAGTCCTCTCTCGAAAAATTTATTGAACAATTCTACAAAAAAAATCTGCAAGTATCTAGAGGTCATAAGCACTATTAGCAAACTTGATCTCATTAATATTTATAAAACATTTTATCCAACAAGAGCAGACTGCATATTCTTTTCAAGTGCAAGAAATAATGTGCAAGGCCTTCACACTGAAAAATATAAAACATTGCTGAAAGAGACTAAGAAAGACTTAAATAAATGGAGATATGTATTATGTTCATGGATCAGAATCCTTAAAACTGATTAATAAGACAAATACCATGATAAAAAATGGGCAAAGATTTAAACAGTCATGTCACCAAAGAAGACATATAAATAGCAAATGGGCACCTGAAAAGATGATCAACATTATTACTCATTGGGGAAATGCAAATTAATGCTGCAGTGAGCTACCACTATCACTAACATTTAAAGAACTGATGATTTTAAGTTTTGATGAAGATGTGCAGCAATGTGAACTGTCATACCTTGCTGCTGAGAATGCAGCAGCACTCAGCACAGTGCAGCAAAGCACTCAGCACAGCCACTTTGGGAAGCAGTTTGGCAGTCTCTTTCTTTCTTTTTATTTTTTGAGACGGAGTCTCGCTCTGTCACCCAGGCTGGAGTGCAGTGGCACGAACTCAGCTCACTGCAACCTCCGCCTCCGGGTTCAAGCAATTCTTCTGCCTCAGCCTCCCGAGTAGCTGGGATTACGGGTACATGCCTGGCTAACTTTTTTTATTTTTAGTAGAGACGGGGTTTCGCCATGTTGGCCAGGCTGGTCTCAAACTCCTGACTTCAAGTGGTCTGTTCGCCTCAGCCTCCCAAAGTGCTGGGATAACAGGTGTGAGTCATCGAGCCCAGCGGCAGTTTTTAAAAAGTTAAATACAGGTTTGCTATTCCACCCAGAAATCCCACTCCTAAGTATTCACTTGAGAGGAATGAAAACCTTAGGTCAGCCCAAAGACATACTCAAATGCTCATAGCAATTGTATTCTTATTGGACCCAAGTTGGAAATAACCCTCATGTCTAATGACAAATAAATGGATAAGCAAATTGTGGCAAATGAACATAATGGAATACTATTCAGCAGTGAAAAGAAATGAGCTACTGGCATAAGCAACATGAAGAATCTCAAAAACATGGTGCTAAGTGAAGGAAGCCAGGCACAAAAGTCTCCATAGCTAATCATTTCATTTATGTGACCTTCTGAAAAAGCCAAAACTACGGCAGCAGAAAGCATAACAGTGGTTGCCATGGAGGGAGGAGGAGAAGATAGTCTGAAAAGAAGCACAAGGAATAGAAATACTATGTGTCATGACTGTAGTGGTGTTTACACACCCATGTATATCTGTCAAAATGCACTGAGTTATATGCTAAAATTTGATGAAATTTATTGTATGTAAATTACATCTCACTAAAGGTAATTTATCTGTAACAGCATCTGAAACAGGCGCCTCCTCTGCTTGGTTTAGATGCTGTTAAGTCTTACGTGGCCTTCTACATATGGTCGCTCCCAGCTCTCCACTTCTCATGTTGTAGAAAACTATTGATATCTGCAGGGCAGTCCTTGCGGGTGGAGGGCTGAAGTGGAACATGCAGAAGTCTGGGAGGGTTGTGTCTGTCTGCATGAGAAGGATGGTCAAACACTCAAAACCCCTCTATGCAGCTTCTTCTGGGAGGACAGCTAGTGTGTTTAGGAAAAAGAGCAATTCTGTGTCTCTCCTGAAACTACATATCAAAGGGACCAAGAGGTGAGAAGTATGACAAGGATGCTGGAAGCAACTCTGACAGTGGCATCTGAGCTTTGGGAATACCAGCTATGGTGTCTTCCCTGCTGAAATGTTCACAGGAAGCAGGGTTGGGAGGCCTCTGACATGGCCTCTCGTTATCGTTTTTAGACATCGGCGGTAGGGGGCTTTTGAAGGCCAAATTTTATATGGAGGGGCCTGTAATTGGAGGCTGCAGTCCTTTGACAGTTTGTTGTAAAGTCCAAATCCCGTAGCTTGTGTTACGGGATTGCATTGTGTCCCCATTGATAAGTGGAAGTCCTAACCCCCAGCACTTGAGACTGACACCTTATTTGGAAATAGAGTCCTTGCAGATGAGTTCGTTAAGATGAAGTCATGCTAGAGTCAGGTGAGAACACCATACGAAGATTGGAGCTCGGCTTCCACAAGCCAATGATCTGCCAGAAGCTAGGAGAGGGGCCTGGAATAGATAGTGTTTTGACCTCTAGTGTTGGTCAAAGTAGGCTTCAGGAGACTGCCACAGAATGGGTGGCTTCCCTGACCTCCCCATATTCCTAGATATCCTTGTATCTCTTCCTTGGAATCTGAGAAGCCGAGTTCACAAAAGAGCTCACCTTCCTATGAGAATCTAATGCTGCTGCTGATCTGACAGGAGGCAGAGCTTGGGAGGTAATGCTTGCTCACCTGCCCTCCACTCACCTCCTGCTGTACAGCCCGGTTCTTACCCGTCTGCAGCCTGGGGGTGGGGGAACTTTGCTCTAAAGCCTCCAGTTGGCAGTAGCCCCAGGCTCCCTTTGCAGGGTTGCTGCCCACCCTTCCCATGCAGGAGCTCTTTGTTTCAGCAGCACTGTTGCTCAGGAAATCATTTGTGGAACAGCCTTTTGGATGGTTGCTTACTGGTCAGGCTTCCCAGATTGCCAGGAAGAGATACAAGGATATCTGGGAACACAGGGAGGTTGGGGAAGCTACCCATTCTGTGGCAGTCTCCTGGAGCCTACTTTGACCTACACTAGGAGGTACAGAGACTCTGCAAAAGACCCTAGATTTGGCCCCCTCGGGACATATCCTGAGCTTAAGGGACTTTTCTCCATGATATTAATAGTTGCCAAAAGTGGAAGTGTGATCCGCCAGTGGCTTTCACTCAGGGTGACACTCATCTTCTGATCTCAGTAAATAAATTAGTATTCATAAAACACTTAGAACTGCACTGGCACCCGGAAAGCACTATGTGAGTATTACCTCCCGACCTGGCTAAGGGATGTCTTCCTTTGGGTTCCAGCTTTTAGACAATTGCTTTTCATTCACACACTGGGCTCTGATCCAGTTCTCAAGTTTAGCATCTCCTCTTTAACAAGCATCCACTACAAATGTTAGTGAAAGAGAAAAAAAAAAAAAAAAGCTCATTTGGATCTCTTTTCTTAATCAGAAACTGTGACTGTGGCCAGAAGTGAGGGCTTAATGGATTCGCCAATATACCCACTAAAAATGAATAAATATATGAAAGAAACTCTGGATGGATGGATGTGTAGGTGGGTGGATGGGTGGGTGGATGGATGGATAGAAGAATTTGGCTTGACTCAGGTAAGAAGGTAAAGTGAAGGGTGAATTGCCTACAAGGTATATGCATGTCTGGGGAGAGGAAATTTTGGAGGATTTAAGTGTATGCTTGTGTGTCCTTTGGCCCTCCTCAAATAAGGACTCCATGATAGATTGAGATTTTATAGGTTTAATATTCCCTCCCAACTTCATGTACTTTACATCTGGATAAAAGGAGCTATAAATCTCTCCAGGCAGAACGTGCCTCAGCCCTGCCTTTCTACCTTCTCACTGAAGAGATCTTACTTGGAAATACAGCTGAACACTCAGTGATGAATCATAGCATCTGTGGAACAGTCCAGATAAGGAACAATTTGCATTTTCATGTGATAATTCACTACTCTTGCCATTTTCAAATTACTTTAGAGCCACATTAATTCTATTGCCATATACTGCCACTGTGCACCCAAGTCACCAGGAGATGGGGATTCAAGTGGCAGGTTTGTCTGGCTTTACAGGAGTGGGAAATGCTCCCCCTCAACCGCCCAGTAACACAAAACATAGGGAAATGGAGCTGCCCCGCAGAGAGCCCATCTCCTAGCAGATCCCCCGAGAAAGGTCGCAGCTTCAAAACTATCTTGCATTTTCATTCTCCATGTCTGTATATCACTTGCTTAAAAATAAGCTAAGCATACATCACTCCTCCTCCATTCCCCCACGTCACACTGCGGAGGAGACCTTTTCAGGTAGCTCTTCCTCCCTCTCTGTTTCAGGAAGTATATGTGTCGGAAGAGGTTGCAAGCGACAACACCAGATGGCTCCCGTAAAAGGGGTCTTTATGGGAGAAGGGTTTTCTTGGCTGGATGGAGTGCCCCAGCTCTGCAGAGGAATCTACTGTCTAATGCTCATCTTCATTCTTCCCAGTGGCCATAGCTACTTCAAAGAGGCCCAATGTGGCCATGGAGACTAGTCTACCATCCAGGCACAGGGGACTCTGGCAGAGAAGGACAATGTCGAATAAAGACAAAATTAATCCCGATCTCTCCAAGTGGGCTCCTCTACTATAATACCTCCAGACAAAGACATTTCATGGTGTGATGCTATCCCCCCCTTCACAATCCAGGAAGTTTTTCGTACTCATCAGTAATACTTCTTGCTACAGTGCAAATCCGTTTCCTTGCCCAGAAGCAGAGAAGAGTCATTCTTGCACTCTCGAATCTACACATCCCTGCATTCCTTAAACAAATTCTCAGAATGCTGTCAAATAAATTAATGAAGAGCCTTTTAAAAATGAGAAGAATTTCTGCTTCTCTCTCCTAATTTGCATTTGTCCGTTTTCCGAGTTTCCATTCTATTAAACTTTAATTTCCTCTCCTCTCATCCCCAGTCCTTTAGGAAGTCTTAGGTTGGAATTTTACTTTACACAGTCAGAATCTCTTGGGCTCCAGTAGATTACACTTATGGACAGGCAGGATGTATTTTGTCCCTGAAGCGAGTTTTAGATTGCCCAGCCGACTTCTTAGGGAAAACAGGTCTAAAGCAGAGGGTGCAAATGTGGACGATGGGGAAGCAGCTTTAAGTTCTGTTTATTCTGGATATATTACTCTTTTATGCCCAGTTTGCAGCAGTTGTGTGTGTGCTTTTTAAAATTTTGTTTCACTGTGGTAAGAACACTTAACATGAGATCTACCTTCTTCACACATTTTTAAGTGTACAGTACAGTGTTGTTGACTATAGGTGCATTGTCGTACAGCAGATCTCTACAGCTTATTCATTTTGCTCAATTGAAATGTTATGCCTCTTATTAGTAACTCCCCATTTCTTCCTCCCCACCCCCACCAACTCCAGCCCCTGGCAACCATCACTGCATTCTCTGATTCTGTGAATTTGACTATTTTAGATACTTCATGTAAGTGGAGGGACACATCATTTGTGTACTTTCTGCGACTGGCTTATTTCATGTAGCATAATGTCCTTAAGGTTCACCCATATTGCATGCTGCAGTTGCATATTGCAGAGTTTCCTTCTTTTTAAAGGCTAAATAGTATTTCTTTCTTGTTTCTTTATCCATTTATCTGTAGATGGACATTTAGGCTGTTTCCACAACTTGATTATTGAGAATAATGCTATAATGAGCATGAGAGTGCTAATACCTCTTTGAGATTTTATTTTATTTTTTTTTTTTTTGAGACAGAGTCTCGCTTTGCCACCCAGGCTGGAGTACGATGACGCAATCTTGCCTCATTGCAACCTCCACCTCCCGGGTTCAAGCAATTCTCCTGCCTCAGCCTCCCAAGTACCTGGGACTACAGGCATGTGCCACCATGTCCAGCTAATGTTTATATTTTTAGTAGAGACGGCGTTTCACCATGTTGGTCAGGCTGGTCACGAACTCAAGACCTCGTGATCGGTGCACCTCGGCCTCCCAAAGTGCTGGGATTACAGGCGTGAGCCACCCCACCCGGCTGAGATTTTGATTTTAATTCTTTTCAATAGATAATCAGAAGTGGGATTGCTAAGCCATATAGTAGTTTATTTTTGATTTCGTGAGGAACCCCCATACTGTTCTTCGTAGTGGTTGTACCATTTTGCATTCCCACCAATAAGTGTGCAAGGGTTTCACATTCTCTTACATTTTCACTAGCACTGTGTATTTTTTTATCTTTATTTTCAGACAATAGCCATTCTGATAAATATGAGGAGATAGATGTCTCATTGTAGTTTTGATTTGCATTTCACCGGTCATTGGTAAAGTTGAGTATTTTTCATGTATCTGTTGACGATTTGTATGTTTTTTTTGGAGGAATGTCTATCCAAGTCCTTAGCCTTTTAAAAATTGTATTGTTAGTTTTTTTGAGTGATTGAATTGTAGGAGTTCCTAATATATTTTGGAGATTAACCCTATATCAGAGATATGGTTTGCAAATATTTTCTCCCATTTCGTGGGTTGCCTTTTTACTGTGTTGATTGTTGCATTTCTATACATTAACAATGAACTATCTGAAAAGGAAATTAGGAAAACAATTCTACCTACAATAGCTCCAAAAGGAATAAAATGCTTAGGTATATATATATATATATATATATATATATATATTTTTTTTTTTTTTTTTTTTTTTTTTTTTTTTTTTTGCGACAGAGTCTCACTCTGTCACGCAGGCTGGAGTGCAGTGGTGAGATCTTGGCTCACCACAACCTCTGCCTCCTGGGTTCTAGCAATTCTTCTGTCTCAGCCCCCCGCCCCCCTCCCCCGAGTAGCTGGGATTACAGGTGCACACTACCACTCTCAGCTACTTTTCTGTATTTTTAGTGGAGACGGGGTTTCACCATGTTAGCCAGGCTGGTCTCAAACACCTGACCTCAGGTGATCTGCCCGCCTTGGCCTCCCAAAATGCTGGGATTATAGGCATGAGCCACCACACCCGGCCTTAGGTATAAATTTCATTAAAGAGATGAAAGGCTTGTCTATTGAAAACTCTAAAATAGTGACAAAGAGGGTAAAGAAGACACAACCAAGAAAGACCTATGTTCATGGATTGAAAGATTTAATATTGTTAAAATGTTTCTACTGCACAAATCAATCTACATATTCAATGCAAATACCTATAAAAAATTCCAATAAATTTTTTTCAGAAATGGAGGCAAAATTCTACAATTCATGTAAAACCACAAAAGACCATGAATAGCCAAACTAATCTTGAGAAAGGAGAACAAAATTGAAGGCATCATACTTCCTGATTTCAAAATATATTACAAAGCTGCGTAATAAAAACAGTATTGTACTTGCATAAAGACAGACATCTAGACCAATGGAACAGAACAGAGAGCCCAGAAATAAATCCACATATATATGGTCAAGTGATTTTCCACAAGGGTGCGAAGGTCACACAAGGGGGAAAGGATAGTCTCTTGAATAAATGGTATTGGGAAAACAGGATATCCATACGCAAGGGAATGAAATTGGACCCTTATCTTACACCATACATAAATATCAACTCAAAATGGATTAAAGACTTAAACATGAAACCTGAAACCCTAAAACTCCTAGAACACATACAGGAAAGCTTTGTGACATAGTTCTTGGCAATGATAATATGGAAATGACACCAAAAGCTCAGGCAACAAAAACGAAAGTAAGCAGGTAGGACCACATCGAATGTAAAAGCTCTGTACAGCAAAGAAAGCAGAAGTTGTGTTTTGAATGATTTTCTTCTTTCTGTTAAATCTCCCAGTTTCTGTACTTGTGAACTGAGGGGCAGGTGGTTGGGGGCTGTGGCAGTCAATCCCACTCTTCTGCTTTTATTTTTAAAATACCATAGGAGGAAAGCATGGGAATAAAGAATGCTTTTAGTTCCTTGGAAAGGGGCACCAGAAAAGAAATGTATTAGATTGAACCATATAAAATTGTCATTTTTTAGGTAAAAAATGGTTGCATAGCACCAATTTCATATGGGTCAACCTAGTACAGCCAAACTTCTTTAATTCAGACTAATTTGTGGAAGCTTGGTCTGAATTAGTGAAAAGTTTGAATTATGAAATCTTTTAAAAGAGATACAATGTCATTGCATTCAAGTATTGACAGTGACAGGAAACAGGTCAACAAAGAAAGGCTTTCTACAGTCCCATGAGGGAACGACTGGTTAATAGACAATTTGTAATGAGCCTACAAATATGTTGGGTAAAGATGCTTTAATATAGGGTGTATGTACTTGAGAATGCTTAATCAGTTTATTCTTTTGAGTAGCTTTAAATAGTTGCCTTTTGATTTGCATATATGATTAGTTTGCTTGACAAATCCTTCTTTCAAAGAAAGCAACTGTATGGTTGAAGTTTACTTGTCTGAACTATTTCTTATTCCAAAATAGTGGATTCCAAATTAATGATGCTTGACTACTCTATTCCTGACCTTAAGGTTGGACATTAGGTTAATGAAAATCAGTGGAGAGCAACTCTCACAAGTATCCTGGAAGAGGAAAATATACTTGATGGAAATATATGTGACTTGAAAAATGAGGCTGGTTTTCTTGTATGTCTTGTATACTGATTGTGGAGGCAGTTTCAGAAGCAAAGTTCAAACAATGTTTTGGGTAATAGCAGCAAACTTGGAATAAGCCAACAACATCCCACAGAAATGTTTCAAAGAGCAACCCTGATGTGAATGTACAAATTCCATCCATTATGGTTTAAAACCATTCTTTCGGAAAGATATTTATTCATATAAAAACATTTTAAAAAGTTCCTAAATAATAGTAATTTGTCCATTATATTTAAGTTGATTTACAAGTGATTTGATCAATTTTCTGCTTACTTGAAACTCTAGGGAATGCATGAGTGGGAGGAGAGGAGGCAACGTTTGGTGACCAGCAGAAACAGAGATTGATAGACTCTTTGATAGAATTGGAATTAGGCATAATTCTTCAGGAGTGCACCTGGGATGCATGGCAAAGTTTATCCTCACAGGCTTCCCTCCCTGGCTGGTATGTCCTTCTGATCAGAGATGGGGAATCTAGAGCAAAACACTGCTCTTCTCTCAATGTAACTTGGTGCCAAATCTCATCCTACTGCTTCCTGTCCCTTCTTCTCTTGCTTTGAAATGTCAAATAGGACTTAAAGGCTGGATAAATCTGATGAGGCTATTACAAGAAATGGACTCAGTTTTCAGTTGCATGTCTCCACTAACGTGGATATGAAATAAAAAAGGAACCGGATAAGATAAAAGCAATTATTTAAAACAACAAACAAACAACAAACTGACCAATGATGGAACTGTTTTCTGTCTTCATTGCAGTTACACAAGTATATGCGTTTGTCAAAATGCATAAACCTATGCATCAAAAAGAGTAGTTGGACTGTATGTAAATTAGAAACAACTAAATAAACATGAAATAAGGCCAGGCCTTTCCTTGGTAACCTATCAAGCAGGCACCCTGGTGGTAGGTCTTCTGGGTTCCTCTCACAGCTCTGTCATTGCCTGGTACTCATCACCCATCTCTGGCTGCTAAGTTCGTGCCCACCAGGTCTGCAGTTTCTGTACTTGTGAACTGAGGGGCAGGTGGTTGGGGGCTGTGGCAGTCAATCCCACTCTTCTACTTTTATCTTTAAAATACCATAGGAGGAAAGCATGGAAATAAAGAATGCTTTTAGTTCCTTGGAAAGGGGCACCAGAAAAGAAAAGTGTTAGATTGAACCATATAAAACTGTCATTTTTCTAGGTCAGAAATGGTCGAATAGCACCAATTTCATATGGGTCAACCTAGTACAATCAAACTTCTTTAATTCAGACTAATTTGTGGAAGCTTGGTCTGAATTAGTGAAAATTTTGAATTATGAAATCTTTTAAAAGAGATACATTGTCATTACATTCAAGTATTGACAGTGACAGGAAACAGGTCAACAAAGAAAGGCTTTCTACAGTCCTATGAAGGAATGACTGGTTAATAAAGACAATTTGTAATAAGCCTACAAATATGTTGGGTAATTGGGTATTTGTGCCTACAAATATGATGGCCCTCTGCCTTGTCCCTGTCACTGAGTGTGATGTCCCTAAAGATGAGGCCGTATGCCCAGCACAGTATCCTATACATGGCAGGAGCTGCACGAAGCTGTTGTGAGATTTGAACCTCAATCTTGCATGCTGCCATTTTAAGTCAGAACACTCTGATTCTGTCCTTAGCAGAGATTCATTTGTTAATTCAGGCAACCCTTAATGAACACCTACTATATGTCAAAAATGGTCCTAGGAATCAGGGATATAAAAACAAGATGCAGCCCCTGCACTGGAGCTGTTCTGGTGGGAGAGCCAGACGTGTAAACAGAGAATTAGAGCACAGTGTAATTAGTGCTAATGGAGGCGTGGGCAGAGCGCTCTGGGGGCACGGAGGAGGAATGACTCCCTCAGCCTCACTCATATCCCCCCAGCTGCTCCAAGATGCTTCACGTCACAGTGGCGCCTGAAGAAAGAGGCTTTGCCCAAGGAGAAAACAATGCTGTGTCAGTCCAGTGTGTCAACACACATATGCACACACACACACAGGCACAGGTGCACACACATGCACACACAAGCACACACACATGCACACAAACATGCACACACACACGCACAGGTGCACATACACACACACACGCCCTTGAAGGCCTCCTTCCCTCCTGTGGAATGGATTACGCCAGCCCTGCCCCATCATCCTCTCTGGACCACAAGTGAAATAGCCCAGGCACTGCTTGATTCAGTAAATGCCCCTGGAAGGTTGGTAGTGGTTGTGGGTGAATTCCTGCATCTCACTACGATCCTTCCCAGAGCCTTTTCCTCACAGGCTTCAGGCAGGGTAGGCTGCCTGACAGTCACCATGGCAACAGGCCTCTCTTTATGCCTTCTACACGTGTAGGGGGCTTCCTTACTGGAGTGGGGGCCCATGACCAGCACCCCAGCCAAGCCTCAGACTCTGGGTCCACCTTTCTGGGTCGTTCCAAGGTCGTTGTCTTCTGCTAGGTATCAACCATGTATGAGGAACAGGTGGAGTTCTCCTTGTCCAGGCCTGACACCCAGGCTTACTGTGGAATTAAAGAGCTGTGGACAGTAGCTGCTCAAAAGGAAGGTGACAGGTGAGTTCCTGAACATCCAGATTGTCAACAGCCAAAGACAAGATGGCCACCTGGAAGAGGAGCTGGGGGACAGTTCTGGACAAATTCAAGTATGTTGATTGCAGGGTAACCAGGATGACACAGACTGAAGTGAGGTGGGAACCAAGAAAGTAGGGATGCACAGGCTGGAGAAGAAAAGTGTCATAGGGAACACAGGTGGACTCAATGCACATTGCATAGGAAAGGAGGTAGATGCAGTCTGTGGGGCTGTTTTAGCATCAGTGACACCAATGATTGGAAGAGAAAAGGCCACCATAATTTCTTCCTCTTCCTCATGTTTTGGTAAAGTCTCCTAAGCACCTAAGCCTTTCAAAGGTGAAAGGGGCTGCCTTTGAGGAGGTGAGCTCCTCGTCTGCAAAGATAATCAAGTGGCAGCTACATGGCCACTGGGTGGGCATCTGAATATGTGTTGGGGCTTCTAGTGTCCCATCCAAACCTGACTGGCCCTGCCGCTGTCCTGTGAGTAGCTGTGACATGTATCCCATGGTGCTCTCACCTGTAAAATGAGGATTTGAGCTAGGCGTGTCTCAGAACCTGTCTGCTTTACAGCCCTGTGTTCAGACCTCGTTTTCTAAACCTGATCCTGATGACAGAGGCTTAACTTTACAGGTTGAAGGCACTTCCTATTTTTCTGAGCACTTTCACATCCATCACCTTGATATTTCTTCCCCATTACTCTGGAAAATAAATAGAACAGATCGGATTTCTGGGACAGAGGGGTTGAAGTGGATTTTCCCAAGGTTCCTAGTGAGTTAGCAGCAGAGCCAACTTGGATGCCAGGTCTTGGGACGGCCAGTCCAGCACACTGTCTGCTTGTGCCTGCTTTTACCCAGGTCAGGTTTGCTGGCTTTTCCACCATGGGCAGATGATGCCACAGAGAGGGGTTATCAGTGAGCAGTACCATGCAACATGCAGTGCAGCAGAAACAACAGCTAAGAAAAGTAAGCAGAGTTTCCAGAAATAAAAAATATATATATTTCTACATCTGGTTGTCAGTTGTTCTCAACTTTGGACTTTTCTACTAGGTAAACTTTGAGACACTAAAATGAAGTTGCTAACAATATGTGATGTGAATACATGAGTTCTGTAAAAGTGACTTGTGCAAATGGATCTGAGTGGGATATATGTTGAATAATAAAAATGTGTAATAAATCTTAACTGATCTTCCTTAAAACTCTTAGTGGGAGTGTGGAGATGGGAGGGGTTGGCCAATGGGTCTGCTTAACATTGCATCCAAGCTGCAAATTCAACAGGCAGAATGTTCCTTGGGAAATTGAAACATCAAAGGCTGAATAAGATCTCACTGCTCTGATTCTTTATTCAGGCCCCTGGGGAATAATGTATCCCATATGATGACTCAATAAGCTCTAACATCTTCTCCATGTGCTACAGGAAAGCCCCCTTCTCTGTCTTAAAATCACCATGTCTCCTTCTTTTATTAAGTTCAGTGGGAACAATGAATGCAAATTTGAAACCATACCGTATATATGTATATGACAGACCCTTCAGTGGATTACAACTTTCCATAGGGAAAAATCTAAAGCATTCGGTGTTGGCTTTATCCTTGCCTCCAAGTGAATCGTGATGATAACTAGACTCAGCACCTTACTGTTTCTCTCCAGGGGCTGAGATGACATTTTGTCTGCATCACCAACTCTTGGTGAAGTGGGAAGGAGAGAAGGAGAGAACGGCTTTTCTGTTCCACTTAGGCCTGCTCCTTGCTCACCTGTATGATGTGGAAGGGATGGAGGGTCAAGGGTAGAAGTAAGGGAAACTGATGATGGAAGGATGAGGCTAAGGGTTCATCATGCAGATGTCCCATCTCACCTTTTCAAGAGGCCAGAGGATTTTGGACTGGGTCCTTTTGCTATAAACAGGTCGATCTGTGGTCAAGCTGGACTTAGGAGCAACCTCTGTGGTGCTGATGGTGAGGCACAGGAATCTGGGACCACTGAGTCCCATATGTAAGGTATTCAAGGTACCATGAAGTTCTGGGCATTTCTTAGACACCCTGACCATGGCATTTGACACTTATTCACATTGGATGTTGGAAATGTTGGGCTGAGGGGCAGACGGTGTGTTGCTGGGGAGACAGAGGCTGTGCTGGTTTGTTGGGCCATCCTGTTGGCATAAGCAAAGCCATTCTCCATTTTTGCTCTGCTCACTGAATTTCTGGCTCCTTTTCCTAGATGCTGAAGTTGACCTACATCAGGATAGTCTGGTCTGAACATTGTTGCAGCAGCCCTTGCTGGTGGTCTTTCAGGGTTTGCTTGCTCACTTCTAGGGTCTCAGGCTGTGCGGGCTACCTGGGACGTTTTGGACAGAGCCAGTGTTGGAAAGTTCCATCCTTATGTGGGGCTGAACTACACTTCCTTCCATTGCCCACTGTTGGTTTTAGTTTGTAATCTGGAGCTATATAACATAGGTCTAGTGTCTCCCATGAGCCACCCCCTCACATACGTGAAGACAGATGCTCCATCTCACCTGATTTCACTTCTCATGACATGGTTTTCAGATCCTTCACTACCCTTGCCACACTTTCCTGGGTGCACATGAGTCTTTCTTTGCTGTGTTTGCACTATGGTGACAGATGTAGACTCAGAACTACACGGGAAGAGGCTTCTTGTCCTTGGAAGGGCTTCTTGTCCTAGGCAGGAGCTCCAAGCCCTGAGAGGAACATGCCCTTTATTTCAACCCATGCTCCAGGATAGACAGCCCTGCTCTACCAGCCTTCCTCACATGGAAGAGGAGGAGGCAGAAGCTTCCCAGGGTATACTCCTGAGAGCAGAGCCCCTGCGAGGGACAGACATGAGACCAGAAGTCGGGACATTGCTCTTGTGACCACAGACCCAATGCCCACATGATGGAGACATCTATCTTCCCAATTCTTGTGGCCTGAATCCTTCCTGAAATCAATGCAGGGCTCCAGAAGGGCATGGAGTCCACCTGTCTCCCCCTCAATTCCCTCTTCCATGCAGGATATTTTAGATGGCAGGCACGATTGTGATGACCTCAGCACCGAGGTGTGAGGCTGACTCACTCAGCATCTCTAAGCAGACTGAGCTCATTGCAAGCATGGCCAGATAATGTGGGCTGAAGGAGACTGAAGCCTTTTGCTGGTCATCACAGTGATAGCTTCTTAAATGGTGTTGTTGAAACAATCTCATTCATAAAGACGAGCTGTAAGTACAGCAAAACATCGTTCTTTTTCCAGAACTATTTCAGAGTATGTTGCTGAAGTGATGTTGATCACCCATGAATACTTTAGTTTATGTATCCTATCAACAAAGACATGCTTTTAGGTGACCGGAGGACAACCATCAAAGGCAGGAAAGGAACTGATTGAATCCCCAGCCCCCATTTAAGTTGTGCCAGTTGCCCCAGGAATAATCTTTATAGCAAAAGGATCCAGTCCAAGATCCCACACTGTATTTACTTGTTTTGTCTCTATGGTGTCCTTCCATCTGGAATAGTTCCCCAGTCTTTCCCTAATGCTTGGGATCTGGATGCTTTTGAAGACTACAGGCCAACTGTTTTGATGCATGCCCCTCACTTTGTCTTTGTAGGACATTTCCTCATGATTAATTTCAGACCATACATCTTTGGCAAGAGTTTCACAGAAACTTCTCATCGCATCTTATCAGGCGGCACACGATTCTGTTTTGTCTTGGAATGAAGGATGCTGACTTTGATCACTTGCTTGCCGTAGTGTCTGCCAGCCGTCTCCACCATCAAGCTACTCTTTTCTTCTTTGTAAGTAATCATGTGTGGAGATATTTGGAGACCAGCCTTGTTCACTTATCTATTTTTATCGGTATGAGCTCAGGGTTTTATATCTTGTTCAATGAATTGCAACCTATGATCTTCATTATTTATTTATTTTTGCTCTGTTTACCTCTGAGTTGGCCAGTAGGAGTCCCTCCAGGCTGGCTTCTGTGTGCTTTTCTCATCTTCCCTTCACACTTTGAGCACGTCCTTACTTCTGGCACAACGAGACTTTCCAGGCTCATCTCATAACTTCCTGCACCAGCCTGGAGAGTCCTCGTTCCTTGCAGAGAAGAATGCTATTTAGAAACCCAGATCCAGGAGGTTAGGTGTGCTCACTGGTGTTGGAGTGTCCCTCAGGCCCTCTTGGGGGACAGAGTGAAGAAATATATACATGTATGTTTACATATAGCTATGTGTACACATAAAGTTGCATTCATATTTACATATTTATTTATCTATTTATTAAAAATCCCAAGTTCACATATATACTATAAATTCTAACACCTCAGGATTCACTTTAGGTTTTTTTTTTTTCCCTTTTTATATTTGTGGCTCCCCTCTCTGCCAGCCGGAATCCTGGCTCTAGTCATCTTGAACATATTTCCTTAATTGATAAATCTCTCTATGGGTAACCAGTCTTCCATTGCTGCCATCACTCCTTCCTGGCATGGATGCCCTCCTCATGCAATTTTATCTCTAGCCTGTGCTGGGCTGTCCTCTGCCCTAAGGCAGAAGCCCTCCTCACTCCTCAGGTCTCCACACTCCATGCTCATTGTCTCATGCTGCCCAAGCTCCTCATCTCCGTGGAGCCCCACACACCATGCCGGGTTTAGCCCTGGCCACCCTCTCATGCCTCTGTCACAGCCTCAGCCTCGATATACTGTTGGTCTCCAACACCTCCGTGGGCCACTGCATGTCCCCTCTGCTCTGGCACAGGTGCCTGCTCTTCTAGGTCTCCCTAATGGTTTGCGGATTGAATAGTTTAAGCAGGGAAGGAATAGGAAGGAAGGAAGGAAGGAAAGAAGGAAGGAAGAAGGAAGGGGAAGAGGAAGAGAAAGGAGAAGAAAGAGGAGGAGGAGGAAAAAGAGGAAGAAGAAGGAGGAGGAGGAGAAGGAGGAGGAGGGGGAAGAGGAGGAGGAAAAGAAGCAGAGGAAGAAGAAGAAGAGGAAGAAGAAGAAGAAGAAAGAAGAGGAAGAAGAAGAAAGAAGAAGAAGAAGAAGAGGAAGAAGAAGAAGAAGAGGAAGAGGAAGAAGAAGAAGAAGAAAGAAGAAGAAGAAGAAGAAGAAGAAGAAGAAGAAGAAGAAGAAGAAGAAGAAGAAGAAGAAGAAATATGAATAGAGAGTGCTTCTTGGATCCTGAACTGCAGAGGGTGGGTCCTTCCTCCTCTGCTCCACTGAAGAGGTAAGGACTGTCGCCTGACAAATGGTGGGATGTGCAAAGGCCCCGTTAGCCAGGCAACCTGTATGTTGGCACATTAGGGTAAAATGCAGTGGGGATGGAGGCCGCCTTTGGGTAAAATGTAGATTATCCCATTCTGAGGCACATTAACGAAGTGCTAATTGTGCTTTCTGAATGCAATTTGGTGCCAGTTGCAGGAATAACTCTGGCACCTGCTTGGACTTTAGACTTGCAGATTAACTCACATGGAAAGAGTAGAAAAACAGGGAATAATTTGTTCTCTAATAAGCCACTTGGAAGCCAACTCATTTCTACAGTTGGTGTCAGAAAAGTGCAGCTCAGTGATTGGAACAGGAAACTGTGTATCTGGTACGTAGAGTTCTGTGCTGTATCTGCCAGGACTTGCTGAGCAACTCACCTCACTTTGCATCTACTGGCCTCAAGTTACCTTCCCACTATTAGGGATAAGAATACTTTTATTCAGTTTGGACAAACTGGATCTGAAGAACCCGGTTTTGCATCTTTCACTTATAGTCACATGGACAGCTCTGATAAATACGCCCAGAAGGCAGGAAAGCAGGAAGTGAGTGTCTGCATTTATGAGCAGTTCTCAGGGATGTGATTCTCAAAGTGGGGCCCCCAAACCAGAAACATTGTCATCACCTTGGATGTTGTTGGAGATGTAAATCCACAGGCCCCACCCAGACCTACTGCACCAGAAACTGGGGGTGGGGTCTAGTAATCTGTGGCTTAACACACCCTCTAGGTGATCTGATGCACGATGAAGTTTGAGAAGCACTGACTGTTCTAGGAAGTGTGGATCCGTTAAGCAGTGTTTACTGAGTATTAAGTTACTTAACAAATGGTTACTTGGGTCAAACTATGTGCCCTACAATATGCTAGGCACTATGGGTTGAATAATTAACAAGACAACCCTCACAGAGCTTATTGTTTAATAAGTGATGCATTAAACAAGCAAACGGGTGTAATGCTGGGAATGAAAAAGCAGGTGCTTGGAGGGCCAACAGTGCAAGGTGCTTGTTTAGGTAGGGCAGTCAGGGAAGGCCACTCAGAGGAAGTGGCATTTATGCCTCAGCCATGCTGTCAGGAAAGCCAGGGAACATTGGCTGGAGGGAGGTGCAATGTAGGGGCGTTTGTGCCAGATGAAGATGGGACTTGAAGCTCAAAACTGCAGGAGCCTCTCCCCATCCTTCCTTGCCTTTTCTGAGACAACCCTGGAGGAGGGGCGGTGGCTCCCTGGCACAGGAACTCTGTTTATCATCTAGCCGAGTGGAGATAGCATCATCATCATTTTCCAGGGGCCAGATATTTGCAATATTAAAAAAGAAATCATGTGATTTGCTGACAGCACGTAATGGGTAATTCGAGGGGCCTTATTATTCCTATACATAGTATCTGGCTTGTGACAGGCAGCCAGCTGTCTGGCATAGACGGAGAGCACACATACCTTCAGTTTGGAATTTTTCCTTCCTGAGTGACAACTGACAGCTAAGATCCTGTTTGGATGGGTGGCCTCGAGTCTTCATTAGGGGCCACTTGGTGTTAAGAGATGCAGTTGAGGGGCCCTCTGAAGGTAGGGACTGACTCATGGCTGATCGACCCAAGGTCTCCTACAGAGGGAGCAGCCAGAGATAGCACTCCCACACCTGCTGACTGTTGACTCTGTGTGGGCAGGGCATGAGGTGTGCTTCTCCTCCTACTGGAGTTGGTCAGAGGCTCTATTTTATAGTTTTGAGATGAGGGCACATCTTCATCACTGAGCAATATTTCTCATTCTGTGTGTGTGTGTGCACGTGTGTGCATGTGTGCATTTTTTTTATCCACTAGGGCAGCATTCTTCACCATTCTTGGGCAGGCATTTGCTTCCTCAGAACAGCATCTGGCAGATAAGAAGACAACTGTGGAATGAATGGATGGATGCATGGATGGATGGGGAACTGCACTGAAAGTCAAGGAGTGCAGGTCTTCAGAGCAGGAGCAGAGTTCACATCCCAGAGAGGACAGCGCCCTTGGGCACTTGTCTTGTGCTTGGTTGGGACTGCCCCATTACATTTGGAGACCTACACTGGGGGTTTCTCAGCTCTTGGAAGGGTGATCTCGATGACTAGGTGGCATATGCCTAGCACTGAGCCTAGCACACATTAGGCATCCAAAAAGCTGCTGTTGCATGACTGCATTCAATCATTATTTTTCAGGTCAGGGATTATTATTTGTAACATATCAACCTTCCTGGGCTCTCCCTGCCTAGTGTAGAGTGGGATGCAGGACAAGGCAAAGCCCAGAGCGGGATGCTCTCCTTCTGTTTACCCCTCCAAGGAATATCACAGATAGTGTTGTGGGGAAAGAGACCCCAGAAAGGATGCAAGAGCATGAGTCTTTCCTGGATTGGCCCAGGGCTTTTCTGTCATTCGCCTGTGCATATTGTGCACATTTTTTTTATCCTTGGAAAGTAAATATTGCCTTGTCTGTTTGCCTACATCTGGTCTTAGGACACTGCCCAGCTAATCACTTTGAGGCAGTGAGGGGCTGGAACAATTGCCCCTCTTGATCACATGATTGGGAAACTCTGAATATGCCTGCCTTTCCTCTTACCTCTTGGTTATCCTGAAGGAGGCTAGGAAGGCCCATCTGTATAAGGGGGTAGGTAATTGGCGTGAGATGAAATAAGTCTGCACAGCATTATTTACAATAGCTGAAAAGCAGAAGCAACCCAAGTGTCCAGTGATACACTGACGGGGGAATGAATAAACAAAATGTGGTAAGTACACATGTGGAATTGTTATCCAGACCTTACAAAGAAGGAAACAGTGACACATGCTGCAACATGGATGAACCTTGAAGACATGCTAGAAAAAATAAACTAGTCACAAAAGGGCAAACACTCTTATGATTCCACTTATATGAGATGTCTAGAATGGGAAAAATAATGAAGACAGAAAGTAGAAAAGAAGTTACCAGGGACCAGGGGAGGGGAGAATGGAGAGTTGTTGTTTACTGAGTGTGTCATTTCCATTTGGGAAGATGAAAAAGTTCTGGAGTTGGTGGTGGTGATGGTTGCAGAACAATGGGAATGCACTTAATGAATTGTATACTTAAAAATGGTTACAATGGTACATTTTATGCTATATCTATTTAATCACAACTTTTGAAAAAGTCTGCAGAGGAGAGACTTGGTGATATAGTTTGGCTGTGTCCCCACCCAAATGTCATCTTGAATTGTAGCTCCCTTAGTCCCCACACATTGTGGGAAAGACCTGGAGGGAGGTATTTGAATCATGGGGGTGGGTTTTCCCTTTCCCATGCTGTTCTTGTGATAGTGAATAAGTCTTACGAGATCCAAAGGTTTTATAAAGGGCAGTTCCCCTGTACATGCTCTCTTGCCTGCCTCCATGTAAGACGTGCCTTTCCTTCTCCTTTGCCTTCCACCATGATTGTGAGGCCTCCCCAGCCATGTGGAACTGTGGGTCCATTAAACCTCTTTCATTTATAAATTACCAGTCTCAGGTATGTCTTTATTAGCAGTGTGAGAACAGACTAATGCACTTGGTGTCACAAGTTGTGCCTTCTGGATGCAGATGCTAGGATGGAGTTTGGTCTGTGAGATGTTGTTAGGGATCAATACCTCTGAAAGGAAGGGGAGGAAGTAGGACTGAGAAGAGGCAGAAGCTGAATTGAGTCTGTCACACAGGCCCTCAAAAACCTTGGAAGCTTTGGAGTGTGAATTGCCCATCAGGACAAAATGACCAGGCCTCTGATGCCTGTGCCTCTCAGACCCCTGATGTGGCTCAGTTGAAGCTGACCTTGAAGGAGCTGTCAGTTGTGGGGTGGGGAGGGGAGGGTCTCTACTGACCACAGAAATGGGGAATCTCAGTGGCACTTTGCTGTTTACCACAGTGGGGAGACAGCAGGTCAAAGAGTCCTATGCAGAATGGTTAAGCTGTTGATGCCTTCGTTTAATAGGTTGGTGCCTCTGATACCCTGTCGTGGGGTGAAGTCACTTGCACATCCAGTGAGCAAGTCTAGAACCATCTTCTTCCAACTCTCAGCCCACGCCCCTTACAGCTTTCCTTGCCAGTCAGTGCTCAGATCCCACACTTGGCTCAGTCGCTCAGCAGTGGGGTAATCAAACCCACCACACTACCTCGTGGAATTTCCAGGAAGATAAAGTCAGGTAGTTTAGCTTTATGCAAATACAATACTCTGAATGACTCAAAAGGAAAAACAGGATTATTCCCAGGTCAAATGGGGAATTGGTAATACAGCAGTAATAATAAATCAGAAATGAATGGATTTGAGTGCTAATTCAACAGGTGCTTCACTAGGAGTGTTTGAGCAGATCATGATTTTTATACTTTATGCCCCATGCATCTGATTTGCCACACATTTGCTGAGCACCTATTAAGTGCATAGGACTCTATGGGATACAGAGAGGGAGATAGGTGGGTCCCAGCCCTGGAGTATGTTCCTTCCCCTGCAGAGGCAGGACAAGCTAACAGCTGCACCAGGCAGCATCTGAGCGAGATGAGGGCAAAGGTGTTGGGCCCTGCATCAGCCTGAGCCCTCCGAAAAGCACTGCTTCCCCACGTTCCACTCAAGGGCCATGAACTGTCTATCGAGCAAACTTTTAATGAAAAATAACAGTTTAACCAAAAAGTCAATATCAATTTCTCTGCCCCAAGTCACAAAGATTTTCAATCCTTCAAACTCCATCTGAGCATCTGTGTCCAGAAGCTCGACCTGCAAGGCCAGCTCTCTCCTCTGCAGACTCATTTCTATCCCACAGCAAGTTGTCACCGTCTGTAAACAGGACTTTCCCGGACACTCCCACAGAATAACAAAAAGGGACTGTGTTTCCTAGGGTGAAACTGGGTGGCCTAAAACAGCAGAATTGTGTTGTCTCACAATTCTGGAGGCCAGAAGTCTGAAGTCATGGTGTTGGCAGGGCCAGGCTCTGGGTTGCTGCTAATCCTTGGTGTTTCAGCAGCTGCATGACTCCAATATTGCCTTCATCTTCACATGGAGTTCTCCTTGTGTCCCTGTATCTTCACATGACAGTTGATATGGTTTGGCTGTGTCCCCACCCAAATCTCATTTTGAATTGTAGCTTCCATAATCCCCAAGTGTTGTGGGAGGGACCTGGTGAGAAGTAATTGAATCATGGGGGCAGGGTTTTCCCATGCTGTTCTCATGATAGTGAATAAGTCTCATGAGATCTGGTGGTTTTATCAAGGGGAGTTCCCCTGCATATGCCCTCTTGCCTGCTGCCGTGTAAGACATCGTTTTGCTCCTCCTTGCCTTCCAACATTATTGTGAGGTCTCCCTAGCCATGCGGAACTGTGAGTCAATTGCATCTCTTCCCTTTATAAATTACCCAGTCTTGGGTATGTCTTTATTAGCAGCATGAGAATGGACTAATAGAACTGTATTAGCACACTCCAGTATGACCTATCTTAATTAGTTACATCTGCAATGACCCTATTTCCAAATAAATTCACATTTTGTTGTACTGGGGATTGGGACTTCAATGTATCTTTTTTAGGTAAAACATGATTCAAACCAAAACAGGAACCCAGAAAATATATTAGCTTTCTTGTAGACACAGGCCAGGAGTAGTTGGGTGTGTCTGACATGGGGGTGTTTTTCTGTGACAGTGTGTGTAAGGTACGTCATAGTTCTAAGTTGATGGAACACAGAATCTGCAGACTTTGCCAAACATTCACATTGAACTACTATTTATGTTTTTATTTTCAAGCCAATTATTTAAGTACAATTGGCCCTTGAACAATATGGGGTTTAGGGGTGCTGAACACTCCCACATAGTTGAATATCCAAGAATAACTTTCAATTCCCTAAAACCTTAACTATTAAAAGTCTACCGTGGAAAATGACATAAACAGTTGATTAACACATTTTGTATGTTATAGGTACTTTATACTGTATTTTTACAATAAAGTAAGCTAGAGGAAAGATATTGTGATTAAGAAAACCTTGAGGAAGAGAAAATGTATTTACTATTCGTCATCATAACATTTTTATCCTTGTTATCTTTATGTAGAGGAATGGGAGGGGTTGGTCTTGCTGTCTTGGGGTGGCAGAGTTGAAAGAAAATTCATGTCTAAGCGGTCTTATGCAGTTCAAACCCGTGTTGATCAAGCTCCACTGTAAAAGCATATGCCTTGATGATGGCCTCAAGCATAGTTGGGACATTCTTGCCTTTCAGACTAGGATGCTAAATGTAGCAAACACTTTATTGAGGGAAGGCCATAATTAAAGAAACACTGTCCCAAGAACTGAGCTGGGAAAAGGAGCAGATTTAATGGGTTTGTTCCTTTTGACCTGCTGTGGGTATTTGCTGGCATTTTGTTTTTAGTAGCATAAATGCTTACCTATCTCAGCTTGTGATTATGTCTGTGTATTAGTCCGTTTTCACGCTGCTGATAAGGACATACCCAAGACTGGGAAATTAACAAAAGAAAGAAGTTTAATGGACTCACAGTTCCACATGGCTGGGGAGGCCTCGCAATCATGGCAGAAGGCGAAAGGCACCTCTCACGTGGTGGCAGACAAGAGAAGAGAAACTGTGCAGAGGAACTCCCCTTTATAAAACCATCAGATAGTGTGAGACTCATTCACTGTCACAAGAACAGCACGGGAAAGACCCAGCCCCATGATTCAATTACCTCCTACTGGGTGCCTCTCATGACACATGGGAATTGTGGGAGTTATAATTCAAGATGAGATTTGGGTGGGGACACAGCCAAACCATATAAGTGTGTGTGTGCATGTTGTGTGTATGTTAGGGTGTTGGTATTATTCATTTCCATTTCTACTTCTTGTTGGTGTGTGAGGTGTGAGGGGGTACATAGGGAAGATACCATGCATTTGAAAGCTCTCTACAAAACAATGAATGTCAAAAACTACATGGAGGCTGGCAGACATTTTGTCCCTCGGTGAAGGACACACTCAATGGTGACTGAGCAGAGTGGTGCTGACTGTACCCCCTGGCCATACCCCTGACCCTGGATTGAGCAGATCTCTAACCTGGCTGCTGCTTCTTTCCGGGACACTCCTTCCCTGTTCCCAGGAGATGCCCTGGCTCAAGGGCACTTTCCAGAGTGGAACTTTCTGCTGCTTCCTAAAGTTCTTCCCAACCTAGTTGCTAAGCAATGCTGGTGCTCACTAGAGGGGCTGCTCCTGCTCTGGGCATGGGTTCACCATCCCATCTGCAATTTAAATTCCCTGACAGGCAGAGGCAGCCGAGCTGTTCACTGGAGATTGCAAAAACTTAGATTGAAATACAGGGAATATCCAATGCCTCGAGCCCTTCATAAATTTTCCTTTGATAGTAACTGGGAGAGAGATGAGAAAAGAGGGAGTGAGAAGGTGCCAGAGAGGGGAAAGCATTGCAATTTAGACCTACACACTGGTTTTACCTTTGATCAGTGTTCTCCATTCCCTCTTTGCCCCAGTGTGTGCTTACTCTCAATCTTCTCTCCGGACTTTCTGGCTGTCTCCATTCATCTCCCTTATCCCACCTTGTTAGTGAGCTTCTGGGCATCTCTTTTGCTTTTCCCATGGCTGTCTGGACATGAAGAAGCAAGGACAAAGCCACTGACTGGTTAACAGGACCACACAGGTTCCATTGTGGCCAAGTCCCCAAGGGCCCCTCTCCTGGGGCAGCCTGCAGCCCTCCAGGGCCTGGCAATGAGAAGCTCCCTTGGCAATGCCCAGAGCTACAGCTGTCTTGACAATGGCTGGACAGCCTGCTGGGGCCCCAGCTGCAATTCTTGGGGGCACCCAGGCTCCTCGGAGCCCAGCAGAGCCCCAGGGGAAGCTGTGCCCCTCAGCCCCCTGCAGCTGATTTGTAGTGAAGGAGGTGTGGAGTTGGGCTACACCATCTCTTCAATTTCCCAGATCAGATCCATGAGGCATCAGAATCAGGCACTGCCAAGGAGCTTGCAGAATCTGCCTCACTGGAGATTGGATTCTGGGATTAGTTCTCTCCTTCAATCTTTCTCCTCTCCCATTTCACTCTTTGGGTCCTGTCCTTTTAGTCTCAGTGTCCTCCAACTTAAAAAAAATCGTCTTACATTTAATTTTCTCCCTATTCCTCAAACACCACTCTTAAGTTATTGGGCATTCCAGGTTCTGCCAAGGAGATGGACTGACAGCTGGGCTCAGGACCTTGCAGTCTAAGGCAGACAACGGTGACCAAAACTGGCTCATGGAGACACTGGCTATTCCCACTGACACGCCGCCCTTGGGCCCTGCCTGGTGGCCTGTGGACAGTAGAAACTGGCCTTAAGGAGCCTTCAGCCTTCAACTGGGTTATTTGTGCCTAGTGTGCTGTAAGATTAGGGCTGACAGACACAAGTACAAAGATCTTGAGTGCTGAGGGAAGTTAAGAAGAAATGAAGCCATTTTACACTTACTAGGGGGGCTATAATCAAGAAACAGAAGATAACAAGTGTTAGTGAAGATGTGGAGAAATTGGAACCGCCATACAATGCTGGTGGGAATACAAAATGGTGCAACCTCTGCGAATAGTTTGGCAGCTCTTCAAATATATAAACACAAAATTACCGTAGGATCTGGCAATCCTACTGCTAGGTAGATCCTGAAAAAAAATTGAAGGCAGGGATGTTTGCACATCAATGTTCACAGCAGCATTATTCACAATAGCAAAAAGGTAGAAGCAACCCATGTATCCATTGATGGATGAATGGATAAGTAAACTGTGGTATATCCATACAATGAAATATTACTTAGTCATCAAAAGAAAGGGAATTTTTATATATGCTACAGCATGGACAGACTTTTTGAAAACATTGTACTAGGCAAAATACACCAGACACAGAAGGACAAATACTGCATATTCAATTTATATGAGAAACCTAAATTAGTGAAATTCATAGAGACAAAGTAGATTAGAGGTTATCTGGGGATGGGTACAGAGTTTGCACTGGGGATGATGAGACAGTGGTGATGGTTACGCAATATTGTGAATGCACTTAATGTCACCAAATAGTATGCTGACAAATGGTTAAAATGATAAAAAATAAGTTATGAATATTTTGCCATAATAATAAAAAAGAGTGGCATGAGGCAGCCAATGCGGTGAGGGGGAGCTGGGAGGAACGCCTCCTGTGATAAGAGGGAGGGTGGGGAGGGCGGAAGCAGCCATCAGAATGTCAGTGCTGAAAGGCACCGGCCTTGCTAGTGGGGAGGGCAAAGGGACACCACGTGTGGAGATGAGGCTGAGAAATAGGAGTGAACGCTGAGCGTGAGTGTGAGTCCGTGCCACATGTGATGTCAGGAGAGGGCGTGAGTTATGCAGGTTGCCAGGTAGAAGTGAGTAGGGTCCTTAGAGAGCCTGGACTCCTACTCTTAATCTGCAGATAACAAAACCAAGACCCAGAGCTTTTCCCAGGGTTTGGAAGGAAAAGAAAAAGGAGGATGAGTGTTTGGTCATCCCATGGGGGGTTTGATTTCAGCCAAATGACATTCCTCCCAGGCCCTTCCCAATATTAGTTTCAAATGAAGTTCTGGGGAGGAGCTGATGGGGGGCAATGGAGATGACTTAAAAGGCAGCGCTGGCCTGGAGGGTGTATTGATCAGGGTCTGCAAGTGTTTTTGTCCAGCCTTCTCCTGCCACCTCCCTAGTCCTTCCAGGGCATCAATCGCGCCCCCACCTCTGTTCCAAATGGAGCCTTGGAGACCTGCGGCTGTAGCATGCTCTGTCCCTGTGGACAGGAGAACAGGGGGAGAAATAGGCTAGAGCTGCTCACCTGAACAGCTTGACACCAAAGAATGAGGAGCTCAGTCCAGATATGAGGGTTTGGAGAAAGCTTGCTGGATGGTAGGTGGTATTCTCAGAGCTGCAGGTGGAGGACGGGACTCTCAGCATCCATAATGCCCCTGGAGCTGGAATTGTGACTGGATTCTCTCTCACGGTGTCCAGTGGTTTGTCTATGTCTCTCTCCTCCTCATATTTGCCTTCTTTCTCCACCTGCTCCTGTCTTTCCAGTCCTCCCTACAGCAAGCCCCAGGCAGCGGTTTCTGAGGCAGGCGGCCATGGATGGATTCCAGCCATATTCAAAGCCACTAGCCCTGTTTTCTCAAGTGAGCCAGACGTGCTCTCTTCCACCATTTGATCTTTATGCTGCTCATGCATCTTGTTACAAATAGCTCAACCTTCCCCGTGTTGACTGCAGCACTGGGACATTACAGTAATGTGCCCATTCAAATCAAGTGGATGCAAAGATCGCTATAGCAGCTTTTAGCCACGGAACATTTAGCCTTCAATAATAGCATTTCGGGTCCTTCAGGGACATTCCTCTGCTGATGCACCTGGGATGCCTTTTTCCTCCTCCCCACCACAACCCCCAGAACTAAGGAGGGGCAAACATGACTTTTGTTGATGAGGAAACAGAAATTCAAGTAAGGGAACATCATGCAGAAAATGAGAGGGTTAGGCCTGATAGGACCACGATGATCATGATAATAATAACAACAATAATTTTGTGCACTACTATGCTGCTTACTGGGTGAAGGAATTTACTTGCATTGGGGTAGGTTTTACATCTGCAATTTCTGGATGAGGTCAGTGAGGCTGAGGGGGTCAGTAGCTGTCCTAGGCACAAGGAGAATGCCACCTTATAGTTGTTCACCAGTTCTTCCCAAAGCCTATGCTTGTGATCTGACATGGAAAGCAACTCAAGGCTGTCTCCACGGACATTCTAAAATCAGAGAGAAGCTTCCTTTCCCTGCCGCCTCCAAGGCCCCATGCGAGGACCCTCCGGCTGGTGCTGTCCAAGGACCTCTTCCCTGGTCCCTCCTGCCTTCCTCGAGCAGTATTCCCCTCACCCCCATCCTGCTCCAGCCTCAGCCAGTAACCTTGGTGGATTTTCACTGAATATGTTGCCTCCACCACCAACAGCATTTTTATTTGCACTTCCTTGGGGATGCCTTGCCTGGAGGAAGGAGTCTGTGGGATTGTCCAGAGGTAAGAGGGAAACACTGCGCAGTGGGAGTCCCAGCAGGGGCGAGGAGCAGGGGAGATGGCCGGAGGCTCTGTCTCCACCCTCCTCTTACCACTGCCCATTTCCAGGAAAAGACAACCCAGCCAGAGCAGGGCAGTGGCACGACGGCTTGCTAGTGCTGTAGCATACCTGGTACCTCAGTGAATTTTCCGGGACATGAGAGGCCCATGTAATAAATAGGTCAGGAAACTGAGCCACAGAGAGGACACGGGACTTAGCACAGGGGAAAAGAGTGGTTGAAATGGAACCAGATTCCAGGAGGCCTCATTCCCAGTCCTGTACTCTTCCTGCGGAGACACCATGCTTTGAACCAGGCTCGAAGTTGCCAAAGTGAACATTTTAAAACTTTTCCCAGGGCTCAAGAGATGGCCGAGTAAAATCTCCAGACACTGTGGCTCCCACAGGCTCCTTATTGGGCCATTCACTTCATGGGCACAGTTTGGTGGTTGGGGTGAGAGGAGCTTCGTGGAGAGGACAAAGGATGGGGAAGGAGCCTAAATCCCAAATGCAAGGATTTTGTCCTAAATCCCAAATGCAAGGATCCCCTCCCTTTCCTCACAGAGTTCAGGTAGCTCCTCTTCCTTCTCCTCCCAGGTTCTATTCCCTCCTGTCTGAGTCCTCAGAGCACCCCGGAAGCGGGAGGGCCTCTGGTTGCTTTCGCGGCGGCAGGCTTTTCTAAGCCGGTTTCTCTGGAGGGTGCGGGCGGCTGCGGGTTCCAAGCTCGGGCTCTGAGCCGGGCCAGGCGCGCGCTTCCTAGTTCTAGCAGCAGAGGGCGCGCCTGTCATTGGAGAAGGAACCGCGCGGCCGCAGCCCCTTCCTCGCCGACCGCGTCACCTCCTGGCTGCCTGGGGACCCGCGCGGGAACCCCGGAGCAGTAGATTTGTGGAGGTCGACCCAGGTGGACGAAAGAGCTCGGCACACCGTGTGTCCCCAGGCCCGCTTCCTCCGTGCGCCTCTGTCATCTGCTCCATCTCCGGGAAGCAAAGGGACTTGGGGTGTGGCACAAAGAGCAGGGATGCAGCGGCCGGGTCACTTGGATGGTGTCCTCATCTGAGGCCAGGCCACACCTAGGCCTCCCCACACGCTGTTCCTATAGGAGTGCCACCAGGACTCACTCCAAAAAGGAATGGACGGCGAGGGTTTGTAAATGGGACAGCACCCTGGGAGTGCAAAGCCTGGGACCGGTCCCGGTGGCCTTGGCCAGTCCTGGAGCCTCTATGTGCCCAGTTTCTGTGTAATGCAAAGACACTGAATGAGGAGATGGTCCCTAAAACCCCTCCCAGGGCCAGCATCTGGGATCTCATGCTTACATCATCTTGTCCTTCCTTTCCGTGGACTCTGCCTGTTGGACAGAGTCCACTGACATGCACCTGCCAGAGCTGGGCGGGGAGGGGCCAAAGTTGTCCTCTGTGAAGTCATATGAGAGGCCTGAGAGCAGCAGGATCGGTCCTCCTGTGTCTCATCTCGCGTTCTTCCTGCTCACAGGAAACAGAATCCCTACCAAGTTTCCATCCTAGAGACAGTCGATGTGACTCATTTCATCCCCTGGTGGTCTTGGTTGGCCGCACTCATTGGGTGCAGTACCTCTGATGTGGGAGGCAGGGGTCGGTGGAGGGGAACCGCTTCCTCCACCGGGGGCCAGGTTGTGGGAAAGGCTGGGAAAACACACGCTCTGGAGCAGGCTCTTCTGTGAACTACCTTGGGCACATGGGAGAAATCCTTCAGCATCCCTGAACCTTAGCCAGTCCATGAAACGAGAGGCTGGAGATGGTGTCCACATCCCTTTGCTGTTTTGATGTCTGCACTTGGTGAATCATGGTCAAGCACACCTAACCTCTGCCTCTCTGGAGAAGGGAAACGGAGGAGGAGGAGGCAGGGGGAAAAGAGACCATTTAGGAGGAGAGCAGAAGTCAGAGGGGAGAAAGGTGGATGGGAGGATGCAGTGGGTGGATTTGCACCTGCTCAGAGGTGGGCAGCTGAGCTTTGAGGAATGTGCTTCCCTGCACTGCATGGCGTGAGATGCTCTGTGTAGGGGATGGGCAGGAAGCGGGGGGTTCTGGTGAATTAGGAGAATATATCTTGGTAGAAATCCAAGTGTACTCTCGGTCCGTCCATCTAGACAGGATATAACCTCTTAGGACACTCAGAAACTGAAAATAGAGCATGTATGGCTCTGGAAGCAAGCCTGTGTGTGTGTGTGTGTGTGTGTGTGTGTGTGTGTGTGTGTTTGTGTTTATGATGTGCAAATGCACAAGCAATAGAAATACAAGCACCATGCAGATTGCATAGGTAGGCATCATCAATAAACATTTATTCGGCACCTACACTCAGAAACTCACACACATTTACAAGCCCAACATATCCTGCTATACACATGTACAAAAAAGATCACATTGACCCCTAAGGCAAAGAACCGTTTGCTTGAAGAAGCTTCTCTTACAAGATATTAATAAAATACGCAGGCACATTTTAACTTTAAAAACTCTGGAGAAGGAAAGAAGGAGGGTGAAGAGATGGGGCTGGAGGGAGGAATGGGTAAGGCAGGCCTAATCACAAAGTACTTAGCCCATGCGTCTGGGCCTCTCTGTAAGCACCATATTTCACGATACCTTCAACCTGATTTTCCAACTCATTGAAAACACTTGCCAGCTGCTGCTGAGTGACTCCATTTACTGTTTAAATGAGCTCACTCTAACAGGGCCCCTGGAAGGTAGTCCCTAAGGAGAGCTATGGGTGGAAATGGAGTTGGAGGCCCTAGATCTTGGAATTTTGACTGGGGAATGGGAGAAGGGAGAGTGGGGTAATCACCCAGGAGGGAGAGGGTGGGGCAGGCCAGGAGGGATGGTGAGAGTCTCTGGTGACTTCCATGGGCACATCTTGGATAGGAATTCTTTGTGGTGGGTAGTGTAAACTTTTTTCCACCTCCATCACCCCACATGCAGACTCAAATATACAGACATGTGAAATGACATTCAGGGATTTCATAGTACCTCACAGGATGGCTCCCAGGAGCTGGTCCTCTTGCAGATATGTTAGCTATCTGCCTCTGCATTGATGAGCAGAGTGTTCCCTTGCAAGACCCCATCTGTCGTAAACACCACCCCCCATGGGTCTGCCATGATTCCCTCTGTTCTCTCAATCACTGTAATGTGGGTCCCTAATGCTGCAGGATGCTCCTCTCCCATTTTCCCCTCCTGTCCTTTTTTTCTGTCCTCCTCTGCCCATGACAGAAGCTTCTGGAAGAAAGAGAAGGCTCTCCTATTAGCACATTTGTATGAATAGATGGGTTTGACAGGGTGCTGGCATGCTGAAATGACAGATAATACTCCCGGGAGGAACTGAGACACTGAGCAGCTAAGTTGTGATTAGAAAGCATGGGAGAATTTCCAGGAAGGTGAAGGCTGGCTGTTCCTGGTGAGGCATCTGGGGACCTTGTCAGCCACAGGTCAGATACTGACCCCTTCGGCTGGTTAATTCGGTCCTTTCCCATTGTAGCCCATAATCAGTCCACAGTCTGGGATCAAAGTTTAGCAAGTCCTCCATGTTTTTCCCACAGAGACAGGGGACCTCAGGACCCCACTATTAGAGACCCCTCAATCTTTGCCTTCAACTCTGAAGCCAGACCCAGATCTGTACGGGCTGAGAGAAAATCTTCAGGGAAACCTTTTGCCTTTGTAGCCATGCAAGTTGCAACCCCAGGCTGTGGGGCTGGGCTTCTCCATCTGGTTATGTGGGGATCTCATCATCAGAACTCATCTATATTACCCAGATTGGGTGACTCTGGATTAGCCAGGTGGTGTGGAGGAGGCCTGCTCTTTCCCCGCTCCCTCCCTGGGGCATCTGCCTTCAAGGTTTGATCTGCTGTCGGCCCCTCCTCCTTGCTCCTAAGCTCCCAAGCTCCCTAACTTCACTTAATCAGCTTCCTCTGCTGCCTCTCATTTCCAGCAGGGTGTGGCTGTGCTAGGAAAGAGACTTGGCCCACAGCCTCACAGTGATTCAGAAGACGCTGGGTGAGGACCTCTGTGTCCCTGCTCCAAGGACCCTGAGATGACCCATCCCAGGACACTCAATCCTGCCTGCAGATGCTAGGCTCTGAGGAGATGCCTGCTATAGCACCAGCACATTCTGCAGACATGTTTTGAAATGTGTTAATAAATAACTGGAGAACAGTATCTATACAATTACCTAGATTTGCCTGAACTTTACAGGGCAACTAAACAAACAGACATACGTTCGCAGAAAGGCCACAGTACAGAAGACAAACCGAGGCTTGGTCACCCTGAGGATCAGCAGCCGGATCTTTTTCTGAAACAAATTTCCTGCTAGAGAATCCCTGATCTCTGTGATGCAGTATTTCCCTAGTTTTTATTTCTACTTCAACGAGGCACCTCAATGTCAGTTTCCTTTGGGAAAAGAAAATCAAATGTCCCCACAGCTTTTGCCCAATTGTGAAGGAAAATTTCAGCATTGATTGTCTGTCTGGACTCTTGTGGGGAGGAGGCCAGTGGGCCTAGTAAGACCCTTAGCACACCTGGGCTGTCTAGCCTTAAGGAAACCAGACCTGCCAGGAAAGCAGAAAAGCTGTGAAGAGATTTTTCTCTGCCTTCCTCGGGGGACAATCTTCCAGAGCAACAATGCACCATGTATTTACAGAAAACTTATTATGTTCAAGGTGCTGGGAGAAGCTAGTTGCAGATACTTAGAGCAGTAAGGCTTTAAGTTAGACATAAGGAAGGACTTCCAGCTATTGGTATTGATATAGTAGGACCCAAGCTTACTTCACAGCTTGCATCATCAGGGAAGGATGAGATCATTCTTGAGAACATTTTGAATAAAGGCTTAGAGGGACTGAATATTGAACGATCCTGTTAACATTTCTCCCGGTCCTCCTCCTGCTTTCCAGGATGATACTGGTGTATGATTTTTACTTAAAGCCCTCCCCCATCCCCACAGAGACACCTGGAGCCTGGCGGGCCTTGGCATCAGTGGCTGTTGTCATGGCGGGGAGAGCTGAGGTGACCACTGTGACTGCCCTGGGCACAAGGACCGTCGTTCTGTGAATCCTCCCTAAGCCCGCTGGCGGGGCCCCTTTGCTGCCACTGCAAGTAAAGTTTCCCAGCTCAAGTAAATTCTGGAGGGGATTGACCTAATTTCCAGAGTCTAAGGGGTGACAAAAAGCCCCAGTCAAAACTCCTGTAAGTGGGTGATAAACAGTCTCTATTAGAAAAAATAAATAACATCTCCAAAGGAGAGCAGGCTTCCTAAGACCCCCTTGCCTTTCAGAGAGACAGCTGTCTCCTGGGAGGAGGACTCCCTGAGCCTCCCGCTTCAGCCGCTCCAGAGGAAAGGTTTGCCTTGCTGTCTCACTGCAGCGCTAGCTGCTCACCATTTTCACCGACCGCCGCAGCCTCCTGATGGACCCCACAGCAGGAAGAGGCTGTGGGAGAGGTCTCCACCCTTCAAGGTGGGGCTGACAGTGGTGCTTGGCCTTTAGAGTTGAAATGTATTGGTTCTCTGCCTTGGGAGGAACAATCACTCTCTCTCTCTCTGTCTCTCTCTATTTCTGTCTGTCTCTCTCTCAAACACACATACACATACACTGAGACAGCTATCATCATACCTAATTTACATATTATGGAAACCGAGGCCCAGAGAGGTTAAATAACTTGCGTGGTTTTGTCCAGCTATTAAGTGGGCAAAGCTAGAATTAGAATTGAAGCCCAGTGACAGCTTTCAAATCAAGTTCTTTCCCCTATTCTGGAGCTGCAGCAACTTTAATAAGCATAAGAAGTACTTTGGGATCTTGTTCAAATGCAAGTTCTGCAGGTCTAGGGTGGGGTGGAGATTCTGCATTTGCAGTAAGTTCCCAAGTAGCAGGGTGTGCTACAAACACCTCAAAGCTGCAGACCCTGGGGAACAGTCCCCATAGAATAGGAGGCGGGAATCATTCTGGAAAATAGGGAGACATAAATACCCAGACAAGCTTAGGTCTCCAAGGAGGCAGGGAGATCAGGAGTGGGAGGAAAGGGCAGTCTGTCTCTCTTTCCTTAGAAGACTTCGTGGTTTGAACATTGCCTTGGTTAGATTTCCTGATATGGGTACAACTTGTGCTGATCTCAGTGGGAATCTGGAGCCAGAGATGACCAGGAATAGAGGGGGATAACATCTGCCAAGTTCCATTCCTGGTTCAAAATTCTAACTTGCCAGCTTGTTCATTCATCTAATGACTCAGACCTGATGGCAGATTGAATTTTCCAAAAATGACTGCAACAATATCTTCCATCCCACATGTTATTCTTACAGTGGGACTTTCCATCTAGAGGTAGGACCTGTATTTCTTCCCCATGAATCTGAGTGGATGTGCAGTTATAGTTGAAGTGATGCTATGGGACTTCAGAGGCTAGGTCATAAAAGGCAATACATTAGGCCGAGCATGATGGCTCACACCTGTAATCCCAACGCTTCGGGAGGCTGAGGCGGGTGGATCACCTGAGGTTGGGAGTTCAAGACCAGCCTGACCAACCTGGAGAAACCCCGTCTCTACTAAAAATACAGAATTAGCTGGGCATGGTGGCACATGCCTGTAATCCCAGCCACTCAGGAGACTGAGACAGGAGAATCACTTGAACCTGGGAGGCGGAAGTTGCTGTGAGCTGAGATCACGCCATTGCACTCCGGCCTGGGCAACAAGAGCAAAACTCTGTCTCAATAAATAAATAAATAAATAAATAAATAAATAAATGGCAATACATTTTCCACTTGGCTCTGTTGGGACACTTGTTCTTGGAATCCAGCCACCATGTTGTGAGGAAGCCCAAGCAGTCACATGGGGAGGCCATGTGGAGGTGTTGTGGCCAACAGGCCCAGGTGATGCCCCAGCCAACAGCCAGGTGTGTCAGTGAACAGGTTTTTAGATGATTCCAGTACGTAGTCACTGAGTCATCTCAGCCTTTGACTCTTTCCAGCTGAGCCCTCAGACATTGTGGAGCAGAGAGAAGAAATTCTTGCCTTGTCCTGTGATATGGTTTGGCTCTGTGTCCCCACTCAAATCGCATCTCTAATTGTAATCCCCACATGTTAAACGAGGGACCTGGTGGGAGGTGATTGGATCATGGGGGTGGTTTCTCCCATGCTGTTCTCATGATAGTGAGTGAGTTCTCACGAGATCTGATGGTTTTATAAGTGTTAGGCTGTTCCTCCACTCTCTCCTTTTCTTGCTGCCTTGTGAAGAAAGTACTTGCTTTTCCTTCACCTTCTGCCGTGATTGTAAGTTTACTGAGGCCTTCCCAGCCATACAGGACTGTGAGTTGATTAAACTTCTTTCCTTCATAGATTACCCAGTCTCGGATATTTTTTATAGCAGTGTGAAAACAGACTAATACACCTTGTTTGAATTCTTGACCAGCAGAATCCTTGAGCATAAAAAAGCGTTGTTTAAAACGCTGATGCGTGGCCAGGCAAGGTGGCTCATGCCTGTAATCCCAGCACTTTGGGAGGTCGAGGAGGGCAAATCACCTGAGGTCAGGACTTCGAGACCACCTGACCAACATAGAGAAACCCCATCTCTACTAAAAACACAAAAATCAACCAGGTGGCAGGCACCTGCAATCGCAGCTACTTGGGAGGCCAAGGCAGGAGAATCGCTTGAACACAGGAGGTGGAGGTTGCGGTGAGCCAAGATCATGACACTTCACTCCAGCCTGGGCGACAGAGCCGAGACTCCACCTCCAAAAGAAAAAAAAAGCTGATGCATTTGTGGTGGTGTGTGACACAGCAACAGCAACCCACGCTAGCCCCAAAGCAGGGACTGCCTGAGGCGGTGTGGGTGACAGGGCTCAGGAGGGATTTATAAACAGGTTGGAAAGTGGGTTAACTCCTGTGTTCATGTGCACTTTACACGTTCAAAGATGCTTTTCCATACTATGGATGCCTCAACAATTCTCATTTTACAGATGGGAAAACCCTGTTTTCAGATGATTTTCATGCTGAGGCTTATGAAGGTTAAGTCGTTGTCAAAGGTCACGCAGGGGCTGAGGTTGCACCAGGATGACTCCCAGGTCTGACTCCAGAATCAAACCTCTTTCCATTAAAGCTGTGCTGCCTCAGTTCCTGGCCTCGCTCAGTCCTTGGCAAATAAAACGTCACTCACTGCCTGGTGCAAAACCACGGATGGCTGGAGCCCTCCCCTCGACATAATGAGTTTGAATTTTGTGCCTTTAGTACCTATCATGCAAGAAGAAAAATCTCGAGCGTTGTTTAATAAACAGAGTCAGAGGGAAGCGATAGAATAGGGCAGGTGTTATTTATCAAATGTAGGAAATAGTTTAATCAGGAAAAATCAATCCTGGGGTGACTATTTTCAGGAGGGTGAGGATTAGTGTGAGGACTGAGCTCATCGGTGCTCCAGGATTTGAGAGGGGCTGCAGATGGGGAGCAGGTGTTGGGGTATTTGAGCCTAGCTGATATCAGGTATTTTTCCCACTTTCTTTGTATCTGCAGAATCTCTCCACAGACTCTGTGACTCAGCACTTGTGGCTCCCAGGCTGTGGCCTTCATTACCTCCGAGTAAGGTGGCAGACTGGTGACCCCCAGCTCTCTCAGGCACATTGTTCCTGCTGTGATTTCAAAGATGACTGTCAGGTGCTTGTGGACAAAGTGTCCCTGTCCAGTTTGCCTCTGGCCACAGCTCCCAGCCCTTCACGTATCCCATCCCTGGCTCCTGATAGTGTTTGAATCTTGATGCCATGATATGACCCCACCTTCTTCCTAGCACAGGAGTCTTTGAGCAGAGCTGGTCGGAACCCACGCCACAGAAGCAGCCGTGGGAGGGTGCAGGGCCTGTGCTCTGGGGAGAGGAGTTTTATTCAGACTCCCTCTCTGGTGGGATTGCACCTCTCAAATTCCTGGCAGGATGGGACCGAAGTAGTCACCCTTCCCCAGAGTCTCATGTGGGGAATGCTCCCTTTCCTGGCATCCTATCTCTGGGTTTCTGGTTGGAAGGGATACTTCTGTCTCCCCCAAACTCTTCTGCATCATGCCTTCTAGCCAGCAACTGGACACGATGGGATGGTCATTTGTATGTGTCAGCTTGGTAAGGCTGCAATGTTAGACACTAACCATGGTGTTTCATAGATGGGGTTAGCATCTACTGTCAGCTCACTTCAACTGATGGAGATTGCCCTCTATCATGTGGCGGGGCCTGATCCAATTGATTGAAGGCTTTAAGAGCAAAAACTAAAGTTTTTCCAGGAAAGAAGAAATTCTCCCTCAAGACTGCAGCATGAATTCCTGCCTGAGTTTCCAGCCTGCCCTGCAGATTTCATACTTGCCAACTCTAAAATCACATAGACCAATTTCTCAAAACAAATGAAAAGTAAATATTTTTACACACACACACACACACACACACACACACACACACACACTCCTGCTGGTTCTGTTTCTCTGGGGAACCCTGGCTGATACAGACAAACCCCTGAGCATAACATTTTTATTCTCCTTAGCAACTCTGACCCAGGAATGGCAGGTGTGATGACATTGGTGGTGGAGGTGGGGGGAAGGTTGAGGCTGACATGCAAACACACATGCACACACATACATTTTTTGAGCCTGTGTCATGTGGACATTATCTGCTGCACGTAGTAAAGAGGGAGGGTCTGCTGGGAAGAGCACTGGACTGGGGAGCCAAAGGCCAGAGCTCAGGTCTTGATTCATGACATTTACTGTTCTTCTGTAGAACTGGGGGGAATTCCAAGAATGATCAGGGAAACCAAATAAAATATAAAAGTTACAGCATTTTGTAAAGCACTATGCAAATGTCATTTGGTATCTCTTAATTTTTTAAAATGCAGATTCATTCCACAAATGATCTAAGTTAATTATTTTTGAGAGAGAATCTGACCAATAGGTGGAAATGGACTTGGCTATCTTCCCTCTGAGTGACAGTTCAGCACTGTAAAATGAGAAGAGAAAAAACTGGGGGCCATTTGTCTGAACCAAAGGAAACTGTCAACAGACTTTAAAAGAGTTTTATCAAGGATGTAAATATGAGGTTATTGAACTTGCTAGAAGGTGGTATTGGGGAAGGAAAGATTCCCACTGGAAGGGGCTTTGACAGGTATTTGGGCTGTGGGATGTTTGAGAGAGAAGGGGCAGATCTAGCCCCTGTGGTCCTCCTGTTCCCCATCATTTCTTTGCCTTCCTTATCTTGATGTTTCAGAGCCAACCCGACAGCGACATCTTTGCACCCTCAGCAGAGGGTGGGAGCTGTAGGCAGTTGGTAGGGCTGAGGCTTGTCCTGGGAAGGAGAAAGAGGGTCCACATGGCCAGCTAGAATGCTTAGAGGATTCTCTGCAAAGTGCCCTGTGCCCCTACTCCATATACATGCCCTAGGACCCTAGGGTCTGATTTTTAACTCCTCAGTTGCCTGTCTCTTAGACTAGCCTATGAATGTTATGTGGTCAGAGGCCATCATGACCTGTATCCTGGCACATAATGTTTAATGAATAAATAAATGAAGTCCCAAGGATGCTCAAGCTGCAGGTCATCATTCATTACAGTCATACTCCTGTGTGCACTGCATCAGGAGCCCTGTGGGAAAGTGATAGAGGAAAGGAGGGGAAAGGGAGGGGAGGGAAAAAGTAGGGGAGATAATTAACTAAACAAAGAAGGAAAATAATTTCTATCCTCCGGGGATTTACAACTTCCACTTGAGGAGGTCAGATATACTCACACAATGCTAACAGTTTGCTCCTATAAAACATAATGAGTTTCATCCTACAGCATCTCACTGTAAGAGAATTAGCAGCCAGCCCGTGTGCAAGCAAAGGCAGTCTCTTGAGAAACAAACCTGGAGGTGCCAGGGCAGAGGAGACCAAGTCCATCCTGGATGGGGTAAGGCTGGGTTAATGAGGATTAAACCTAGAGGGAGTGCAATTGGAAAGGGCATCTGAGTGGAGTGTTGGCCATTCTCTGAGCTCAGAGTACACAGGCAAGCTGGGAAAAAGCCCTCTGAATCCAGCCAAGACTGATGTCTCAGATCCTGCCCATCTCAAGCTGTCAGGGACCTTCTCCCTTACAGCACATTCAGACGGCACAGCCTTGCATTAATTTAGAGCTAATTGTCAGGTAATGAATTCGATTTGGCTCACCATATTGAAATCCCTTCTGCTCCCAGCTGAACACCAGTAAATCATTTGCATCACAAATCTTCTCTTTGCTGGATGCTCAGCTTGCCCAAGCTGTTGTTCAGACCCTTCCTGCCTCCCCACATTCACTGATCTTTGAAAGCAGCTGAAAATCATATCTCCTTGTTAGAGCCACAAAGCTGAGACTCACACAAGAAAACTGAGTTGGGGTAAGTGTCTTTGAATAGCCTAGAACAATGGTTCTCCAAGTTTGGTCCCCTGAACCAGCAGCATCAGCATCCTACTAACTCATTACAAATGCACATTTTCAGGGCCCACCCCAAGCTAATGGAATCAGTAACTCTGGGGTTGGGGCCCAGCAGTCTGTGTTTGAAAAGACTCTCCAGGTGATGCTGATGCACACTCAAATTTGAGAACCACTAGTGATATGGTTTGGCTTTGTCTCCCCACCCAAATCTCATCTTGTAGCTCTTATAACTCCCACGTGTTGTGGGAGGGACCTGGTGGGAGACGATTGAATCATGGGGGCAGGTCTTTTCAGTGCTGTTCTCGTGATAGTAAATGGGTCTCACGAGATCTGATGGGTTTAAAAATGGGAGCGTCTCTACACAGGCTCTTTTTGCCTGCTGCCATCCACGTAGGAGGTGGCTTGTTCTTCCTTGCCTTCTGCCATAACTGTGAGGCGTCCCCAGCCATGTGGAACTGTAAGTCCAATACACCGTTTTCTTTTGTAAATTGACCAGTCATGGGTATATCTTTATCAGCAGTGTGAAAACAGACTAATGCAACTAAGTCTCTTAAAACATCCACTAGATCCACCAGAAATCAGTGATTCTTCTCCATTCACTTCAACTCCCTGCAAGACCAGCTTCTCTTTCAGGTTTCTGGATTTTCTTAGGGGTTCTGAATTTATTTTCTACCTCTGAATTAGCTAGAATTAGGTTCAGTTTGGGGGAAAAAGACAGCTATAAGTGACTTAAACAAGTCAGAAGTTCATATCTCTAATGTAAAGAAGTTGGTAGTAGGCCATCCAAAACTAGTGTTGTTTTGACAAGAACATGCTATGTTGCAGCTCTGCCAGCCTTAACATGCTGCCTCATGGCCCAGGATGTCTGCTCAGGGTCCAGCCATCACATCTGCATTCCAGCAGAAAAAAAGAAAGGAAGGGAGAAGGGCATGCTTATTTCTTTACAGAAACTTCCCGGGAGTTGCACACAGCACTTTCATCTTAAATCTCATTGGCCAAAACTCAGTCATTTAGCCATATTTGGCTGCAAAGGAGGCTGGGAAATATAGTTCTTACTCTGGGTATTCATGTACCCAGTGGGGAAAAATCAGGAAATCTATTTTTGAGGAAAAAAGGGAGATCATATATTGGCATAGACAACTAGCCACAAACAATGATCTGTGCCACAATTTCTGAGACGTATTTCTGCTTCAAAGTCTTCAAAGTTCTCCATGTTCTTTACATTCTTCAATGCGGGCTTCACAACACATTTATTTCAGGAAGCCTTTTTCGATCACTCTGAGCACTGCTTTTCCTGACAGCCCCCACGCCTGTAGCCCACTACATTCAATTGCCACTGCCTGCTGATCCATCTAATTTCCATGGAGTCGTGATCCACCGTCAGACAGTAAGAGCCTAGGAGCACGTGTGTGGGCGGCTTCGCAGCTGGTATTTGTGGAGCTGTGGGGAGTCTGTTAGCTCCTCCAAGGCCTGTCTCCTCACCTGTAAAAGGAGGGGACTGTAGGTGGTCCCTGAGTGCCTCCCAGCTCTAACATGCCACACTGCTCTTTTTTTCGATTCCTTCCCAATGTTGTTGATGGTCCTTGAGGTGGGGAGGCAGTGGGGCCTGACCAGTTAATGAGCAGAAGAACTCAGGGAGCACTGATGATTCATGAAGGCATGGATTGCAAAGGCAGGAAGTACGGCTCAGGGCTTGATTTGGATGATGGCTTTAGGGAAACCGGTTCTGGAAGTGAGAAATGTGATTTGTATTCAAATTAGGGGAATCCATGGAGAATCCTATAAGTTTGGTGCTGATAGGGAGATCATTTATCTGAAATTGCCACTCCTTGCCTCAAACTCCTTCCCATCTAGGTCTATCTTAGCCATAAAAACTTAAGACTTTAAAAAACAGACCAGCCTGAGGTCCACAGAGAAGAAAGGTAATTTACCTAAAGTCTTACAAGCAAAGAGTGAAATGACAGAATTGATGCCTCCCTGAATATGACCTAAGAGTCACTAAAAGGTCATCATCAGTCCACGGCCCTCCCCTTACTCCTAAATGATCCTGGCTGGAAGAGTGACTCCACTGGAGTTTTCCTGCAGTCGGAGAAAAATTGAAACCCCAGCTCTTCCACTGACTTGTTGTGAGGTCTTGAATGAGACACTTGACCTCTAGAAACTGCAGTTTTCTTATCTGTTAAATAGGGGCAATAACCACTTTGATTCTTAGGAGGATTAGACATATTTACATCAAGTCCCTGACACTTCTGCAGGTGTACATTAAACTTTATTTCCTTTCTGGAGATTCTTAGGCATTATAGTCCGCTGAAGAGTTTTCTCATCAGGTAAATTAGACGTAGACCTCCATATATTTAAGTATCTGTTTAGCTGAGAAACTGCTAACTGCTCTCAGGACAAATTCAACTAACAATAACACTGAGCTCCAAGATAAGCCTGGGTCCCCAAACTTAAGGTCTGTGGTCAGAGCAGGGAAGGGCAAAGGAACCAATAATGATGGACACTTCTTATGTCCAGGATGTAGGACATGCTTTATCCAGCTTAATCATCCCATAGTCCTGCTAGCAGTTCATCATCCCATTAAGGTTAGGGTTAGAGACTGGATTAGGATCAGGGTTAGGTTTGTTAAAATTATTTTACAAATGAGGTTATAGAGGCCCAGAGATGTAAGTAAACTGGCCAAATATATCAGGGGAGATGAGAATCATGAACCCGGTGGGATGGAGAAAGGTGAGTTTTGATTTGATTTGGGTCAGAGAGAAAGGGAGAGAGGGGTTCCCTCGGCCATCACCTCCTTGGGAAGACCAGGCTTTGCAAGCTTTGTGGAGTGAGCTGGGTGTCTCCCTGGCATCCACCTCTACCTGAGCACTGACCACTCTGCATCACTATTGGCTGACGGGGTCCTTGTCTCCCTCCTCAGGACAGGGCACACCCATCATCCCACTCAATCATCACATCATTCAGATATCTGTTTGTTACCCAGCCTTCCCCATCCCTGTGCCTGAAGCCCAGAAGGACTTTTAAAATTGACTTTAATAAATTATATTACAATAATTTATTACAATTATAATCATTTATTACAATTATACAATTTATAATTATTACAATTATATATACAATTATACAATTAATGTACTATAAATACAATGTACAATTATACAATTAATATACAATTATAATTACAATAATTTATTGTAATAATTGATTTATCAGCCAGTTGCAAGCTGGGTAGTGGGGTCAGAGTAGACATGCTTCCCTCTCCTCTTGGAATTAATAGTCTCATTGGTGAGACAGGATTAACCCACGGAATAAGGACCTGCAATCTGAGGCTGCTAAATGGCATGGCCCCAACTGGAAGCCCGGAGGTTTCAAAACAGATCCTTAACAGCTGCAGCTGTTAGATGGATCTTGATCCCTGGAGACTGTTTGGGTTTGGTCAGGAAACAAGGAGGGAGGAGCAGGAGTGATGGTGGCCAGTGGGAGTAGCTGGCTGGAATGAGTGGCCGGTGAACAGCAAGGAGAGGCTTGTTGGGGGAGAATGCAAAGGCTTAAAAGACGTGAGAGGATTTTGATGCTGAGAGCAACAGGGAGCCATAGAAAGTGCTCAGGCAGGGAGATTCAGGATCAAGCAGTGTTGCAGACATATGAGTCCTGGAAAGTGGTGGGCAGAAAAGACCAGGAGGAGAGAGCCTGGAGTCAGGCAGAATAACCAGAAGGCCAAAGGAGTGGCCTCCCTGTTGCTTTTCTCCACATTTGCTCTGTCTCGGACTTTTTTCAAGGGGCTAGTCGTTTGGACACAGCCCATACGTGGACTCTAGGAACTTCTTTCATTTGTTCATTCACTTATTCTTTCAAAATATTGATTTTGATACTTATTATGTTCCAGTCCCTGTGGGACTGCAGACAGGAATGAGGCAAGACTCCTGCCCGCAAAGACCTCTGCAACTGAGGACAGACACAATATACATACACACAGCTACCTAATGACTTCTTTCATCGATGCTATGCCATTTAAATGAATTATTTCGTTATGTGCATAAGCTCTAGTCCTCTGCCCCCACCTCCACCCCCATCTTCTCACTCCCACTGATTTACCCTTTTTTCCATGGGGCTCACTCGTAAACATCAAGCACTGTGCCATGGTAGGCAAAGGAGCTATGAGACACAGGGAGTGGTCTATGATGGGCTGTGAGATGGAGTTCCTTCTATTGATGTCCCCTGGCCTGCCAGAGCTTGTCCACTCCCACCACTTGGCACCTTCTGCACACTGTGGGCCCCTGGGGGCAGAGAGATTGCTGAAGATTCTCTTGAGACCTCTGTCCCCTAATGTTTAACACCAATCTCTAGTGTTTCCAGGCCTCGGGAGCTGGAGCCCACTGACTCCTTAACCTCCTGGTCCTCCTCTATTTCTCCTTCAGGCTTGTTCCTCAGATCAAGGGAAAGAGTCGAAGGCACAGAGTAAGATGCTCAGGACCACCTGGGCTCGGTCACTGGCTACCAGCACACACATTTAGCAGCTCTTCCCTGTGGTTGAGGCTCTCCAGAGTAGCCAGCATTAAAGCCTCCCAGTCTTTACCTTGTTAAAAATCAGACCATCAGTTACTTGTCAGAAATCACTTCTAATATAATTCAGTGGTCTGAGTGGGGCAGGCAAATGCACCAGGAATGACTGAACATGTCCTGTAGACTAGGCTGCATACACCCATCATCTGCTCGATCATCACATCATTCAGATATCTGTCCGTTATCCAGCCCAGAGGAAAGTGGGAATCAGGGTTAGGAGTAGGCTTATTTCACTCATTTCACGTAAGTGAGGCAACAGTGGCTCAAGTTCACTGTCCCAAGTTTACACAAATCCTGGCACTGTGGGATTTGAACCAGGTCTGCCTGTGCTCATGCACTTTGCAGTGTTGCTGCTTTGCTGGCTGAGGGTCCTCACGAGGCTGCAGAAATGCAGTCTCTAGCCTGGAAATGCTTCCCCAAGTCTCCCAGTGTTACCAGCTTCGGCTGTGTTACCACTGCCTCTGAGCACTGCTTTCTATGTGTTGCCCACCCCTGTCAGGCACTTACTATGAAAGCCTGCACTGATGATGTGCTGGGACACTCTCTTCTTTACATAGTAACGGAAAATATTGCAGTGCAAACATGGACGTCTGCAGGGCCACAGAGGAGGCTCATTTAAGTTGGCATCAATTTTGCTAACCTCCTGCTGAAATATTTGCCAATCGAGCCAAGGTTTTGAACTGCCTGGGGCCCAGGAACACCTCTTCTATTGAACACCGTCCTTGAATGAGATCAAATTTCCAGAGTTTGCAGAGGCTTCATTACGTGGTTTTGGCTCCCACGACTTTGAGATCATACAAGGCGATTTTGCATGCACATCATGCTTTGCTTGCTTGGTTGCCCCTCTATTCTGGTTTCAAGTTGAAAAGTTGTGAGTATAGTTGAGGTTTGGCAAGCCAGAAATGCGATGCCCCGGAGTCCAGGCACCTGGAGCTGTGTCTTCACTGGCTCTCCCAGATGCTATTTACAAAGTACATTGTCTCGGTTGTTTCTCGCGACTACCATGTGAGATGAGCCAGGCTGGGATTATTCTCTCTAGTTTATAGATGGGTCAATGGTAGTTCAGTGAGGCACCTGATTTGCCAAGGTCATTTATAGACCCTGGCCCTGCCTGCGCTCTGTCCTTGTCCCCTCCTCAGCCTCCCACAACGCCTCCTATGCACAGGAGCCAGCCTCTGCACAATCTAACAACTTTTGTTAATGGAATTATGAACATCATGCTTATTGGATGTGGCAGAGACAAGATCTTGCAGTGGACAATGGCTGTCTTGAGTTCCCTTGCTCTGCCCACCACCACCTCTGAGCTCATCTCACATAGGCCTTCAGACCAGAGCTCTCATGCTGCCCACTGACCAGTAAACCTGCCCTCAGGGTACCCCTGCCTGGGCCACTGAGCATCCGTCCCTCCACTCAGACCTCCCTCTCTCCCTACTTCCCCTTAGGTAATCTCACCAACCCTATATCTCCATCCTCTCAGGTTCTGCTGGTGACCAGATAAAATAATCTAAGAATTAGAAGTTAATTACCCTGAGTGATATCCCCACCTTGGGGGGCATGGGTTGATGGTGGATATTGATGGGCAATGATTCACTAGCCTAGTTCTAACCATTTCTACCCACACCCCAATGGGTTTTTCATACCCAGACCTCTCTGCCTTTTCTCTCCATCTTGAGTACCCTCTCGTTAAAATTGGCCATGTTTCTAACCGTCTCTGCATTAGGACATCTTTAGGATGCTTTAAAGGGATACCTGACGCCATGGCTGAAAAGCAAAGGGCCAGAGAAGTGAGCAGATGTGTTCAGACCTTCGGGCTGGTTGTCATTCCCACTAGCCTCAGGCAGGTGATGGTATGTGGCTGTTAGAGCATGGACTCTAGATCCAAAACATCTGGGTTTGAAACTGGGGTCTGCCACCTGCTAATTCTGTGATCTTGGTCAAGTTATTTAACCTTCCTGTAGCTGATGGGTAAATTAGAGAAACTCTAATCCTTACCTCAAAGGGTTATTGTGAGGGTTGAATAAATTAATGTACATAAAGCCCTTAGGTCAGTACCAAGCATATTATAAATCCTCAAAATGTCCTAAAAATAGGAGCCATTATAATTCTTATGTAGCTAGCTATTTGTTGCCATTTTTGGCCATCTTAACAATACGTAATAAGTGTGTCCAGTACTTCTTAGTTTCAAAGGTGCTAACGTATACTTACCTCACTTCTTCAGCACAGGTGAAGGTTATGGGATACCTATGATGGTTAATTTTAGGTGTCAACTTGATTGGGCTATACAGTGACCAGATATTTGGTTAAACATTACTTGGGGTGTGTCTGTAAGGATGTTTCTAGATGAGAGTAACATTTAAGTTTATAGACTGAGTAAAGCTGATTGTCCTTCCCAATGTGGGTGGCCCTCATATACATATTTGAAGGCCACAGTAGAACAAAATGCTAAGAGAAAATTCACTCTCTACCTGACTTATTTGAGCTGGGACATCAGTCCTTCCCTGTCTTTGGACTAGGACTTGGACTGGAACTTAAGACCATTGACTTTCTTGGTTCTTGGGCCTTTGAATTCAGACTGGAACTATACCATTAGCTCTTCTGGGTCTCAGCTTACAAACTGTAGATCTTGGGACTTCTCAGCCTCCATAACTGCAGAGTCCATTCCTTATACTACATATATATTCTGGGTTCTCCAAAGAAGTAGAATATATTTATATCCTATTCTTTGGAGAACCCAGATTAATATAATATCCAAGGTCACAAAGCCAGTGAGGTGGCATAACCTGGTCTTAGACTTGGTTCCAAGTTATTATTATTTTTTGACAGGGGCCTGCTCTGTTGCCCAGGCTAGGGTTCAGTGGTATGATCACAGCTCACTGCAGCCTCGACCTCCTGAGGCTCAAGTGATCCTCCTGTAGGTGTGTACCTCCATGCCAGGCTTATTTATTTCTATTTTTACTTTGGTAGAGACAAGGTCTCACTGTGTTGCTCAGGCTGGTCTTGAACTCCTGACTTCAAGTGATCCTTCTGCCTCAGCCTCTCAAAGTTCTGAGATTGCAGGCATGAGTCACTGTGCCTAGCCCCAAGTTCTTTTTTTTTTTTTAATCTTTATATTACTCAATACCACCTTTTGTAAAATGAGGGGGGAAAACTGCGAATGACTTAGTATAACAAATCCTAATTACTGGGGGAAGAAAAACACTGCTGAAGAGATCTCATTTTGAGGATAGCATGGTTGAAAGAAATAATTACAAATGAAATCCAAAGCCCATCCCAAAGCCAGCTGCAATTCTTTGCCAGCCGCTGGAGTTCAAAGAGTGAGACTTAAGGAAAGTTTTGAGGAGAATTACTTAATTTAGAGCATTGGAAACCCAATAATTATTTGCTTAAAAATAGAATTTGCTGAAACAACTTTCAGCTTCTTATTCTTCTCACTGCATAATAAAGTAATTAGTAATTTGTGTCACTCTGGTAATTTTTCTTCCGATAATCACCAGCAGTGACATTATTGCCATGCTGGGGTTCCAATATACATCCATGCATGCGCGCACATGCACATTCACACGCACACACACGTACACTTACTACCTCACTCATATCCGATCCCTGGAGGAAGGTGGATACCATAGTGTTTATTGTTTTGTTGTGGCTGCTTGAATGAAAAGTTCTGTGACTCCTTCTAATTTATCCATACCCATATGTATAACACTGTGGGTGTGGTTGTGGTAAGAGGTAAAAATAAGGGCAAAGAACTCTCAGAACATCTCCAAATATCATACAGAAGCTATTATAAGAATGCCGAATACCTATATATTTCCAACTAAAAATCAAGCTTTATCTGACAAGAGGATTTGTGCTGAAGTGTGGGTTGCATTGTTTAATAGGATGTGGATCTTAGACATAAAAAGTAAATCACATTTATTTATACATTTGTTAGATTGAAGTGAATGAAGCTGTGTAAAAATGTGGACAGTGCAAGAAAATCCAGAGTGTAATTACATGGTTTTAATACCTATTAATTGCTAGATTTATAAACAGCTATTCTATACTAAGCAAATACTCCATTTGAAACAAAACAATAATAGTAGAAATTTCATTCCTAAGTTTATCTGAGTGAATTTATACGGGGCTTCAGGTAACTATGTGAAACTAGAGAAAGGAAGTTAAAAAGATTGTTTCTTTTTCCTGTTTGTCATAGAATAGTCTATTACAGTCAAATTACTATATAGCAATAAATATTGTTATTGCTAACATTGATCAAATGTCCACTCTGGCACTGTGCTAAGACATTTACCTGCATTATATCCTTGAATACTCGCATCAATTCCATAAGTTAGGTATTAATATTATTTCTATTTTATGGACGAGGAATGTGGCAGATACTCTGCTGCTTACTCAATAGCTGCTCTTCTCTTTTTTTTCTTGGTAATAAAATCCAGATTTTATTTAGGGTGGCAATATGTTGTGCTAAAAGTCTTTAGCCTTCCTCGAAGCCAGGAGTGACCCTGGGACTAATTCTGGCCAATGAGGTACAAGCAGGAGTGTTGTGTGGACCATCCAAGAAGGTTCAGCAAATGTGTGCGACTCAGCTGGGAGGTACATCCCCCTCCCATCATCTCTTGCTTCCTGCTTCCTGCAGATGTGATGGCTGACCTGGCGCTCTTTCCGGTAGTCACTGGCTTGGCAGTTCAAACCCATTCTCCAGCTGAGGATGAACAGAAAAGCGAGACAAAATAATATATTTTAAAAGCATATTTGAAAGTATTAGAGAAAATAGAAGTCAATCAAGAATTACTGGGCCAAGCTCCGTGAGAAGAGGGAAACCCATCGGGGAAAGCTTGGATCTTTTGGCCAGTTTTCTCCTAAGAGCGCCTTCCAATGCCAGAAGATGCAGCAGAGGTACTAAGATGCTGAGCAGGACTTTCAGCAGACTTAGGGGGACCAGGAGCCTCTCAGGGATGGGGCCCCTGATAAAACTCCATGATTTGGGTAAAGGCTGTGAATGGACACATCACTGGAGTAAAGGTGAACCAGGTAGCCTGTCCCTTGAAAGGATTGCACGTTGGCTTTAAATCACCTCACCACTATTGGATTATAGTGATCTGGGATTGACAGTTTCTCTCCCTCCTGACTGAGGCAAATGCAAATTACTCTCTGAAAAGACAGCGCTATGAGAAGCCTTAAATTATCTCTTCAGCTTTTTAAGATAAAGATACAGGTCTCAATCAAACAAATTGGGGGTAAAGATGAAGAAACTTCTTCTGAAATGGTGGGGTAAGAACCTCCAAAAATTCTGTAACAGACCTTGAGGAAGAAGACGTAAAATAGAAAATTACAAACCATTCTCACTATGTATAAAAACACAAAATTTCTATATAAAATGCTAAAAATTTTAACAGTGTATGAGAAGGTCAATTCATGATGATTTTATTGGGTTATTTCAGGGATGTAAGAATCATTTAATATTATGAAATATATCGGTAAATCTAAAGTGAAAATCCAAATGATCTCGGTGGATGGCTAAAAGTCATTTCAGAAAAAATTAGGTACCAATTCTAAATAAATGTATGAAACTGAAACTAGAGGATTTCTTTAAATGGTAAAGAATATTTTAAACAATAATATATCATTATTTAATGGGGAAACACCTTTAAATATATTTTCATTAAAATCAGGAATAAGATAAAATGCCTATTCTCACTATTAATATTGTCTTGAATATTCTAGCCAATGCAAAAAGATAGGGAACAGAAATAAGGGCTACTGGAAAGGAGGTCAGAAGTCTCACTATTTGCTGTTAATATGATTGTCTACCCAGAAAGCCTAACAGAATCAATTCAAAACTATTAGAATTAATAAGAATTTAGAAAGCTGGCCGAACATGTATAGATATATAAAACAATTGCTTACCCAATTACACATTGTTAATCAGTTCAAGCGTATAGCAGGGGAAAGAGCTCCTCCTTAAGCAATTACAAAGTATAAAATGCTAAAAAATAATTCAATCATGAATATTATAAATTTCTCCCAATGAGTATAAAAGAAGATCAGGGTAGAAGACATCTGGACCACAAGACCAAATAGTTTAGACAGGCCACTTCATCCCAGGCTCATTTATGGGTTTAATTAAACTCCAATACAAATTTCAGTGGAAATTTCATTCACATTTAAAAACTATCTGTAAAAATAATGGATGACAATTGTCAACAGTATTTTTAAAGAGTATTGATGGGAATATTTTTCTTTCAAAGAGTAAAACACTTTTAAGTGAACTGGATCTAAATAAGGGTTTCTCTGGAAATTAATTTGGCCATTTATATGAGGCAGTTTTAACTGTATCACCTAGTAATTCTGCTTTTAATAATTAACCTAATAAAAATTTTCAGAGGTACAGATAAAGTTTTTTGTAGAGGAATATTCATCATAAAGGTGTTTGTAATATTGTTTCTAAAGTTTCCACAAACTGAAATTCATTAAATCAATGATGACACATTTTTAATTAGAATACTATTCAGCCACTGCAGTTATGAAGACTCTTTAATAACGTAAGTAGCATACTGTATTCTCCAAAGAAGGCTGTGAAATCTCTTCCATTCCACATGCTCTTCTGTAGCGTGACCCTGCTGCTTGCCTTCAAGGGCTGGAATCCATTTCTCCATCTCATTGAATGTGGCTGGGCTCCAATCCACAGAATCATAAACAAAATAAATTATTGTCTTAAACCATGAAGTTTTGATGTAGTTTGTTACACAGCACTAGACAAGTGGGAAAAATATATAAAGATGTTTTAGAAACATCAAATGAAAAACATGTTACAAAACAATATGTGCTATGTAATTCAGTTGGGACAAATGTGTACATATACATAGAACAAACATTAGAGAGGATTGATGCCAAAATGTAGCACTGGTTATTTTTGGATGGCAGGATTACTATGCTTCTCATTTTCTTGTAGCTTGCCTTCTTTCTCAAATTTCTACAAAGACTGTGTATTGTTTTAAGAAAAGTACAAAATCATGTTTTAAGGATATTTTGATGACTGATAGATGCTACAATACAGCATTACTTAAAAAGAACAAGATGCAAACAGCATCTATGAGGGACTTTCCTATTCCTTAGGTCTTGTGTTTCTAAGAGGAGAACTTTGGCACACAAACCCATTCAGCTTTTCTTTTCATTTTGTCTCACCCACTTCTCTGCAAAAGAGAGGGAATAATGTTCTTGGCTGGTGAGATATTGGGATTGGACTCTTGCTGCTCCTCATCCCTCTTTTTGGGGGAGTTTAAGTGTGTACTGGCTGGTCCCCAGTGAACAGGTCTGTCTGCTGGAGAGAGGTCTATGACACAGGTGGGAAGTGCTGTGCTCCTGCCTCCATGCCTGAACTCACAGGTGGATCCAGGCCTGCCTTCTGCTCTGCCTCTCCTCTGGGAAATGAAAGGATACATCAATCATCTCACTTGCAGCTGGCTGGTAAAGTGTCTGCTTTCAGAACCCCATTCTCAGGACTGAAGTAGAAATGGGATGACAATGAGAAAGCTTATTTGGCCACAGATCCCAGCCATGTTCACAAAGCTTTTCCTGCAAGCATTAAGGCTGATATTTCTATCAGTATCTGAAGTCTATATTAATCAGTGGATTGAAATAGTTCAAACGGGGAATTCAAACAATTCAAACTGGGAGAAAAACAGTGATTGATAAATATCTTCAAAATGTAGCAGTATCTGTCAATCCATTTTCATTTGACGTATTTAAAAGAATACACATATGGACAAATATAAATTATATCACAAGACTTATGGGAAAAATACATCAATATCAACAGAAATATCTCTCTGGATGCTGGGATTATGTGTCCATTTATTTATACTCTTTGTAATATATGAGCATGGATTACCTTTATAATCAGAGAAATCATTTTTAAAAAGTGGGCCAAGCACAGTGGCTCATGCCTATAATCCCAGCACTTTGGGAGGCTGAGGCATGGGAATTGCTTGAACCTAGGAGACAGAGGTTACAGTGAACTGAGACTGCACCACTGCACTCCAGCCTGGGCCACAGAGTAAGAGACTGTCTCAAAAAAATAAATAAATAAATAAACATTGGTGGCTCACTCCTGTAATCCCAGAACTTTGGGAGGCTGAAGGTGGATCGTTTGAGCCCAGGAGTTCAAGACCAGCCTAGGCAACAGAGGGAGACCTCATCTCTTTTTAAAAAAAAAAAAAAAGAAAAAAATTTTTAAAATAGCTGGGCTGTGGTAGTATGCCCCTATGGTCCAGCTACAAGGGAAGCTGAGGTGAGAGGATCACTTGGGCCCAGGAAGCCAAGGCTGCAGTGAGCTCTGATCACACCACTGACTCCAGCCTAGGTGATAATGAGACCCTGTCTCAAAAAAAAAAAAAAAGTTGCTGAGATTGCTTTATAATCACAATCACAGATCTGGGCTCTATAGCTGGCTATTGCCTGTGCTACTTCAGGGCCAACAGAAGCTTTGCTTCCTGACATCCCTTCTTGGGGGAATATCAATTTTCCAAAATAAAATCCTGTGATAATCAGAAGAGGCATGGAGGTCTGGGCCTTTTCTAGTTGTAAGAAACATTTAAAAATATGTAAGCCATGTGGATGATTTGGAGAACATTTGTGTTGACTTATTAGTCAGGGACTGGTCAGGAAAGCAAACATAGTTCACAAATAATTTAATATAAGGATTTATTTAAGTTGGTATAGGAGAACTGAAGAAACAAAGAGGAAACACTGAGGTGGCATGGAGATATAACTGCAGGAAACAGCTGCCATTCCCAAGGCTGAGGAACAGAGAAAAGAGGTAGAAGCTCAGAAGAGGCGACCTGCACAGCCGGGTTGACAGGAGCACATTTGATAGTAAAATGTAAAATATGAAGTAATGAGTTTTGGGTATTTACTATCTTTGTTGGTTTTTAAAAATATTTTGTATTTTGAAATAATCATAAGCTTAGAAGGAGTCACAAAAACAGTACCCCTGTACCCATCATCCAGCTTCCCCCAATAGTGACATCTGTACAAGACCAAAACTAGAAAATAGGTTGGCACAATCCAAATACTTTGATTACAGACTTGGAATTGACCAGTTTTTGGATGTACTCATGTCTTTCTGTCTTCGTGTATAATTCTATGACATCACATTTGTAGAACCGCAACAACAATATAGATGGAAACCTGTCCCATCACCACAAAGGACCTTCCTCATGCTTATATAGATGGAAACCTGTCCCATCACCACAAAGGAACTTCCTCATGCTTCTTTACAGCCACACCCTCCCACTCCTCTAGTCACTAGCAAACGTTGTCTGTTCCCCCCTCTATAATTTTTTTTAAATAGAATTTGTTTAATTGTAAGTGTTATAGGTTAAATTGTGTTCCCCCAAAAGGTGTGTTGGAGTCCTCACCCCCAGTACCTCAGAATATGAGCTGATTTGGAGACAGCGTCTTCACTATAAAGGTGATCAAGTTACAATGTGGTCATTAGGAGCCTACTGCAATACAACTGGTGTCTTTATGAAAAGGAGAAATTTGGAGACAGACACACTAAAGCACACAGGGAAAATGTCATTGGGACACAAGGCATAGCTCAGGGTGGTGCTTCTACAGCCAAGGAATGCCAAAGATTTCCAAGAAGCCACCAGAAGCAAGGGGAGAGTCATGGAACAGATTCTGTCTCACAGCCTCAGGAGTAACCAAGCCTGCCGAGGAGTTGATCTTAGACTTCTAGCCTTTAGAACTGTGAGACAATACATTTCTGTTGTTTAAATCACCTAATCTGTGGTACTTTGTTGCAGCAACCCTAACAGAACAATAAAATAAGTATATATAATTAATTATAAATTATAACTGTGCTTAAAATTAGCTCATAAAATTCCTGAAATTCTGTTGAGCTGGTACATGCTTGCTGTAATCTACCATTGCAAGGGTCATGATGAGGCGAGTTCTATGAGCATGGAAACAAGTGGAAACTAGAACGAACTGCCCCTTGCAGAATGGAGAACCCTGGCTGGGGGTGACACTGACAGGAACAGGAAGTGCACAGGAAGGATCAAGTCATACTTTCTCCTCTAGCCGCCCAGCCTCTCTCCAGCACTTCCTATTCCTGGGCTAACAGAGATCCAGTTGGCAAAGTACAAAGTTGGTTTCCAGAGATCTGAGAAGAGAATAAAAGCGTAGGTGTGAAGCTGAGAGACAATATCTTAATATCCAAACACACTGGGTTTTTAGACAACTCTTCTAGGGACGTTTCAGTCTCTTTTTTCAGGTATCATTGGGTTTCCTTTGGACCACAAAGCTGTTTAGCCAAGGAAGCAGATATTTCTGGCTACTTATATTTTGTGACTTATTTTGAGAGTTTTATCTTTTTTTTTTATAAAGCATAATGTTATAATAAGTGTGCTGCATGTCACTTGTGCTCTATTCCCAAGAGTGGATTGACTGTATTCTCTGAAGATGATTTCTTGATTTGATAATAAAAAAGTCTGGAAAAGTAGGATTTGGTATATGAAAATTTAATTTACAAAAACAACTTTTCAGGAACATATATGTTCTTTAAATACAGCAAGTTTCCCTTGTGATGTCTGGAAATCCACCACTCTTCTTCAAAGGAAAAGCAACTTCTTAAAGAGGCTTTGAGTGCCAGGGAAGGATTAATTCACTCAATCACATGCTGACTCCCTGTGTGGGTTAATTCTCTCCTTGCTAAGTAGCTTGAGATGAGTGAAATTGCTCTTCCCAGCTCCCAGAACCAGCCCAATATCTTTCCTGGAACCTCTGAGCATAGCACAGTCCCCCAGCACATTCACACTAATGATCCAAACTGCTACTGCAGCATCTGCTCTTATGACTTCTGGACTCACCAGTGAGTGGAATTCCAACCTGGGGGAGGCATTTCTGCAGGAGGTTGTCTTTCTTACTGCCTACAGACCATTTCATTACCTTCTTGGCCATCTTACTTCTAGCTTGTCCCTTAAAAACAAGTGAAAATGGAATTCTCCCCCACCCCACATTGTAAATGGAATACGCACATTGTAGAAATTTTCAAAGATAAAAACTGTTGTGGAAAACAAAATGTAATTTGAGGTCATGTGGTTTAAGTTTAAAGGAAAAGGAATTAAATGCATGTGTTTGCTTAAAAGATGGTGCAAGTTTGTTTGTTTTTCTTTTCATAGAAATGTATATTGGGGAAAGTAAGCGAAATTTGATTTTAATAGTCCTTTTCTTCCTTGCCTGGGTCCCTGAGAGAGCCTAAAATTACCTGGATGGTACCCCACTGGGGTTCTTCACAGTCCTGCCAAGCAAACTTCCCTCTCCTTCATCTATTCTATGGGTGTCCTGCTCTTTGTCAGTTCAATTTTAAATGGTAGCCTAGTCTGAGAAGAATGATCCAGGTAGCCATTAGGCATAGCAAGAACACTTAGAGGAAGTGGAATGCCTCATTGGAATGGTTGTGAGCTAGGGCCTAGCGGGGCCGGTAGGCAGTAGATAAATTACTGCACTGGGTAGCAAATACTATGCAGCCTATTTGGAGAAAGAAAGTGGATGGGAGCTCATTGGAAGAAGAGACTGGGAGTGTCCCTTCCCTTTCAGGTATTCCAACTCCTGTTTTCTGCCTTCCTCATGGTGGTCCTGGACCACAGTACCTGGCTCCTGCTTTCCCTGCCTCCACCTGTCTTCTCCACTCCCACCTGTGTGGCAGGCACATTAACATTTCAATCGCTTATCCCCTGCCCCTGTGACCTGCCCTTCCTATGTTGATCTTTTCCCCTGTCAAGTTTGGGTTGAGATGTGGCTTTAGAGGAAACTGAATAACTGCCGTAATTTTACTGAGGACAGGAAATGCTCATTGAAATCTGAGTGTTTTGATCTAGAAGTCACTCCTGTTGTGTTCTTCAGCAAGGATTGAGAGATGGTATAATAGCAGTTAAAGCACAGACTTTGTCTTCAGACCTGGGTCCCAGTCTCAGCCCCATCAGTTACTTGCTGAGTAACCTTGAGCAAGTTCTAACCTCCCCAGGCATCAATTTCCTCCTGTGTAAAATATGGGTAAAAATACTGTTTTTAGAGTGTTTTCACTGTAAAAGAATAAAAGCAATAATATGTGTGGTGCCTACAGTGGTGTCCCCACATCTTAGTGATCACTCTGAAAATGGTAAGAAATATTTAGGATCTGATCTCAGGGAAGGAATGGATGTTGGTAAATATCCACACGCTGGGATAGGAGGCGAGAGTTGGGGCCAGGTGCCCCAGGGCGTGCACTCTGAGAAGCTTGGCTTCTTTTGAAGAATTTTGAGTCATGACTGGCTGAGTTTTGAGCTGCTGACTTGTTACATGTACACATCAACTCCGTTCCTGAGATCTGGAGTGATAGGGACATTTTTTAAACCTTATACCCAGGCCTGAGATGTATCACTGGAAGGAAGCTGGAAAGGAGTATAAAAGGGATTGTAGGGGGTCAATACCAGAGAGAGAGAGCGCGAGCAGACATTTAAAAAGCCAATGAGGTCATAAGAAGCAGCAAAATCATGTGACCTTCCAAGGTCAACGGCCTGTGCAGCTTGGGGTGTGGGTCAGGCATTACTGTTTGAATTCCTAACTGGCCCCGTGACCCAGGAACATCATGGATTCACTTTCCTCGTCTGTGAGATAGGGATGATACTGTCTCTCAGGATGATTCTCAAGATGAGAGGAGAGAATCATTGTGAACATGCTTTGATAAATAAAAGACCTATAGAAAAGAGTTTTGTATTATTGTCAAAGATGGGACCAGAATGAATAGCCCCTTTCCTAACTTTACACATAATATAGGTCTTTGGGTTTCTTTGCTGAGAAACTACTGTTATCATCCATAAATGCAGATGCATTTTCAGTGTGAAGTTGAACTCGCAAGTAACCTTAAGGGTTGGGGAGAAGATCAATGACAGGAAGATGTGAGAAGTGGGAGAGGGCTTAATGTCGTGTATTAAATACTCTGTAATTTATGAAATATTTGTATTTTAGCAAATGCTTATTTAGCACCTACTTTGTGGCAGGCTCTGTACTCAATGGTAAAAGAGAGTCATGGTCCCTGCCGTGGAGATTAACCAGTAAGGAGTCATAGTGTCAAATGTTGTCCTCATTCCACTTCAACTACTCATTCCCAGAAACATAGGCTGGACATCAGCATCACTTAAATCTGCCCCACCTTCAAAACCCCTATTGTTCAAAGTCATTTTAAAGATTTGATTGCCAAGCTTCTGTGGAGCCCTAATACTGCCCAGCAATTCCCTGCACATCCCTGGCCCACTTGTTCCCCTCCTCTCACATGCATTCTGTGCTTCCTCCCCTCTTCTCAGTCTTCCAACATCCCACCCCTACTCTCTGCTGATGAGTTTTCTTCTTGTTTTATTGAGAAAATTAGCACAGTCTGCAAAGAATGTTCAAAAGCTCCAACCAGCACCCTGACCTAATCTACCCACAGCCCTGTCTTCTTCCTGGCCACTACAGATGAGCAGGTCCTGGTTCAGCCTTAGACCAACCCTTCCACGGAGGCCTTGACCCCATCCCTTCTCTCCTACTCAAGGGTTCTGTTACAGTGGTTTTCACCACAGTCTCCTGGATTAATGATTTTTATTTCCTCTATTAATTTTATTTCTGCATTATGCTTACCATGCTGACAGCATTCATACATGTTGCTATTTCTTCCATTTGAAAAAAAACCCTAATCTACTCTTGGCCCCATTCTCCTCTCCAGCTACCACTCTGTTTATTTCCTTCTCTTTATAGCAAAACTCCTAGAAAACTTGTCTATACTCACTGGTCCCAGTATTTCTCCTCCCATTCTCTCCCGAGCCCTCTCTCGAGCCTTTTCCAGTCTGTGGAAACTAATATTTCCAAGGTCACTGATGATGTCCAGGTTACCCTTCCAATGGTTATCCTCAGTTGTCCTCTAACCAGACCTACCAGATGTATTTAATTTGGTTCTTAACTCCCCCCTCCCTGAAGTATTTTGTTTTATCTTGGCTTCTAGGACACGTGTTTCTTCTGGTTCTCTTTCTTCCTCACTGGTCTGTCAGTCTCTTTTACTGGCTTCTCCCATCTTCCTGTCCTCTAAACCTTGGAATGTCCCAGGGCCTCATGCTCAGGGCTTTTCTCTTTACGACCTTACTCACTCTCAGGGTAATCTCATTTAATCCTATTGGCTTTAAACACCATCTGCTATGGTTGGAATGTATGTGTCCCTCCAAAATTCATATTTTGGGAGCTAAGACCCAATGTGATAGTATTAAGAGGCAGAGCCCTCATGAATGGGATTACCACTCTTATAAAAGACCTCAAGGGAACTAGCTAGGCCCCTCTATTGCCCTTCCACCTTCTGCTGTGTGAAGACACACCATTCAAGGCACCATCTTGGGAGCAGAGACTGGGCCCTCATCAGACACCAAACCTGTCAGCACCTTGATTTTTGACCTTCCATCCTCCAGAACTGTGAGAAGTATTTTTATGTTCTTTATAGATTACCAAGTCTGTGATATTTTCTTATGCCAGCAGGAAAGGACTAAGGCATCATACATATGCTGATGGCTCAACATTTTTTATCTTCAGCCCTGACTGTCTTTAGAAATCCTTACCTTACAGCCTTTTAACGGTTCTAAAAGGTACCTCCAACCTACCAAGTCAGAACAGAGCTAGGGATTTTCCCCCAAACATACTCCTCCCATAGATTTTCCATCTCAGCTAAAGGTAAACTCCTTTCTTTCAGTTCCCCAGACTCAACACCATAGAGTTAACCTTGATTCCTTTTAAAATGCATATCCAAGCATTCAAGTTGTCAAAAAAGTTATAGTGATTCTACCTTCAAAGTTGAGCTAGGATCCAGCTACTTCTCACCACTACTGCTGCTCCCATCCTAGAGCAAATCACTGTTCTGCTTCACTTGAGTTCTCGCAGTAGCTTCCTGACTAGTCTCTCTGCTTCTACATTTGTCCCCCAACCAGCATATTCTTAACACAGCACCAAGAGTGATCCTGCTAAAATGTAAGGTCAGCCTTTTCTCTGCTCCAAAACTTCTGAAGTTTTTTACCTCCAAAAAAGTCAGATTTACTTCAATGGCTCTCTTTTACTTCTTTGACTTCACCTGCTCTCATTCTCTCCCTTGTTCACTCTGCTCCATCCACTTTGGCCATGAATTCTACTGTCTTACAGGCTTTGCATTTCGGTTCCCTCTGCCTGGAACACTCTTTCCTCAGATAACCACATGGTCCACCCCCTCCATCTTGTATTGGTCAGGGTCCAATCAGGAGACAGGTCATATAATAATGTAAACACAGACAATTAAGTGTAAATATTAATGGGATTAGAGTGATCAGGGATTGCTACAGTAAGGAAGAGATGGGTAAAGTAAGTAAATAATTAAGTGGTAAAGAGAACTCTAGAAGAATAGCAGACATAGGGAGCAGCCACCACTGCTAGGACTGAGATCAGACCTCAGAGTATCTATGGCTCGCTGCATGTCAGATAAACTGATTGAAGTAAAAGGCTGGCAGGAATCACTGAAATCACCATCTGGAGCTCTAGGGAAAACCATCCACATAGAGGTACTTCCCCTCAGAACTCAGTGATAATCTGTCCACAGGGGTACTGTGAAGCCAGGCAAGAATTACCAAGCCTTTGGCACTCTGCTGCAAAGCCAACTGGGGGAGGCTGGCCTGAGAAAGCCATTCACAGGAGGTGTCCCACCATCATATTTCCATGGTGAAGTTACCTGAATGGATGTTAAAGGAAGCTACCTTTGGGAAGGCGCACATGCTGGTGCCACAAGGGAGCTACAGAAAAACAAAACACCCCCGCTACACGTTGACTAAATGAACACACCAGAACTAGGAACAGAGGTGCCTTCCTTCTACTGTGTCCACCCCCACCATTCCAGTGACAAAGCTTAATATTGTGTTAACTGCAAAGGAGCAGTGCTAAAAGGGCTCATCCCCACTGTTGCAGAGCTGGTAATAAGGAGTGGATTGGCAGGTAAGAGGCCATCAAATCATAACTGGCACACTTCCTTTAGATCTTTACTCAAAGATCTCAGTGATGCATTCCCTAGCTACCCAGTCAAAAAATTTGAACCACTGAAAGTTTCTAGCTCACCTGCCTTTTGAATTTTTCCTCTTTAGCACTAATCACAGATGCAATGTATATTTTATTTTGTCCATCTTGCTCCAACAAGAATTTAGGCTCTGTGAAGACAGATTTCTAACCTCTTTGTGCACTGCTACATTTCTAGTACTCAAAATAGAGTCTGATACTTGTTCAGTGCTCAGTGAATATTTGATGAGTGAATAAACACCCTATGATGTCTCATCTTCCCTTTCCTGCTTTTTTTTTTTTTTTTTGAAATGGAGTCTTGCTCTGTTGCCCAGATTGGAGTGCAATGGTGCTATCTCAGCTCACTGCAACCTCCACCTCCCAGGTTCAAGCCATTCTCCTGCCTCAGCCTCCTGAATAGCTTGGATTACAGGCACGCACCACCATGGCTGGCTAATTTTTGTATTTTTAGTACAGACGGGGTTTCAGCATGTTGTTCAGGTTGGTCTTGAACTCTTGACCTCGTGATCCACCTGCCTCAGCCTCCTAAAGTGCTGGGATTACAGATGTGAGCCACTGCGCCTGGCCTCTACTTATTCCTAAACTGCTTCTCCTGTAACCCTTCATCTTGATCTGGGTCCTTGACTGCTTACTCTTCCAATCAAACATCCTCTATTTCAACTGTTGCTTTATGTGGTTTTGGTTCAAAGCCCATGCTTTCTGAAACTTTCTAACCCATTTCCTAAGTTCCCTTGACCTTCTGTCCTTTCATTATCTCAATTGAAAAAGGAAAACCTGCATGAACTCTTTTGTCCTTTTCTCTGTACTAGCAACACAGCAAATGAATGCTGCTGGAGAAAGTTACTCCACAGCATGGATTGACATCACCATAAATTCATCAACAATGTTTAAAGGAGGCTCAAATTTCCCCTGAGGTCCTCCCATGTGTCTCACTTCACTTTCTGGGATGACCACTTCAAGCTCTTTCTATTCTCCTCCAATTGTGCCCTGCCACTACCTCTGCATTTGGTCTTGAGCCTGTGCTGTCCAATGTAGCAGCCCCCAGCCACATGTGCCTATTTATATTCATAGTCATTTAGAGAAAATTAAAAATTCAGTTTCTTATTCCATTAGCCACATTTCAAGTGTCAATAGCCACATGTGGGTAGTGGCTACTATATTGGATGGCACAGATAGAGAACATCACCATCGTTGCATAAGGTTCTGTCGGATGGCATTGGTCTAGAATCTTCATTCACATGTAAAACTGGAGCTACCAAAAAGGAACTTGCTCCATGTCTTATCTTTATATCTATGCTGACCCAGCTAAGGTCATGCAGCCCATCTGTGCTCCAAAACCTGCCTGCCCATTTTCCCCTCTTTTCTCAGGAACTGTGACTATGAAATATTCCTTCTTTTTCCTGCACATTTAATACATTTTGTCTCAATCAGGTCATTCATATGAGTATTTTTTTTTCTTTCTGCAATTAGCTTTTATTATTTATTTATTTATTTATTTATTTATTTATTTATTTATTTATATTATACTTTAAGTTTTAGGGTACATGTGCACCACGTGCAGGTTTGTTACATATGTATATATGTGCCATGTTGGTGTGCTGCACCCATTAACTCGTCATTTAACATTAGGTATATCTCCTAATGTTATCCCTCCCCCTTCCCCCCCCCCCACAACAGTCCCCAGTGTGTGACGTTCCCCTTCCTGTGTCCATGTGTTCTCAGTGTTCAAGTCCCACCTATGAGTGAGAACATGCAGTGTTTGGTTTTTTGTTCTTGCGATAGTTTACTGAGAATGATGGTTTCCAGCTTCATCCATGTCCCTAAAAAGGACATGAGCTCCTCATTTTTTATGGCTGCATAGTATTCCATGGTGTATATGTGCCACATTTTCTTAATGCAGTCTATCATTGTTGGGCATTTAGGTTGGTTCCAAGTCTTTGCTATTGTGAATAGTGCCACAATAAACATACGTGTGCATGTGTCTCTATAGCAGCATGACTTATAATCCTTTGGGTACATACCCAGTAATGGGATGGCTGGGTCACATGGTATTTCTAGTTCTAGATCCCTGAGGAATCGCCACACTGACTTCTACAATGGTTGAACTAGTTTACAGTCCCACCAACAGTGTAAAAGTGTTCCTATTTCTCCACATCCTCTCCAGCATCTGTTGTTTCCTGACTTTTTAATGATTGCCATTCTAACTGGTGTGAGATGGTATCTCATTGTGGTTTTGATTTGCATTTCTCTGATAGCCAGTGATGATGAGCAATTTTTTCATGTGTCTTTTGGCTGCATAAATGTCTTCTTTTGAGAAATGTCTGTTCATATCCTTCTCCCACTTTTTGATGGGGTTGTTTGTTTTTTTCTTATACATTTGAGTTCATTGTACATTCTGGATATTAGCCCTTGGTCAAATGAGTAGACTGCAAAAATTTTCTCCCATTCTGTAGGTAGCCTGTTCACTCTGATGGTAGTTTCTTTTGCTGTGCAGAAGCTCTTTAGTTTAATTAGATCCCATTTGTCAATTTTGGCTTTTGTTGCCATTGTTTTTGGTGTTTTAGACATGAAGTCCTTGCCCATGCCATGTCCTGAATGGTATTGCCTAGGTTTTCTTCTAGGGTTTTTATGGTTTTAGGTCTAACATGTAAGTCTTTAATCCATCTTGAATTAATTTTTGTATGAGGTGTAAGGAAGGGATCCAGTTTCAGCTTTCTACATATGGCTAGCCAGTTTTCCCAGCACCATTTATTAAATAGGGAATCCTTTCCCCATTGCTTGTTTTTGTCAAGTTTGTCAAAGATCAGATAGTTATAGATATGCAGCATTATTTCCGAGGGCTGTGTTCTGTTCCATTGGTCTATATGTCTGTTTTGGTACCAGTACCATACTGTTTTGGTTACTGTAGCCTTATAGTATAGTTTGAAGTCAGGTAGCATGATGCCTCCAGCTTTGTTCTTTTGGCTTAGGATTGACTTGGTGATGCAGGCTCTTTTTTGGTTCCATATGAACTTTAAAGTAGTTTTTTCCAATTCTGTGAAGAAAGTCATTGGTAGCTTGATGGGGATGGCATTGAATCTATGAATTACCTTGGGCAGTGTGGCCATTTTCACGATACTGATTCTTCCTACCCATGAGCATGGAATGTTCTTCCATTTGTTTGTGTCCTCTTTTATTTCATTGAGCAGTGGTTTGTAGTTCTCCTTGAAGAGGTCCTTCACATCCCTTGTAAGTTGGATTCCTAGGTATTTTATTCTCTTTGAAGCAATTGTGAATGGGAATTCACTCATGATTTGGCTCTCTGTCTGTTATTGGTGTATAAGAATGCTTGTGATTTTTATACATTGATTTTGTATCCTGAGACTTTGTTGAAGTTGCCTATCAGCTTAAGGAGATTTTGAGATGAGACGATGCGGTTTTCTAGATATACAATCATGTCATCTGCAAACAGGGACAGTTTGACTTCCTCTTTTCCTAATTGAATACCCTTTATTTCCTTCTCCTGCCTGATTGCCCTGGCCAGAACTTCCAACACTGTTGAATAGGAGTGGTGAGAGAGGGCATCCCTGTCTTGTGCCAGTTTTCAAAGGGAATGCTTCCAGTTTTTGCCCATTCAGTAGGATATTGGCTGTGGGTTTGTCATAAATAGCTCTTATTATTTTGAGATACTTCCCATCAATACCTAATTTATTGAGAGTTTTTAACATGAAGCGCTGTTGAATTTTGTCAAAGGCCTTTTCTGCATCTATTGAGATAACCATGTTGTTTTTGTCTTTGGTTCTGTTTATATGCTGGATTATGTTTATTGATTTATATATGTTGAACCAGCCTTACATCCCAGGAATGAAGCCCACTTGATCATGGTGGATAAGCTTTTTGATGTGCTGCTGGATTCAGTTTGCCAGTATTTTATTGAGGATTTTTGCATCGAAGTTCATCAGGGATATTGGTCTAAAATTATCTTTTTTGTTGTGTCTCTGCCAGGCTTTGGTATCAGGATAATGCTGGCCTCATAAAATGAGTTAGGGAGGATTCCCTCTTTTTCTATTGATTGGAATAGTTTCAGAAGGAATGGTACCAGCTCCTCCTTGTACCTCTGGTAGAATTCGGCTGTGAATCCATCTGGTCCTGGACTTTTTTTGGTTGGTAAGCTATTAATTATTGCCTCAATTTCAGAGCCTGTTATTGGTCTATTCAGAGATTCAGCTTCTTCCTGGTTTAGTCTTGGGAGGGTGTATGTGTTGAGGAATTTATCCATTTCTTCTAGATTTTCTAGTTTATTTGTGTAGAGGTGTTTATAGTATTCTCTGATAGTAGTTTGTATTTCTGTGGGATTGGTGGTGATATCCCCTTTATCATTTTTTATTGTGTCTATTTGATTCTTCTCTCTTTTCTTCTTTATTAGTCTTGCTAGTGGTCTATCAATTTTGCTGATCTTTTCAAAAAAACCAGCTCCTGGATTCATTGATTTTTTGAAGGGTTTTTTTGTGTCTTTATTTCCTTCAGTTCTGCTCTGATCTTAGTTATTTCTTGCCTTCTGCTAGCTTTTGAATGTGTTTACTCTTGCTTCTCTAGTTCTTTTAATTGTGATGTTAGGGTGTCAATTTTAGATCTTTCCTGCTTTCTCTTGTGGGCATTTAGTGCTATAAATTTCCCTCTACACACTGCTTTGAATGTGTCCCAGAGATTCTGGTATGTTGTGTCTTTGTTCTTGTTGGTTTCAAAGAACATCTTTATTCCTGCCTTCATTTTGTTATGTACCCAGTTGTCATTCAGGAGCAGGTTGTTCAGTTTCCATGTAGTTGAGTGGTTTTGAGTGAGTTTCTTTATCTTGAGTTCTAGTTTGATTGCACTGTGGTCTGAGAGAAAGTTTGTTATAATTTCTGTTCTTTTACATTTGCTGAGGAGTGCTTTACTTCCAACAGTGTGGTCAATTTTGGAGTAAGTGTGGTGGGGTGCTGAAAAGAATGTATATTCTGTTGATTTGTGGTGGAGAGTTCTGTAGATGTCTATTAGGTCTGCTTGGTGCAGAGCTGAGTTCAGTTCCTGGATATCCTTGTTAACTTTCTGTCTCGTTGATCTGTCTAATGTTGACAGTGGGGTATTAAAGTCTCCCATTATTATTGTGTGGGATTCTAAGTCTCTTTGTAGATCTCTAAGGACTTGCTTTATGAATCTGGGTGCTCCTGTATTGGATGCATATGTATTTAGGATAGTTAGCTCTTCTTGTTGAATTGATCCCTTTACCATTATGTAATGGCTTTCTTTGTCTCTTTTGATCTTTGTTGGCTTAAAGTCTGTTTCATCAGAGACTAGGATTGCAACCCCTGCCTTTTATTGTTTTCTATTTGCTTGGTAGATCTTCCTCTATCCCTTAATTTTGAGCCTATGTGTGTCTCTGCACGTGAGATGGGTTTCCTGAATACAGCACACTGATGGGTCTTGACTCTTTATCCAATTTGCCAGTCTGTGTCTTTTAATGGGAGCATTTAGCCCATTTACATTTAAGGTTAATATTGTTATGTGTAAATTTGATCCTGTCATTATGATGTTAGCTAGTTATTTTGCTCATTAGTTGATGCAGTTTCTTCCTAGCCTTGATGGTCTTTACAATTTGGCATGTTTTTGCAGTGGCTGGTACTGGTTGTTCCTTTCCATGTTTAGTGCTTCCTTCAGGAGCTCTCTTAGGGCAGGCCTGGTGGTGGCAATATCTCTCAGCATTTGCTTGTCTGTAAAGTATTTTATTTCTCCTTCACTTATGAAGCTTAGTTTGGCTGGATATGAAATTCTGGGTTGAAAATTCTTTTCTTTAAGAATGTTGAATAGTGGCCCCCGCTCTCTTCTGGCTTGTAGAGTTTCTGCCAAGAGATCAGCTGTTAGTCTGATGGGCTTCCCTTTGTGGGTAACCCGACCTTTCTCTCTGGCTGCCCTCAACATTTTTTCCTTCATTTCAACTTTGGTGAATCTGACATTTATGTGTCTTGGAGTTGCTCTTCTTGAGGAGTATCTTTGTGGCATTCTCTGTATTTCCTGAATCTGAATGTTGGCCTGCCTTGCTAGATTGGGGAAGTTCTCCTGGATAATATCCTGCAGGGTGTTTTCCAACTTGGTTCCATTCTCCCCATCACTTTCAGGTACACCAATCAGACATAGATTTGGTCTTTTCACATAGTCCCATATTTCTTGGAGGCTTTGTTTGTTTCTTTTTATTCTTTTCTCTGTAAACTTCTCGTTTCATTTCATTCATTTGATCTTCCATCACTGATACCCTTTCTTCCAGTTGATCGAATTGACTACTGAGGCTTGTGCATTCATCACGTAGTTCTCGTGCCGTGGTTTTCAGCTCCATCAGGTCCTTTAAGGACTTCTCTGCATTGGTTGTTCTAGTTAGCCATTTGTCTAATTTTTTTCGAGGTTTTTAACTTCTTTGCCATGGGTTTGAACTTCCTCCTTTAGCTTCGAATAGTTTGATCATCTGCAGAGTTCTTCTTTCAACTCACCAAAGTCATTCTCCGTCCAGCTTTGTTCCGTTGCTGGTGAAGAGCTGCATTCCTTTGGAGGAGGAGAGGTGCTCTGATTTTTAGAGTTTCCAGGTTTTCTGCTCTGTTTTTTTCCCCATCTTTGTGGTTTTATCTACCTTTGGTCTTTGATGATGGTGACGAACAGATGGGTTTTTGGTGTGGATGTCCTTTCTGTTTGTTAGTTTTCCTTCTAACATTCAGGACCCTCAGCTGCAGGTCTGTTGGAGTTTGCTGGAGGTCCACTCCAGACCCTGTTTGCCTGGGTATCAGCAGCAGAGGCTGAAGAAGAGCCAATATTGGTGAACAGCAAATGTTGCTGCCTGATCGTTCCTCTGGAAGTTTTGTCTCAGAGGAGTACCCGGCCATGTGAGGTGTCAGTCTGCCTCTACTGGGGGGGTGCCTCCCAGTTAGGCTACTTGGGGGTCAGGGATCCACTTGGGGAGGCAGTCTGTCCATTCTCAGATCTCCAGCTACATGCTGGGAGAACCACTACTCTCTTCAAAGCTGTCAGACAGGGACATTTAAGTCTGCAGAGTTTTCTGCTGCCTTCTGTTTGGCTATGTCCTGCCCGTAGAGGTGGAGTCTACAGAGGCAGGCAGGCCTCCTTGAGCTGTGGTGGGCTCCAGTCAGTTCAAGCTTCCCAGCCACTTTGTTTACCTAGTCAAGCCTTGGCAATGGTGGGCACACCTCCCCCAGCCTCGCTGCTGCCTTGCAGTTTGATCTCAGACTGCTGTGCTAGCAATGAGCAAGGCTTGGTGGGCATAGGACCCTCTGAGCCATGTGCGGGTTATAATCTCCTGGTGTGCCATTTGCTGAGACTGTTGGAAAAGCACAGTATTAGGGTGGGAGTGACCCGATTTTCCAGGTGCCGTCTGTCACCCTTTCTTTGACTAGGAAAGGGAATTCCCTGACCCCTTGTGCTTCCCGGGTGAGGCGATGCCTCACCCTGCTTCGGCTCACGCTTGGTGCACTGCACCCACTGTCCTGCACCGACTGTCCGACACTCCCCAGTGAGATGAACCTGGTACCTCAGTTGGAAATGCAGAAATCACCCATCTTCTGCATCGCTCATGCTGGGAGCTGTAGACTGGAGCTGTTCCTGTTTGGCCATCTTGGCTCCACCCCTCATATGAGTATTAAACATTGCCAAGTGTTTACAGCTTAAGCTAGTAGAACACACACAACAAAATAAAACACCAGGCAGCAATCTTGGCCCCACCAAGATGGTAGCAATCACGGCTACCACCATACTGCTCTCTCTCTCCTCCTTTTCCACCAGGTTACTATAAGGAGGTTGTCTGTGCTCTTTGCTTCAGTTTCCCTGCTTCCGAACCCTCAGCCCATGCTATTATGGCTTCCATCCTCACAACTCCACCAAAATGGCTTTTTCTAAGGTATCTAAGGATCCAGTAGGCATTTTTCAGTTTTTATCTTACTTGACCTTGTAGCTGCTGTTGCTAATCATCACTGCTTCCCTGTAGCAGTGGTCCACAACCCCTGGGCCATGGAATGTTACCACTCTGTGGCCTGTTAGGAACAGGGCCGCACAGCAGGAGGTGAGTGGTGGAGGGAGCCAGCATTACCTCCTGAGCTCTGCCTCCTGACAGATCAGCAGTGACATTAGATTCTCATAGGAGCAAGAACCCTATTGTGAACTGCACATGAGAGAAATCTAGGTTGCATGCTCCTTATGAGAATCTAATGCCTGATGTTGTCTTCCACAAAACTGGTCCCTGGTGCCAAAAAGTTTGGGGACTGCTGCCCTATAGAACAGTCTCTGCCCCTGGTGCAGGGACATGGCATGCTCCTGGTTTCCTCAGGAAGAGTCTCTTCTTCACTCTCCCTTGCAGGCTCATCCTGCTTTGTTCAGTAAGTAGTTTTTGGGGTTCCTTGGGGTTTAGTCCTGGGTTCTCCTCTCATCTTAATCTAACCACTCACCTCGGGTAACCATCCACACCCACAGCTTTGGTCTTCAACTCCATCAGTAGCATTCATGTTGTTTTTATTAAACAATATGAACCTATGGTAAGAATAGATTTTTACATGGGGACCCAATACATGCATACATATATAGAAAACCAAATCAAAAGTAAGTAATACTCATATCTGTTCTTTTCTTCTACTTTTTTAGAAAAGGCTGGTCAGGATGTGTAAAATGGGTTTCATGACAAACCAATGAGTTGCCGCAAAAATTAAAAAGAAAAAAACATGCTGATATATATATCAATGGATCCTGAAATCATATCTTCAGCTTATACCTCTCTTGTAGGTGCTTGACCCCAGTGCACTATATCACTGCTGTTCTGAATCCTACTATATTTCTACTTGATTTCTCAAAGTCACCTCAAACGCAGAATGTATAAGACCAAAACGCATGATGCCCCCCTGGGACCCTCTTCCTGGTTCATGTCTAATTTTTTGTTTTTCTTTTTCAGTTTGCCCTGTTTCAGTGAGTGGCACCGCAATCCATTCAGTTTTTAAAATCAGAAGTCTAAGAGTTATCCTTGAAACTTCCTTTTTCTTCCCTATGTATATTTAATCCATCGGAAATTCATATTGATTTGATTTCTAAATATCTTCCCAATCTATCCACTTCTTCCTGTCTCCACTGCTACCCCTCCAATCCAAGCTCCCATCATTTCTCCCCTAGACGACCATAAAAGATGACTTATTGGTTTTGTGGCACTTCTATGTTCCCTCCAAATGGGTTTCCACAGTGCAATTGAAATAATCTAAAAAGTAAATATAACCATGTGACTCCTCACCTCCCACCCACTTCCTACTTACAACTTTGAACAACTTCCTTTTCTTCTGGGATTAGACCGAGTTGTTAATCATGGTCTACAAGGCCTGGCATGGTGTTGCCTGGCCTAGCTCTCCAGCCTCATCATGAACCACCCTCTACTTCTTTCTCTGAGCAACTGCCAACCTGGCCTTGCAAGCGCTTTTCTTCCTCCTGCTGAAGCGTCACTGCACGTGTCCTTTCTTCTGCCTGGAAAACTACCCCATTCCCTTTGCCTAGTCAGCCCCTGCTAGTCCTTCAGATGCCAGTGGAAGCCTCACTTCTCGGGGGGAAGACAACTGGCATCCCGGTCAAGTGCTAGCTTAATTATGTTTTGAAATAGAAATGTCTTCCTAGTACTCATGTCACTTTGTATTATATGCCCACACTTGTGATCTTTTAAACAATTAATATATGTTTACATATTATACTACAATGTTTCCACATTGCACTAAAATCTCCAGGAGATTATGGGCTATATCACATTTCACTCACAATTGCATCCCCTGGGCCTAGCATAGTGTCTGACACTAAGAAGGTGTAAAACATATTTTAAAATGATCAACAGAACACAAATTGTAATACATGTTATGAAAGCAGTTACCAGAGTGCAGAAATAGAAAATATAGGTGATGATTAATGAAGCATCCTTAGAAAGGTAACATTTAACTGAGTTTTGAGGGATGAAAAGGAGTCAGCCATGGGAAAGGTGGGGACATGCTTAGCTATGCAAAAGGATGACAGTGAGCAAAGGTCATGAGGTGGGGATGTGCTGTATGCTCAAGGGGAAGGGAGGCTGGTGTGGCTGGAGTACAGCGGGGAGGAGACAGCAGCCAAGATGAGTGTGGAGCAGTAGTCGGGGTTGGATCATTTAGTAGTTACTGACCTATGATAAAACATTTGTATTGTATTTGAGGCACAATGGGAAGTCATTACATGATTTAAGAAGGGGTGTCCCATTAACTGATTTTTATTGAGACACTAGACTGGAGGGATAAAGAGCAGAAGCTGAGACATCCAATGAGGAGACCACCATGGCCATCCATATGAAAGACGCTGATAGTGTGGGTCATAGTATTTGGAATGGAACGGAAGAGAAGTGGATGAAGTCAAGAAATATTTTGAAGGTAGAAACAACAGGACTTGGTAATGGATTGAATTGGGGGCAGAGAGATTGGAATCAAAGAGGCAGCCTTGTTTTCTTATTCAGGAATTGTGTGGATAGTGGTACCATTTACAGAGATGGAGAAGGCTGAGAATTTGAGTGGGAGAATCAAGGATTGGGCACTTGCTTTATTAACTTGAAAGTGCCTATGGAATATCCAAGTGGGACATTTTAAGGAGGCAATTGTATATGTGAGTCTGAAACTCAGAGGAGTGATGTGGGTTATAGATCTAAATTTGGGGGGTCATCAAATTATGGATGATATTGAAAACAGTGGGAATGTATCTATATCACCTAGGGAGAGAATGTGTAGAGAGAAGTGTGCAGGCTGAGTCCTGTGAGATGCTAACATTTGGAGGGCAGATAAAGAAGAGATACTTGTTAAGAAGACTGAGAAGTGACCAGGGTAGATGAAGGAAACCCAAGGGCAGGTCGACTTGTGTCAGTAAGGAAGACATTGTTGTCTCAGCTAAATGAGGCTGAGAGATCAAGGGCAGAGAGTAGACAATGGATCTGACCACAGAGCTGAAAAAACCGGACAATTTGAGCAGATGTGATCAAATGAGGGAGACCAACCAGATTGAACTGATTTAAAGAGTAAGAGTGGGAAATGAGGAGGTAGACATTGTGAAAAAGGCATTGATGAAAGAGGTGAACCACTATAACAGCTGAAGATAATGAATAAGGAAGTGGAAAGTGGAACCAGAAGAGAGAGGCAGATTGGTTAGGCTGTCCTTGAGATGCCTCAAGGAAGACCTCTGAAGAGGTTTTTGGTTATGTTATGGGAACCTAAAAGGAAGCAACAATCAGGTCGGGTATAAGAGGCTGTATGCAGTGTGATGAAATGCAAAGTCCTGGAAGATCTGTTATAACAACTCTTTTGGATTAGAAGGAGAGGGATTTGTGAAGCCGGGAGAACAAAACGAAGCCAGATGTGTTCAGTGGGGCCAAGTTAGACTGTAAGTCTTCTGTATTTCTGTAGGTTGTTAGACTGTAAGCAATTTTGTTACGCACAATTTTTCTTACAAGAGTAAAGTGGCAATTTGTATGGGCAATAAACAGATGAAAAGAGGCTCAACATCTCATGTGGTTTGGATGTTTTGTCCCCTCCAAATTTCATGTTGAAATGTGACTGCCAATGTTGGAGGCAGGCTTAGTGGGAGATGTTTTGGTCATGGGGGCAGATAACTCATGAATGTCTTGGTGCTATCCTCGCAGTAATGAGTGAGTCCTTACTCTGAGTTCATGTGAGAGCTGGTTGTTTAAAAGAGCATGGCTCCCCTCTCTCTCTCTCTTGCTTCCTCTCTTGCCTTGTGATGTGTCAGCTCTCCCTTCGCCTTCTGCCATGATTGTATGATTGTAAGCTTCCTGAGGTCTCACCAGAAGCTGAGCAGATGCAGGTGCCATGCTTATACAGACTGCAGAACTATGAGCCAAATAACCTCTTTTCTTTATAAATTACCCATCCTCAGGTATTCATTTATAACAATGCAAAAATAGACTAATACAACATCACTAATCATTAGGACAATGCAAATTAAAACCACAGTGAGATACCACATCACACCCATTAGGGATGGCCACTATAAACAAACAAGGCAGAAAATAACAAGTGTTGGTAAGGGCGTGGGAATATTGGAACCCTTGCACAATGCTGCTGGAAAGGTAATACTGTGCTGCTGCTATGGAAAACGATATAGCTGTTTCTCAAAAAAATTGTACAGTGCATAGAAGTGCCATATGATTTAGCAATTCCATTTCTGCATATATACCCAAAAGAATTGAATGCAGGGACTTGAATAGGTATTTAATGCTCCAATGTCCATAGCAGCATTATTCAAATAGCCAAAAGTCAATTAATGGATGAATGGATAACAAAATGTGGTATATCCTGCATTCAAATATTATTCAGCCTTAAAAAGGAAGGAAATTCTGATACATGCTACAACATGGATAAACTTTGAGGACATTGTGTTAAGACACAAAAGGAAAAATACTGTGCAATTCCACTCATATGAGGTACATAGAGTAGTGAAATTCACAGAGACAAAGTAGCATTGTATTTGCCAGGGGCTGCTGGGAGAGGGGGGAAATGGGGAGTTGTTTAATGGGGCAGAGCTTCTGTTTGGGGAGGTGAAAGGTTCTGGAGATGAATGGTGGTGATGGTTGTACAACAACATGAATGTCTTTAATGCTACTTAACTGTACACTTAAAAATGGTTAAAATGGCAAACTGCATGTTATATATATTTTACCACATGAACAGAGAAGTAGCAATTTGTTTGACTTAAAATAGTGACTTAAATGAGTGCGTTGTGTTGATAGCTCCACATGGAAAGGCAGAAGAGGCCTGAACTGGCCAAGAGTGAAGGACACAGTCCTGTGGTATACTTGGAAGAGGAAAACTGACCCAAATCCAAGAGCAGCTTCAGAAGAGATGGGCGGGTGCAGGTCGTGGGCAGGCATTTTGGTCTTGAACTGAGAGAGGTAACAGGCAGCCTTGTGCCTTCTGCCCTTCATGCCACAGTGGGCTCTCCTGACTCCAAGGAAAGGCCCCTGGTCCATGGCTGCTGTCAGCTCAGGCATCCCCCACCCAGTGGAGGCTGCATGTGAGGGCTGGGCTGGAGAATTTGGGGAGAAAAACCATGTCTGGACAGCCCACCTGTCGGTCTGATAACTGTGACTGTGCTCTGTGAACTTGGAGCACCCAACAAGCAGTGAATGTTCTCACCAATGTCTTCTGTAGCAGGCATGTTGAATTTAAATAAACATGGATTGCTGGTGCCCAGAGATTAGAGGTCCTTCCCATCACAGTGGAGAACCAGCCCCTGACTTCTCAAATTTAGGGCAAGTGGGATGTGGAAGACAAGGATATGGGGCCTCATTTCCTCACTGGGTCCAGAGAGGTGACTTGTGTTTCAGAAAGAAGACTGAAAGTGGCATGGACTTATTGACTGATGGAACAAATGTTTCCTGAATGCCTGTTACATAATAACCACTAGTTAGGCACTGAAGTTAGAAAAGTAAATAAAACAAGGTTCTTGTTCTTAGAGAGCCTGCTTTCTAATGGAGACAGAGACTAGAAATATATATATATATATATATATATATATATTTTTTTTTTTTTTTTTTGAGACAGAGGTTCAAGTGATCCTCCCAGATTCAAGTGATTCTCCTGACTCAGCCTCCCGAGTAGCTGGGATTACAGGCATATGCCACCATGCTCTGCTAATTTTTGTATTTTTAGTAGAGATGGGGTTTCACCATGTTGGTCAGGCTGGTCTTGAACTCCTGACCTCAAGTGTTCCACCCACCTCGGCCTCCCAAATTGCTGAGATTACAGGCGTGAGCCACTGCGCCCAGCCGATAAATAATTTTTGAAAACAATAATATATCTGGTGATGGTAAGAACTATGAAGACAAATAAAGCAGGCTAAAGAGATAGGGAATACCTGTAGGAGACTACTAGTTTAGGTAGATAATTAACAAATACACACATTGCTAGTAAAATGTCACAGTGTAAGCACTATGAAGAGATTAAAGCAGAGTAAGGAGATAGAGAGTGCCACTGGGAGAGGGGTGCCTATTGTAGATAAAGTGGACAAGGAAGGACAAAGGATTGACATTTGAGCAGAGACATAAAGGATACAAACATCTTCCAGGCAGCAGGTGTAAAGGCTATCAAAGAGTACAGATAATAGTGTCCCTGGAAAAAGCAAGATGGCCAAGGACAGGTGGGCAGAGGCTGGGGAGATGGTTCAGGACCAGGGAGGGGTGGTGGGGAGCAGGCTGGCTTGAATGTAATGTACTAAGAGTATCAAGCAGAGGACAGATAATGACTGGATACACATCCAGAGAGATTCGTTCTGTTTGCTCTTCATAGGTTCACCACAGGGAGGCAGGAATAAAGTAAGGAGGCTCATAGAAATCTGGTATGAGATGGTGGGGACTTAGTCTGAGCTATTAACGGTGAAAGTGATAAGAATTGGTTGGATTTAGGGCCGGGTGTAGTGGCTCACGCATGTAATCCCAGTACTTTGGGAGGCCAAGGAGGGCAGATCATGAGGTCAGGAGTTCGAGACCAGCCTAGCCAGCATGGTGAAACCCTGTCTCTACTAAAAATACAAAAAAAAAAAAAAAAAAAAAGCCGGGCATGGTGGCACATGCCTGTCATCCCAGCTACTCAGGAGGCTGAGGCAGGAGAATTGTTTGAACCTGGCAGGCGGAGGTTGCAGTAAGCCGAGACTGTGCCACTGCACTCCAGCCTGGGTGACAGAGCGAGACTCTGTCTCAAAAAAAAAAAAAAAAAAAAGAATTGGTTGGATTTAGTCCTGGAGCAATTGCAAGAAAAAAATAAGAATAAACCTAGGGTAACATTTATGGCACCATGTCATATACCTGTTGCTATCCTAAATGCATTCTACACATTGTCTCCTTTAATTCTCAATATGACTCTGTAAAAAAAAAAAAAAGAAAAAAAAAAAGGCATGCTTATTCCCAGCTCACACTTGAGGAAACAGAGGCCTATGAAGGTTAAGTCACATGGCCAAGGTCATAGAGTTTGTAAGTAGCACAGTTGTGACTAAACCCCAGGTTGTTTTGACTCTGGAACCTGTGATTTTGGCTTTTGTATGCTCCTGTAGCATTATTAGCTGGTCATTCTAGAATGGAAGTGGGTCAAGGGGCCACCTTAGGCAGAGTAGAGTGGATGAGTAAGGGCAGAGGGGCCAGAGGAACCCATGTAGGAGGGAGGGGGTTGTAGGAGACAGCTGGGGTCTGTCCCTCCCTGACCCATAGACAGGAGTCTGTGAGAAATGGAGGTGTGGACAGAGCCCATGTGTCAGTCATCCCGAAGGGCTCTGTGAGGTCAGGGGCACTGCTTTAGTTCTCAGGTATCCAGAATAGAGGATTAGGGGACTCTCTCTACTTTTACCTCAGTCAAAGCACCATAAAGGGTTCTGGAGCATGGGGTGGATGATTGTTGGATGAGTATATTTCCAAACACTTGTCCAGAGGCATTTGACAGGGTTCTGAGCCTCTGAATGAGCTGTAGCCAGTGAAATTTGAGTCATTACTGTTACTGTGGCCTCATAAGCTAGAACATAAAATTCTTATGGGTTCATGTAGCCAGAGTGTTGGATTGGTAATGGTGGCTTAGAACTTCTAAAACCACAAGGTCAAATCCACACACAGGTATGCTTAGAAGAAATTATGAAATCTTTTTAAGATCCACTTCTATTCCATAGCTTTGGAGCAGCAACTAAGGGGAAGCAGATATCATTCAGGTTAGGAGCCCCATAAACAGCTGGAAAACACCACTGAGAGGGCATCATCAGCCCTCCTTCCCTCAATCATTGAAATTGTGGAAGTGGCTAGGACTGCAGTGAAAACAAGGTATCTGTCATCTCTCACCACCTCTCCGCATTGCGTAGTTGTACTGTTGTGTAAAAGCATCTAGACCTTGGAGTAAAAGACATAAATCAATGCCTCATGTGGAAGCATCATCTTATTAATAACTTGCATAGAGTCTTGCAAATCTGTTCATATCTCTTGTGTCAACTGCCCTTCCCATCAACTCCTGAGGCAAGCAGAGTAGATATTTGTGATCATTACTAACATGGTTTGGCTGTGTCCCCACCCAAATCTCATCTTGAATTGCAGCTCCCATGATTCCCACGTTTTGGGAGGGATCTTGTGGGAGATAATTGAATCACAGAGGCTGTTTCCCTCATACGGTTCTTGTGGTAGTGAATAAGTCTCACGAGAGCTGATGGTTTGATAAGGGGTTTCCCCTTTCGCTTGGCTCTCATTCTCGCTTGTCTGTCACCATGTAAGATGTGCCTTTCCCTTCTGCCATGATTGTGAGGCCTCCCCAACCACGTGGAACTATGAGTCCATTAAACCTATTTTTGTTTATAAATTACCCAGTCTCGGGTATGTCTTCATCAGCAGCATGAAAATAGGCTAATACACTTATTTTTTAGATATAAAAAGATGTGCTCAGGAAAGGTTCTCTACATCATCAGTTATTAGGGAGATGCAAAACAAAACTACAATGAGATGTCACTTCACACCTACTAGGATGATTATAAAAACAACAACAACAGAAAATAGTATTGGTGAGAAAATGGAGAAATTGGAATCCTTGTGCATTTTGGTGGGAATGTAAAATGGTGCTGCCTTTGGGAGGCCAAGGTGGGCAGATCACAAGGCCAAGGGTTTGAGACAGCCTGGCCAATATGGTAAAACCCTGTCTCTACTAAAAATACAAAAATTAGCCGGGCGTGGTGGCACACCTGTAACTCCCACTGTTCGGGAGACTGAGGCAGGAGAATTGCTTGAGCCTGGGTGGCAGAGGTTGCAGTGAGCCAAGATTGTGCCATTACACTCCAGCCTGGGTGATAGAGCAAGGCTTTTTCTCAAATAAAATAAAAATAAAATAAAATGGTGCTGCCACAATAGAAAACAGGAAGTTCCTCAAAAGATTAAACATGGTACTATTTAATACTATATGACCCAGAAATTCCACTCAGGTACATATCTAAAAGAATGGAATGCAGGGACTTGAACAGATATTTGTAAACCAATGTTCATAGCAGCATTCTTCACAATAGTCAAGCATTGTTTATAGCCCAAGTGTCTGTTGACAGATGAATGGATAGACAAAATGTGGTCTATTCACTCAATGGAATATTATTCAGCCTTAAAAAGAACGGGAATTCTGACACATGCTACAACATGGGTGGACCTTGAGGACATGATGCTGAGTGAAATAAGCCAGACACAAACTACCTCATACAGCCATTGTATGATTCCACTTATATGAGGTACCCAGAATAGGCAAATTCATAGAAACAGAAAGTACATTAGAGTTTAGCAGGAATCACGGGAGGGAGGGAGGGGAGTTTAATGAGTACAGAATTTTTGTTGAAGATGATAAAAGTTATGGATCATAGTGATGGTAACACAGTATTGTGAATGTGATGCCATTGAATTGTATGCTTACAAATGGTTAAAATAAATATTATGTATATTTTACAATGATAAAAAATCCAGAAGTAAACCCTGGGACTCTGAGCGTTAAGCATGGGCTAAAGGTCACACAAGTAGTAATGGTGGAGGTGGCTTCAGACCTAGTTGGGTCTTCTGATCACGGTCTTGCCCCGCACCTCATCAGCTATGATGTGGCCCTCCTTGGTATCCATACAGCATGGTTATAGTTTAAATCTTAGGATAATGAGCTCCTTTGGTGGCCTCAGCAGTTAACTCCCTAGTCAGATGGGTCCAGGGTGAGATGATCTTGTGTGGAAATCAGCATCATGATGAGATCTCAACTTATAAGTTAACTCTATATACAAGCCCAGAAAGTACAATGTAAAAACTATTCCACTTTAAACTATTTAGAACTCTTATTTTAAAAATAGAAAGCAAAAACATTACTCAGAAATAAGAGTAAGATTAAATACCAATTTCTGCACCCTCTTGGCCATTGTAAAGTTGTTTTCTTGGTTAGTCTCCTTTATAGCCTGTCTTCAGAAATATAGGCTGGGTGGGCCAGGCGCAGTGGCTCACGCCTGTAATTCCAGCATTTTCGGAGGCTGAGGCAGGCAGATCACGAGGTGAGGAGATTGAGACCATCCTGGCTAACATGGTGAAACCCCGTCTCTACTAAAAATAAAAGAAAAATTAGTCAGGCATGGTGGCGGGCAGGTGTAGTCCCGGCTCACACCTGTAATCCCAGCACTTTGGGAGGCTGAGGTGGGGGGATTTTTTGAGAACAGGAGATTGAGATCAGCCTAGGCAATATGGCAAGACCCCTATTTCTACAAAAACAAACAAACAAAAAAACCATAGCATAGCATGTAGTCCCAGCTATTCTAGAGGCTGAGGAGGGAGGATCATTTGAGCCCAGGAGTTCAAGGCTGCAGTGAGCTATGATTGTGCCACTGCATTCCAGCCTGGGTAACAGAACAAGACCCTGTTTCTAAACAAAAGAAAGAAAAAGCACAAGTCATTTAGAGGTGAGCAGCTTTTGCATGATGCCAAATATACATGCTGATGGGATGTCTGCAAGAGTAGAAAATTAATCAGAGATAGACGGCCTCTTAATTAAAACAATTGGAAAGACCAATTTGTAATGAGAAGCTTTGTTTCCTGAAGCCTGGAGAGAGGGCTCTGACTTGTGTCAGGAGTCCCCTGGTGGCTTGGGATGCAGCTCAGGACAGTCAGCCTCAGGCTCCCACTGAGTCAGCTGTGCAGGACGGGGCCTCCCAGTGGCCCTGCCTCAGATAAGCTGTGTCCTCAAATTCAGGAGCTCTTCACCTCTTTTCTCCCTTTGAGCTCCTTCTTGTGTCTTCCCTGTCCAAAGTCCCCTCCAATTGTATTTGGTGTCCTCATGCTGTCACCAGGACCAACCACTGGGTCAGGATACCTAGTCCTATGTTACCTGTGGTGCTTCAGTTTCCAAATTATCCTTCCCAGATTTCCACTTCATCTCACTTCATGGAAAAATCTAATTGATAAGAAACAATCACTCTCACCTGGTTGTTCCTAAAAGAAAGGTGTCTGAGGAACCTAATTCATGCTTCAGTGTGGATAACTGTTTGCAGAGGTGTTAAACGTCACAGGGAGGTTTTGCATTTGAAAGTGTAGTTTGGTAGCTCACATGGCTGAATATTATAGAGGAATTTCAAGAGAGGATTTTCTCTGTCTCTTGGGTCTTATGTATTCACTCAAGTATTTTAAATCTTCCTTTCCTGTGTCAGAAACTTTAGTAGTAGGTGTTGGAGTTATAAATATTATACCTTTAAAGAACATCACCGTCAGTGTAGAGATAGATAAGCAGAAAGTGGTAATGCATTCTGATTAAAGCCAAAATAATTGCATAACTGTGAACATTTATCTGGACTTTCACTATATGAGACATTAAGTGTCCCTATTTTCTGAGCCTGTTGGACACAGGATGTTCAGTTACCCTACCAGCCTTCTCCACTAGCATGTAACCTACAAGAGAAAAGAGACAATCAGCTTGCTCTCTGGTGTGTACCCTGAGTGCCTAGAACAGAACCAGGTACATGGAGGCCATACAGTAAAAGTCAATTGAATGAATGAATAAATAAGTTTGAACAGAGTGACATGAAGCCCCTTACATGGTGAGCATGAGCACGGATGGGTGCTGAAATTACACAGGGAGTGAGGACTTCCCATGGTGTATGCATGGGCGCACTAGTTTCTTCCAGCCTCGGCTCCTCTGGAATAACCCTCCTTTCTACCCTGGCATCAATGTTTCACTCTCTACTAGATCATTCTCATCAATGTGCCCTTCCTCTCCAGCTGACATTCCATTTCTTTGTTCCTCTTTGCAGTAAATCTCCTCAAAGGAGTTGCCCAGATCTAGTGTCCTCAATTCCTCTTTCCCCCACACACTCTCATTCAATCAGTTCTCACCCCAGTCTCCCCACCAAGCCTGTGCTTGTAGAGCTCCTCCATGTCTCCATGTTGCTAAGTGAATGGTCACCTCTCTGCCCTCATCTTACTTACACAGCAGCAGCATTCAGCACAGATAATTTCTCCCTCCTCCTGGATACAGGTTCTCCACCTCTACATATCCACCAGATGGATACAGTTTCTCCGCCTGGCTTCCAGACACCTCTTTGTTCCTGTTTTCAACCCCTTCATTGGACACTCCTTTTTCTGTACTCTGCTGCTTCCTCCCTTTTCTCTCTGGCTTCTGGAAGCTGGTCCATCCAAGTCTCAGTCCTTGGTCCTCTTCTCTTTCTCTTTCTATATGCACTTGCTTGGAGATTAAAATACCATTTTTATGCGTACAACTCCCAAATTTATGTCTTCAGCTAGGTCTCTCTTCTGAACTCCTGGCTCATATCTCCAACCACCATTCGACATCACCACTGGCTTGTCTATCAGACACTTGTAACCTACCATGCTGAAATGGGATTCGGTGCCTGGTCCACTTTTCAATTGCTCATGCCCAAGTCTTAGAGTCCTTGATTTCTCTCTCTTTCTCACATCCCAAATCCAAATCATCAGGAAATTCTATTTGCTCTATGTTCGACACATATACAGAACTGGAGCACTTCTTATCACCTACATTGAGCACTATCACCCTGGTTTGAGCCACTATCCTTTCTTGCTGGAATAATGGCAATAGCCCCCTAACATAATAGCCTATTCCCAACAGAGCAGCCAAAGCCTTTCTCTTAAAACATAAGTCAAAAAATGTGACTCCTCTAATCCAAATCTCACCATGGTTCCCCATTGCCCGGGTTAAAACCAAATGGTCTAAAAGACCTTCCATGATCTGCTTCCCTAGCCTGTCTGCACTGTGTCCTCTTTCCCATCCATCACTCCTGTTTGCTCCAGCCACAATTTCTCCTTGTTATTCCTGCTTCTGCCCTAGGGCCTTTGCTCTACAGTTTTTCTGTAAAGGGCCAGATAGCAAATATTTTAGCTTTTGTGGGCTGTAGAGTCTCTTTCCCAGCTATTCAGCTCTGCCGTTGCAGTGCAAAAGCAGCCACGGACAATACATGAATGAATGAGTGTGGCTATGTTCCAACACAACCTTATTTATGGACACTGAAGTTTGAATTTCGTGTAATTTTTATATGTCATAAATTATTACAGTTTTGATTGCTGCCAATTGTTTAAAAATGTAAGAACCAGTCTTAGCTGGTGGGTCATCTAAAAATTTGCGGCAGGTTGAATTTGACCCCTAGGCCACAGCTCGCTGCTGCCTACCATAAGTGTTCCTTGCAGGGAATGTTTTTCCTACTGACATCTGCTGGGCTCCTCCTCTATCCCTTTCAGTCTTTGGTTGAATCTCACTTTCTTAATGCAGCTTGTCCTGACCACCCTCTCCCTACCTTGCTCAATATTCTCTGTCATCTTTACCTTGTTTTTTTTTTTTTCCTTTTTGCACACACCTAGCAACTTCTATCATATTATATCATTTACTCATTTTTACGTTTATTGAGTTTCCATGTCCCTTCTCCCAATCCTCCCTAGAATGCAAGTCGCACTCAGGTGAGGAAATTTGTATTTGATTCATTGTTGTGATCAGGGCCTGGGGCAAAATGGGTGCTCAATAAATTATTTGTTAAGTATTTATTAGGAGTGGCCATTTATTAGTGGATGTTTTCCGATTATGGTGCTTTTTGCATTTCCATACCTCACAGTCTTAGGCACTCAGACAATGGATACTAGGAAAATAAGGATGCCCTGAATCCACCTAGAGGCATCAGGAAAGGCTTCATAGAAGAGGTGACATCTGAGCTGAGTCTAAAAGAGTGTAAAGGGAATTCAGGGCATGGAGAAGGAGAGGGGAGGGCAGTGCAAGCAGAAGAAACTGTGTGTGCTGACTCTAGATTCAGGGAAGGGTGTGAGGCCTGGGAACTGGCATTAGTTCAGTGTGGCTGGGAGAGGATTGGTGGGGGAGAGACTGGAAGAGTTAGTAGCCATTGGAGATGGCATTGGTATGAACAAATATGGGTGCTAGTCACAGATGTCTGCAGATTCAGAAGACAGCTTTCTGGAGCTCTGAGTAAGGCCAGATGTGCTCCTGTTGTGCCATGCCCAAGAGGTATTCAGACAAGCAATCCAGGATCATTCCTCAATACTTTTCTCCAAACTGCCTCACCATAAAATAAGTGAGCAGCATGAGTCCCGGGGCATTTGACCAAGATGCTGTGGGCAGCAGTGTTTCCTGGAGGCAAATCACACCATGTGTTCTCAGCCCCCAAAGCCCTTGTGTGGGCAACAACAATATGGCGTGATTCAGATCTGCAGAGCACCTCCCCAAGCAGACCCTCTGAGACCCTCCTTCCTCCATAGCCTCGGTGGTGCACAGAGAGGCTTTTCCACTTCTCACTGCTTATTCTGTGCAAGGCCTGATGGGGGTTGAGTGACAACGTGAGAGGAAGCGTCTGGTCCAGGCGGAGAAGTCTCAGGCAGGAAGAGCTCTTCACAAAGCAGAGTGCAATGAGAACTTCAAGGAGAGGCATGAGTCTGGAGGAAAGAGTAGCTGCTCCTGGATGGAGAGATCAGGGAAGGCCTCCTGGAGGTGGTGGCGTTTTGTGTCAGTCTTAGTTAACAATGGTAGGAGATGGGGAAGGAGACTCACAACAGGATTTTTGGTGCTCATCTAGAGGCTGCTTGCACACATGTTGTGTGCCTCTAGATGAGCACCAGAGCAAGCAATCTGCTAATTGCATAAATAACAACCATTTTGCAGACAGCCAAAGAACCTGGCCCTAGCAGATGTTGTCAAATGTATCCATTTTGTCCTATAATCTTTAAACAATCTTTTCATGAAGTACTATCTGAAGGAAAGACGTAATCCATTCTCCTCCAGTAGGAGAGGAATTATCTTTCCGATGGTGTAGAATAATCCTTTTAGGTGACATGAAACCAACTCTCAGCCTAAATCCCCTTTCTCCCTCCCCGACAGGTGCCTTCATTACTGTTAAGAACTGCATTTAAGAAATAAGCAGGAAGGCTGGAGGGGCTATTTTGGGCCTCACATAGCATTCAGTTGGAAGATAATTTTCCTAAGATCACAGTGTGGGTTTTTGACGGGATGTGCTGAGGATCTTCCTCCAGTTTGAGGGAAACCTCCATTTCCAAGGTGAGGAGCCAGGGCCCCTGACTCACTCTTCCAGAGGCTTTGCCCTAATAGGTGCTTGAAGACTGAGAGCTGAGGTGGGAGAAGTGATTAAAGGCAACCCTGGGTGAAGAGAGTATTGAAACCAGAGCATTTCAAAGGCTGTGGGAACAGGGAGGTAATCTCCTTACAACCACTGTCATTTGAGGGAAAGTCAACCTAGTGGAGTGAGGAGGGCACAGAATTTAGAAACAGAGACCCTGGGTTCAAGTTGTAACTTTGTCACTTACTAATTGTGTGGTTTGGGGATATTACTTAATTCCTCTTTTAGAATACGTAAAATGGGAGAAACATTGGTAAAGCCCTTTCTTATAAGATACATGTGGGGAAAAGCTGTATATGCAGTAGATGAGAATGTCTGGGCCAGAGAGTTTAAGAGTTGTACCTAAGGTCAAAGTGCAAGCAAGGGTTGGAGTCAAATAGGTCCATAGGGCTCCTCAAATCCTGGTTCTCTTCCTATTATACCAGGTGAGTGTCCATTTTGTAGGGTCAGTTAATTAGGACAGAATTGTTCATGAGACTAAGGGTTGGCCCCACTAACTATCATTTGCATTATTTTCCTGGTCATATCATGCAAACCTGTGCTCTAGCTTCTAATGTAATTAGCCCATTGATTACGCTCCTTATGCCTAATACCATCTATTTTATCCATCCATTTACTGGAGCAAGATTTATCAAGCACATACTATCTATCAAGCATTCTGTGACATGCTCAGGGCTCCATCAGGAAAGGTTGTGTGAGCACTGAAGGAACACACAGACTTGTGGAGGAGACAAACCTGTACCCAAACCACGTGATAAGAGGTTTGCACAAAGTGTTGAAGGTGAAAGAAGGATGGCAATCATAATTACAGCATTCTGATTTTTATAGGAGGAGGAAAGGGAGGATCAGGAGAGGCTACACAGAGGGAGTGATGAAGACTGGGATGATCCAGATTTTGTAGCAGAGAAAGCTCTCAGTAGGTGGGTGCCATGGGAGTGTGTGTGTGTGTGTGTGTGTATGTATGTATGTATGTGTGTGCGTGCGTGCATGGTTAGGGCAGGGTGTTAGCAGGGAGCAGGGCATCACAGGGAGAGGTAACAATGAGTGCCAACCCGTGTTGGACCTGCTGCTCTGCTTCAGAATGGCTGGATGGGGCAAGGGGCAAACAGGGGTGGGAGACATGCTGGGAGTCAGGGCTGGCAGGAGCAAAAAAAGCAAAAGTATGGCCCAGCCTCCAAGGAGTTAAGTTTTATCCTGCAGCTCCTTTGAAATCCTTCTAAACAGGGGAGTGACATGATTAGATTTTAGAAAGATAATTCTGGTGGCAGTGTGCTGCACAGATGGGAGAGGAGAAAATTGGAAACAAGGAACCCTGTTCTGCAAAGATTGTGATAATCCAGGCAAGGGATGATGAGGGTCTGAGTGAGGGCAGGTGCATGGTAATGGAGACGAAGCAGATTGGAGAGAGATTTAAAGAGACAATCAGCCTGGTGACTGATTGAGGGTGGGGGAGGTCAGGGAGAGGGGAAGGGAACATTTCCTGGGGTTTCCGATTTGGGCAGTGTCCATCAGGGAGCACAGGGTGAGGAGGAGGTGGGGTTAAGGGACGAGAGGACAGAATTATCAATTCTGCTTCAGATTTGTTGAGTGTGAGAACTTCTAGGAAAATGTATCCAGTTGGAGGTTGAATGCATTTAAAATTTAGGAGAGAGATTCATTTAGCAAACACACATTTATTCTCTATGTATCAGGTGACTTTCTAGTGTCAGAGATAGAGCATTAAATATGATGAACAAGGTCTCTACTCTCATAAAGTGTCTTTCCAATAAGGGAAAACAAACCCAGGAACAAAAGCAAAATAAAACAGGAAAACGTGAGAGAAAGTGAGTGGGAGATTACCTTAGATATGGGTTCAGAAAAGACCTTTCTTAAGAAGGTAACATTTGAACCAAGATCTGAAAAATGAAAAGAACCAGCCAGGTGAAAATGTCAGGGAAAAGCATTCCAGGCAGAGGGAGCAGCATGTGCAAAGGCTTTGAGGTGAGAACAAGCTTGGTGTGTTCAGAGACAGGTCAGAGTGTGTGGTGTGGAGCAGGTGAGGGGATGGAAAGTAGGCTATGAGATTGGAGAAGTGGTCAGGGGTTAGATCACATTGCAGAAAATTATAATTCAGATTAGGCTAAAGCACATGATGACAAATGACCCTCGAATTTCAGTAGCATACAATGAACACATTTACTTATCAGTCATGCTGCAGGTCCATTGTGAGTCAGTTACACACTTTCTCCACTATAGGACTCAAGTGAATGGAATAGCTCCTATCTGAGACATTTCTGGTGTTCTGGAAGAGGGAAAAGAGAAAGTGGAGAACCACATAATGGCCTTAAAGTGTCTGCATGGAAGTGGATGTGCCAATGCCATTGGCCAAAGCAAATTATACAGCCAAGTGTGATGTCATTGGTGTCTGAATGTATGTTTCCCATAGAGAGGAGCAACAGATGTTGAGATCAACAATACAATTAATCTACCATATAGGCTATGGTGAGATCAGATTTTATTCTAAGTGCTACCGAAAGGCATTAGGGTTGTGTGTGTGTGTGTGTGTGTATGTGTGTGTGTGTGTGTATGTGTGTGTGTGTGTGTGTTTTAACTAGAGGGCATCAATGTTGATTGCCAAGGTAGGTTAAAAATAGATGAATAAAAATAAGAGATGAGATAAATTGGGTAATCTAGAAAAGGTTGTCTCAGATACTGAGCACATGGCAAGGAAGTTCTGTTAGGGTAGAGCCCTGAAAATACTGTCAGGACAGGCCCACAGCAGGAGGCACACTGGATGAGTCATTTGGTCCTAGCCTGGTCTCCTAGGCTTTCCATTTGCAGAAGGTATCAGGAACTCCTGGGTGGCCTTTGGACAGAAGACCCTGGAATACTGAGATCCTGCCCACGATTACAGCACTCGTCCTCATGAATCTCCTAGAGAAAGAAGTATAAGATGAAAATTGGAAAAGGAAAACAAAATGTCACTTTATTGCTACTGAGGGTGGACCCCCGGCCCCAAATCAGAGGGCTTTTGTAAGTTAGCCTGGAGGAAGCAGTCACACTTGTGGCTTATGTGTTTCTCTCCATCCCCACACCAGCCATTATTTATACAAAAAATCAACCTCAGGTCATGAAATCTTCTTTCTTTCCTATGTGGAAGGAAGAGAGAGAAGAGGACAAGATGATTGGGCTTGCTCAAGGGGAGTGGGTCTTGGGGCAGAGCACTATTCTGCCACATAAGCTGAAGTGAAAGAGGAATATGAAGCACCCTGTCAAAGCATCCCCAATGCAGTGTAGACCAGGAGGCAGACCCCAGCCCACTGTTAGGGCAGTGTGGCTCCATGTCCCAGTTTGGCCCAGGCAAAACAATCAATCCAACCAGCATGGATCAATCTTCCTCCTCTGTGGGGTGGAGTGGGGAGGAGGTGAAATGGGAGCTTCTCTTCCCTAGTACATTTTCTGCTGCTCCCTTATCCCTTCATTTCAGGAGAGGGGATGGAGAAAGCCAGGCAGAGGAAGAGACTTGGACCTTTTGTCTTCTCCCAAAGCTCCACTCGCTGGTGGCTCCACTGTGGTTCCTCAGTGCACCTTTCAGATATGCCAGATGGTCCCAGAAATGAGGAGGGGAAACATGGCCAATAACATCTAAGAAAATGGGCTTCCCTCACCTAGAGATTTTCTTCGGAACACCAAATCTTGACTTGTTTTTATAAGAGAATATCACACCTTTTCAACTAAAACCATAAATGTCTCAAGTGTAGGACCCATAATTTATACTTCTTTTGAACTTCCTCCCCTCCTGGTCTAACGCAGGCCAGTTACAAGCAAATAGTCCCTGTATGACTGAATGAGTGAGTGGACAAATGATTTCCCAGGTGGCATATCCAGAAACAACACTGGTGATCCATCTCTCCCACCTGCCAGAGTCTTCCTGATGAACTTCCTATACGTGTAAGAATGTAGAGAGAAGGGAATTTATTATGCTGTCAGAGAAGGAAAGCAATAATCTAGACTTTCTGGCTGTCTTGCTAGCTGGGCCCCTTGGCCAGTGGTTAGAGAATTACAGTGTGTCTCAGTGTATCCTCAAGGGACCGAGATGGGCTCAGGCCATTACCCATGCAGCTGGCCATGGAGAGCCTACCTGTCAAACTGGCTGGAACCTGGAGAAGGAAACTCCTGGTGAGTCCTTCTTTGGCACCGTGGGGCCCTGGTGACAGAGTTGATTAAGCAAGACACCAGCATCAAAATTAAAGTGAGGAGGAAAAGTAAATTAGTGATTGAATAGCTAGTGAAGAGCCATATTTTAATAAGATTCCCTCTAATTTGAGTGATTCCTTCCCCCTCCTCTTTGGGCTTGGTCATTCTCCCTGTTTTGAAGTACTCCTGGGGTTAGGAGGAGGGAGGGGTGAGGAACACATACCTCGAATTTATACTCTGGTGCGTGGGGAGAGAGTCCTCAGCTGTCTGCAATACGCTGGGGCCCCATAAAGCGATTTGTCACTGCTCTGAATTCTTTTCAGCAGCATGTTCATTTCAATTTGCAGTCACCTCTTTAGCTCCTCTTCAGCAGGTTTGGCCAGACTCCTGCGAGAAGATCTGAGCCGAGAGGGGGAGACACAATCAAGGAGAAAGGCTGGCTGGAGCCGGGCTCTCCAGGGATGCATCTGCCACCACTCCACCCTCACAGCCTCTTTTAACTCTATTTGCTTCTACAGGGAGACAGGAGAGATTATGATGTTTCGCAGGCTTTCCAAACCCTTGTCATGGTTAATAAAGGTCTGGCAGGAACAGGAGCTGTGATGGCTCAGCAAGCTCTTGGTGCTGGGGCTTAGGGGAGGGAAGGTAGGTGGAGCTATTGGTCTAGCTGCCTGCGTGACACCAAGGAGCCCAGACACCAAGTGGGAGAGCCAGTCTGAGGGTCCTTTCTTCCTGTACTTACTGGACTTTGTGCACTACCTGCACAAAGTGATCCCCCACCATGGCTATGTGGACAGTGGGTCTGGCAGGAGCAAGGCTGAGAGCCAGAAGAGGAAGCTCCAGAGCTTCAGGTTATTAAGGTCCAGGGAGTAGCCCAGGAAGAGGAAGTTGAAGCCTTGGTGACCAGAAGTAGAGCATTAAGTCAGAGACTATCAGGAGGGAGATGCAGTGGGCAATGGAGAAGCTTCAGGCCTAGGGAGCTCTGTGTTTCCCTGACCCTGGTGGGGATCAGGGTTGGCCCAGGGCTTTGGGAGGGCTTCAGCCTGAAATGAGGATTTAATTTTGCCATTTATATTTACCATAAAATGATACATGTTCACTGTGGGAAAAAGCAGGCAAGGCAAAGGAAGTTAGCCTTATCTCACTGCCCAGAGAATAACACTGCTGATGTTTTCAGATGTTTTCAAAGTAAATCTATTTAATTTTTTCCACTAATAATATAACATTTTGTTACATATGATGACTCGATCTGTAGGCATGAGTATTGAGTCACTGGAAAGACCTATTCCATTTATTATATTCATAAATTAAAACCCAGTTTAAAAATTTATTTTCTAGAAATTAAGAACCATGGGGTAAAACAGAGTTCCTTTTATATGCAGTTGGGCCCTGCATGTCTGTAGATTCTACATCCGTGGATTCAACCAACTTAGATTGAAATAGTTGGAAAAAAAATTAAAAATACATTTTGAAAAATAATACAATTAAAATAATTATGAAATAACTACTTACATAGTATTAACATTGTATTATGTATGTAAGTAATCTAGAGATTACTTAAAGTATATGGGAGGATGTGTGTAGGTTATACGCAAATACTATGACCTTTTATATAAGAGTAAATTTTGGTATTGATGGGTGTAAATTTTGGTATTGATGAGCATCCTAGAACCAATTCCCTTTGGATACTGAGAAAGGACTGCATAAGAAAAATAATGAAAAGTGAGTCATAGATTTCTTGTGCAGTAAAAAACCAATTTAAACAAAGGAGAAAATGACCGAAGGGCATAAATGATGCATGAATAATCAGAAATACCTTATTCTTGAATAGAAAAATATAATATTACAAAAATATCAAGAAAAAGAAAAACTGAAAAAAATGGATATTTTAAAAAAGAAAAATATTAAAATTTAAATGACCAAACTGAAAAGAGAAAGAAATAACTCTACAAAACCAACACAAGAACAATTTATCATTATGGTTTATCTCCTTCTATTATTTTTTTGTGTGTATTTTTAAATTAATTAAAAAAATTGGTACATAATGATTGTATGTCTTTCTGGGGTACTTGTGATATTTTGATACATGCATACAATGTGAGTGTAGTGATCAAATCAGGGTAATTGGAATATCCATGACCTTAAACATTTGTCGTTTCTTTGTGTTGGGAACATATATGTATATATTTATAGGAATGTAAAAGATTACAGTATAAATATGTCCTCAGCTTGTTATATAATCTTCATACATATAATTTTAATGGCTTAAATATATTCTATAAAGTAGATTTATCACGTTTTGTTTATTATCCAATGTTAGATTTTAATGTAGTTTTATCATCATTGATTTCTTTTGCTTGTTCCTAGACTTCATATGAAAGGAATCCAATAAACACATTCTTTTTGTCTAGATTTTATTTTTGTATGACACAATGTTATTAAGATTGATCCGTATTTTTATATGTATCACTGGTTTATTCCTTTCTTTGGCTGAGTAGTTTTCTGTTTTATAAATATACCAGTTTATCCATTCTCCTGTTGATGAACATTTGAGTTGTTTCAAATTTTAGGCTCTTACAAATAAAGCTGTTATAAACATCCATATACAATTGACAAATATTTTCTATTTTTTTGTGACATACGTTTTCATTTTTCTGGGGTAAATACCTAGACATGTAATATCTGGGACAGAGGATAGATGTATGTTAGTTTTATATGAATATCCAGACTTGTGCATTTTACATGTCAATCAGAGATATATGAGTTTCAGTTGCTTCATATCTTTGCCAAAAGTTGAAATTGCCAATATGTTTTATTTTAGCCATTCTAGTAGGAGGGAAATCATATCATATATATATGTGTTTTTTCCGGACGGCCAATAGTGTTGAACCCCTTTTAAACTTGCTTTTTATATACTTATTGGATATTCCCTTTAAAAAATTATAAAACATGCTTTAAAATTGAGTTGTGTTTGTCTTTTTGCTATAAACTTTCAAGAGTTTATATATTCTGGATACAATTTCTTTTTCAGATATGTGGAGAATATTATTTCCCAGCTGGTGGCTTGCCTATTCACTTTATCAATATTGTCTTTGATGAGAAGAAATTTTTAACTTTTATGTACTCTCATTTACCAATTTTTCAATCTTAAGATTATTCCTTTTTGTGTCCTAGGGAATCTTTGCTGCCCTAAAGTTGGAAAGATGTTTTTCTGTGCTTTCTTTTAGAGGCTTTATATTTCTAGCTTCTATATTTAGGTTTTCGTCAAATCTCAAATTGATTTTCATGTGGAGAGTGAGGTAAGGATCGAAGATCTTTTTATCTTTGTGAATATTCAGCAGTTTCAGCACAATTTGTTCAAAAGATAATTCTTTCCCCTTCAAACTGACCTGGCAACTTGATTGAAAATTAACTGACTGAATATATCTTGCTCCAGTTTTGAACTTTCTGTTCTATTCAGTTTATCTATTTGTCTATCATTATGCCAATACCACACACAGTACCATTGTTTCTTTGTTGACCTTCTGTCTTGATGACCTGTCTAGTGCTGCCAGTGGAGTATTAAAGACCCCCGACATTATTGTGTTGCTGTCTATCTCATTTCTTAGGTCTAATAGTAATTGTTTTATAAATTTGGGAGCTCCAGTGTTAGGTGCATATATATTTAGGATTGTGATATTTTCCTGTTGGACTAGTCCTTTTATCATTATATAATGTCCGTGTTTGTCTTTTTGAACTGCTGTTGCTTTAAAGTTTGTTTTGTCTGATATAAGAATAGCTACTTCTGCTCACTTTTGGTGTCCGTTTGCATGGAATATCTTTTTCCACCCCTTTACCTTAAATTTATGTGAGTCTTTATGTGTTGGGTGAGTCTCCTGAAGACAGCAGGAATGTGGTTGGTGAATTCTTATCCATTCTGCCATTCTGTATCTTTTAAGTGGAGCATTTAGGCTATTTACATTCAATGTTAGTATTGAAATGTGAAGTATTATTCTATTCATTGTGCTATTTGTTGCCTTAATACCTTTTTTTCATTGTGTTATTGTAATATAGGTCCTGTGAGATTTATGCTTTAAGGAGGTTCTATTTTGTTGTATTTTGAGGATTTGTTTTAAGATTTTGAGGATTTGTTTTAAGATTTAGAGCTCATTTTAGCAGTTCCTATAGTGCTGGCTTGGTAGTGGCGAATTCTCTCAGCATTTGTTTGTCTGGAAAAGTCTGTATCTTTCCTTCATTTATGAAGCTTAGTTTTGTTGGATACAAAATTCTTGGTGGATAATTATTTTGTTTAAGGAGGCTAAAAGTCAGACCCCAATCCCTTCTAAGCTTGTAGGGTTTCTGCTGAGAAATCTGCTGTTAATCTAATAGGTTTTCCTTCATAGGTTACCTGATGCTTTTGCCTCACAGCTCTTAAGATTCTTTCCTTGTCTTGACTTTAGATAACCTGATGACTATGTGCCTATGCAATGTTGTTTTTGTGATGAATTTCCCAGGTGTTCTTTGAGCTTCTTGTATTTGGATGTCTAGATCTCTGGCAAGGCTGGGGAAGTTTTCCTTGATTATTCCCTCAATATGTTTTCCAAACTTTTAGATTTCTCTTCTTCTTTGGAAACATCAATTATTCTTAGATTTGGGCATTTAACATAGTCCCAAACTTCTTGGTGGCTTTGTTCATTTTTTAAGATTATTTTTTCTTTGCCTTTGACGGATTAGGTTAATTCAAAAGCCTTGTCTTTGAGTTCTGAAGTTCTTTCCTCTCCTTGTTTGATTCTGTTGCTGAGACTTTCCAGTACATTTTGCATTTATCTAAGTGTGTTCTTGCTTTCCAGAAGTTGTGATTGTTTTTTATTTATGCTATCTATTTCACTGAAGATTTTTCCTTTTATATCCTGTATCATGTTTTTTATTTCTTTAAGTTGGAGTTCACCTTTCTCTGGCGCATCCTTGATTAGCTTAATAATTGACCTTCTGAATTCTTTTTTTGGCAATTCAGAGATTTCATCTTGGTTTGGATCCATCGCTGGTGAGCTAGTGTGATGTTTTGAGGGTGTTAAGGACCTTATTTTGTCATATTACCAGAATCGTTTCTCTGGTTCCATCTCATTTGGGTATACTAGGTCAGAGGGAAGATCTGGGACTCAAGGGCTGCTGTTCAGATTCTTTTGTCCCATGGGGGTGGTCCCTTGAAGTGGTGTTCTTCCCCTACCTCTGGGAATGGGGCTTCCTGTGAGCAAAACTGGAATGATTGTTTTTGCTCTTCTGGATCTAGCCACCCAGTGGAGCTACTGGGCTCTTGGCTAGTACTGGGTAGTATGCATAAAGAGGCCTGCGTTGTGATCCATCTTCAGGTCTTTCAGCCACGGATACCAGCACCTGCTCCAGTGGAGGTAGCATGGAAGTGAAGTGGATTCTTTGAGGGTCCTTGGTTGTATTTTTGTTCAGTGCACTGGTTTTGTGTTGGTTGGCCTCCAGCCAGGAGGTGGCACTTTTAAGAGCACATCAGCTGCAGTACTACAGGGAGGATGCAAACTTTCCCTAGGAATGCCTGGTTAAGTATTCAGGTTTATTAGGCAGTAGACAGGGCCATAGAGCTCCCAAGAGATTATAACCTTTGTTCTTGGCTACCACGGTGGGTAGACAAAGACCAACAGGTGGGGGCAGTGATAGGTGTGTCTAAGCTCACACTCTCCTTGGGCAGGGCTTGCTGCAGCTGCTGTGGGGGATGTGAGTATGGTTCCCAGGCCAATAGAATGATGTTCCCAGGGGAATTATGGCTGCCTCTGCTGAGTCATACACGTCACCAGGAAAATGAGGGAAAGTTGGCAGTCACAAGCCTCACCCAACTCCCATGCAGCCCACAGTCTTAAAGGCCAGTCTCACTCCCACTGTGACCCCACAACGGCACCAAGTCTATTTCCAGGCAGCCGGTGACCAGGGTTGAGAACTTGTCCCAGACCACAAGCCTCCCTACTGAGAAAGCAAGCCAACTCAGTTTTCTGGCATCTCAGGGAGACTGCAGTGGTAATCCAGTTCCTTCAAAGGGTCTGTGGATTCTCTCAGCTTTCCTGGTATATTCCTGAGGTAGTTCTTGGAGTGAAGGTTTACAATGTGAGTCTCTGCATGCTGCTCTATCCATCTGAGCAGGAGCAGCTGGCCTTTTACAGTGAGCTTAAACACTTTATAAATGTGATTACATAGTGCCAATTACACTAGTTTTATGATAAATCTTGAAATAAGGTAATGTAATTCCTCCACCTTGTTTATCTTGGTCAATATTGTTTGGCTATTCTAAACTCTTCGCATATCCACACAAATATTGAAACTAACTTGTCAATTTCTACAAAAATGCTTGCTGGTATTTGGATTAGGATTGTTGTAAATTTATAGATCAGTTTTGGAAAAATAAACATTTAACAACATTGAGTCATTCAATCAATAAACATGATGTATCTTGCCATTTAGTTATTAACAGATCTTTAACTTCTTTTAGCAATGTTTTTTACTTTCAGTGTAGAGGTCTGGCCCATCTTTCATTAGATTGATTCCTAAGTATTTGATATTATAAATAATATTTTGTAATTATTTGCTATTTTAAATAATATTTTAAATTATATTTTCTAATAATTCACTGACAGTATTCATTGAGAGTATAAAAATACAGCTAATTTTTGTATATTGATATCTTATCCTGTAATCTTAATACATTTACCATTAATTACTTATAATATTTTTATAGATTTCTGAAGGTTCTCTACATACAAATCATGTGGTTTGTAAATAAAGATAGCTTTACTTCTTCCTTTCCAATTTGTCTGACTTTTCTTCCTTTTTCTTATCTTATTGTATTGGCTAGGAGCTCAATATAATGTTTTGTAGAAGTAGTAAGAGTGGATATTGGTGCCTTGCTCCTAATCTTACTTCATTATTAAGTAGGATATTTGTTGTTAGCTTTTTTGTTGTCTTTTATGAGAGTGAGGAAGTGGTGTTCTTGGGAACCACTTCCTAGAAAAAATCCTAGATATTGAAAACAATGCTCAAAAATATTACATTTTGTCAGATGCTTTTTCTGCATCTATTGATATAAATACATAGATTTTCTTTTATATTCTGTTAATTTTGTGAATTACATCGATTATATTTTGTATGTCTAAAAAAACCTTGCATTCTTGGGACAAATCTTAGTTGTTCATGATGTATTATTCTTTTATACATATATGGATTTGATGCAGAAATATTTTGTTAAGGACCATCACGTTTATGCTTATGAAAGACATTGTTCTGTAATCTTCTTTTATTGTAATATCTTTTTTAGGATTCGGTTTCAAGGTTCAGATTGCCTTATAAAACAAATAGGGAAGTGTTTCCTCTGCCTCTATTTGAAAAAGTGCCACATGAAACAAGTAGAGGAGTGCATTCTCCTCCTCTATTTTTAAAAAAGTTTGTTTTGGAGAGTGACATTATTATTCTTTAAATGCTTGATATAATTCATTAGCAAAGCTATTTGGGAGTGAACTTTTCTTTGGTGTAAATTTTTTCAAAATTACAAATTCAATTTATAAAAATAAGTTTGAGACTATTTAGATTTTCTATTTTATCTTGTTTCAGTTTTGAAAAGTTTTAATTTTTTCAAGAAATTTGTCCACTTTATATCAGTTGTGAAATTTATTGACTTTGAAGTGTTCATAATTATTTCTTATTTTCCTTTTAATATTGAAAGGATTTGCAGTGAAAGTATTTTTTTTCCATTCCTGAGCCTTCATGTTCTCTCTTTTTATTTATTGATTAGATTTTGGTATAGGTTTATTCATTAATTTTTTCAGACACTAATTATGACTCTACTAATTTACTCTGTCATTTGTTCATTTACTCATACTTTGATTTCTACTCTTATTTTTATTATTTGCTTTTTTCTACTTTGGATTCATTTTGTTCTCCTTTATCAATCTTCTCAAGGTAGAAGCTTAGATAATTGAATTTTTTTATTTTTTATTTTTTTGCTTTTCTAGTATAGGTATTAAATGCTATAAATTTCCATTAAAATATTGTTTAAATTGCATTTTACAAATTTTAATGTGTTGTGTTTGTATTACCATTCAATTAAGTATATTTCTAATTTCTTTTGTGATCTTTTATAGGTCCATGAATATTTTAGAAATGTGTTTTTTAACTTCAAAATATTTTGAGATTTTCTAAATATCCTAGTGTTATTGATTTTAAACTTTATATTTTTGTGGTCACATAATATACTTTGTGTGTTTATATTATTTGAAGTGTATTCAGAGTTGTTTATGGCCCAGAATATGATTTATCTATGTGTTTATTTCATAGGCAATTGAACAAAATCTTTCTGAAATGTTTGGGTGCAGTGTTCTATAAACATCAAATTGTTTTAAAGTCTGCATCCTTACTGACATTTTTGTGTACTCATTCTATAAATTACTGAGAGAGATGTTAAAGTCTCTGTTGCTGTGGATTTCCTCTGTTTCTCCTTTTACTAGTCTCATTTTCTGCTTCTGTTATTTTGATGCTCCGTTATTAGGTGTATAGACATTCTTGATTGTTATCTTGATGAATTTAGCCTTGTATTGTAACAAGATGTCCCAATTATCTTCAATAATACTACCCTTCGTTTTGAAAACTACTTTCTGTATTATCAGTATAGTCACATTATGTTTAGCATTTGTGTGGTATATTTTTTCCATCCTTTTTTTTTAATCTCTTCTGCATCTTTATGTTTAAAGTATCTTTCTTATAAATGGTTATAGTTGGGTTTTGTTTCTGTATACAGCCAGATAATCTCTGCTTTTAAATTAGAACAGTTTATTTACATTTAATATGATTATTAATATGATTGGATTTAGTTCTACCATCTTGATTTTGGTTTTCTATGTATCCCATCTATTTTTTTCCTCCCTCCTTTTCTGTATCCTTGTAAGTGATTAAGTATTTCATTAGCTTTTTTTTTTTTTTGGACGGAGTCTTGCTCTGTCTCACAGGCTAGAGTGCAATGGTACAATCATGGCTCACTGCAGCCTTGACTGCCAGGGCTCAAGCGATCCTCCCACTCAGCATCCTGAGTAGCTGGAACCACAGGTGCTCCACCATGCCTGGCTAATTTAAAAAAAAATTATTTGTAGAGACAAGGTCTCACTACATTGCCCAGGCTGGTCTCAAACTCCTGGGCTCAAGCAATTCTTTTGCCTCGGCCTGTGAAAGTGTTGGGATTACAGGACGAGCCACTGCACCCAACAGCCTTTTAACTATACCTATTTTTGTTATGAAATTTCTCTATAGATGATTCTGTGAATCATTTGTTTAGCAACGTGTTTTAAAATAATAACTACTTCACGAACAAGGTAAGAACACTACAATAGTATCATTATATTTATCTCACTCCCCTCCTCTATGCTCCTGTTGTCATATATTTTATTGCTACATATGCTCCAAACTCTATAATTCATTGTTATAATTGTTTTAAACAATTAATGTTTTTTAAAAAATTAATAACATGGCCATTTAATGTTTTAAATAGTTTCCATCTCTGTTAAAACTCCCCATTTTCCACACATATTGTACGTCTTTTCCCCAGACTCTTATGCATTTAAAAAATGGACAATTATCTTCTTTTGAGAATTGTCTATTCATGTCCTTACCCAATTTTTGATGAGATTGTTTGTTTTTTTCTTGCTAATTTGTTCTGAATTTGTTGTAGATTCTGGATATTAGTCCTTTGTCAGATGTGTAGATTGTGAAGATTTTCTCTCACTCTGTGGGTTGTCTGTTTACTCTGTTGACTGTTCCTTTTGCCATGCAAAAACTCTTTAGTTTAATTAAGTCCCACTTATCTTTGTTTTTATTGCATTTGCTTCTGGGTTCTTGGTCATGAAATCCTTGCCTAAGCCAACGTCTAGAAGGGTTTTTCAGATGTTATCTTCTAGAATTTTTATAGTGTCAGGTCTTAGACTTAAGTCCTTGATCCATCTTGAGTTGATTTTTACATAAGGTGAGAGATGAGGATCCAGTTTCATTCTCCTACATGTAGCTAGACAATTATCCCAGCACCAGTTGTTGAATAGGGTGTCCTTTCCCCACTTTATGTTTTTGTTTGCTTTGTGGAAGATCAGTTGGCTGTAAGCACTTGGGTTTATTTCTGAGTTCTCTATTCTGTTACATTGGTGTATGTGCCTATTTTTATACCAGTACCATGCTGTTTTGGTGACAATGGCCTCATAGTATAGTTTGAAATCAGGTAATGTGATGCCTCCAGATTTGTTGTTTTTGCTTAGTCTTGCCCCTTTGGCTATGTGGGCTCTTTTTTGGTTCCATATGAATTTTAGGATTGTTTTTCCTAGTTCTGTGAAGAATGATGATATTTTGATGGGAATTGCATTGAATTTGTAGATTGCTCTTGGCAGTATGGCCATTTTCACAATATTGATTCCACCCATCCATGACCATGAGATGTGTTTCTATTTGTTTGTGTCAACTATGATTTCTTTCAGCAGTGTTTTGTAATTTTCCTTGTAGAAGTCTTTCACCTTTTTGGTTAGGTATACTCCTAAGTATTTTATTTTATTTGCAGCTATTGTAAAAGTGCTTGAGTTCTTGATTCGATTCTCAGCTTGGTCACTGTTGGTGTATAGCAGAGCTGCTGATTTGTGTACATTAATTTTGTATCCTGAAGCTTTGCTGAATTCATTTGTCAGTTCTGGGAGCTTTTTGGAGGAGTCTTTAGGGTTTTCTGGTTGTACAATTATATCATCAGCAAACAGCAACAATTTGACTTCCTCTTTTCTTATTCTTGTCTGATTGCTCTGGCTAGCATTCCCAGTACTATGTTGAATAGAAGTGGTGAGAGTGGGCATCCTTGTCTTGTTCCAGTTCTCAGACGGAATGCTTTCAACTTTTTCCCATTCAGTATTATGTTGGCTGTGGGTTTGTCATAGATGGCTTTTATTACCTTATGTCCCTTGTATGCTGATTTTGCTGAGGGTTTTAACCATAAAGCGATGCTGGATTTTGTCAAATGCTTTTTCTGCATCTATTGAGATGATCATGTGATTTTTACTTTTAATTGTGTTTATGTGGTGTATCACGTTTGTTGACTTGCATACGTTAAACCATCCCTGCATCTCTGCTATGAAACCCACTTGATTATGGTGGATTATCTTTTTGATATGTTGTTGGATTCGGTTAGCTAGTATTTTGTTAAGGATTTTTGCATCTATGTTCATCAGGGATATTAGTCTGTAGTTTTCTTTTTTGTTAGAAGATATGCAAATGGCCAAAAAACATGTGAAAAAATGCTCGACATCACTAATGATCAAGGAAATGCAAATCAAAACCACAATGTGATACCACCTTACTCCTACAAGAATGGCCATAATACAAAAAAAAAAAAAATAGATGTTGGTGTGGATGCAGTGAAAAGGGAACATTTCTACACTGCTGGTGGGAATGTAAACTAGTACAACCACTATGGAAAACAGTGCGGATATCCCTTAAAGAACTAAAAGCAGAACTACCATTTATCCAGCAATCCCACTACTGGGTATCTACCCAGAGGAAAAGAAGTCATTATACAAAAAGATGCTTGCACATGCATGTTTATAGCAGCAAAATTTGCAATTGCAAAAATGTGGAACCAACCCAAATGCCCATCAAACATTGAGTGGATAAAGAAAGTGTGCTATGTATATACTATGGAATACTACTCAGCCATAAAAAGGAATGAATTAATGGCATTTGCAGCAACCTGGATGGGATTGGAGACTATTATTCTAAGTGAAATAACTTAGGAATGGAAAACCAAACATTATATTTTCTCACTCATAAGTGGGAGCTAAGCTATGAGGATGCAAAGGCGTACATAGTGGACTTTGGGGACTCAGAGGGAAATGGTAGGAAGGGAGTGAGGGATAAAAGGCTACAAATTGGGTTCAGTGTATACTGCTCAGGTGATGGGTGCACCAAAATTTCACAAATCACCACTAGAGAACTTACTCATGTAACCAAATACCACCTGTGTCCAAAAAACCTGTGGAAATAAAAAAAATTTTAAAAATAAAAATGGACAACTAAAAATGGTGTGTATATATACACACACATACATATGGTGTACAATATGATGTTTTGAAATATGTATACATTTGTGAAATGGCTAAATGAAGCTAATTAACATATGGATTATTTCATGTGCGTACCCTATCTTACGGTGAAAACACTTAAAATCTACTTTCTTAACAATTTTCAAAAATACAGTACACTGTTATTAACTATAGTTACCATCTTGTACAATAGATCTCAAACTTATTCCTCCTGCCTCACTAGAATTTTGTGTCTTTTGACTAACATCACCTTAAATCCCCCTAACTCTCACCAACTTCCACCACAGCCTCTGGTCACCACCATTCTACTATATTAATATGAGTTTGACTTTTTTAGATTCTTCATATAAGTGAATTCTTTGATATATTTAATGTATTCTATTTATCATATAGTTGCTGTCTAGATAAAGCTAACATCTGGGTCTCTATTTACTGTTCCTCTCTTGACCATGTGCCACATTTTTTCTTGCTATCTTATGATGTTTTAATTCTTTATGTTGGGCAATGTGTGTAAAAGTACAGTAGTGTCTGAAGTAAATAATGTTTGCCCACAGAAAAGGTTATGTTGGCCAGGAGTGGTGGCTCATGCCTGTAATGCCAGCACTTTGGGAGGCTGAGGTGGGTGGATCACCTGAGGTCAGAAGTTAGAGACCAGCCTGTCCAACATGAGGAAACCCTGCCTCTACTAAAAATACAAAAAATTAGCTGAGTGTGGTGGCACATGCCTGTAGTCTCAGCTACTCAGGAGGCTGAGATGAGAGAATTGCTTGAACCTGGGAGGTGGAGGTTGCAGGGTTGCAGTGAGATGAAATCGCACCACTGCATTCCAGCCTGGGTGACAGAGTTAGACTCCACCTCAAAAACAAACAAACAAACAAACAAACAAACAAACAAAAACAGTTATGTCCCTTTGATCATACTATTAGCATAAAAGACTGATGCCAGGTGTTGTGGCTCATATCTGTAATCCTACCACTTTGGAGGCCGAGGCAAGCAGATCACCTGAGGCCATGAGTTCAAGACCAGCCTGGCCAACATGGTGAAACCCCGTCTCTACTGAAAATACAAAAATTAGCTGGGCATGGTGGCATGTGCCTGTAATCCCAGCTACCTGGAAGGCAGAGGCTGCAGTGAGCTGAGATCCCACCATTGCACTCAAGCCTGGGTGACAGAGCAAGACAGTCTCAAAAAAAAAAAAAAAAAAAAAAAAAGAATCTGAGTCAATGAAAGGTTATATTTGAGCAAGGTTTGATCCAGTTTGATCCAATTCACCACTGGCTTCGAATGTTTTGAGAATGGTATCAGGACTATCCTTTCATCAGGTCTTGGGATCTGAGCATTAGTGAGACTTAAAAAAACAAAACAAAAATCCTTTTGATACTTTGTAGCCCTGTTGCCGGCTTTCTGAACCATGGGAGGGTTTTCTTTCTTTCCGCTTTGCAGACAACTGCCAGCTTGGGTTTGGGGTCCTGCTCCTGGGTTTTTGCAACTTGGGAGACCTCTCTCCACCCTTGGGCCCTGGTTTCAGTCTTAGGAAGGCCACTGTGCTGCACTTATGTCCCTTAAGGGATTTTTCTCAGCTCTCCTTTCCTGTACCCAGCCTTTGGCAAACCACTGTCTCTCACTTGGGGAAGGTCCTCTGTACCCCAAGATGATTTTCTCAGTTCTCCTGCCTTGCCTTTAGACTTTGGCCTATTGCCCCTTTGCACTTGAGGAAGAACTGTGAGAAAGCATTGGCATGTAGCAGGAGTAGACTGGCTCTGTTGCTAGGGCTTTTGGGGATTCTAATCGGTTCCTTTCCTTCCTTCCTTTCCCTCCCTCCCTCCTTTACTTCTGTCTTTCCTTCTGTCTTTCTGTCTTTCTTCCTTTTCTTTTCTTTCTCTTCTTTCTTTCCTGATGGAGTCTTGCTCTATTGCCCAGGCTGGAGTGCAGTGGTGTAATCTTGACTCACTGCAACTTCTGCCTCCTGGATTCAAGTGATTACCCTGCCTCAGCCTCCCCAGTAGCTGGGACTACAGGTGCGTGCCACCATGCCCAGCTAATTTTGTATTTTTAGTAGAGATAGGGTTTCACCATGTTGGCCAGGCTGGTCTTGAACTCCTGACCTCCAGTGATCCACCTGCCTCAGCCTCCCATAGTGCTGGGGTTACAGACATGAGCCACCATGCCCGGCCTTTACCTGTGGCTTTCTACATCCTAAGCAGAAACAGAAGCCCCAGAGGTGTTATTTTTAAGTTTATGGCAATGTATTAGGTTGGTGCAAAAGTAATTGCAGTTTTGCCATTTAAAAGTAATGGCAAAACTGCAATTACTTTTGCACCAACCTAATAATGGAGGAAAATGATACCTTGGTGTTTTAATTTACATTCTTATTCTCTGGGAACCAAACGTCGCAAATCTTTTTTTGCTAGTTACAGCACTTCTTTTGTAGGTATATTTTGCCCATTGATATTTTAGAGTCCTAACTTTTTTTCTGAGCAATATATATTAGATGTTAAATATTAAACATAGTGCCTATTTGTTATGTTTGCAGAAACTTTTTTTATTTGCTGTTTGGTTCTGTATTTTACTTTTTTTGTAGTCAAACCTATAGAATTTACTCTTTCTTTTTATGCCTTGCATTTTTTCTAAACTTGTAAAGTTCCTTTTTTTTTTTTTTTTTTTTGAGATGGAGTCTTCCTCTGTCTCCCAGGCTGGAGTACAGTGGTATGATCTTGGCTCACCGCAACCTCTGTCTCCCGGGTTCAAGTGATTCTCCTGCCTCAGCCTCCTGAGTAGCTGGGACTACAGGCTGGCGCCACATGCCCGACTAATTTTTGTGTTTTTTGGTGGAGACGGGTTTACACCATGTTGTCCAGGCTGGTCTCAAACTCTTGACATCAAGTGATCCGCCCATCTCGGCCTCCCAGAGTGCTGGGATTACAGGCATGAGCCACTGTGCCCGGCCTAAAGTTCTTTTTCCTCTAAAGGTTGGGAGACTATCCAATTCTATTTCTTTCTGAGATTTTGATGTTTCGAAAGAAAACATTTAACTTCCACCCAACTGGAATTTATTTCAGTGCGTACATGAAGTGAGATTTTGAAATTACTGTTTCTTCAAATTGGTAGTTAATTGTCCTAACACCATTTATTGGGTAATCCTTTCCTTCCCTCATTGAGCTGTAATGAATCCTACATCTTTGTACATAATCAGGTCCATTTCAGTGCCATCTGTTCTATTACAGTGATCTCTGGTCCTGGACAGATACAGATGTATTTTTGAAACTGCAAAACCACAGAGCTAAATGTGGACTTGATACAGCCTCCTCTGGGCCCAGGAGTCACTGTGAAAGCATCTTAAAGCAGTTATTTAACTTTTATTTATTATTGATTCTATTATTTGATGGTTTAATTCATAAATCTCCCCTCCCCCAATTAAAGCTCTTTGAGGGCTGTAATTGTCCTTGACAGTGTTAAATTCTTCCTGAGCCCCATCCTCCTTGGAAACAGCAATGGCTAAGTCCCCTCTTCCCTTTGTGTTCTGGAAATGGCTTACTGAAAAGAACAAACATTCCCAATGTTTCTCAGTTCTCCTGCCTTGCCTTTAGACTTTGGCCTATTGCCCCTTGGCACTTGAGGAAGAACTGTGAGAAAGCATTGGCATGTAGCAGGAGTAGACTGGCTCTGTTGCTAGGGCTTTTGGGGATTCTAATCGGTTCCTTTCTTTCCTTCCTTTCCCTCCCTCCCTCCTTTATTTCTGTCTTTCCTTCTGTCTTTCTTCCTTTCTTCCTTTTCTTTTCTTTCTCTTCTTTCTTTCCTGATGGAGTCTTACTCTATTGCCCAGGCTGGAGTGCAGTGGTGTAATCAAGATCCAAGTATCCATGTATCCAAGATTCATGGATAACCCCCTCACTTACCTATGAACGGCCCAGACACAGACCCTGGTCTCAACATGAACAGCTGGACTATTGATTCCTACAGATAAATCTGAACAAAATACCCGCTAACTTGTCTTGGTCAAACTTTAGTTACGTTTCTCCTCTCCCCACAGGCCACTGAACCTTGACCCAGAGAAATAGCCCCACTTCAGGATCCCTCCTGAAAATAGGGCAACAACAAAGAAAAAGTCTTTCTTCAACTGTCTGATAACGCCATCATACCCGTTCTTGTTTACTCCTCCTTATAAAAGTTAAACCTCGGCCAAGGTGGGCAGATCACAAGGTCAGGAGTTCAAGACCAGTCTGGCCAATATGGTGAAACCCTGTCTCTATTAAAAATAAAAAATACAAAATTTAGCTGGGCATGGTGGTGTGCACCTGTGTAGTCCCAGCTACTCGGGAGGCTGAGGCAGGAGAATCGCATGAACCCAGGAGGTGGAAGTTGCAGTGAGCTGAGATAGTGCCACTGCCCTCCAGCCTGGGCAACAGAGCAAGACTTCATCTCAAAAAAAAAAAAAAAAAAAAATAGCTAAGCCTCTTTCTGCCTGAAGCTTTTAAGGTCAGACAGTTCTCCCTGTGACCATAGTCTCCTTCCCTCTATCGTAAGAGTCTTTTCATTTCATGTTATTATTTACCGCTTGAGAAAAGATAGTGTCTTCCTGCTCACCACTATGACCTCAGCATCTAAGCAATTCCTGGAACAGTCAGTGATTAATAATGGCTCAATGAATGGTTCATGCTAGTGTTTTTAAAAATTGTATTGAAAGAAAAAAATCAAATAGTTCAGAATGGTGTGAAATAAAGTATAAAATCTCCCTTACCCTTAAGTTGTATTCTTTGGAAGTCACCACTATTCATATTTCTTTCATATCCTCTAAGAAGTTTTCTATGCTTATGTGGAAAAAGATGTGTGTGTGTGTGTGTGTGTATTGCAGATGCAATTATTTACACTTAAATATTCTTTAACTTTGTCTTTTATTTATCAATCATATGTATTCATATATGTTGAATGATGCCTTCTCTATCAGTATATATACAGATAGCTCATTCTGCCTAATAACAGCATAGTATTCCATTGTGTGGGTGTGCCATAATTTATTTAAGTTATTTTGTTCCAGGTTTTTGATATTATAAACAACACTGCTGTAAATATCCTATGTATATATTTTAATCCACCTGTGTAAATATGTGTACGAGGATACATTCCTATAGTAGAAATATTTAAGAATTTCACATTTTGGTAGATTATCAACTTATCTTTTAAAGAGAGTGCATCAAATTATATTTCTACCAAAAAATGAAGAGAACAAATTTTTCTCTAAATTCTGGTCATAATTGGATACTAATTTGCCTTTATTATAGATGAAAAATGGAATGTAGCTACTAACATAGTTTACATTTCTTTAATTGTGTAAGATTGAGCATCTTGGTTATTGGCCAATACTTATTAGATTTTTTCTTATTGATTTTAAAGAGCTCTTTTTATATCAAATAAATTAGTTTGCCTGTCATATATGTTGCAAATATTTTACTCATTTGTCTTGATTTTGTAAATGCTATTTTTTGCCATAATTTTTTTTTTGTATTTTTATACAGTAAATTATATTAATCTTTTCTTGTATATCTTCTACATTACTTTCAATTCAATGTATTGGCAGAGCATACTTTACTTAAGATCAACATTTATACATATTTAAGTTGTTTTAAATTTTTAAATTATTTTAAATAATACTGGCAGGTACATATTCATATTCATGGTTGATTACTTCTTTTGGGCAAATTCCTGAGAGTATTGATTTGGAGTCAAAAGATATGAAGGTTTTAAACATTTGATAGGTATTGCCAAATCAAGGCCACCAATTTTTATCCCCATCTGGGTCCACTTATCTACTAGGTCAGTAGAAATACCTTAAAAAAAAATTCCAGAAGAGTTAAATGCAGGAGCTAGAAAAGGGATGGGGAGCAGGAATATGGGGAGCCCATGGCAGAAGGGCACTTTAAGAAGATTTATGGTAGCATTTTTATCACTTAGCTTTTACTCCTTCTGGCATAGTTTGCTGGAGGGGTTTATCTGGTATCCTTGAAGCTTTGGAAGTTGGGGTGGGGATTAATTAGAACCTTACCTTATAGTTGGGTTTGTACACAACCGTGGAGACTCTCATATCAGGCAGCAATGAGAGACCCTTTTTACTCCATTTTCCCTTCCCTCCCCTTCCCTCCCTTCCTCCCTCTCTCTTTCTTTCTTTGACAGACTCTCACTTGGTCCCTTAGGCTGGAGTGCAGTGGTTTGATCATAGCTCACTTCAGCCTTGAACTCCTGGGGTCAAGTGATTCCCCCTGCCCCATCCCTCTCAGCTGAGACTACACGCATGTACCACCATGCCTGGCTAGTTTTTAAATTTTTGTTTTTTTTTTTGGTAGAGGCAGGGTCTTGCTTTGGTATCTAAGCTAGTCTCAAATTCCTGGGCTCAAGCAATCCTCCTGCCTCGGCCTGCCAAAGTGTTGGGATTATGGGTGTGAGCCACCGCATTCAGCCCCAAATTTCTATAGTGAACACATATTGCTTTCATTATTTAAAAAAAAAAAAAGGGCTGGCATGGTGGCTCACGCCCGTAATCCTAGTACTTTGGGAGGCCAAGGTGGGCAGATCACTTGAGGTCAGGAGTTCGAGATCAGCCTGGCCAACATGGTGAAACCCCATCTCTACAAAAAATACAAAAATTAGTCAGTTGTGGTGGCGCACCTGTAATTCCAGCTACTCAGGAGGCTAAGGCTCAAGAATCGCTTGAACCTGGTGGGTGGAAGTTGCAGTGAGCTGAGATTGCACCACTGCGCTCCAGCCTGGGTGATGGAATGAGACTTTCTCAAACAAAAACAAAAACAAAAAACAGTTATTTAAAAAATTTCAAGAGGTTAGAACAAAGAATACAAATCAAGAAGGAGACAGTTTCTATCCAGATTTGAAGACATATATGGTGCACAGATAAGGCAAGCACAGCTCCACAAAAGTCCAAGATAAGTCAACCGTCTGAAGTAGATGATTTTTTAAAAATGCTTTCTTAGATGCACTTAGGGATTATAGCATCCAAATTAAGATGGGTTAACATTCTACCAAATTAAAGCCAACGGGTAGAAATTTAAAATATAGCAGATTCAGGTTCACAATGATAAGAAAATTGCTGATATTTAATTAACTATCTTAACGCTGTCTTTAGAGAAATCAGTGGTTCCTCATAAAGGCCCAGCTGCCCTGTCCAGTGCCCTGAGAACTCACCAGACATTTTGTCTCTGGTTTTCTTAAAGTTCCAGCTCTCAGTTGTCTGTGGGATCAATAGGTGTCCCCACTCCAGCCCTCCCTTTCTCAATAGAGACTAGCCAGTCTTGTTTTGGAGACAGTGTAGGGTGTGGACAGTCTGTTGCCAAGACAGCAGGACAGAAGGCTGATGTGGTGGGGAGGTGGGAGAGAAGTAGGCATTCATGACTAGAATGAATTCTGTTTTGGCTCTCAGACAGCTTGGCACAACACAGTCTTCTCTGGCCAGCTGGAGAGTGAAAGCAGTCCCTGATCAGGCAGAGGCTAGTAGGGGACCCCAGGTAGGAATGGACATAGTCTTGCCAAAAAGAGAGTTTGGTAGGGGCCATGTTCTGTGCCCATTCCCATCTGCCCTGCCATGTTCCGTGCCTGCATTGCCGATGGTCAGAACTTCTGGGCAAAGAGTTGGCCTTTAAAATTCCTGACTCTCCTAAACATCTGGCTGAGAGGGCAACAGACTGGGGTTTAGGATTTCTTATTTCTGGTTCCCATTGTCAGAGCTGCCCCAGACTTCCTGAGTGATGTGGCTGGGTCCCTTGGCAAGGCTAGCCTCAGTTTCCCTGAAGTGAATGAACAGATGAGAAGGTGAAAGATCTGAGGTGAGTTAACATCTGGGAAGGATCAGATGTGGCAGATTAAAAATGGGCACTGAGCGGGGAGAAAGCCAGAAAGCACAAAATTAGAGTTAGTGCATGAGAGAAGGAGATTAAACAGAAAAGGAAAAATTGCCAGCAGCTTTGGATTTACCCAGCCGGTGTTTCTCCGCTGGGCAAGGAAAGCTTAAGTAATCCAAATTAATTTCTAGTTAAAGGCAGAGCTCAGAGAGCAATCAAACAGGTGACCACAGCTGGCACCAAATTTCGCTGGGAGATAAACCACTAATGCTAAAAATAAGCCGTGTGTGCTGAGGAAGGGATTGTTTGAAATCTGCCGACCCTCAGGGCAAGCGAAGGTTAGAACACTTCAGTCATTCAACACACTTACAGCAAGTACCTCCTCTATGCTAGGCACTGGGCTTCCAGTTTGAGTCAGAGGAATGGTCCCTGCCTTAGAGTTACTCACAGTATAGTGCAGAAGATGCACAGAGACAGAGGATATTGCAGGATCATGGGATAAGGAATCTGATAACAATATCCAAGAGGGTAGTGAAGGAAGCAGGGTAAAAGAAGAGTTAGTATGGGAAGTTAGGAAAGACTTTCTGCAGAATCAGACCCTTTAGCTAAACTCGAAGGACCAGGAAGAGTTATCAAGCTGATGAAGAGAGGAGGAAGGGGACTCTGGAGGCAGTTGCAATAGCATCTGTGATGACATGAAGTGAAAGGGAGCTTGCACATGCTCTGAGGAAACACCAGCAGTCCTGTGTGGCTGTGGCATGGGACACACTTGGGCTAAGGTTGTCGGTGGGGATGGAGGAAAGGAGATGGATTTGAAGGAAACCAAGCAATGAAAACCATAGACTTGGGGATTGACTGTTTCAGTGTGGTGTGTCACATGTCCGACATGGTGATCAAGTGGGGCCGTCCTCAGAGATGAGGAGTAGAGGAGGAAAAAGGAGGGCTTAGGCTGCGTGGAAGGGACAATTTAACACCTGTAGGGATTGACATCCAGATACCAGGCAGGGTAGAGCCTCTCCCTTTTCTCTCTTGCTGGTAACTCCCATCTCCATGAGTGGGCACCATCTGTGTCCGGCCAAGACTCCCATTTGGGGCTCTACTCACCTCTATTCTAAGCGGTAGCATCCCTCCTGTTGGACTTACAGGATGGGCTGCCTGGTGGTATTTGAAGAAATCTGATTTCATGCCGTAAGGACTCTTGTTTCTAGTGGCCTGGCCTTTTAAATTTTTCAAAATTTTAATTTAATTTTATTTTGTTATTTTTTAGAGATGGTCTTGCTCCGCCTCCCAAGCTAGAGTGCAGTGGTACAATTGTGGCTCACTGCAACCTCAAACTCCTGGGCTCAAGCAATCCTCCTGCCTCAGTCTCTCAAGTAGCTGGGACTACAGGTGCCCACTGCTACAACTGAGGGATTTTTTTTTTTTTTTTGGAGAGACAGAGTGTCATTACATCGCGTAGGCTGGTCTCAAACTTCTAGCATCAAGCAATCCTCCTGCTTTGGCCTGGATTACAGGTGTGAGGGGATTACAGGTATGAGCCACCACACCTGGCCCACTGGTATGATCTGTGACAGCTATTTTCAAGTGCTAGTCTTTAGGTGGATGAATGGTACAGCAGTTTTCAAACTGTGTTCCTCAGCGACCTGGGTTTCTGGGTTTAGAGAGTGCTCAGAAGAGGACTGAGGGTAGAGAAAGATGAGGATGGAGGAGGTGGGGGCAGAGTGGAGATGCAGGATAGGCTCTGGCCCTTCAGAGAACCCACTGCTAAGGCTCTTTTAAAAAGTTGTTTTAAAGAAAAAGACATTTGTGGATAAGTGATGACTAGGCCTAAGAGATCTTTATAACCTGGTAAGGAATCTAGCATGAAATTTTCAGCAGAGGGGGCTGGGAAGGGAGGGACAAGTTGGGATGAATCCACTGAGAAACGAGTTAAGGAGCTTAACGCACTGCAAACCAGCAGCCAGAGCGGGTCTGGTTTATGTGAAGTACTCGGAGGGGCAGAAGAGGAATTAACTATAGGGCTGTGTAGAGCTGGGGTAGGGAAAATAGAGAAATAACTTAATGTAGAGATGGCAAACCGAAGTCTGCATATGGAAACTGGAACCACAGATATGTTTTATTTGACTATCACATTGTTTTTTTTTTTAAATTTTGAATTATTTGCCAGCATTTAAAATGCAGGAGACATAACCAAGAATTTTGATTTCAGACTTCTGAAAAAATAAATCCAGACCTGACCACACGGGACTGATGTTCCCACAAGGCAGCAGTCAGCTGGAGCTGACTTTCAGGCAGGCACGAGCTTTCTGGGGTGCCCCTCTCATTTCCCCTGCACCTGCTTTGCTCACTGATGGTACTTAACTGGGTGCTGGCAGCTTCTGAGTCAAGGCACCTCCCATGAGTCAAGCAAACCAGGGGTCTGGGGCTCACTCCTTTCCTAACCCTGAAAACTTTTGCAGCACAAAATGATTGTTTTCTTTCCCTTTCCTGCCCCAAACACTTTTACTTAAACTGAATTCCTAACTATTCCTTCTACCATCCTCCTTGCTACCAGATGCATGGATGTAGTTGGCCATTCTGGGTTAGGAAGCCAGCCATGGGCCACTATATGGGTGACTGTAAAACTGCAGCTATGACTAATGTCATGAAAGTGAAGTTAGCTAGAGCTCATGGCAGACAGCCTTGCCCTAGTCAAGAAGACGAGGGCAGGTTTCTCTGCGATCTGATGGATGAGAAAGTGTTAGCAATGTAAAGATGGAAATAAGGAGTGATGCAGGTAGAGGCAAAGACAAGGTAGAGAGATACTAGGGAGAGAGGATGAAGATAGATGAGTGGGATGCAATGGAATTAGCCCAGGAGAAAGATACTAGTAGGGATTAGAACAATGGCAGGGGCTGGATTTAAGGGAATTTTAGGAAGTGAATAGATAGCACCAAGGGATGGAAGAGTGAGAAGGAATGGGGAGAGGGCTGTGAAGTCATGTGCCCTTGGTTTCTGGCTTCTGTCACTGGGCCGAGTTGGTGGCATTCATGGAGATGTGCAGACCTAGGAAAGCATGTGCAAGGAGTGATCATGAGTCCGTCCTTTCTGAGTTTGAGGAGACTTTGCAGCAGCTAAGAGGAGTTGACAAATAGACAGTTGGATACACAAGTCTAGAGCTCAGAGAAGACAGCTCTCTAAAAAGAGCTGTCTGCTAAAAATTCACTGGTCTGATGGTTGGCCACATACGGAGTACTTTGTACTCTCTGGTCTGAACAACTGTATCATCAATTCTTTCATTGATTAATTCAACAATTATTGATTAGACACCAGCGACCATGGCAGCAGATCCAGGTAGTCTGCTAGGTGCTGGCTCTATAGCAGTGAATAAACAGGTGCTATTCCTCCCGTCAAGGAACCAAGACAATGAGCTTTGCAGAAAGCGGGGACGTGATTTGATTCTCTCATCTCTACCTTCCTGCTTTATTGAATGGGTTATTAAAGGTGGGTTGGGTCTTTTACCTATTTCCCCCTCCCATGGATTGTGGTAAACAATTTAGAGCAGATTTACTTGTGTTTTCAGACTTCACAGCTACCTTTAGATAAGATTTCAAAACTGTCTGCTGTTACTACTTTGATAGTGATCCACTTAGTATATTCATCTCTAGACTTTGAATCTGGAGCTCTAAATTCTCTGAGACCAGGAACCAGACCTTGAATGCCTTCCTGCTTAAAGTGTTAGAGCTGATCTCTTAGGCCCTGAATGAAGTATTTCAAATACTCTGAAACTTATCCTTTGTCAATACTCATAGCCAGAAGAAAGTAAATTAATCATGAACATCGATTTGCTCATCTGTCTCTTTCTCTAGACTTTAAATATCTTGAGGGAGAGACCATTTATTCAACCTTGTATCTTCAGTTTCTAGTAAAGTGCATGGCACACAATAGGAAATTAATGAATATATATGCCGAACGAATAAATGAACATGGGACATCTTTTAATGATTTTCTTGTTCTCTAGTTAATTCTTATTTAACCTTGTGTGTGTTTTTTTTTCTCATCTCCTCAACTCTGAATTAAGTTGCTATAGGTAAGAACTTTGGTGGTTCCGTGATGTTGGGCTCGCACTGGATGCTCACTACATATTTGTTGATTGATTGCTTAGAGTTAGAAAGACTTTGACCCTCTACTCTGTCTTCTTCAGCTGTAATGACATCATCAGTTAGTTTTTACCATTTTCCCAGCTTGCAGTAGCAAACCAAGTCACTTAAATACTTACTACATCTAGGGACTATAGTGAAACTTTGGATTGGAGGGCTCTGAAGCAGAGATGCTTAGAACACTTTTGCTCCCACAGATAAGCACTTTCTCTCTCTCTTTTCAGCATCTTAGGAGCTAGGTACTATTATTATTCTTAATTTACAATATAAGATAACTGAAGCACAAGAGGTTGGGCAACTTGCCCAATCAGAATCGCCTGGAGCCTAGGACTTTTCCTGAACTCTGTTGCAGATTGCATTGTGATTTAGAGATGGGCCGTGGCCCCACAGTCTGCTTTAGCAAGCCCTCAAGGAGATTCTGATGCAGGTGGCACCATGAGTCACTGTGCCGTCATTGACATGGAAAACAATTACCTGGAGACTTAGACTGACTGTGTCTCATCTCATCGCCATGTTCCTTTCACTGACCCCTGAGGGATGAGGGATATGACCCTTTCCCACTCAATGTCTCTCAAGTCCTGTAAACCTAGAACGAAGCTATACTGAGGGTACCTCCAACAGGTTTTGACATGAGTCCCTTTGATAAATTGGGAAACTGCTAAAAACCTCATAAACAAGGGCTCCAATCACCCTGCATCAGCCTAGTGAATGAGATTATCTTTTCCTCTCCATATAACCACCTTAGAAATAAAATAAATGAAATTGAAAGAGGAAATTGTGGCCAAGTGCTGAGGCAGGTGGAACACCTGACATCAGGAGTTCGAGACCAGCCTGACCAACATGGTGAAACCCTGTCTCTACTGAAAAATACAAAAATTAGCTGAGCATGGTGTTGGGCGCCTGTAATCCCAGCTACTCGGGAGGCTGAAGCAGGAGAATTGCTTGAACCTGGGAGGCGGAGGTTGCGGTGAGCTCAGATTGCACCATTGCACTCCAGCCTGGGCAACAGAGCAAGACTCCATCTCAAAAAAAAAAAAAAAAAAAAAAAAAAAAAAAAAAAAAAAAAAAAGGAAATCATGAAAGGAGCCCACTTCCACTCAGATAGGGTGGTGTGCAGAGGTTAGAATTCATGAGGACCATATGATGATATGCTGGTCCAGGTGACCAGGAAAGAGGTTGGAGGAAAGGCATCTCAGTCCTATTAGAGGTCTAGGGTCCTGTCCCAGTGGGAGAAATCGCAGGGCCTTTGGAGAGAAACAGCTCAGACACCAGTGCTAAATAGACCTGGCTCAAGTTCTGGCTCATTGGCCGTATGGCCCTAGGCCAGTGACTTAACACCTCTAGCCTCAGTTTCTTTATCTCTAAAGTGAGAATAATAATACTTACTCTGCTGTATAGTGTATGGATTAGAGACAACAAGGTCACCTTGCTCAACATAGAGTCAGCCCTGAACCTATTAGCAAGGTCTGAGGTTTCCAAGGGTTTTCAAGGGCATGGCTGGGAAGAAGTTGGCATTCAGCCTTCCCATCACCTAGCATCGAAAATCCTCCTTGGGAAGCCCAGGGGAGAGTTCTGGCTCAAACACTGACTCACCAAGTGGGAATAAATACTTACGAGAGTCAGGCAATCTCCCCAGATTTCTTCCCTACCCTTTGGCTCTACTCCCCTCTTTTCATAGTTGACATTTAACGATATTCTGCGGAGAGGGGCTCAGCATTTAAAAAGATTCAATGGAAGGATCCAGAAGCAGGGAACCTGGGAGAACTTTTTAGCTGATGTTAAAAGTGCAAGATGAAAAGTGCTTTCGAGCCTGAAATTGAGTAACTATTGAGATTTGCTTCTGAGCCTGTGATTTGGTGTTGGCATATTTATAGGAGACCCTGGACTATTGAAGGGTGTGCAGGCTGGGCCACTTGCCAAGAAAGCCCTGGCTCAGTTCCTTCTGGAGCCTGCCAAGTTTTTGCTGCCCTAGGTTGTAGCCTTGAAGCTGAGGGACTTTCAGAGGCCCCAAGATAGCCCTAGGAAAAGAATGTCAAAAGCAATAGCAACGACTATCTAGCAAAGCATTGTGATAAATGCATTATCTTATCTTCACAGCCATCCTATGAATTAGATAGTATGGTGGTATCTTATATTAATTAAACAGCACTGGGAAGCAGAGTGCATAATAATGAGTCCTGATTTTTACTCACTGTGTAAACTTGGCAAGTTATTACCCTCTCAAAGCCTCGGTTTCCTCACCTGAAAAATGGGGATAGATGTATCTATCTCATAAAATTATTTATTTGAGATTTTCCAGATAAAGCAGGTAGCCAATATCAAGCATATGGTATAACACTCAGTAAATATTAGGCATTGTTATCTCTATTTTATAGATGCAGACACTGAAGCTTTAATGAAGTCAGTGGTGTGCCCAAAGTCACCTAGGCAGGGAGAGCAGGAGCCAGAACTCAAACTCAAGTATGTTTGACTGTGATGCCTTTGTTCTTAATCACTGGGTATGCTGCCTGAGCTGAAAAATTTCTGCAGGAGGTTTTGCTCAGTGGGAATTATAGCAGAGGTTTGGATTATGGTCTCTTTTTAAATTCTTAAAGAAGCAAGAACATCTAGACTAGAAGCATGGAGGAGAGAGGGTGCTGGAGCAGCCAGGCTGTGCTAGGAGAGTGGCTGTCCATGAGGATGTGTTTTCAGTGTTGGGCATGGTTGTTCTCTGCTCTGGGTCATTCTAGGTGGGCAGCCACCCAGAGAGGATGTGTTGTCAGTGTACTCCCTTCATTTTGACTTGCTCCATAACCATAATCTTAGGAAAGGGTGTCAGAAAGGATTAGATTTAGTATCACTGTATTGGAATGTGGAATTTCCAGTTTCAGGTGAAAGAGGCTATACCGGAAGGAGGTACTTTTTCTCTGTCCATCAGCCTGCCTCGCTCTTTCTCCTTTCCCTCTTCTACTGTCTCTCTCTTTCTCTCTCTCCCTGCCTCTTATTCTTGCTGTTTCTCAGAATGCCTATGAAAAAAAACAGCTAGTCCACAGCCTGGTGTCTTAGATGCCAATTCTTGGAGCAGTGGATTGCAACTAGATCTGTGCTTCTCAAACTCTCTTGGATGATGGGACAGAGTTTTTCTTTTCTTTTTTTTTTATTACTATTATACTTTAAGTTTTAGGGTACATGTGCACAATGTGCAGGTTAGTTACATATGTATACATGTGCCATGCTGGTGTGCTGCACCCATTAACTCATCAATTAGCATTAGGTATATCTCCTAAAGCTATCCCTCCCCCCTCCCCCCACCCCACAACAGTCCCCAGAGTGTGATGTTCCCCTTCCTGTGTCCATGTGTTCTCATTGTTCAATTCCTACCTATGAGTGAGAATATGTGGTGTTTGGTTTTTTGTCCTTCTGATAGTTTACTGAGAATGATGATTTCCAATTTCATCCATGTCCCTACAAAGGACATGAACTCATCATTTTTTATGGCTGCATAGTATTCCATCGTATATATGTGCCACATTTTCTTAATCCAGTCTATCATTGTTGGGCATTTGGGTTGGTTCCAAGTCTTTGCTATTGTGAATAGTGCCACAATAAACATATGTGTGCATGTGTCTTTATAGCAGCATGATTTATAGTCCTTTGGGTATATACCCAGTAATGGGATGGCTGGGTCAAATGGTATTTCTAGTTCTAGATCCCTGAGGAATAGCCACACTGACTTTCACAATGGTTGAACTAGTTTACAGTCCCACCAACAGTGTAAAAGTGTTCCTATTTCTCCACATCCTCTCCAGCACCTGTTGTTTCCTGACTTTTTAATGATTGCCATTCTAACTGGTGTGAGATGGTATCTCATTGTGGTTTTGATTTGCATTTCTCTGATGGCCTGTGATGAAGAGCATTTTTTCATGTGTTTTTTGGCTGCATAAATGCCTTCTTTTGAGAAGTGTCTGTTCATGTCCTTTGCCCACTTTTTGATGGGGTTGTTTGTTTTTTTCTTGTAAATTTGTTTGAGTTCATTGTAGATTCTGGATATTAGCCCTTTGTCAGATGAGTAGATTGCAAAAATTTTCTCCCATTCTGTAGGTTGCCTGTTCACTCTGATGGTAGTTTCTTTTGCTGTGCAGAATCTCTTTAGTTTAATTAGATTCCATTTGTCAATTTTGGCTTTTGTTGCCATTGTTTTTGGTGTTTTAGACATGAAGTCCTTGCCCATGCCTATGTCCTGAATGGTATTGCCTAGGTTTTCTTCTAGGGTTTTTATGGTTTTAGGTCTAACATGTAAGTCTTTAATCCATCTTGAATTAATTTTTGTATAAAGTGTAAGGAAGGGATCCAGTTTCAGCTTTCTACATATGGCTAGCCAGTTTTCCCAGCACCATTTATTAAATAGGGAATCCTTTCCCCATTTCTTGTTTTTGTCAGTTTTGTCAAAGATCAGATAGTTGTAGATATGCGGTGTTATTTCTGAGGACTCTGTTCTGTTCTGTTCCATTGATCTGTATCTCTGTTTTGGTACCAGTGCCATGCTGTTTTGGTTACTGTAGCCTTGTAGCATAGTTTGAAGTCAGGTAGCATGATGCCTCCAGCTTTGTTCTTCTGGCTTAGGATTGACTTGGTGATGCGGGCTCTTTTTTGGTTCCATAGAACTTTAAAGTAGTTTTTTCCAATTCTGTGAAGAAAGTCATTGGTAGCTTGATGGGGATGGCATTGAATCTATAAATTACCTTGGGCAGTATGGCCATTTTCACGATATTGATTATTCCTACCCATGAGCATGGAATGTTCTTCCATTTCTTTGTATCCTCTTTTATTTCATTGAGCAGTGGTTTGTAGTTCTCCTTGAAGAGGTCCTTCACATCCCTTGTAAGTTGGATTCCTAGGTATTTTATTCTCTTTGAAGCTATTGTGAATGGGAGTTCACTCATGATTTGGCTCTCTGTTTGTCTGTTATTGGTGTATAAGAATGCTTGTGATTTTTGTACATCGATTTTGTATCCTGAGACTTTGCTGAAGTTGCTTATCAGCTTAAGGAGATTTTGGGCTGAGACAATGGGGTTTTCTAGATATACAATCATGTCATCTGCAAACAGGGACAATTTGACTTCTTCTTTTCCTGATTGAATACCCTTTATTTCCTTCTCCTGCCTAATTGCCCTGGCCAGAATTTCCAACACTATGTTGAATAGGAGTGGTGAGAGAGGGCATCCCTGTCTTGTGCCAGTTTTCAAAGGGAATGCTTCCAGTTTTTGCCCATTCAGTATATTGGCTGTGGGTTTGTCATAGGTAGCTCTTATTATTTTGAGATAAGTCCCATCAATACCTAATTTATTGAGAGCTTTTAGCATGAAGGGTTGTTGAATTTTGTCAAAGGCCTTTTCTGCATCTATTGAGGGAGGAAAACAAAAAAAGGCAGGGGTTGCAATCCTAGTCTCTGATAAAACAGACTTTAAACCAACAAAGATCAAAAGAGACAAAGAAGGCCATTACATAATGGTAAAGGGACCAATTCAACAAGAAGAGCTAACTATCCTAAATATATATGCACCCAATACAGGAGCACCCAGATTCATAAAGCAAGTCCTGAGTGACCTACAAAGAGACTTAGACTCCCACACAATAATAATGGGAGACTTTAACACCCCACTGTCAACATTAGATAGATCAACGAGACAGAAAGTTAACAAGGATACCCAGGAATTGAACTCAGCTCTGCACCAAGTGGACCTAATAGACATCTATAGAACTCTCCACCCCGAATCAACAGAATATACATTTTTTTCAGCACCACACCACACCTATTCCAAAATTGACCACATTGTTTGAAGTAAAGCTCTCCTCAGCAAATGTAAAAGAACAGAAATTATAACAAACTGTCTCTCAGACCACAGTGCAATCAAACTAGAACTCAGGATTAAGAAACTCACTCAAAACTGCTCAACTACATGGAAACTGAACAACCTGCTCCAGAATGACTACTGGGTACATAACGAAATAAAGGCAGAAATAAAGATGTTCTTTGAAACCAACGAGAACAAAGACACAACATACCAGAATCTCTGGGACACATTCAAAGCAGTGTGTAGAGGGAAATTTATAGCACTAAATGCCCACAAGAATTTTTCTTTTACAATTTGTTGTTGAATGAGTTTTAAAATAAAATATCTGTTTATGTGTTATAGAATATTTTAATAAAATACGTATTTTTGTTAAAAATGTATTCTTTAGAATATATTTGTGGGGAAATAAAAATATAAGCATGCAAAGCCCCTTTTTTATTATTAGGATAAACACATTTGATTGCCCTGTCAGATTACTATACAAGTTTCAAAATGCTTACCCTTAATTTCATCACTGACCTCGCTGTGGACCAGTAACAGGCAATTTGCAAATGGGCTCTGATACACACATTGAGTAGCCCTGGTCCTGATGATCTGGGGTGGGAGTGGCAGTGTGGACCCTTTAGCTCGAGGAGATCAAGAGCCCCCCCATCCACAGACTCACACACAGCAGTTTCAGCAAAGGACATGACCCTTTTAATGGCCATGCCTTGTCAATGATGGGAATGACGTGACTGACATGGCGCAGAGGGTATGTGTAAGAGCTACCCCAACCCCACCTGGCTCTGCAGAGTGCATTCCATGCTGCAGTGGCAGCTTCCATGTGGTTCTACTGCAAGCCCTAGACTGGAGTTTGACAGACACCCAAGAGCTCCCATAAATAATTGCCTTTGAAGCTTAGGCTCTGGGAAGAGGACTCGGAGTCAGCTTCTTATCTCTGTCTCTGATTGGCAGAACTGTCTGAGGCACACTGGGGGGTTATTTGGAAAGGGAAGCAGAGGAAAGCCATGGGCCCACTCCACGCAAGCCTGCCTGTAATGGACCTGGGAAGTATGATAGCATATCAGATCTTCTCTCCCCTTAACCTTGTCAGCCTGCCTTCTAGCACAGACAGTGCCAGCCATTGACAAGAGGAGGGGAGGATGATGGGAAATTCCTCTCTGGCAACAGCAAATCTGTTATGGGGGCCCTGAGGGATGGGAGCTTGCTCTGCCATCATATTTCTCAGCACCTTGAATCAAAATTGCCCAGCATGGGTCTCTACCCATCCACCCGTCCTGCACCCACTCCCAGGTGCATTGACCATGCTCATTCTTTTACCGTAATCACAATGTTTAAAATAGCTTTGGCCTGATTTCTGAAAAATCTGGTGCAAGGAGAGAGAGAGCGAGCGAGCGAGAGCAAGAGAGTGCCTTGTGGCAATGGGTGGTTGTGTCTGCCTCCCTGGAGGCCACATATGCACCTGCCACTCTGCCTGCACCTTTCTCTCTTCTGTCTCAATGCCCTGCATCCACTTTGCATAGCCCATTATTTTCCTGGGAAGCTTCATCCAGCTCACAGTGTATTTCTGGCATAACTGATGACTGACAGGTCCTAACTCAATTAGTAAAACACAGCTTATGACTCACTCCTGAGTTGCCCCAGGTAGCGCCATTCAGAGTCCTGAATGAGTCCAAAATGCTTTACGCTCTAAGCTTTTGGGAACAAAAGATACATCTCCCACTGAGAGGAAAGGGTCTTTTATAAGTGGGGTGCTTACTATCTGCTTCACATTCCAGCCAATGCTGGAAAGCAGGTGGGGCCAGGGAGGGAAGAGCGACAGGCTCCTGACACCAGGGAAGGGCTGCCTCTGGCCCCCATGTAGCTCTTCTGAGTATCTTTTCTGTTTCCCACTTTTATTCACAAACAGCATCCCTTGTGACTCTTTTCCCTGAAACCGAGAAATGACAAGGATTGAGCGAGTGGGAGTCAACAGTCTCGAGTAGAGATGGAACAGGAAAGGACATTTTGTCCTTTCAAAGTATTCAAAGCTGAAAAAGTCAAGGCTGTGGCTGCAATGCAGTCATGCCAGCTGGAGTCCCCTAGGACCTGTCAGCAGGCTCAATCTGGAAACCACTTTTTTTCCCAAGGTAGTACGGTGCATCTACAAGAGCACTGCTTTGCAATCCGATGGAATTGGGCCTAAAACCTCTCTGTGCTTTCAAATACCTCTTTTTAGGAGGTTTTCAAGTCTTTCCCAGATAATCTCATTCATTTATTACCTGTAGTCTTGTGATTTTGGCAAGTCAGGAAATATCACTATTTTTTGTTTTATAGACAGGGGAGAGAGGCTTCCTATTAATCTCTTAGCATCAACCTAAATCACAGTTCTTTAGGAACATCATTGAGTCAGGGGTTAATCACCTAGAAAATCTTCCTCACAAAGCCATCCTGGAGTATGCAAATACCCAGGAATAGGCTGAGGAATAATTGCAGGTAGCTGGCTCCACAAATAGTTTTTAAATGTGATTGGAAGGCACTCTGTGGTTGTAGCCATGCAATATAAATGCTAAGTAACAATGATGGGGTCCATGGAAATGATGAGAACTCTTTGCCCCCCCATGGCCTCTGGACTAAAACAACCAAACCCTGAAAACTACTTCTGCATGCCATTTATGTGTGGGTGGCCCCCACCTCTCTGTGCTCATGAAAAATGTTATTTCCTTGGGGGATGAGAGGGTGGATCTAGTGAAAGGAAAGAAGGCCACTTGACTTCATTTCAGGGGTCCCCAGACCCATCTTCTTTTTCCTTTGCCCAAGGGAAAGGATGTGCCTCCACTCCTCTTTTTGCCTTTTTTTTTTTTTTTTTTTAACTCCTCTCTAAGACTGGTCTGGCCTGACTTGGAAGGGGACCTGGCTAGCAAATTGCTTGTCCTGCCTGGGACCTTCCTTTATGGTAAACTGGGGCCAAGATGCCTCCAGGGGGAATTCTAGTCTCTTTGCTCTGCCCGGGGAGATCCAATAGTCAAGAGACACACATCAAAACTTTACACAGTGGGGAAATGGTGGACCCTGGGCAAGTTGGACAAAAAACAGCAGCAGCCAAAGAGGAAGACAAGGTCCAGGGGAAGGAAGGTGGAATGGGACATGTAAAGAAAGGAGACCACTGAGAGCCACTTCCTCCCTGGCCCCCAGTCCCTTGTACTCTCTTTCCTTTGCCTACGTTCACACTGTAAGTGGTACCCACAGACTCAGGTGAGGTCCCTCAGGATGTCTCACAGGGTGGGGAACCTGCTGTCCTTTGGAATGGGGGGTTTCTTAGGCTATTTCCTTCCATGAAGGGGATGAGGCAGGGACACTTTGCTGGGAATTTTGTAGGACACCATTCTCCATCTCCATTTTCTACAGCATCTTTATAAATAAAAACAATTATTGTTGCATATTTATCATGAACAATTATAATTAACCTAGACAGCAACGAAAGTCATGTTATTGATGGCACTCTCTTTCCACCTCCCTACTTTTAAGGAAAAATTGGCAAATATAGAAAAACCCAAATAATAAAACAAAAATCCCCTATAACTCCATCAGTCAGAAATAACTATGGTTAGCATTTTGATGTAAAAATTATTTCACCTTTTTTCCCCTCTGAAAAATATATTTTTTAGCAAAAATGGATATCCTGCAGTAATATAACCTCCTTGCACATAACAATATCCATAAACATTTTCCATTGTCATTAGTTTTCTACAGCATCCTTTTTATGTTTGCAATGAATTTCATCATGATTATAGCATAATTTATTTAATAATAGAAAACACTTATAAAACACTTCCTATGGGCTACATTTTACACACATCATCTAATTTATTCCTAGCCACATTTCTATGAGGTAAATACTGTTATTATCATCCACTTTCTATAGGTAAGAAAACAGGTTTGGAGGCAATGTTTTGCTCAAGGTCACATAGACAGTGAATAGAGGAGCTGGAATTTGAAACTGACCCTGCTGTTTCTGGCTCTGGAGCCCCTGAGATTCCGTGCTGTGTGGCCACCTCAGCCAAGTGCCCATTGCTGTCATTTAGGTGGCTGCCAGTGTTTAAATAGTACAAACAGAGCTGTGAAGAACATCATTATAGCTATATGTTTTGCATACCCCATTGTTACTTTCAAGGATAAATCTCTAGAAATGAGGCCGTGAGGTCAATGCAAATGCACATTTTTTTCTGGGTCAAGAGGATTTGTTTGGGGCAGAGCAGACAGACCTGGGTGGAGCCAGTTCAGAGGCACTGAGGGCCAGGCAGACCCTGCTGTACCATCCCCTCCCCACTGCACCCACTTTTCCTGCCCAGCCACAGGGTTTCATCAATTTGAATTCTCACCTCCAATCTTGAGAGTGATCATTTCCCACACCCTCACAAACACTGAGAACTCTCATTTTAAAAATCATTGACTCATTCTTAGGTGGAAAAATGACATTTTTATTTGCAAATTTTACATTGCTAATAATTTTAATAAATTTAAAATTGCTAATTTTAAATTTGTTAACAGGCCAGCTATATTTCTTCTTTGCTGACTTTCCTGTCCATGTCCTTGGGATAGGGCATGGTTTTAACATGCAAGAGCTCTTCTTGCTTCCATTCCCTTGCTGGAATGAATGAATGTATGGATGGATTACATTTCCTGCAGTCTCTCCTGCGAGGTCTTCAATAAAGAAACTGATGATAGCTTTCCCTTCTGCCTTACTGACCAGGCAAGACTTTTGTTAACTGAAGTTCTAATTTGATTTATTCTGGAATGTAATCCTTGCTAGGATTGGTCTGTGCTAAAGCTCTGGCTAGAAATGGCAGACACAGGAGCTGTCTATGCGATCTTGAGTTCCCAGGAAAAATAACGCTAGCTAGCATTTATTGAGTACTTGCTATATGCACATTGTTTTTGTCCTCACCACATGGTTTTCCTCATCTTCATTTTAGAAAGGAGTAGAATGAGGCTCAGGGAAGCTAGGCCACTTGTACCAGGTCACACAGCTAGTAGGTGGCAGGAGAAGAGTATCTTTTATACCATGCTGTCCATCAAGGTAAATTTTTAAGGGGTTTATGAACCTTATTTTTTCTCTCTTCTTCATTGACAATTCTTGTTTATTTCATGACCATAAAAAATTAGTTGAAACTTAGGAAATTGTCATGCCAGATTTTATATTGAGGAAGTGTTGGAATAATGATTTCTAACCTGTCTTCCAGTTGCTTGCTTCTGTGATTCAAATGTTCCTCCTTTAGGAACCAAAAGAAGTCCATGTTGGACTCAGGCTGTCTCTAGCCAGTCCTCATTGCTGAGAGAATGACTGGGTCTACTTCCCCAGCCAGGCTGGTTTGAACACCCGCTTCTCTACTAAGATCCATGGATTCAAGAAGACTCCTGGTGGGCTGTCTGGTGTCATGTCAGGCACCATTCTCCAGAGAACAGCAAGCAGGGATGGGGAGAAGAGACAGATTGTTTACGATGAGGGAAAATAGAGATCCTCAGCAGGATTGCCTAGGGCAGGAACAAAAGAAAATGAGAACGAATCAGAATACCTTAACCCTTCAACAAAGATGAGAAGTGTGGGAGTGAAGATTTCACAGCAGGGTAGCATCATAAAAACTCTTTTGTGAAAGTCTAAAGGAAAGATTTAGTAATTCCCAGGTTTAGGACAAGCCCCTGCAGGTTTCTAGACTGTCTTTGGATCCTTGGGATGTCAAAGTGACATGGTGGCACCTCCTGGGGACCTTTGTAAATACATGGGAGCATCTTGATTTCCAGATGACTTAAAGGGTGCATCTGGTTTTTAGTGAGTGGCAGCCGGGCTTGCTAGCCCTGCTATACTATGTGGGGTAAACAATACTCTTCCTAGCTCCAAATGCCAATGGTGTCCCATTAAGAACACTGGATGATATTTCAGGATTCTTCCATTGCTAAAAATCTAATATTCTATTATTCCATTCTGGCTGTGATAGTCTATTTTCTTTAGAAACATTGTGAGAAAAAAATGTATTATCTCAATAGATGCAGAAAAATGGTTGGATAAAACTCAATACTCAGTCATAATTAAAAAAATCTTTTAGCAAATTAAGAATAAGCCCTCAACCTAATAATGGCCATCTATTACTTATAGCAAATATTATAATTAATTATAGAATATTGAAAACATTCACTTAAAGGAAGAAAGACAAGAATGCCCACTATCAATCATGCCACATGTCAACATTGTGCTTAAGGTTCTAACAAATGCAATTGAACACAAAAATATATAAGAAAGCTAAAGATGCAATTATTATTTGTACAATACTTGATTTTCAATTAAAAAATGACTTGTGGAAAAGCTATCAATATTTTTAAAATTTAGTTTTGTGAGTTAGAAGATCAACATATCTAGACTTATAACACTCCACACATCAGTATTAACCATATTAGAAAGCTTAAATTAAAAGAGATGTGTTAACAATAGCCAAAAAATCCCTAAATGTTACCTGTGAATAATTAGAATAAAGTAAGTACAAGAGTTTAAGTAATGTAATAAGAATTGAATAACTAGAGGGTTAGACCATATTTGTGGATGGCAAGATCTTATTATAAATACATTAATTCTCCCAAAATTAGGTTATAAATTCAATCTCAATATAGTAAAAATTGCCACACAATTTTCATACTTGACAAATTGATTCTAAAATTCATATAAATGTACCATCAAAATAATTCTGAAAAAGAAGATAGATTTGCTTTCCTGAATATAAAGGCATATTATTAAGCCATAATAATTAAATCAATGTAGTATTGCTGTAGGAATAAACAATTAGATCCATAGAACATAATAGAGGGTCCAAATACAGATCCAAGCATATGTGGGTCTTTGATATTTGATAAAGGAGGCATTACAAAATGGTAGGGAAGAAAGTTATCCAGTTCTTCTGTGGCAGCAGAACTCAAATTTCTGGTGTCCAGGCCAAAGAGTCTTGGTTTCTAAGCAGCAACTTTGGTGTTTCTATGAGAACAATCCTGTCATGTATTGAAGTATTTTTCTAATCAAAACATCCCTGACAATGTTGTTCCAGCCTACTTCTCTGGCCTTCCCAGAATTTTTATAGGCCGTCTTTATTAGTCTGTTCTCTCACTACTATAAGGAAATACCTGAGACTGTGTAATTTATAAAGGAAAGAGATTTAATTGACTCACAGTTCAACCTGGCTACAGAGGCCTCAGGAAACATACTACCAATGTACATACATACAATGTTTTCCTTCACAGTGCGGCAGAAAGGAGAAGAAATGAGAGCTGAGTGAAGGGGAAAGCCCCTTGTAAAGCCATCAGATCTCATGAGAACTTATTCACTATCACGAGAATAGCATGGAGGAAACTGCCCTCATGATTCAAGTAGCTTCTACCTTCCTTCCACCAGGTCCCTCCCATGACACATGGGAATTATGGGAACTGTAATTCAAGATGAGATTTGAGTGGGGACACAGCCAAACCAAATGGCCATCCAAGATCATTTAATTAAGCCTTTTTTTTTTTTTTTTGGCTTAAACAAGCTGTAGTGGATTCTGTTGTCTGCAATCTAAAGGAATTTAAAATGAACATATGATTCCATGTCCAGATATTAATGCTAACATGTGTTCAAATTGCCAGTTACAAGAATATCCATAGTAAACTTGATTGCAATGCTGAAAAACGAGAAACAAACATGTCCAGTAAATAATGAAATGAATTGTGATATAGTCATATAATTGAATATTATTCAGCAAGTAAAATGAATTAACTAGATCTGTGTGTATCATCATGAATAGAAGCATAATATTGAGTGAAAAATGTAAGTTGCAGGATGCTGTGCTCAATACTATCCCATTCATGGAAATAACACACAACTTAATACTATTATATGTGTATATGTATTGTGTTTTATATAATATAAAAAATAAGATTTTAAAAAAATGCACACTGAATTAATGATAGTAGTAGTACCTTGGAAGAGAGGATAGAAAATGGAATTGAAAATGATAAGAGAAGAAGCTTCCATTTTATCTAGAGATTCTATTTATTTTATATTACAAAATAAGGCACAAATTAGTTTGGGGTGTTGAGTGCATAACATTTATTATTCTTCGTACTTTTCTATATTTTTAAACCAAAGAAGGAGGAGAAGGAGGAGGAAGAAACGAAAGAAAAGAGTGAAGGAAAGAGGGAAGAAAGAATAATACCTAAAGTTTCTATTGTTTCTTACAGATAAATAAGCTCAAGGTACATTTCTCCTTGAAATCAGTCACACACACACACACACACACACACACACACACACACCAAGAGACACTCATAACATGATTTTAAAAGCTAATTAATTATTTAAAAATTATTATCATTAGATAATGAGAACTGTGTTTCCTTTTTATGCATTACCTGCTAGGAAATGCAGCTAAATTTTAGCCTTGGCAGTGATAATTAACTCATTTCAAGTGCTTGATAATCTCTATTTGTCTGATCCTTTTGTATGTGCTTTTTTCCCCTCCATTATCCTATTTCATACACTATCTCATTTCACAGCCATTTCAAATGAACTTGGGAAGTAATCAGGGAACAAATCCTTAACTTAAAATAGCTACTTTATTCTCTAATTCTAACATTTCTGAACTTGAATAGTAAAACAGGAGGGTGTCATTGGTATAATCTTAAAAACTGGGTTCTGGCACGTAGTTTGGTATACCTGCTCTTAAAACATCTTTGCTTTGTACCTTGGAGCTTGCTTGGGCATTAGAAGAGAGTAGGTGCAGGGTGGGGAAACAGTGGGAGGCAGGTAGATGCTTGCCCTCCACTATTGGGCACTGTGGATTTTATTTGGGTGGCAGCATGTTTTGTTTGCAATAAGATGCTATTATGCACAATAGCTTACCCAACAGAGCTCAGAATTAGGTATCAAGGCTCTTAGCAGAACCTGCTTCTGGGCCTGATTCCACCACTGATTTGTTCTATGACATTGGTCAATGAACACAATAACGACCATTAAAAAAATGGGCTTTGAGGTCATATATACTTGGCAGGATGTCTTAGTCCATTTTGTGATGCTATAACAGAATACCACAGATGGGGTAATTTACAATGAACAGAAATTTATTGGGTCAGATTTCTAGAGGCTGGGAAGTCCAAGATCAACAGTCTGGAACCTGATGATGGGGAGGAACCCATCATTTTACAAGGAACCCACTCCTGTGATAAGGACCACACTCCCACAATAATGGCTTTAATTCATTCATGGGCAGAGCCATCATGGCCTAATTGCCTCTCATTAGGCCCCACCTCAAACCCTGTTGTACCAGAATTAAGTTTCAAATGCATATTTTTATTTTTTTTAGGCTGAGTCTCTGTCGCCAGGCTGAAGTGCAGTGGCACGATCTCAGCTCACTGCAACCTCTGCCTCCTGGGTTCAAGCGATTCCCTGACCCAGCCTCCTGAGTAGCTGAGACCACAGGTACGTCCACCACACCCAGCTAAGTTTTGTATTTTTAGTAGAGCTGGGTTTCACTATGCTGACCAGGCTGGTCTTGAACTCCTGACCTTGTGATCCACCCTTTTCGGCCTCCCAAAGTGCTGGGATTACAGGCATGAGCCACCGCACCGGGTCATCGAATGCATACATTTTGGGGAACACATTAAAACCATGACAGTTAGAATCTGAGTATTGCCATGACGACTTAGGTGACAGTGGACGAGTTATCCTTTCTAACCCCTAATTTCTTAATTTACAACTAAAGATACTATTTCTCATAAAATGTATGTGAGGATTAAATGACATTGCTTGTCCTGTGCACAGTGCCTGGCAATATTGGAGACCAGGTAAATACTAGCTCCTATTTTGCCTTTCACTTTTACTATGCCTACCAGATAGCATAGCTGTAAGGATAAAATATAATAAAGGCATGCAAACAATCTTTGAAGGAAATGCAGATAACTATTTTAAAATGCAAAGCATTATTATTATGGTGAATAGTTTCTGCTTCCAAAGCAAATTTTATCAGTAATTTTAGTTTATTTGTGTTATGGAAGCTGACTTCTTCTTTGACCTCAGAAGCGACTGCACAGAAAATATGGTGTGATTATCTGTTGTTCTTTCAGAATTTTCTTCCAGAAATTCTGAATTTGCCAGCATAGACTTGGGTTCAAACTCTGGGAAGCTTCTACTTTCTTGCATCCTATCTATCCTGGCCCCACCCTACCTGTTGAGCCAGGCATTCTTCCTCTCTTGACTTTGAAACCCACTCACTGCTGATATGACTACATAACTAGAGATTTGCCAAATTTTATTTATTTATTTATTTATTTATTTATTTATTTATTTTTGCCCAGAAACTAAGAAGAGAACTTAAATAGGATCCACGCACATTTTCCAGAATGTCAGTGAGGTGCTAAGAGAGTTTCCACTGGAGGATGTTCAAATCAGGCTTGTGAAGAGTCTTGATGCTCTTCTTTTTCTCACAGCTGCAAGTTGAGGGGAACCAACATGTTTTTTCTCCCTGCAGTAGGTCTGTCCCCAAAAGAAAGCCATACAACCAGTCAGCCCCCAAGGAAAAGCTGATTCCCTCTGACATAGCTCATTCTCAGGCCTACCTGGCAACATCAGATTCCTGAGAGTGGTTTGTGAGTCAGTGCTACAATATTACTACCTCATTTCCCAAATAAAGAACCAATACTCTTTCTCACATATACACACCACCACTCCCACTGCCAACACCACTATCACCACCACCAAGACCAGCCAGCTCCAACCAAGTCTTAAAATCTAATTCGTTTCCTGAACAGGTGGGCTTATGACATTGTTTCCCAGGGACTGTCTCCAGATGATAGTTATGTAGAGTAGGAGAGAAACATATTTAGAGAAAAAAAGGGAAAGAGGGGAAGATTTTAGGGTATCTATTTCCCAAGTTTTTGTCTGGTTCCTAGAGAGGGTATAAGCAAAGTTAAGGGAACCTTGCATTAGATTGCACTAAGTTATATTGTGGGGAAAAAAATCTCAGTGGTTTGCACATAACAGTTTATTTTCTCTAAGTCAACAACTGCCCATTTCCAAGGCTACTTCCTTCTGTAAGGTGACTTGAGAATGCTGGTCACTTGAAACTTGCCCAGCCCCTGGGACACGTGTCACCCACATCTTTATAGAAAGAGAATCAAGTGTGGAGAACTCACAGTCTCTCCTTGATGATTTGGCCCAGAAGTTACACACACCTAATTTCCCTCATAGACCAATGGTCACGACTAGTCATATGGCTCCAACTTAATTCCAAAGAAGCTTGGAAATGCAGTCTTCCCATGTTCCCAGGACAGTAAAAGGGGCATGGTGAACCCAGGACATGGTCTCTGCAATGAAATATTCCCAGGAAGGATACAAACAGTGCTACACCAGGGCCCAGGTGACAAGAGCAGCAAGGGCTAGTCTTGCTGTTCTGGGCAGAAATGATGTCTCCGTCAGGCTGAGGGGAGGTAGCCCTGCTGGCACTTTCAGGGTTTTGGAGCTATAGGAGCACAGGGAGATGGCCCCTGGCCAGGAAAGTAATATCTTCTGAATATACCAACATCAGTAGCTACTGGAACAGTTTCCTAAAGCCTGGGGCAAAGAACTTTCCCCTGGGAAATGAAGAAGCAATAATTTAGTTTTGTCTGAGGCCCATGTTTCTGCCTAACTGATCTGATTAAGTATCTGAAATGGAACAGGTCACTTGCATTTTCTCTCCCATCTCTCTTCCCTTACTTTGGCCTTGGGAGGGGTCTGTGAAGCACTGTGACTCAGCTGCGGCTTCTATAGGCTGATGACAGAGGACCCCAAAAATGAATTTTGAATGTTGCAGAGAGCCTACAAGGGGTCCCTAAGTAGCTCAGAACCCACCACAACCCTGGGAACACAGATTCTTTCCTGACTTGTAAGGTCTCCTTGGGGTCATGGATTTTAGTTAAAATCCTAGGGAGGGTCTAATTGCTGGCTCTCCTCTCCTTGGTTCTGGGGTTATAACTTTGCTCCATCTATTGTAAATATTTGGTGAGAACTTGAGCTTAGGATTTAAGTTTGGAAGACCCAGGTTTACTCAGACTTGCCAGCAATGTGCTACTACCCTATTCTATAATCTCTCAGTGCTACCATAACCCCTACTGAAAAAATCAAAAAATGAAGAAAGCATCACTTCTTTTACATGTTAGGAGAATTAAATGGCATAAACACGTGGGAGCCCTCGGAATGGTGCCAAGAAGTGCCAACTTACCATTCTCCTCTTGTTTTGAATTTTTTAAAAAAACATGTACAGAAGAGTGCATAAAGTACAACTCAATGAATTTTTCACATACTGAGTGCACCCAAGCAACCAGCTCTCAGATTAAGGAAAGAACATTGCCAGCATCCCCAAGGCCGCTGGGGTCCCCTCCAGGCACCACCACTGGCCCTCCCTTGAAAGATAACCATTATCATGACTTCAAACCCCCATAAATTAGTTTGCTTGCCTTAAAATTTTATATAAATGGATTCATACAGAGCTCTTTTGTGTCTGGCTTTTTTCATTCAATATTATGTTTATAAGGCCATGTACTTCTTCATTTATATTTTGATGCTTAATTATATCAATTTTAATAGTTTGTAACATCTTGTACTGTCCACTCTCTGCCTCATATTTTATGTCCACAAAATACTTATTTGTGTCCTGCAAAGCTAGACATCTGATGGACTATGGAGATTATCACCTACTATGATGCTTTCTCCATCTACCCATGCCTTTAAATGAAATGAGAACTGTGGGTGTTCAGAGGACAGTAGCCAGACTGCTTAGGTGGCTGGATACTCACTGAGCCAATGTCCTCAGATACACTGTTCCTCAGCCCTAGAGGACAATACTTCTGCTGTCCTGTTCTAGGCCACTGCTTATTCCCAAGGAAATCCAGCCCAAAGAGGACTGCTTCAAAGCTCTTCCTCTCTTCTTAGCAAGACTGAAACACCTTCTCTCCAAAAGCCATGGGATAAATAATAGATAAAATCATTGCATTTAAATAGGATAGCCCTCAGGACCTTGGAATATTTTACTGAGGCATTAAAGGAAAATTCTCTTCTCCATACCCTATGGTGGTGAATAGGGGACAGAGCATATCTTTGCTCAGTGCTTTGGTGTCTGCAGAAGCAGAATGAAAATGAGACACAGGATCCTGGACCACTTTTTTTCTTGTTGGTTAGGGGAAATATATCCTTGTGCCACAGGGCACCCTGAGTCACACCTAAAAGGTTTAGCAAAAATGAGGGCTGTGTGGGCACCCATTAAATTTCTATTTCTTTATATCCTGCGTTCCAGCTGTAGCCCTGCACTCACTAGCTCATAGGCAAAGGAAAAGTGAACCACAGCTTCTACAGCTTCAGAAATCAATGACTCTGCTATTTTGCCTTAGGGACCTCTCAATACTGACTCTTCACTGGCTAGGGTTTGATGTCAATGAAGTTATGACATTGATTTTTTAGGACAGCAAGATCATAGGTGCCAGGATTTTAGTGTTCGAATGTCCCTCAAGTAGCCTAGTTCGTTACTTGTTGCACATGTCCTCTTCACTGCATCCTTGAAAAATTAGTTACCTGTTTTTTTAAATTTTCCAGCAAAGAGAAGCCTGCTCCTACCCCCCACCCTCCTTCAAGACAGCCTGTTTTCTTGCTAAACAACTGTAGTCGTTAGAAAAGCTCTTTAATAAGCCACAATTTTCCTCTAGTAATTTCCACCCATTTTCCCTAGTTGTATCCTCTAGAGTCACTCAGATCTATTCCAATCCATATAACAGAACTTTAACTATTTGAAAAATAGCTGTGATATATCCCTTTAGGTTACTTATTGAATTCCTACTTTTGACAAGAATTGAGTCCTCTCTTCTCAAAGTTAAACATTCTTAGTTTTAAAAATATTTATTACATGAAGTGGTTTTCTAGCTCCACTTTTGAGTGCTTTCTGGTTTGTCAATGTTCTTGAAATGTAATGTCCCACATTAGAATGTATTATTCAATTATAAAAATTAGAGGATTGCAATAGTAACATATTAGTTGGACAGATCAATGAATTTCAATAAACACCCAGAAATAGTCCCAAATATATATATATATATATATATATATATATATATATATGATTCTAGTATGTGATAAGAGTTCTATCTTGGATAATTTATCATGATAAATTCTAGATGAATTAAAGATTTCAATGTAAATATCCTAAAAGAAAAATTGTTATAGTTACATAATCTTAGGGTGTAGCATGACTATGTAAGTATAATTCAAAAGGCATCAACCATGAAGAAAAAGATAAATTTGATGACATTAATGCATTGTGTATGTGAAAATATCAGCAAATAAAGAGGCAAATAATAAGCTGAAAAACATTTTTGTAACGTTCGTATCAAACAAAAGATGAATATATTTACTATAGAAAGAGCTCCTAAATTAATTTTTAAATAAAAGATGAATTATTTTAATAGAACAAAGCAAAGGAAATAAACAGGCAATTTAAAAGGAAATTTAACATGGTTACTATATGAAAAATGTTCAACTCCATGCGTAGAGGAGGATATTCTCATTAAACCAAAATATTGTTATTCATCTATAAAACTTTTAAATATGGGATTAAAAACTCCACTAACTATAGTCAGTGTTAGCAGATTATGGATGTGAGAGTATACGCTCACATTCTGCAGCTTTGAGGGTGCATTGGTACAGCCCTTCTGGAGAATTAGTTGAAATATTGATGCTATGAATCAGAAATTTTAAAAATATGCGCATATTTTGATCTAGCAATTCTACTTCTGAGTAAATTTCTTGAGTAAATAATAAGTATTATGCCAAATATATATATACTCATTAAAGCATTATTCATAATAGTACCCTCCAGACTTTAAAGTCATATATCCCTATCAGTAAAAAACAACTAAGTAAAATTAAGCATGTACGCTAATCTATCTATATATTTTTAATAAATTACTTACGCGTAGCATCATAATAATATAGAACTTGTAAACATATGAAATAGATATGTTAAAAGTTGAGTTAAGTAGAAACAAAAAGACATACTAATATGTATGTTTCCCAGCAAACAAAAGGAATTATCTTGTGTAATTCCTGCAGTGGAAACTCCTGACTCTGGAAACCACAAATTTTATTATATCAAAAGCTGGAAACATCTTAAATGTCTACCAATAGTTAAGTGTTACATAAGTTTTGTTTGATATAATGGCCAATATGATGGAATAATGTATAGCATTTTAACAGTACAGTGTAGAAAGAAATGGATTCGAAAGCACTATAAGGAATGATTCCACTTCCCTGTAGTGGTAAAACCGCTTTTAGTAGACTAACTCGTGTACGAGTTAAAATATTAAAAAAACAACAATTTGAAGGAGCTGGAGAAGGATCAAAGACAGGCATGGTTAGAGGGGAATTGACTCTTGAAAGTAGGGAACTGTGCAGGGAGAGATTCACGTTTATGGCTTAGTCCCTAGGCCACTCCCAGGCACTCAACCTGACATAGAGCTGGAGTCCTGGCAGAAGCTGAGAAGCACCGCTTGCAGCATCAGGAGACAGAGTTCACGGTAGCCAGAACAACTACAAAGTCATGGTGGAAATCTCAGAGAAGGGGTCCAGAGAAGAAGGAGCCCCAAAATCTACATATAAACTTTGACCAAATTCTTGGAGGACCCCTGAATTTGGCACCAAGGACCCCAGCAAAAAGTGCAACTGGAAGGTTGAAAGAACTGAGCAGAGATTTCTGGTGCTGCCCCCTGCAGGAGAGACAGGATTTGGAGTTTGAGTCCAGTCAATTGAAGTCACTGCTGGAATGAAAATAACACTCTTCAGAGAAAGAAGAATCCAAGATTCTGCAACGTATCACTCTCAATGCCCGGCACAGAATAAAAAACTATCAGACATGGAAGAAACAGGAAAATATAACCCACAGCCAAGAGAAAAAGAAGTCCATAGAGAAATAACCCAACACAGTAAATGCAAAATGTGTAAGAACTTGAAGTCAAATATGATTCTAATGAACAGATGAGGAATTGCTGCAGAGAAATGAAAAAGGAAAAAAAAAAAGAACAAAATAGAAATGCTAGAACTAAAAAAGAAGATCTGATTTAGAGAATTCACTGGATGGGCTTAGCAGTCGATTGGAATGAGAAAAGAAAAAGTTATTGAACTTGAAGATAAATAAACAGAAATGATGTAATCTGAAGAATGAAGAGAAAAGATATTGGAAAAAAATCAATACAGCCCCAGTGGTCCGTGGGGCCATATCAAGTGATATAGTGTAGATGCTCTATGATCAAATGCAACGCTTGAAAGGTTTATCTGACCTATCCTTCCTGGTGAGCATAATTGTTACTGTATTGTCTGGTTATAGACACCAAGGGGAACCACTGCACCTATAAGCGTATGTTTGATTTTTATATTCATATACCCAGCCCAGTGATATTTTACCTTCTGTCTGCTCATACTGTCAGTTCCCCAAAATTACTTATTGACATTACTGGTAGTAGAAGTTTTCACTGAAGCCATGCACTGTGTAACCATTATTGGGAGATGGTTCTCATCTGATGTCTTGTTTTTCTGTACATCTTGTGCGCAGAGGTACTGATTACTTTTGTTCTGAAATATCTTTTGAGTGATTTTTATATAGGAAACACCTTTGGAAGATATAGTTTTTCTTTGCACTGCAAAGGGGGAGGCTGATTTACTGTCCAGTATAACGATTATGTCTCCCTCTAGGACAAAGGTCAGGCAGGTTTAGAATGGATTACAATCGGCTAATAATTGCCCGATAGAAATTGATTCGAGTTTCCCAGTTGTCAGGGCTTTCTTCTGTGACTCAATCCACTGATTGTGTGGGTGTCACATAGCCCTCTTTATTCCTGTGGAAATTGAGCCTTGGGGACCTGGTGCAAATGGTGACATCCTGGCTATTGCTATTAATAAGAGAGACCTTTGTCCCTCACCTAGAATACCTTGAGTCTTCTGCTAGCACCCATGAAATTGTGGCAGGTTAACTGGTTAGCTTGCAGGGAGGGTAAAACCTCATACGCTTCAATCTTCAATTTTTAATTTTTTTCCTCAAAGACAAGGTCTTTCTCTGTCACCCAGGCTGGAGTGCAGTGGTGCCATCATAGCTCACTGCAGCCTCAATCTCCTGGGCTCAACCAATCCTTTCACTTCAGTTTCCTTAGTAGCTGAGACTACAGGCATGCACCACCATGCTCAGCTGACCCCTCCTGTCCTATGGGCATCTGCCAGCTTCAGCTCCTTATTCTGTGGCTTTGCTCTTTTCAGCAGCTGGAGTTCTGATCGCTCGGCTTGACCCTAAGATGTAAACAAGAAGAGCACAGTGGGGCAGGTCCAGGCCCAGATGGGTGGGAAGAGCTGGGCAGCACAGCTAGTATTTAAATCTGACAGTGGGACAGAGCCAGGCTGCTGCCTATTTCCCTTCATTCCCACCATTATTCATCCAGGCTCCATTCTTGCCAAAGGACGAAAGCAGAAACAGACCCTGGCTGTTGTATTAAAAAAAGAAGAATACTATTTCTGACATTTGAGTCCAGTTCCCTTCACAAAATGAGACGTGAACTCCATCATAGAGAAAGTGAAATTTCCTGACACTTGGAAATTAAGATTTGGTAAAGACGAGCAGCAAGTGATGGATTTTCTGGCTCTGGACATAAGGGCATGGACTGCTGGAGGGAGATCAAGGACAGCGTGGCTGTGAGGGGCTCCAGGGAGGCAAGAGGACAGACGGTGGCAATTGTCCTGGTGCTGATCTACACAGACTTTCTCTCTGTGATCTCTGCAGGGGCCCAGGATAAGGATGCCCTTCCTGGTCCCAGGCCCAGGAGCAGCAGGAGTGACTTAGCCTGGTGCATGACCTGCATGAACCCACTCCCCTGTGCTGGAGGGCTGTCTCTTGTTTTTGGCCTGCAAAGGCTTCTGAGGGTCAGATGGCATAGTATAAGTGGCAGGAGGCTGTGCCATTTCTCAGTGGAGAAAATTAGGATCAGAACTCAATACCAGGGTTCACGAAAGCTTTTCCTGGATGCTTAGAAAATCATTGTGTGTCACAGGGAAACTCAGAGACGAGGGCTTTTAGAGACCCCATAATCAGAAGCAGAAAAGAGTTTGCTTTTTGTTACTGAGGTTTCTTTGGGGAGGGAGTGGGGGAGATTCAGCAAATCAGGATTCTGAATCTTTCATATCCATCTGAAGGTGTTATCATCCTTGTACTTTCAAGCAAATTGACAAATGCAGATTCCACCCACTACCCCTGCCTATTATCATCCTTCATTAGGATCAAACTGCCCACAAACAATGTACAAAGGACTTTCTGCCCCTTTCCAATGTCCTTTCCAACAAGTGACATCAGGGGATTATAGCAGAATGGGAAACAGAGGGAGATACTTTCTCCCATTGAGGGAGAGAAATGGGAGATTCTCTCATTCTGTCCCTGAATTGACTGCTTGGATCCCATTAGTAGTCCAGGCCCCATTCAGAGTTTCCTCTCATAGGATGTCTGTCACTGCCTGATCAGTCAGAGCCCAGAACAAGGAGGGGGTGGCCAGTCCACACCAAACCCCTACTCAGAGGAACTGAGCCTGATTTGGTGAAGCCTGGCCACCAGCTAGGCTCAGCAGCTAGACTTCTCTCTTGGTACTTTAAACTAAGAGAAGCAGAACTTTCTAGTTGGAGGTTGTTTGTGTTGAAAGATTGTCAAAGTGTAGGGTGGAGGCACCCATGCTGAACTGTGGGCATATCAGCAGGAGTGGACCCTATGAGTTTATCCAAGGTCCATATGGCTCTGCAGGGTCCAGTCCCACGAACTCCTGGTTTCGCTTCCCACCATCCATCCTTTGCCCTCTTTTTGTCAGTTGCTCTTGTCTCCTGACTCTTCCTTAAACATGCAGCATTAGCCACTTGATATGGTTTGGCTGCGTTCCCACACAAATCTCATCTTGAATTGTGGGAGGAAACTGATAAGAGGTAATTGAATCATGGGGAAGGGTCTTCCCCATGCTGTTCTCATAATAGTGAATAACTCTCAAGATCTGATGGTTTTTATAAGGGAGAGTTTCCCTCCACAAGTTCTCTCTTTGCCCACTGCCATCCATGTAAGACATTACTTGCTCCCCCTTGCCTTCTGCCATGATTGTAAGGCCTCCCCAGCCATGTGGAACTGTGAGTCCATTAAACCTCTTTCCTGTACGAATTACCCAGTCTTGGATATGTCTTTATTAGCAGCATGAAAATCTACTAACATCACTTCTTCCCACTAGAGAGGAAATGTGTTCAATGCAGATATTTGTTTATTCATTACTGGATTGCCCCAGCACCCAACACCCAGTAGGCATCCAAGGAATATTGGTTGAAATGATCTGAACAAGTGTTAGCCACCATTGCCTGCTCTCCTTTTGCTTTCTTCTAGTTTGGGCTGGGACCTAGGTAGGGTGGAGTGGGATGGATGGGTCTTTAGGTATGTTTGAAGCCATAAAGCTGTTAGAGTGACTTGACAACATGAAATCACTGTCTAGTTATTGTACCCCATGAAAAATGATCTAGAGCCTGTCCTGCCTTGTTCTAGGTAATGCCTTATGCAGATCCTAAAAGCTTTCCAGTTTGAGCCCATCTCTTTCATGGGTGGGAGTGGGATGGGGCTTATAACAACTGACTGCTCCCCCAAAGGGGCAAGAAGCCAGTGGGCTGCATAAGAGAGCAAGGAGTGGGTGCCAAGCGGGTGCAACAGGCTCCTGGCTGCTCTTCTTGGCGACCTCTTCATTCCTTCTGCTGACATGTGAGACTGTGACCAGGCTCCAGGACCTCTGCAGCTCAGCTGCAGCCAAATTGCCTTCTTGAGAATAAACAATAAGAAAATTACCAGGCTGTCTGATGATGGTGCTTGTGGTTCCCATGTCTGGCCAGAGATTGCCTGGCAGGGCCTGAAACTTGCTGAATGTTGAAGTGAAGGTCAGGCTGACTGGAGACCACAGACAGGGGTGGCAAAGGGGAGAGGAATTCCAGTGAGAGGAGGGGGAAGAAGAGGGGAGGGAGGCAGGGAAGGAAAGCAGTATTCAGGGGAAGAGGAGGCAAAGAGATAGAATGAGGAAGGGGTGGGGAGTGATGAAGGAGAGGAAGAGCAGGCAGGAGAGGTGGGAATAGGCACAGACCAGGACGAGGAGAAGGAATATGTGTTATAGTAGGGATTCTCCACATTTCTGAGAATTTGGTGAAAGCTGCGGATCCCCTCCACACACACTTACACACACCAACATGCACAAATATGATGGTGGCATACATTTCAGTGGGTTCACGGAATCCCTAAAGCCCTATCTATGGACCAGAGAACACAGGCTAAAGACCCCCAAATTAACAGGGAAAATGGTGTGGAACAGTGAAGAGTAACAGTGGTGAGATGAAGGAATCTAAATGGAAAAGGACTCCTTGAGCTTGTCTCCTTACCAACTCTTCTCCCCAGTGTGTGCTGGAGAGGAGGCAACATGCATGTTCTGTAGGGGTTCGCTCCAATGTAAGGACCAGCTAGTATCTGTTCCTATAATATCCCTCATTCAAGAGTCTATTACTGTTATACCCACTATCCTTATCTCTATGTTTGAGGAAAAGCTAAAATGTACAATGCAACACAATTTTGATGATACATTGAGTTCCTGAACTAATGGAACATTAGTTACCAGCTAATTAACCAGTGTGAAAAATTCAGCTTTGTGTCTGAGTGATGTTCATCATCAATAGTTCAGACAACAGCAGCAGATGTCTGAACTATTGTAAGCATTGCCTTGTTGATATTCAGAAGTGAGCTTTTCCCTGTGTCTCTTTAGCCTGGCCCTTTCAATATGATTCTTTAGCCTGGCCCTTTCAATATGAACTTAGCTATACAAGAAGAAGCAACCCAGCCGTGAGAGATACATGGACACTATCTGTCACCCCAGTACACAGCCTGGTGGCAGACGTACCTGGGTTGAGATCTCACTTTGCCAGTTTCCACTTATGTCATCTTGGATAAGCTCATTAACTTCCCTGGGACTCAGTTTCTTCATCTGTACAAGGGATACAACCTATCTCACAGGATGTTTGATGCCAAATCAAACAACAGACATAAAGATCTACCCTAGATTCTGCCACATGATAGGTTCTGGGCATACCAGTCTGTATGCTTTGTTCTTTTATGAAAGTGTGTTGCACTTGTCTATGTTTTTAACTAGCTTTTAAAAATCAGACAATATCTGCACATGTTAAAAACATGAAAAGTACAGAAAAATATAAAGAAGGAAAAAAAATCATCCATAATCCTAACACCCAGAAGCAACCGCTGTTGGCCCTCTGGTATATGTTTCCTTCTGTGCTATTTTTAAAATTTGGCAGCAGCTCCATTTCGGTATGTTGATCCCATGTTGAAGTTCAGCCATTGTGCCTCCTGTAGCTGAGAAATAATTTAAACGTGAGCGTGAGGAGCTTCGTGAGTGCATCCTCTAGAGAGGGGGGAGACTGTATTGATGGTTTCCTATTGTTTTCATCTCTGCAAGTTGGGAAAAGCAAAAGCTTCCTGAGAGAATAACATTTTACTTTTAAAAGAAAATAAACACAGATATCATTGTGCAGAGATGGGCAACCGAGTCCCTCAGCCTCCCTTCCCCAGCTCCCCGACTGGCTGCTGTCCCTTATTTCTTATCGTTGGAAAGTTCTCTGGCTGAAACCACCAACCCTGTTGCTTAGCAGTTCATCTGCTCCTGCCTGTTCCCCTCCTGTCCCCAGGAACTCGGGGCCATGTGTTCCCTTGGCCCATATGCTGACAAGCATCCTCCCACCCAACCTGCCACCAACCCAGGCACCAGCCAGGGCCACCTGCTCCATGGCTGCCCCTCCCTGACTTCACAAGAGTTGGGGGTGGAAGGGGAATGGAGAGAGGTGGAGAAAAAGACAAAAGGGCTCCAGGGCCTTCTACAGACCTCCTTCCCCAATCCCTCCTGTGTTCCTTGCCCCTACTTTTAATTGATCTCTGCTTGGAGGATGCTTCAGGAAACAAAAACAGCCAAAAGTGGAGCTAGGCAAAGAAGGACATTGCTGCAGGGAGAATCTAAACTACCAATCCTTCATTGACCAGGCAGGTGATGCTGGAGGCTGGGCCACACCTCAACACCACCTGGCTTCTCTCCTAGGTATGGCTCTTATATATAGGGGGTATATATACATATGAGAAATGCTGTCTTTCTTAGCCTAGCATAGGGCTACCTGAGTTACCCTCTAAATTGGGCAATTTTATAGATGGTAGAAAGCCACTTTTATGTAGTCAGGGTATAAAAATACCTCTTACAACCCAAGCAAATATGCCTTTACTGGAATTGGAAAAGCTAGTCACTGATGAACTTGACTTGGTTTTCCAAAGAAGCACAGAGGACCTTCTGGGTAGGGAGGACAGACACCCCAATCCCTACTTCCTGAAATTCAAAGCCAGAAAGGCCTGTCAAGAATAGAATAGAGAGTTTCCCATCAAGTCCTGGTGTCAGTAAGGGTAACGAGGGTCCAGAAATAGACTAGAGGAAAAAAGGAACATAGACTAATGAGGAAGAGCCCAGAGCAGTGGAGGGGAAGGCTTGTGTATAGTGTGTGGCTGATGCCAGAATCCCATTAGACCCAGCAGCATGGCACAGCACTTGGGCCCCAAGAGCATGTAGGGCTATAACTAGGGTGGGGGTGGAAACTGAAGAGGGATTCTAGGCAGGGAGTGCCCTCGGATCATACTCCCTTGATGGCTACTGTGAGAACATGGATCAAGCAGGCACCATGACAAGGGACCCATGGGCAACTGCCAGCCCGGGCAGGCCCAGTGCTGAAGAGCATTCTTGGAATACGAAGAGAAGTGGGGCAGCTTCAGACTACTCAGAAAGCAGTAACATTTCCATCTGGGTGTGGATGTCAAATGGATGTTCCTTTGAGATAGTGTAAGCCCACCAAGTTTCTGAGAAGGAAGAAAATCGAAAGAGCATCATAGATTTTCTGCTTATTTGGCATTTGGGATTTTACCAAGTTTTAACTTACTTGGAATATTGATATGGTTTGGCTGCGTCCCTACCCAAATCACATCTTGAAATTCCCACATGTTGTGGGAGGGACCTGGTGGGAGGTAATTCAATCACAGGGGCGGATCTTTCCTGTGCTATTCTCATCATAGTGAGTAAATCTCATGGGATCTGATGGTTATTAAAAGGGAATGTTTTCCTGTACAAGCTCTCTTCTCTTGTCTGCCACCATGTGAGATGTGCCTTTCACCTTCTGCCATGATTGTGAGACTTCCCCAGCCATGTGGAACTGTGAGTTCTCCATTGAACTTCTTTCCTTTGTAAATTGCCCAGTCTCAGGTATGTCTTTATCAGCAGTGTGAAAACAGACTAATACAGTAAATTGGTACCAGTAGAGTGGGTGCTGCTGGAAAGATACCCAAAAATGTGGAAACAACTTTGGAACTGGGTAACAGGTGGGGGTCGGAACAGTTTGGAGAGCTCAGAAGAAGACAGGGAAAATTGGGAAAGTTCGGAACATCCTAGAGACTTGTTGAATGGCTTTGCCCAAAATGCTGATAGTGAAATGGACAATAAAGTCCAGGCTGAAGCGGTCTCAGACGGAAATGAGGAACTTGTTGGGAACGGGAGCAGAGGTGTCTCTCATTATATTTTAGCAAAGAGACTGGCAGCATTTTTGCCCCTGCCCTGGAGATCTGTGGAACTTTGAACTCGAGAGAGATGATTTAGGGTATCTGGCAGAAGAAATTTCTAAGCAGCAAAGCATTCAAGAGGTGACTTGAGTGCTGTTAAAGGCTTTCAGTTTTATAAGCAGAACATAAAAGTTAGGAAAATTTGTAGCCTGACAATGCAGTAGAAAAGAAAATCCCATTTTCTGAGGAGAAAGTCAAGCCGGCTGCAGAAATTTGCATAAGTAATGAGGAGCCAAATGTTAATCCCCAAGACAATGGGGAAAATTACTCCAGAATATATCAGGGGTCTTCACAGCAGCCCCTCCCATCATAGGCCTGGAGGCCTAGGAGAAAAAAGTGGTTTTGTGGGCTGGGCCCAGGGTCCCCGTGCTGTGTACAGCCTAGGGACTTGGTGCCTTGCGTCCCAGCCACTCCAGCCATGGCTGAAAGCGGCCAATGTAGAGCTCAGACGTGGTTTCAGAGGGTGCAATCCTCAAGCCTTGGCAACTTCCACATGGTGGTGAAGCCAGCAAGTGCACAGAACTCAAGAATTGAGGTTTGGGAATCTCCGCCTAGATTTCAGAAGATGTATGGAAACACCTGGATGCCCAGGCAGAAGTTTGCTGCAGGGGTGGGGTCCTCATGCAGAAACTGCTAGGGCAGTGTGGAAGGGAAATGAGGGGTTGGAGACCTCACACAGAGCTCCTACTGGGACACTGCCTAGTGGAGCTGTGAGAAGAGGGCCACCATCCTCCAGGCCCAAGAATGATAGATCCACCAAAGCTTGCACCATGCACCTGGAAAAGATGCAGACAGTCAATGCCAGCTCACAAAACCAGCGAGAAGGGAGGATTTACCCTGCAAAGCCACAGGGGAGGAGCTAACCAAGACCATGGGAACCCACCTCTTGCATCAGCATGACTTGGATGTGAGACATAGAGTCAAAGGGGATCATTTTGGAGCTTTAAGATTTGACTGCCCTGCTGGATTTTGGATTTGCGTGGGGCCTGTAGACCCTTTGTTTTGGCCAATTTCTCCTATTTGGAATGGCTATATTTTTCCAATGCCTGTACCCCCATTGTATCTAGGAAGTATCTAACTTGCTTTTGATTTTATAGGCTTATAGGCAGAAGGGACTTGCCTTGTCTTGGATCAGACTTTGGACTATGGACTTGTGAGTTAATGCTGAAATGACTTACGGCTTTGGGGGACTGTTGGGAAGGCATGATTGATTTTGAAATGTGAGGACATGAGATTTGGGAGGGGCTGGAGTGGAATGATATGATTTGACTGTGTTCCCACCCAAATCTCATCTTGAATTCCCACGTGTTGTGGGAGGGACCCAGTGGGAGGTAATTGAATCATGAGGGCAGGTCTTTCTCATGCAGTTCTCATGATAGTGAGTAAGTCCCATGAGATCTGACAGTTATTATAAGGGGAACTTTTCCTGCACAAGCTCTCTTCTCGTCTGCTGCCATATGAGACATGCCTTTCACCTTCCACCACGATTGTGGGGCTTCCCCAACCACATGAAACTATGAGTTCTCCTTTAAACCTCTTTTCTTTGTAAACTGCCCAGTCTAGGTATGTCTTTATCAGCAGTGTGAAGATGGACTAATACAAATATCAAAAGAGATGTGTCACCTTGAGTGTCATAGGACACTCGGGACACAGGACTTGCACCCTGAGTGTTGTGGTGAACTTTATATTCATCACATATATTATACAAGAAATAATGTTAGCTCTAGGAAATACAAATCAAAACAAGAAAATAAGAATGGCCCATACTTTCCTTTTCAGCGATTTAATGGTTTTAACATTTTAGTGTATTTTTCTTCTAGTCTGTTTTCTATATAATAGGACAGTGCATACTATTTTCTAACCTGTCTTTTACACTTAAAAGTGATATTGACATTTCTCTGTATAATTTACAAATTTCCCACAATATCTTTTAAAATAGCTGCACCCCATTCCACTGCGTTGTTGTACCACGGTCTAGTTAACAAAGCCCTTACGTCAAGACCCTGGGATCGTGGCCGACTCTTTTTGAGCTCCGATTTTGTGTATGACTCTGGGCCAGGCTCTAGAGTGCAGGCATACACTACATGAAGCATGAGAATGAGACATGGTTCCTGTCCTTAGTTTACAATTTGAGGACTTCCAGTTCAATATGGCAGACTGCATGGATATGGAAAAATGTTCCTTCCATCCAAATGTATATAAATCTGCATGCAATATAACAAAACTAAATTCAAGGACACACAGAGCTCTGAGGAAAGAGAGAGAATGTCCCAGCATCAGTGATGAAGCAGGAACTCAAGCCCGGGTGTTGGTGGGAGCCGAGACCATAACAGCCTAAAGAGGGTTTCGCACTCAGACACAGGCTGAATTTCTCTTATTGGGATGTTCATGTCCACCCAAGGACAGAACTTAAGCCCTCAAATCTAGGTTAGTTGAGAGGCAGGGATAAATGCACACTTGGCATAGTTGGGAGCCTCTGAGGGGATTAAAAAAGCTCAGCAAATCTGTTTGGGGAAATTTCAAGAAAGTTTGCTGTCCATGTAGGCCTTGGGTGGGAAAGAGTCATATAGCAGAAATTTGAAATCTAAGCCTGCACTACCTGCACAAATTCATACTACATAGGTAATGCCTAGAAACTAACATACTGGTCCAGAACTGGTAAAACTAGTGGGGTGTTAGCGAGGCGAAAAAAAAGTCTTATAAAGAAAGATGTCGCCACCATTCATAGAGAGGAAATAAGTTTCTCAAAGGAAATTAACTTCACTGAAGAACTCCCAGTAAAAATTAGAAACTATGACAAATACAAGGTATGATGAGAGACACTTAGAAGCAGCAGCAAATAGGATAATTAGCATTCCAAGATCTAGGGAAAATAAAACAATCCTAGACAGATTATAATTAAACTATTTTTAAAATGTTTAAAAATTTAAAAGCATGAATAAGAATGACAAAGGGCGGAATAACACAGAAATGAATTTGGAAATTTAGGCAAATACTGCTAGAAATAAAAATGATATTACAAAAAATTGTTGTATGTGTAAAGTAGTATATTGGACATGGTCAAAGACAAAATTAAGATATATTGATACTGTCACTCAGAAATTGGAATAGAAAATATGAAAGAGAGCTTCACAAATATATGCTTAAAATACTAAGGTCAAAATATGTCTAATCAAGTACCAGGAGAAGATAACAGAGTATATATTAAAGGGGCAAAATTTGAAAAGATATTGGCTGAGAGCTTTCTAGAATTAGACATTTAAATTTTTAAATGGAAAAATATCAGCTTCCAAGAAGAAGTAAAAGTAAACGCACACCTAGGCATTTTGTAGATACACTGCAGGAAAAAAGTTGTAAAAAGTTCCACAGATAAAAGTCAGATTACCTCAAAGGAATGACAATTCAACTAAAAGCAAATTTATCATCAGGAAAAATATATAATGGTAGGAAATACACCTTCAAATTGCTGTAGGACAACAACTAACACCTTAAAATTTGAATTCTAAATCAATACTTATTTAAAAATGAGGAGAAAAGGATTTTAATACAAACATATTCCAAGGGAATTTATTACTTACAGCTCTTACTAGTTGAAAGACTGACTAGAGAATACATTTTGGTGAGGTGGACACTGCACTGGGTGGAAGGTGTAGAATGTCAGAAGCAATTATGAGAAGCATAACAGTGAAAAGATGAACCTTTTGATAAATCTAAATATGCAGTGACTGTAACAATAACAAGAACAACAAAAGTACATTAAAAGCAACGTTAAAATGTTGAATAATAATAAGTAACATGGAAGATGAGCATGAGGGTGGGGAATGGGGAAGCAGTTTTCTTGTCTGGAAAAGGGATGGAGATATTAATTAATTTCAAACTTTTTAGAGTCAGATGTGCTTAATTTAGTGTTAACCATTAAAATAAAAGAAATATGATGCAACACTTTTAAAATAGGAGAGGCTGAAAATAAAGAATCACTCTGATCATCAGAGGCATGATATGAGGAAATAAGGAGAAAACAACCATGGTCATTATTGTTGAGTCTGTGAAGCTGAAGTTTGATTTTACCCTACTTCCAAGCTAATAAATTAGCCTGTTGCTGTTTCATGGATGCTGTCAGAAGGCATGAGATGCCTGGGTCAAAGGACTTTAATATACACAGCAACCACCATAAGCCTCACATGTGCTCCAGTTCCCCTTGCTTGCTAAGTTTCACGGGCGTGACACATGCAATGAATGTTGCATGTGTAATGGGTTTGTGTTGCTGCCAATGAAGACTGAACTTGGGAAATCCACCTCTTTCTTAGCAGACAGTGAGCCTTCTCTAGGACTCAAAGGGAGACATCACCTCAGTTTGCAAGGGTTTTTGGTGCAAATGCAACCCTGAGAAATGACCCAGGTGAGCAGTCAGATCCTTGCCTTGTTGGCATGCCCAGCAAGAGACAAAGCAGCATGAGAAACCCACCAAAGAGTTTCTCTTCAAACAATTATAAAACACAAAACAAGATGATAGAAATGGATCAAAACACATCAGCAATCATAATAAACAGAATAGATTAAACTTGCCTTTTTAAAGATAGAAACTCCAAGTTTAGGCATAAGAAATGCAATTTATAAGAAACATGTAAAATAGAGCTTGTTCTTTTGGCCTTAGTGATTTGGCTGTGTTATATTTTGGCACATGTCTGGCTGCCTGTAAAATACAAATTTGTGTGTCTGTGTGTGTGTGTGTGTGTGTGTGTCGAATGTGATATGGTAGCATCAGGGCACAGCTAATTCCTCTCATTTTCCCCTCCTTCCTTATCCTCTGTCAAATCCATTCACACCTTTGCAAGACAGACACAGAAAGTTTGAAAGTAGAAGGAATGAAGAATGGCATACTCTGCAAGTACCACCAAAACAAAACTGATGCATCAAAACAAATATTAGAAAAAATATACTTAAGGCAAAAAAACCCATCAACCTCCCCATTAATTCTGAAAAAAGCACATCATTGCTTTGTGACAAACAGAACAATCTAGCTGAGAGGAAACATAAAAAATTAAATACCAACATAAGGCAGCATGAGATGAATGTTAAGTGAGAAGTTCAAACAACAAGTGCTGTGGATTCAGAGGAGGAGGACGTGGATCTGACCTGAAGCCATCCAGAAATCGATTCTGGATAAAGAACATGCTGCTTTAGGTAGATTTGACATGAGGGTGGGCCATGAAGCAAGCGACAAGTAAATTGCAGCTTGTTTGAGACACTGAAATATGAATTTTGGGACTTTATAAACAAAGAGCAGAAACAAATGCTGGGTAGACCTCGGTGGTTGGGCAGCTCTTGATCTTGGTGCTGGTGGGCCAAGGGCAGCAATCTCATCCCTGTAAAGCCTATGTGTCTGCCTCTGCTCCCCACATCTATTAATATAATAAATCCCATCTCTAGCCAGCCTCCTGTGAATGAATAGCCTAGGATGGGCCTGAGTGTTTAGTTACAGGTGGCCTGCAACAGCCATTGTGTTCTTCTGGAAAACTATGGATGACTAACCCTGGGAAGAAGGACTCTCAAGTTCAGAGAAATGAAGTACCTGGCCTAATGTCAGCTAGCTCGGTACAGAATTGGGACCAGAAGCCCAATCTCTTGATTCTTTCTAGACATCACAAATCACAGGGGGCGTGCTTTTGCCTGGCTTGTTCTTTTGACCTTAGTGGTTGGCTGCCCGTATGAGAGTAAGAATTTGTGTGTTAGGGGTGGGGATTGGGCAGGGAGAGTGGTAACAGTGATGTGATACTAGGGGGTACAGTTAATTTCTCTCCTTTTTCTCTCCTTCCTTGTCCTCTGTAAAATCCATTCACACCTTTGCAAGACAGATGGAAAAAGGAACTTAGGGTGGGGGCTGTGCTTTAAAACCTGGCTCCCTGGACATGGGGCCTGGGGAGTTTGGTGCCCACGTGATAGGGACTGCTAGAGAGGCCCCAGAGCATCTGTCTGGGGACACTGTGGACACATGTCCTGAGAATACCCCCTCAGGGGCTGAGGCGGGGCATCATACCATCTTGGGAGCCCAAAGCCATGTGCTAACAAGCTGTTGGCAGAGGACTAGAGAAAGACATTTTCAAAAACAACAGCAACAAAAATTGCAAGCCACTCCATCCGGGCTGCAGACCCCTCCCTGCATCTCATTAGCGCCTGGGGTGGGAGGAGAGGGGGCTGGCAGGCACTGCCTACACCTACGTGTCCTGAAAACCAATGCATGCCCACAGAGGTGGGCGGGTGGGAGGCGCAGAGTGGCCCAGCTCCCAGCCTAGGAAAGATCTTTCCAATGCTCTGCTTGTCATTTGTTCCCTTGTGTGTGAATTTTTAGAACAGGTATCAGATTCTTTCTGTGTAGGACACTTTTTGTTTGTTTTTGGAGTCAATGCTCTAAGGTCTCTTCCGTGTCTTTAAAACTTGGGTTTTGAATATGATTTCTATGAAGAAAAGCGAGTCATCAGAATCCTGTCTTTGTGGACTGTTGACATCATAGCTGAGACTGCCACAGTTGGTGCTGCAGACTCAAAGTCAAGTGCTCCCATAGACGCCCCACTCGCTGCCATAGTGAAGACCCCCATTTGCCTCCAGAGGTCAAGCTTCCTTGTCCAAGTTGGAAAGTAGACAAGAAAATCCTCAGCCACTTCCCCCATTTCTTTTCTCACTTGCTCCTCATCCCTTCATGTTTGTATTCCCAAGATCTCAGGCTTCTAAGAAAGCTCATCTTAGCCTTCTAAGAAAGCTCATCAAGTTGGGAGTGAGACCTGCCATGGCTGTGGTCATGTCTGTCCTGTCACTCAGGAGGAGCAGAGGCTTCTCCTCCTGGGGACACTCTGCCCTCCCAGGCTCTCCCAGACTTCCCCTACCCACTTGTTTTACAATAGCAGTAACTATCGCACATCATCCTACTCTACTTGAGTCTCAGAATCAGACACATGTCTGTCTCTATAAAATGGGAACGGCGGTGGAGGTGGGACTTTCACAGACAGAGGGGATGGCAGCCCCTAAGAAAGAAGTACAGGTGGCTTCTCTTAATGACTCTTATTCCCAGCAAAGACAAACAGTGATGCCATCATTTGCAGTTGGATTCTGAGGCCCCGCCTACCTGGGAGGCAGGACACATTGGGGACCAGCCATCCTAGTGTGACAAATAATTGAGTTTCATAATGACCTTGTAGAGCCAGATTCCTGGAAATGGCATAAACCTACCTGTGATTGTTGTCAAACTCTAAGATGCTTTGTTACCATTGCTCACTCCAGGAGGGGAAGCCATGGTTCATGAAGTTCATTAGGTGGGTGGTAAACAGGATTTTGGTAGTTGTTGAAGGTTGGGGCTCAAGACCCTCTCTGGAGGCCCAGGCTGGCTGGTTAAAGACATTCTGACCTCCCAACATTAGAGCAACACATCAGAAGGCATTCGAGGCTGTGGGGCTTCTAGAGCCAGAATTCTCAGGTCATCGCCCTCAGCACCAGTGCTGTAGGGTTCCACCTGCCTGCAGCTTGGGGAAGAAGAAAGGCTGGCTGCCCAGAGTCACGGCCTAGCTTGGCTGGGAGGAAGATAGAGGAGCTGTCTCCTCTTCCTCACTTGTCTTCCCTGTGCCTGCTCCTGGTCCAGCTGGGTGAGATGGAAACTATCTCACATGGAGAGATGTTAAGGCAATTCTGGCAAAGCAAGCGCTAATAAAGTGCTGGGAACTTCCCCATCTCTGCCTCTTGAGGGAACTGAGCATGCTCTGAAGGGCATGGCCAGGTTTGCCTTTGGTGGAGGAACCAGAGGCTTGGTTTGGTCTTGGGGCAGGCTGGGCAAAATCGCTGAGTATGAGTGTTTCCTCCTGAGCATCCTCGGGGAGGGGAGCCCCTCCCTTCTCTACATCCTCCCCCACTGGCTCCTTCATTTCCGGGCACTTTGCCTTCTTATTTCTGTTCTCTCCTCTGAACCAGAGAAAGAAAGATGATTAAACGCTTCTGCTATGTGGATGCCCATGACTCACTGGCAGGAATGGCCTCTCCAGGCAGGCTGTGCTTTCTGTCTCCTTCCCTCATTTCACCCTCCACTTTCCCCTCCCCTGCCTTGCCCCTTGCATCAAAATGAAGTCATGTAAGACCAATTCAAATTGATTTCTCTTTTCCTTCTATTAGAATATCAGCTCCATAAAATCAGGATAAGAATTTGTGGTCTGGAGTCTGAAGACAGGGATTGGAGTCCTGGCTTTTCTGCCCACTAGGTGTGGTTTTGAGTGGTTATTTACCTTCCATAAGTCTTTGTTTATTTGGTCATAAAATAGGGAAAATGATAGAGCCAGCCTTTCAGGGTTATTGTGGGGATCAGCGGAAATAATATTAAGTGTGAACTGGTATTGTCTGTAACACATAGTGCATGCCATGAGCCAGGCACCATGGGGATCAGACTGGAATTCGCTCCAGTGTGTAACAGGCAGATCCAGTGACAAAGAAGGAGAGAAATAAGCCAGCCTTGGTACCATCAAAGGAGCACCCAGCCTTCCCCCTGTGCCCCACTGAGCAAATGGCTAATACCACATAGCACAGGCCAGGGGGACAGATGCCTTTGTATGGAAGAGCTAGTACTGGTAGCCAGGGACCTGGCCACACGGGGAGGCACAATTGAATTTTTCCCTTCCATCTGACAGTTCAGGACTGGATGTTACTTTCCAAATGAAAGCGGTTCTGGAAGGTCGTTGGGAACAGTGAATTGTGATTATGCTGGCACATTTTTAATTCTGTCTCATTACAGCTGCTGTTAAGGCTGCATTATAATAATTGCTTTAGTTCTGCTTTGGTATTTGCAGGCTCCTTTAATGTAGCTGTAATCTATGTGTATATTAAAGTAAGCAGAGCCAAAGAGCAGGGGCAGCCTTATTAGACTGGAGAAATGCATGTTGGGGGTGGCGGTGAAGCAGACAGGCAGACGGGAGCAGGGTCCTGGCGGGGGAACCTCGGGACAGCATGCGGAGTGGAAGTTCTGGCCTCAGGCCCAATGCAGACTCACGCTGTGACTTTGAGCAAGTTGAAGCTGCCTGTCTCAGCTCTCCCATCCATTATATGAGTTACAAAGTCTGTCTTGGAGGTGCTTAAAAGTTCTTAGGAGAAAAACCGTTACTGGCAAAGAGCCCAGGGAGATGGCTGCATTGGGCCCTCAGAGCAGCCAGAGTGGAGCCCAGCAGGAGCCTCCTCGGCCGCCCACGGTGGAGCAGCCAGGCGACCCCTCGGCAAGGGACAGTCATCAAATAAATGGCATGCAGACACCCCCAATTCCCAGGGAAAATTTGGCTCTGGTCTTCCTGCGATCACTCCCTGTTCTGGTTTCTTCTTTAAAATTCGGTTTGTTTGAACTGTTGCCACTCCCTGCACGGTCCTGTACACACAGCATTTCAGCCACTTGATGGAGGTCTTACTGCTGTCCTTGAATACTATGGCTCTCCTTTTTCCCCTTCAAGGGCAGTGGGTGTCAGTTTCAAGGACAGAATGCAAGGGCTGTCCTGGACCAGACCACTCACCAAGTACTCACTATGAACGGCATTCACCTCCTAGCTGTTATTTTGGGATAGGAATTCATATTGTGCTCACACCAGTCATATGAGCTAAGTAGCAGTATCATCTCCTTTATTTTATTTTAGTTTTTGAGACAAAGTCTTGCTCTGTCACTCAAGCTGGAGTGCAGTGGCGTGATCTCAGCTCACTGCAACCTCCACCTCCCAGGTTCAAGCAATTCTCCTGCCTCATCCTCCCAAATAGCTGGGACTGACTATAGCTGCACCACTACACCTGGCTAATTTTTTTTGGTCTTTTTAGTAGATACAGGGTTTCACTATGTTGGCCAGGCTGGTCTTGAACTCCAGGCCTCAAGGGATCTGCCAGCCTTGGCTTCCCAAAGTGCTAGGATTACAGGTGTGAACCACTGTGCCTGGCCTCATGTTCTTTATAGATGAGTGAACTGAGGCCAGTGAAGTCCCACATACCTAGTGAGTGGCAGAGCTAGACATGGAGCCCAGACCATGCAGAGGCTGACCCACGATTTTAGCACTACCTCAGGCTGCCTCCCCCTCGTCCTCTCTCCCTCCTCAAGAATCATCCATTTTTCTGTGCTGATTCAGAGCTCGCCACTGAATTCAGATTGGTCTGGGGATCAGTGGAAGGATCAGAAGGTTCTCTCAGGACCAGAGACACAGGCCTGGGTAGATGCATGGGAAGAGACCACGGCCAAAGTGTGGACAAGGGCAAATCAGAGCCATTGAACAAAACGTGTCTTTGGCTCCTCAGCTCTCCCAAATGATGCCTTTGCCTTGTAACAGTGGGTGTTGCAAAGGGAGTGAGAATGAGGCAGAACTCTTGGTGTTCCTATGCACCTGTACCCCCCACCTTGTACGTGGGCCATGAAACACCCAGATATTCCCAGAAGGATTCCTGTTTTGCCTCTTCCCATTTCTAAAGACTTCTACATGAAGAAGATTTCAGACTTTCTCAGCACCTTGCCCTATTGCTTCTGCAGGGAGAATACTCTTCATCGTATGCAACTGAAATGCAGCCTGCTACAGCTCAAAATCTACCAGGTTCATTGAATCCCAATGTTTAAGGGAACTTAAACATTCCTCCCACTGCAGAAATTCCTTTCAAGCACCTCTGATTGTTGCCCCATAGCCTTGGGTCTAAGATGCAGGAAGATGGGTGCCAACCCACCCCCTTCCTTCTCACCAGATAGCCTGTTTCATTTCTTGAATAGTTCTAATAATTAAAACGTTCTTCTTTACTTTGGATCAATGTCTCCCTCCTGATACCTTCCACCAATTAATCCTAGTTTGATCTCCTGGAATTAATCCATTCCGTTTTTCAAGTGATAGTATTCTGAATTTATGAAGGCAGAAGTTCCTCTGGAGTCTTCTTTATCCTTCAGCATCCTTCAGTTCTTTTTCTGTTACTTCTATTCAGATATTCCTCAAAGAGAAAAAACATATCAAAAGGTCCTAGATTGTCTCCAGCATAAATTAGTCTCATGCAAATGTTTCCTCTTCTTCATCTACTGTATTCCAGTCCAAATGTTTGGGTAACTACCAATACTACATATTCTCCTGAGAGCTGAGAAATATTAAGAAAATAAGATGTGGTCTCTGCTCTTGGTTGTATAACAGTAGCATTAACAACTAAATTCTGACTGTGGACAAACTGCCTCCTCCTTCCTATAGTACTTTATGGTTGGAATGGTAAATGCACTTATGTGCAAAGTGTCCTGTTTTGACTGTAAGGAGAACTGTGGAACTCACTTCCTGCCATGCTATCTCCATCTTGTTCCTGCCTCTGTCCCACACCATCTTCTGGGTCTGCTCTCTCTGTGTCTTTATCTCTATTCTTGGTTTTTCTTAATTGGCCCATCCAAGAGCCCTCTCCAGTCCTCCCATCCTTTCCTACAGGATCAGGGAAATACTCCCCCCTAAATACTGTCCTTAATTAGTTAATAAAATCTCCCTCCACGACACAGGCAGCTCTCCCCCGAGAAAAACCAGTGACAGATACGAACACCATTTGGTCTAATTAGTTCTGATATTTCACACAACATATTTGTGAGGTTTTTTGGAAGGAGGAGAGGAAGGCAGCAAAATGCTTCTGTTAAAAGAACAGCAGGTTGGCTCGGATGACAGGAGGGACAGAGTTTGGGGTCTTCTTTTGTAGCTGCAAATAGAGCCTTGGTGAAATCAGTACCACCTGGCCTAGTGACACTTGCACCTGTAGTTCTCCTTGCACCTCTGTCTGACTGCACTGGCCTTCCTGGGTCTGAGACCATATCCTTTCCTTATTCTAGTGAAGCAAAGTTCCTGATTGAGTGACCTTTTCTTTTATGATGACAGAAATCTATGCAGAGTGAGGTAACGTGAGAGGAGCTTAACACTAGAGACCTGGGGATTTGGATTTGGGGCACAGCATTCTATATCTGTCCTGCCTTTGGCTTGCTCTGTGACCTTGGAATGATTATTGAACTCTAAGGCCTTTTTTCAGTCTAAGGGCTACATAGGGGAGAGGAGGGAGGGGGTTAAACTCATATCTTATATTGCTAGAATAGATGTCTCTCAAGATATGGAATACTGGCTATTAGAGAGTATATAAATTAGGAGTAGCTGTTGACATAGAAAATCAATCCTATATTCCTCTGTCACATTTGCTGTCATCTGTTTATAACCTGCAAGTTTTAAGAGGTATGTTTACTGCTCCAGAGAGCCCAATGTGCACCTTGCATATCCAGCAACATGGGTTCAATCTCATGAACCCCATTGTAAGTCTGTAGCTGAGATTGGAAATCAACTCCAGGCTTTTCAGACACTGACATTTATCACAGTGTCTAACCCAAAGTAGATTTCCATAAAGGTTGATAGGACCAGAATCCCGAGCCTTATGATGATGCTATGGGAAGAGCCCTGGAGGGGGAGGAAGAATGCTTGGGTTTGCAGCCAGGTTCTGTCACCACATAGTTTAGTGACCTTAGGTAGTTTATTCACCTCTCTAGTCCCATTTACTCATCTCTAAGACCAGAGAGTTAAATAACTCTCTAAGCTTTATAGTTCTAATGTCTACAGTTTTGTGACCAAACATAGCAAAAGGAAATGAGGGTATTTTAATAAACTTATTGGCTTAGGGAATGGGTAAAGCCAATAGAATGAGTCTGAGCTCCAAGCTGGAGGGATCCCTGAGGGGGTCCTGCAAGCTTCTCCCATGGGCTGCCTCTGTGTGACTCTCTCGGGAATCATTGCTTGGGCTTGCCTGCCCCCCGCCCACCCTCCCCTCCGCCACCCAGGCTGCTGTACATCTCACCTCTGGTTACTTGGCCAGGTGGACACCTGTCCTGGTCCTTGTTTACCCTGCTCTTGTCCCATCCCAATTTCTGCTATGATCTGAGCATTGTCCTATGGTGAGCTCCACCTATACTAGCCGTCTGTCCTAGCCATTCCTGGGAGACAGACAGACTGCCTTCTCATGAAGCAGGAGGACAGAGTGAAATCGCCCACTCTAGTGGCTGCTGCTGAAGATTGTGGGCTGTGAAGTCAGCCTGGATGTGAATCCCAGCTCTGCTGTCACCAACCTTCATCCTGGTGTCTCTGTGTCAGTTTCTAATGAAATGGAAATTTAAAAAACAAAAAACAAAAAACCCAAACCATGTAAAGTACTTAGCACCATGTCTGGCCTTTGGTAAGAACTCAATAAGTGTTAGTTGTCATTGTGTTGATGTTGTTATTTGTGAGTTCCGAATCCCTTCAGAAATAGACCAGACATGAGGTAGAGATTTTTTTTTTTTAAATTAGATTAATCTTTGGCAAAGCTGGATTAGGAAAAAAAAAAGCGGACCCAAGGACATGTCTTCCAAATACTTTCCCCCAATTCTAGACCTTAAGGCAAAGATCCCGCCCTTGCCCGTCCAACTCAGAGAGGGACCCCAGACAGGGAGAGAGGCCCGAGGTGTGCGCCATCTTAAACAAGGTAACTCTGCTGGGAGCAGATGAACCGATCCCAGGAGATGTGAAGCCTGCTCGTCCAATCATTGACCAGTCTCTTTCAGAGTAAGAGGGACTCACTGGAGGGGCAGGGTTCTCCTAACAGCTCAGCAGGGCTAGAAGTTCCTAATTCCTGGGGTGAGTTAGAGAGACAAGGAGGGGCTTCCCTCTTCAGCTGCCTATTACAAACTCTCCTTTCTGGGTACAGCAACTGTTACAATGGTGCAAAATCACCAGAAACTGTTATGAATGGACTCCTACAGAAGCTTCCAGAAGTTATTTTCCAAAAGTCCTGGATGACTTTCCATAAGACGTTCAATTTTAACATACCTTTTATTTTTTCATGTTTTTATTTTTTTATTTTTTTTGAGATGAAGTCTCACTCTGTTGCCCAGGCTGAAGTGCAGTGGCATGATCTCGGCTCACTGCAATCTCTGCCTCCTGGGTTCAAGCGATTCTCCTGCCTTAGCCTCCCAAGTAGCTGGGATTACAGGCACCTGCCACCAAGCTAGGCTAATTTTTGTATTTTTAGTAGAGATGGGGTTTTGCCATGTTGGTCAGGCTAGTCTTGAACTGCTGACCTTAGGTGATCCACCCACCTGAGCCTCCTAAAGTGCTGGGATTACAGGCGTGAGCCATCACGCCTGGCCTAACATACCTTTGAATCATAAAAGTAACATGGTAATTGTGAAAAATTGAAACATGAAATATATAATATATATGGTGAAGGTCTGTAATCAATGTCTTCTACCTCTCTCCCTACCAAAACTTCATAAACAGTTTTGTGTTCACAAAACATTTTAAAACAATGTCTATCAGCAAGGTTTGTGAATCAGGGGTAAGCTAATTATGTCTCACATTCTTGCTAAGTCAATGTGATGTAGAAAGACTCCGGTTCAAGTGCCCTAGGCCGGGTGGTTTGGGAAGTCATGCCCTACTTTGTCCATAGTGGGTTCCGGTATCTGTGCTCCTGCACAGTGTCAGGGCTGTTTGCCTTGGGCTAGATTTCTGCATCTCCAGGGTGATCTGTGTATTTCTAAAGGACAACTACTTCTAGAGAGTCCCAGGAGCAGACCTTAAGCTATGACATTGCTGTATTTTAAGCCCACTATGACCTCTGGGAGAAGTGCTAAGACTTCAGGGTTCCACCAGTACGTCTCTGTCCCCATCTATACCAGTCCTGACCATTCTGCTGCCCTGAGTTCAGACCAAGGAGTATATACTTCCTAGGAAGGGCCCCTGCCCCACGGCCTGGGAGAGTTTGGAAACAACCTACTGCCCCATCCCTTGGGCTCCTCATGCCCTTTTCCTCCTCCTCTCTTCCCATGGCAGGGGTTGCGCCCTACCCCTGAGCCGCAGACTCCTAACCCCCTTTGCCTCATTTATTTCCCAGAGCTGGGTTCAGTTTCTGGGATTTCCCCTCATCAGCCCTACTAAGTGGCCTGAACGTCCCCTTGATGCTAGCACCATCTGTCTCCAGAAGTCTTATCATAGCATCCTGGGTTTCCACTCAGGTCAGCCTCTGGCTCATTGACAGCAGTCTGGACATACCTTGACCTTGGCTCTTCTGCCCCACTCCTAGACCTTGTTCTCTGCCCTATCTAGACAGAGGGCTCTAGGCTGCAGGCAGCCTCCACAGTGGGTGGCCCATTCTCCCAGCCTTGACCTTCCCTGCCTGGCTGTCCTTGGCCTGACTGCCTCTCCCAGCAGGAGCCCCTCATATATTGTGCAATTGAGGCCACATCATTGGTGACATGTTCAGTTGTCACTGCTATTTCCCATGAGAACTTTAACTGTCATTCAAATACTGAGCTGTCCTGCTAGTCTGCAGTCCTATTTGGCAATTTATTTATTGTCACTAATACTCTGTCAGAAAAATATTATTGATCTTTTAAATATGTGATTTTTAACAGGCTTTCTCTAGGGATTTTCTTGTATTTGAGGGCACATTTTCCCCCTAACAGACACAACCCTAATTTTATCCTGAAATCGAATAAGAAATCAGATGCATGTCATAGCAACTTATTTCATAGGCAACATCCTTAGGTCACAGAGTACACCTGCACATACATGGCAGGAGCTGGGGGCCATGAGGACACCCAAGTCACTTATAGCGTGCGAGTGTGGTTGTCCTCTTCACTCCTTTCCAGTGTTACCCATAAAGAAATGCCTGGCTGAAAAACATTCCTGCCTTATTTAGTTTATTGAACACTTCTATAGCATTTTCTATGCCAGGCACTGTTCTAAACACTTCCAAATATTCATCTACCAAACTCTTAGACAGCTTTACAAGGTGAATGTTATTAATCTCTCCATTTCACAGATGGAAAACTGAGGGAGAGGTTAATGAAATTGCTCAAGGTCACACATTGAGTGAGCAGCAGAAGTGAGATTTAAACCAAGGCCATGTAGTGCCTGAATCTGTGTGCCTGCCCCCCAGGCCACACCCGGACCCGGGGCCTGCTCTCTGTGCTGTGGACAATCTCCTCGGGCTCAGGCCCTCAGGAGAGTCATGTCTCACTCTCATTCTGCGGGACATTGCATGTGTCAGGATGCACACCACATCCGTGCTGCCTGCCATGCAGGAGTTTTCCTTCTGGAATCCATTTCCTCCACCTGGAAAGATGAATTGAACGGCAGAGTCAATTCCGTGTAAGTGCAGTGTCTGATTTGTCCTCGAATGAACTTGTAACAAAACCAGCATCACGCCAGTCCACTTGGCTGCCACGCGTTGTTTCCAGTTCTGGTCAAAGACCTTCATTGATTGTCCTTTTCATCCTGTCCTCGAGCCACCTCAAGGCAGTTCATGCTTCTGGGAATCCAGACAGGCGCTCTCATCAGTCCGTCTACTCCCCTGACATCCGATGACATTCCTGGCCCCCTTATTTACGCACCCTGAATTCCTTGTGTTATACTAGTCCCCACAGTTGATGTCCTTATTTCACAATTTGGCGGTGCCAAGGGACCATGTAATTTGAAAAGGGAAGAAGAAGTGGTGGAGCTGGAGGCTGAGATCAGAATACTCTGTGTACTAGCAAAGCCCAGAGCCCCATCCTGCTTCTTGTGACCAGTGTGGTAGGGCCATACCTTGGGTGGTCAGGGAAGATGACAGAGGGATCTGGTGCACCTTTGTGCTTGCATAGCTTGCGTCTAAAGCAGCAGCAGGACATGGAGGAGTAAACTGGAAATAAGGAGAAGAGAGTTCTAGTACCTGGCCTCAGTTTCCTTACCTGTATAACAAGGGACTTGGGCCAGACACTTGGGCTTGGCTCCCTGGGCTCAGATTGAAGAGGTATGCATGACAGGGGTCAGTGGCATGACAGGGAGGCCGGGAAGGTGCTCCACCCCTGGAATCCCACCACATGGAGCCAATTTGCTAAGGCCAGAGGCTGCTGAGGCCTCGGCTCTGCTCAGAGGCAAGGGGAGAGATATAGGCAGGCAATTAAGTTAGAATTGGCATTTCAGGTGGCTGGCTCTGGTTTAATTAACAAGGCTCCTGATTAATAGATCAAATGACATTTCCACATTTCCCTCCCGCCATGTTCCACTCCCTCCACTACCTGCCACCCCAACTTTCAAGGTGCTTCTTAGTGGCTTCATTCTCTAACAACAAGTGGGGCTTGATGGGGGCTCAAGGGCTGGAGAAGGAAGGTCCTGATCAGTGATGGCCAGGACAGGACTGTTCTCAGTGCCCAGCACACTGGCATTTAATTAAAAGTCGCTTATTGAATGGGGCATGTCAGATTAGTGCATTCCCAGAAGATGCAAAGAAGGACTGTGGTACAGGGACCCTCAGAGCTTTTTATTTAAGAAGGCAACTAACTGCAGAGGTGATGGGGTGGTTCACAAGACCCTCTGCTGTGAAACTGAGTGACCTAAGGGACAGCGCCCAGGTGTGGGTTCCCCCGCAACAGCAACAAAGGGCAGCCCTTCCCTTTCCTCCTCTCCTGCCCAGCCACCCCCTACCAGCTCCCCTTCCCTGACCGGGCCACTGTCAGGCTCCCCACCCATGATGGATTTTTCAGGCTTCATTTAGTGACATAACCATCCCAGTAAAACGTACAAATGGTCCAACTGTGGATCCTAATGTGCAGTAAACGGTTTTTCACCTCATATCATTTTTTATGGGGAGAAATTGGCTGTGTGCTTCCCCCTGCAGCCCCCTCCCCACTGCAGGTGGACTCTGGCAGGGGGTGGGGTTGCCTCTGTTCCTTCATCTGCCAGGCTGTCAGCTCCGCTCCAAACACCACTCACTCACTGGGGTGGGGGGCGGTTCAGCTTTGATTAACTGTCCCATACAATATTAATTTCCGACAAGAAGCTCACTCTGCTGTCTCTGCAGGAACAGGGAGGTGGGGCAGTGGCGGGGGCAGGGAGAGAGTGCATTTCCTGATTGGCTTTCCTTCTTTGCCTATTTGCCTGTTCCTTTTCAGAAGGCACTGCCCTCTGCAGTAGCCCTTTCTTCCTGTGTCCTGCGGCCCTTGCTAGGCGTCCTTGGCCCCTTACTTGGTCTTTCCTATGTCCTTTCACCTATGAAAGGGGATGCTTGGTGCTTCTCTCTGTTTGCCACATGGCAAGATTGGAGGGGATCTTTAAGCTCTCTGGTTAAGGAGACAAAATGACTGGGGGACTCTGTGGACCTCAGGAGGGAGGGCTTGGTGATGCTGAACTCAATATCTTCCAATCTAAGCTCTACCACTGGGTCCTGGCAAGGTCCGTTAACCTACATCTCTGCGCAGACTCCTCTCAAAACTGTCCCCATGCTCTTTCTGCCCCTCCACACCGTACTGCCCAGGCTTCTCCAGTGGCTTCATTACCTCCCCTCTGTGCTGACCTGGGGGCATCTCTTTGGACTCCTCTCGGGGCCATCCGTCCTTTCCTAGATCATTTCCAGTGGACATTTCTGGAAGCACAGCCAAGAAGCGAGTACTTTGGGGAGGGCAGGCGATGTGCCGAAAAGGAGTCGGGTGATAATCTGACATCCCTTCCCCAATGTGGACTCACCCTGCTCTCTCAGCAGCAAGCTCCTATCTTCCCTGCCTCTCCTCTTGCTGCCTTCCAACCAGCTGCCTCCTGTGTTCCTTGGAAGGCACGGGAGGCAGCAGGCGTGTGATGCCGCAGCAGCTTCCTTCCTCTTCCTGTGAATGCTGGCTCTGCCTCCATGGCCAAAGAGGCAGCTGGTCCTCTCTGCTGCACCACCAGCAGAGCTGGGGGAACATGTCTGCATGTGTGCGTCTTCCAGTCCACAGGTCAAACTCCACGTAGTGGCCTGGACTGTTGGTTGTCACTTCACCATGTGGCCAGCTTAGGGGCAGGGATCGCTGCATGCCCAGCACAGAGAGATGTGCATGTGTGTAGATCCAAGCGTGCATCCATGCATGCAAATATTCATTTTGGAACAATGTCTGCACATTTGGCTCCCAGGCACAGAATAAGCATACCTAGTGCTTAAGAGATACTCTGGTGCCGAGATGCTGCGTTGGCAGGATAATTGCACCTGAACAAAGGGAAAGTACTTTGAAAATGTCAAGAAGTTCTATAGAAATGTCAGGGCTGGTAGTAATGATGATTATTCTAAGACCTCTATTACTCACACTGGCATCAGACCACATCTCCATGGTGAGCCTCAGAAAGGACTAAAATGAGGGAGAGAGATCAGCTGGTGCTTCTAGCCAGCTTGGACACTTGAGATGTGTCCATTCTGAGCCCACCTTCTCCGGTGAATAAAAGCAAGCCAGCAGGTGCTTGGGGAGTGTGGCTGGAGTGGAGGGGAACTAGACCCTGCAAGGATTACTCCTAAGAGCTGTGAGGCTTGGCCTGCAGAGGAGATGGTGGTTGTCAACCAAGGTGGTTGTGTGGAAAATCAGTCAGTTCCAAGTTTCTCCAGAGGGCAAAACTAGGACGGATGTAGCATAAGGTTAGAGGTAGATTTCCTCCCAGTTTTTGACCTTCCCCAATCTTACAAGTTACCTTGCTTTTCCCTGTCGAGAGGGAGCAGGCAGTGGCCTGAGACCAGCTGTCAGGAATGCTGAAGGACTCCTGCTCTAAGAGGAAGGTCCTGTGTGACTTCATTAAGGGTCTTCCCCACTTTCAGGAGTCTGGAGTTCCAAGTAATTATCCTCCAGAGAGCACATTCGAACCCAGAACTACAGACACAAGGAGGAGTTCCTATGATATCTAGAACTTGAGACCCCTCAAATCTGTACTGCCTCAAGTCCCCACGACCTCTTGGACCCCAGAAAACCAAAACTAAATGGACTGTATGTCCTGCAGGAGCCTTGGACACCTACTTGCAAGTCCTCAGGAGGATAGGCTATTGGAGATCTGGGTTCCAAACACAGAGATACTGGAATGAAGAAGACAGCGGCTCTCTGATGAGCTTTCTGGGGTTTGGAAGAGTTCAGGTGAGTCCTTCCTGTCACCTAGCCCATGCCGTATCCTGATTTTTCTTGCTTCTCTGTGGCCTGGCTTCACTCTTCATCCATCTCACAGGGGACAAGACCACAAACAGGAGCCGGACAAAGGAGGTAGGGGCAACTAAACCCCTGATTTAGGAGACAAAAAGCACGGCAGTGAAAACAAATCTATTTAGAAGCCTCCAGCAGATTTGAGACACCTTGATTAATCATAACTTGCTACACATTATTTCCCTATAAACAAACTACAATGTTACTCATATAAACAGCTTTATCTTGACAGCTGCAAAATGTCAGGATTTAATGTAGAATGAGCAGAGATACACCATATGTTACCACTCTGGGCCTGGAACACACTAATTCACAGCATATTGCCTCACACCGAAGAGGTGATTACAAAAGAGGGCTAGGCTTTTGCCTGGCCACGGTTGTGCGCGCCATCTCCACGTTCCAGCCACTTCTTGCCCAAGCTGTCATGTCTTAGAGCAGTATGGAGAAAGGCTCTGAGGGTTGCAAGCAGTGAGTGAAACAGCAACCCGGAAAGTGTGGAAGCAGTTGTATTGTTGTATTTCTAAAAATTGACTCCAATAAATACAGGTGTACCACACCAGGAAACCTGTGGTTACAGTGCAATTTTTTCAAAAAACAGTCAATACGTGCCTGGTATCCTGCTGAGGAGAACTGTGGCTACCTTTGCCAGAATGAAAGGCTTACAAAACACACCAAACAAATAGAACCCACTTCAGAAACAAACAATTAAGAAACAAGTTGAATGCATGAAGAAACAGAACTTAATGCTTGTGAAAAGGAAGTTTGTAAAAGGGATGCTTTGCCTGGGAGTGTCCCAAAGAGGAAAAATGTAGAGAATTTTTTCCCCATAGGACGCACTTAGCATGACAGCCCATAGGATGTGTTTTTTTGTTGGCTTTTTTTTTTTTTTTGAGACGGAGTCTCACTCACTCTGTCACCCAGGCTGGAGCACAGTGGCGCGATCTTGGCTCACTGCTGCAACCTCCGCCTCCTGGGTTCAAGCATTTCCCCTGCCTCAGCCTCCCAAGTAGTTGGGACTAAAGGTGCATGCCACCATGCCTGGCTAATTTTTTTGTATTTTAGTAGAGTTGGGGATTCACCATGTTGCCCAGGCTGGTCTTGAACTCCTGAGCTCAGGCAATCTGCCCACCTTGGTCTCCCAAAGTGCTGGGATTACAGGCGTGACCCACCGCGCCTGGCCAGGACGTGGTTTTATAGACAGACCAGTTTCTGGTTTGGTCTCTTTCCTTTCAGTTTCCTAACCTTCTGTATTTCTCTTATGCCCTAATATGGCTCTAAACCAGGGGTCAATCGGGCCCACTATATGTTTTTATTAATACAGCTTTCCTGGCAAGCAGTAAAGACATTGGTCTACGTGTGGTCTGTCTGCTTTGGGCTATAACAGCCAAGTTGAGTAGCTGCCTTAGAGACCATATGATCCACAAGGCTGAAAATATTTACTCTCTGGCCATTTACAGGAAAAGTTAGCTGATCCCTGCACTGTGTGTTTGTCATTTTCTGGCTTAAACACTAGAGGCACACAAGTATCAAGCTCTGGCAGCACCTGCGTCAATCCCCTTCTGGTTCTAGAACCCTGATTTCCTTTTGGGGAAGCACCACCCACAGTGGATGATCTTGGTGAGACTGCCAACCAGGAGGCGGGCATGTGACCCCAGCCCTGTGTCAGACTCTTCCCTGGACTGTGGCTGGCCAGTGGAGTGGGGTGAAATTGACTTGTCCTGGGGGCAACAGCTCCTTGAAGACATTGTGGCCTGTTCCTGCAGTCTGCAGTCCAGGCCAGCCCTGATTCCAGTCCCTTCCCTACACTCCTCATTCTCCAACAGGTGTGGGAACCACCTGTTTTCCCTCTATGACATGTTTTTTTTTTTCTTGTTTAAGTAAGTGAGAACTTGTTTCTGTTGCTTATAACCAAAGAAGCCTAATCAATGTCAACAGACTCTCAATGGTCCCTTGCCACCTGTGCGTCAGGTCCACACTCAGACCAGCTATGCTGACTCTCCCTGACTTGGTCCTGTCCTCTCTCTCCTCTCCTCCCCTCCTCCTGTCCCTCTGCTTCTCCTCTAAGGACCCCTCCTACCAATGCTCCGTACTCTGATGATGTGCCACCGTCCTGCACAGAGCTCTGCTTTTGCCCATGGTGTTCTCTCTGTTGTTTGGAATGCCTGCCTCTCTTTCCAACAGAGGAACCTGGTATTCATCATTCAAAACACAGTTCAAAATATCTCTGTCTCTGTGCAGCCTTCCCCAGGATTCCCAGGCAGAGTTAATGGCCCCTTCCTTGAAGCTCCCATAGTACTTTGAGCCTCTTTATCCTAAAGCATTCCAGTTGCTCTGTTAAAATGTTGAGTTTACAGGGCTGTTTTCCTCCAGCTTTCTGTGAGCTCCTTGCCATAAGGGAATAGTTTTATTTATCTGTACCCCTGGAGCATAGCAAGATTGTTGAATGTTAGAAGAATGAACCCCTTATGTTTACCATTATTGTTGTTTTTGACTGTTAAGTTATAATCTCGGTCCTAGCCCAGTAGTTTTCCAACCCAACTCAGTGTCTAATTGCCCTTTCTTCTCCCACTCTGACTTTATTCCCTGGCTTCAGATACTGGCCTCTGGGCTTGGTCCATTCAAGCCCCAGAAACAGTTTTGTACCAGCTCTTTGGAGCTCATGGCTAGAGCCCTGCTTCCTGATACTAGACAGGACAACATCCACCCCTCAAAGCCCTCAAGGGAGGCATGAACCTTCCAGATGTTTCCTGCCCTCTTGAATTGCTTTCCTGGCCTTCTCGCTTCTGATCTACCCTTGTCCACACCTGGATCCAGTAATCCTTGAGTGGCTTATCTTGCTGCTGACCTCTTGCCAGGCACCCTCTGGCAGGAGGTTGGTTTTGCTTCAGTGGCACACACAGCCAGGGCAGAAGTGTGTGCTAAAGGCCATTGTGATCCTCTTACTGGAAGGAGAGTCTTTAATTCTTTCTCTTTACAGAGAGGGAAGTACTCCTTTGGGGAGCACACAGCTGACAAGCTTTAGTAGGACGGTTAAAGCTCAAATCCCAGTGTGTCTGGTGCAGCTCCTTTCTCCTGGGCTGCATGTATGGGGCCATCTTGGAATCTGGAACTCTTAGTAAAGCAGGATCACCTAGAAGAGATAAGCATTGTGAAGCTGTGCAGGCTCCTTGGGGAGGAAGATAAATCACTCTCTGACCCATTTCCCATTGCTGCCTACTTTCATGGTGGGCCAGAGTTTTCAGAGCGCATGATCCTGTCTGGACGCCAGAGTCTTCAACATTAATACTAGTGAATTCTCTCCAAAGCTCTTATGCCAGAATGGCTCCTGGAATGTGCAAAACATCCCACATCCTGATCCTGCTGCCTGGGTTGTGAAAGGTACTTGGTTTCTCTCCAGTTGGTGGAGTCATCCAAAGAAGCAGATTGTCCTACACCCAGCCCTGGTACCTCCAAACACAGAAGCCTAATTATGCCCAAATAAGGCTTAATTCTCAAGAGAAAGGTTTGTTTCTGGATTTCTGAGCTCATTTCAGAAGGCAATTGGCAGACAACTGGTTCCTGCTGCCAGGAACTCCTCCAGGAACCATGAGGTCAAAGTGCAGCCTTCCCCAGAATTCCCAGGCAGAGTTAACGGCCCCTTCCTTGAAGCTCCCGTAGTACTTTGAGCCTCTTTATCCTAAAGCACTCCAGACACATCTGGTGAGTGAGAAGTGAATTTGGTGTAGAGGATGAACAAACATCCCAAAGTGTTCAGGACAGGTCTACGCTGTCAAACAGGCTGCTGGATTGTTTCTGCAAAGTTTCGGAAAGTCCTTAAATTCTGAAACTTCTAGTCCACAAACTGCATCTCCAAGACTGTCTCTTACACTCAGAATGCACAGAATCTTTGCCTGACCACCTGCCTTGTATTGGACTTGACCACTGAAGCCTGTGGTCCTGGTGTCCTTGCCAGAGTAAAGTGCAGTCTGAGCTCAGCCTCCAGGAGCCCTCTCCTCCTGGAGCCCCATTCTGCCCCGGACTTGGCCAGCTTATTTCCCTTGCTCTATGAGGCTGCCATGATGGCATCAGAAAACATAAACAATGAGTGAGATGCTGTCTGCAATCCAGCTCCTGCACCCAGCTCTGAGTTCCTGGCAGAATCCAGCCCATACGTTACCTTTTCTGTCACTGGCCTTTTCTCCCATTTCAGTAACTTAACTCTAGAGCTCAAGAGACTCCTGGAACTTAAAATAAAATATCTAAGGGAGCAAAAAGCAGCAACCAATCATCCCAAGCAAAGCTGGCTTCCTGTCTGTGTGGGCCTGGGGCCCAGGGATACTGTAAGACATAGACTTGGGTTTGAAGAGAGTAACTGAAATATTAACACCCATACTCAGCAATGATATTACTCTGGGATATTATAATCTCTCACACTTGCTGTGTTCATGCACGTGTGTGTACGGTGACAGAGTGAGAGCACAAAATGAGTTTCAAAGAAACCTATCCCCAGATACTGATGACCTGATGCTGAGTACTAACTCTAACATTTGTCCCCTCTGAGTACACAAATAATGGATAACAGTACATTCAACCCCATGGGGAAACACTAGGCTTTGGGTGACTGCTGGGAGTGTTAAATTTGCTTTAAAGGATTTTATGGATTCCACAGTTACCTCCTGGTTAGCAGAGCTGATGGAGGTGAACACTAGCACAAGTAACCCAAAGCCAGTGGATAATCCCTAAATCATTACCATCTGTTTTGAAATGTACCATTTGATCATTCCTGGGAGCTGATTTGCCTTCCTAATTATGTTCTCCTTGGGCTGATGTTAAACTAACATTTCTTTCCAATAAAAATAAAACCGGCTCTTAATACTTTGTTAAATCCACTGCATATGATAACAAGACCTTGAAAAAAAAATAAAAAGGAGGCAATAAAAGACCAAAAGACAAAGAAGAAAAAGGAGGAAGGAGCCTCGTCTTTGCTTCTTATTGATTTTTCTTGCAACAGCTCATGAAGGAATTAAAAGTAGAGCCAGATCTCAGGATCTAAGCCTCCTGCATGTTCTCTACTCAGAGGAAAAAACTGCTTTCCCACCTCTAACTTGTGTATGGATACCTGTGCGTGTACACACGGCAGAGTGGCTGAGCCAGGCTCCATGCGGCTCCGTGCGTGGGATGCTGTTGACTTTCACAGTTCTAACCTGTTTCCCCTGGAGCTCCCTAACTCCTTTTAGCCCTGGTTCTTGGTCCTAATCAGTACTTCTTCCATCTGTTATTATTTTTAATGCTTCATTTGTTCAAATGGCTAATACTTGTATACGGTATGAAAGTCAAAATATACATGGAGTCGGTCTCCCTCCCCCACCCCGTAGCCCCACTTGTTCCTCTCTGGTGGCGGCAGCTGTTACCAACGCAGCACTTTCTGCAAGTGTGTCTGGGGGCTCTGGGGGGACCAGCTCTTCTTGCTGCCCGTTGGAGTCAGCTGCTTGGGTCCAGTCCTCACAGTCACTGAGCTCTGATGTCGTGCATCCCCTTGGCATCTGAACAAGAGCTTCGAGCACACCTGTCCTCTTGGGCCTTCTGTGCCTGAGGAAAGGCACGTTCTGGCTTTGCTTCCAGCAGCCCCAATGCTGCTCCCACTCCAAGGCTGCCGCTTCTCCCTTCTCCTCTGCTCTGTGACCTCCAGTTCATGACCCCAAAGGCCTTGTCCTAGCCTCTGTCCCCTCCACTCTCATAGCAGTGTAGACTACAAGTGTGCCTCAATTTTCCCTCTGGAACTCTTAGTCCCAGGCTCAGCCCTGGCCACCTGATCCTCCTGCCACCTCTCTGAGTGTCCCTCTCCATCCCTGCTGCGTCATGCTAACTTCCTCCACGCATGCTCCAGGCATTTCTCTTCCCCTCTCTGGTTTCATTCATGCACTCCTCATCTCCATTGTGGAGGCGATGCTCAGATCCGGAACTCTACAATCGACCCTTTTGTCAAACTCCAGACTTTATTTGCAACTCTTAGGGACAGTGCCACCAGATTGTCCCTGGCCAGATGTTGTCTAAGAGTTTAAATCCCAGCTTGTGTTCTCTCTGACACTATCCCCTCCTCTGAAGTTTAGGATTTCTAAACATAGTTTCATCATTCCTCCAGTTACCTTTACCCCTCCACACATTTCCCTCTTCCCCAGGACTGCTCATTTCTTCCTTCACACTTCCTGCCATAACCTCCCTTTTATTTCAATCCCTACGGCGACCATCTCATGCCGAGACCTTTCTGGGCCAGCATGTGAATGATGTCAGAAACCTCTTACTGGTTTTTCTTTAGCTCTCTGCCTCTCTCCTCGGGTTACTTGACAGATCATCTTCGAGACAAAGTCCCCCAGTAGGGTTTTCTCAGGCCCTTCCCCTAAACAGGGTTTTGGTTTTTGTAGCCTTGATGAGCTGTTATGAAACAGACAAGGTTCTAAAAATCCATACCTATCCTGGCTTTCTGGTCTCAACTACTAAAACAAAATACTTGTATATACGTTTCTTGAAAACCACATTGCTGAAAGAAAACAATTATTTAGCCTGACATGACATCCAATTCAATCTCAAACAGCTCCCGATTTACCTTTTCCACATGTCTGCTGTCTGATTTTGGTTTTACCATGCAGGGATTATAGCGTAGTTTCTGAGACAAAGAACCCTGGACTCATTCTGCCCAACTTTGCATCCCAGATCTTCCAAATACCTGCTGTGTCACCTTGCAAAAGTTTTAAAAAACCCTTCCAAACTTTAATTTGTACACGTGTTAATTTAAAATGGTAATGATGACACCTATGAGGCAGGAAAATAGAGTCTGGAGGCGGGGAACCTAAGTCTGTTTCACATGGACTTCCTTGAACTAAATTGAAAGGAATTACTGTCACACCTAAGTATCAAAAGGACCAGAGGCTACTACTTTTGCAAACCCCCCACCTTTTTACCTAGCAGATGGGAAATTGGCTGTCCGCAACCAATCAGACTGATTGCAGGCGGAATCTTCGTTTGGATAGAAGTGCAACTTTGTAAGTTCACCTTAGCCTCTGATTGGTTTGCACAGGAATGTGACCTTTGTAACTTCACTTCAGCCTCTGATAGGTTGCTTTCTGCAACCAATCAGACCGATTGCAGGCCACCACTTCATTTACATGAGGTGAGCATGAAGTGGCCAATGGGAAGCCTCTCAGAGGTATTTGGATCCGAGAAGATCCTGTATCTGGGCCCTTGAGCTGTCACTCAGGCCTGCTCCCGCACACTCCCGCACTGTGGAGTGTACTTTCGTTTTCAATAAATTCCTGCTTCTGTTCTTTCATTGCTTCATTCTTTCCTTGCTTTATTGTGCAATTTGCCCAATTCTTTGTTCAAAACACCAAGAACCTGGACAACTTGCAGTCAAGACCCTCTACCAGTAATACCTATATTATAAATTATGCTGTGGATTAAATGAAATAATCAATATAAAATGTTTATCAGTTGCCTGGCATATAATAGTGCCAAATTAGTGTTCACTCTCAGTGTCACCTTTCCAAATATGAACCTCTGGTTAAGACAGAGCGACATACCCACTATCTGTCAAATAATGCCTTGTACATTCTTTCTTTTTTGGTTTTATTTGTGGTTCTTGGTCTATCTGAAAATCTGATCCCCACCTTTTTTTTTTTTTTTTTTGAGACAGGGTCTTGCTCTGTTGCCCAGGCTGGACTGCAGTGACTCCACCATAGCTCACTGCAGCCTCTTACTCTTGAGCTCAAGGGATCCTTCTGTCTCAGCCTCCCAAGTAGCTAGAATTATAGGTGCATACCACTGTGACCATATATCTATATATCTATATCTATATATCTATATCTATATCTATATCTATATCTATATCTATGTCTATATTAGAGTCAGTGTCTCACTTTGTTTCCCAGGCTGCTCTCGAACTCCTAGGCTCATGTGATCCTCCTGCCTTGGCTTCCTAAAGTGTTGGGATTATAGATGTGAGCCATCATGCCTGGCCTCTCTTTTTAAAGTCCAAATTATATTTAGACTTCATGAAACCTTTCTCTGATTCCCACTCCAGTGGAACAGCTCTGTATGGAATGGTAGTGGTGAAAAGGTGTCCTCATACCATTGTCCAAACCTATAGAATGTACAACAAAAGGAGTGAGCCCCAGTGTTAACTGTGAGCTTTCGTTCACAATAATGCACTGCCTTTCCTCCACCCTCTCCTGTCCAGTGCGCCCGAGGGAGGTGGGTGTGGAGGAATTGGAGTTTTTGGTAGCATGCACTGCAGCACTGCTTCTAGCAAATGCTGACCCTCCTGCACTCTGGCTCTGGCCCTGGTGTCTCCACAGCAATCATTGCAGTGAAGTTCTAGAGTTCTGCACAGGAGAAGGAATAAGAGGACAGGAAGAAGAGAGAGGGTAGAATGGAAGACTCCCACTTAAATCCTAACTTGTATGTCTGGCCTTGCATCCCCACCATCTCAGGGCCAATTGAGAACACCATGCTTGTCAGCAGGATGGAGGCTGAGCCCTCACCAGCTGTGGCCTCTTTTTTTTAAGGAAAAAAAAAGAGAGATAAAAATGCTGTGTCCAGAGGACAGGGTGGAGGAAAAAAAGGACAAAAATAAATAAAACATCAAATATGAAGATTCTCAGAGATAATGCATTTATAAACACAGAAACAGTTACAACAAAGACAGCCATGATGAGTGGGTATATACATATGTATACATGTATATGTGCAAATCCTTGTCCAGCAACCAACCAAGGCATCTAGGGAGCTAAGGCCAGTCTTTGCATTTGCCCTGAAGGCTCCCTTCTCCACAGCACCCCTCGTTTTGGGGTTTCATGAAGAACATAAAGCTCCATCTCTCCATTCTGCCCTGCTGGGAGCACCTGCCCCTGGGCCCTGGGTCCTGGACCCCTCCCTGCCCTCGGGATGGGTGTGGATGGAGGCCAAGTCAGAGCAGCTTAGCCCACGCATCCTGGTGGTCCCCATGCTGTTCACGGGGCTGACCCCTGCCAGTCCAGTCCCCTCAGGCTTTCTTGGGGCTACAGCCTGATCGGCTCTGAACCTCCCCATCTGGCTTCCCATGATTGTCTTTGCTCCTCCCTCTGCCTCACAAGTCCTGCAGGTGGTTCGTGACCTCTCCAAGAAGATGGTGTTGGCCTAACGAGAGGGAGGTAGAAGGTGATGGAAGTGGCAGTGTGGTTTCTAATCTCCCATCCCCCACCCCAACCCCTGCCCACACAGAGGGCCAAAAGAAGCAGCAATGCTGGAATCAGGGTTGCCTGAGATAAATGAACCTTAGGCCCTCTTCCCTACGGAGAATGATGACCATCAGAAAGATGGAATGACTTACGAGAGTGAAGGGAACTGTGGCAAAAGGAAATGGACAGAGCCTTGGGTTCCTGGATTCAGATCTCAGCTCTATCACAAACTTATTATATGACCATGGGTGTACCCTGCTTTATACAATAAGAGGGCTTCTGGAAAATGTTGACATCATATTATAAAGGTGCCAATGTGCTCACTAACATCCTACTGGAAGTTAGAGATGCTGATGTGCTCCAAGCCCCACACCAAGGTAAGCCCCACAGGTCCCACATTCCTCCAAGACCTTTGCCAACAGCTGCTACCCCTCCAGTACCTCTGTATTCACTCAGGGCCAAGCCCTACCACTGCTCCAACTGCCAGGGGGCTTCCCACCTCCAGCAGCACACACAGATCCAGGCCAGGGATGGTCCATGTGCATGTGCCCCCGGGATGTGAGAAGGCCTTCACATACCCTCTAGCTCACTGCCTCACACACAGCAGCACAGCAGACACTAGCCCTCCAAGTGCCACAGCTATCATCCAGCATGCATGGATGTGGCCTCATAGAGGGGCACCTGTCTACCTGTCTATGCTACAGTGAAGCACACCAAGGAGGACACCCAACTCTCTGCAGTTGGGCCTGTCCGTCTGAAACATCCCTTAGGAAACACAGGCACAAACACAGCCCTCCTGATCTCCAGCAGCATGGGCAGGTGGCAGTGACAGCAGCGGTGGCTCAGGCCCAGGTCCAGGCCTCCCAGACATAGCAGTAGCAGCCTTAGCCACCACCCATCCAGTCCCCTGCAGTATCCTCCCAGGATAGGGACAGCAATCAACCTTCCATCCCAGAGTCCCTTGACTTGACTCCCAGCAAGGTAGAGGGGCATCATAAGGACATCTGTTTCACTGTCACCACCGGCATCCTCCAGATGAGCACCTGGCCAGCTGCTCGTTGCTGGAAAGAGGAGAAAGAAGTTCTAGTCTCTTCTTTCTCCAGCATCTCTTGCTGGGAAAAGTCCTCTCCCTCCTTGACAGGTGCTGGCTCCATCCTTGGGCTTGAGGCATGGTCTTCCTTTAAAGGGTTCCAGCCTCATCCTCATTCTCTACCCTTCTCCAAAAGGAACATCAGCCCTCCTGGCTGGCCCAGGAGCACCGGGATGGTGGTGTCATCGAGCAACCTCCCTGCCCAAGCAAAGCTTTAAAACTGGGGCTTGGTGCTCCAGGGAGGAATTTGCTGTGACTTCATAGAAAAGTCAAGTGTTAGCACTGACCCCCTACCCCCTCTTCCTCAAGGTTTGGGCCTATGGAGGACTAGCGGCTGGCCTTCCCCGATATCAGACAGAAGGAAACCCTAATGCAGCCAGCTTCCTCTTCTGCTCTTGCCTACAAAAGAACAGAGGTTTCTCATGTGCCCCAACCCCGGGACCCATTTTCTTCCCCTCACAATCTCCCCTTACTTCCTACCTGCTCTGGAAGAAGGAGATTTGGGTGGGGAATAGATCTCCTTTTTATCTGTAAAGGGACAAGGGCTATGATATGGTTCCCAAGGGGCCAAGATTCCCAGGGTGGTCAAGGGTGTCTTAGAAGTGTGGGTTATGGTTTTCCTTGGATCCTCCCTCTCCCTTTTCTGCCAGCCAAGACCTTCTCATCTCAATATCCCCCGCCCAGCCCCCAAGGAGCTGAGGGAGTTTTATGTACTCCATGAAACCCCAGAAAAGGGGCTGCTGTGGAGAAGGGAGCCTTCAGGACAAATACAAAGACTGGCCTTAGCTCCCTAGATGCCATAGTTGGTTGCTGGGCAAGGATTTCTACATATATATGTGTACATATGTATATACCCACTCATCATGGCTGTCTTTGTTGTAACCATTTCTGTGTTTATAAATGCATTATCTCTGAGAATCTTCATATTTGATGTTTTATTTATTTTTGTCTTTTTTTCTCCACCCTGTCCTCTAGACACAGCATTTTTATTTCTCTTTTTTCCCTTAAAAAAAAGGCAGATTTCAGAGAACAGCCCAAATGAAAAAAAAAAGCAAAAAAAAAAAAGCAAGAAACCAGTTGTTATAAGGCAATTTAAAAATGAAGGGAAAGAATTTACACACAAACCGAGGGGTGATTTTAGAATATCGTATGGAAATAAATTTGTGCAGAAGAAAAATGTATAGTATATCAATTTTGCCTCATCAATCGTAACAAATATACCACACCAGTGCAAGATGTTAATAATAGGATGGACAAGGAGGGGTATATGGAAGCTGTCTGTACTTTTCACTCAATTTTTCTGTAAACCTAAAACTGCTCTAAAAAACAACGTCGATTAAAAACAAAGATCTGACTTGTCTCCATGTGAGCTCCTCCAAGGCAGGGATTATTTTTACTCATTTCTTTATCTTCAGCCTGAGGCTGGTCTGGCTTGAGGATACATAAAGGACACCCTTCATCACATCATGTTGTGAATTCTTCTACTGTCTTTTAATCCTACAGTCAAGAGACAACGTAGTGTTTTTGTTTTGTTTTGTTTTTGTTTTTGTTTAATAAAAGCATGAAATTAGAAAGTCTGGGTTTAAACCCTGGCTTCTTTTTATTTGCCTAGTTATGTCAACAAGTTATTTAACTAAGACAAGTTATTTAACTTCTTCGAGTCTCAAAGAAATTAAATTATTATCTGTAAAATGGGGATGATCATATTTATCCATTAGATTGTTGTGAAAATTAGAGCAAGAGAAGCCCTAAGCCAATAGTTGGTATCTCATTATTAAAGTTAAAGCTTTGTTTCTTTTCTTTTCATTCTTTTTTCTTTTCTTTTTTTTTTTTTTTTTTTTGAGATGGAGTCTCACTCTGTTGCCCAGGCTGGAGTGCAGTGGCACAATGTCGGCTCACTGCGAGCTTCGCCTCCCAGGTTCACGCCATTATCCAGCCTCAGCCTCCGGAGTAGCTGGGACTACAGGCACCCGCCACCACGCCCAGCTAATTTTTTGTAGTTTTAGTAGAGATGGGGTTTCACCATGTTACCCAGGATGGTCTCAATCTCCCGACCTCGTGATCCGCCCACTTCAGCCTCCCAAAGTGCTGGGATTACAGGTGTGAGCCACGGCGCCTGGCCAGCTTTATTTCTTTATTGCCAATTGACTTATCGAAGGAACAAGTTCTTGATAAAATATTATAAAAACAAAGAAGAGGTGATTGCTTTCTTGACCAAAAAGTGTGGCCAGAATTGGAAAGAAGGTCAGATTATTTTGTGATGAGGATAGACATAGAGAGCATCTTCAGATATGTTATTGCCTATAACATGGACTAAGCTCTGCAAATGGTAGCTGAATCTGAAATACTGTTGCATAATTGTGTTAGTGGTTAGTGTTTAGTGTACAAAGGTTTTCACTTAAGTCTTCATCTTGCAGACACAACGTCTGAAACACATGACCTCTAAGGTCACTGTGGTAGAAGATCAGGCCTAGAAATGTCTTGCATCATGTCCATTCATCCTATTGGTAGAGCTCATTCATTCATATCCATTCATCCTATTGGTAGAACTCATTCACGTGGCCCTGGCCTTACTGCAAGGGAGCCTGGGAAATAAGATTTTCCTTTGTGTGTTTAGAAAGTGGAAATGGAGTAGTAAGCACAGAGCACAGTCTCCACACGATCATCCTAACAAAAGCCTTCAGTTTCGAAAATGATTTTTTCAATTCAATTCTGTACTGGTGCAAATGAAAATGTCTAAGTGCTTTTGCTTGAAAATAAGATATTGATTATTTCAAATAGTGGCTGAATTGAAAGACCAAGAAGAGAAAGGGTGATCTCCCTGTAATTGAAAGAGAGAAGACCAATTTCTTCTATAATAAATTATTTGAAGTAGGGCTTCGACATTTTAATAATGATAAAGAAAACCGTCTCGTTCACTTCAGCCAATCCCCAAAGAAAATGGTCTTCTCTGAAACTATGGAAAAAAATGTCAAAAGTGAAAATCCATCTCTGTCTGCAAGTTAAAAGTGAAGAATGATATAATTTTGCCAAAGAACCAAAGCCAGAAGTCACTGTGAGATGTGGAACTAGAATAACTGGAGGAACTTCCCAAGTTTAGACCACACTCAACACACACATTCACTTCACTCCTTGGTAGAAGTTCATTAAAACAATTGGATTGACAGATGACCAGATCAGTGTTTTCATCTTTAGCCCGCATAGTCCAAAGCAAATACATAAATCAATGAGAACATCTTGAGGAACCAAGTGGTCTGGAATCCTTTGGTTTATCAGAATTTCAATTACTCTTATTATTTGTTTGATTTAGCAAAGCCAGCCTAATTTAATTTGTACATTTATGATAATACTCTTTTGGTGCTAGATAATCATCTTGTAGCTCATTAGGTAATTTTCATAACAAATATTTATCATCAAACCTACTCAATCCCAGCCCAGCCAGCGGAGGTGCAGAGGTGACCAGCGTGCCTCTTGTTCCCCACCCTCTGTTCACACACAGAGCCCAGGCACAGGACTGGGTCCATGGAACAGGCCAGATGCAATGGTCTTCTTTCTATTTGTGCACGATTTCTTCCTCAAGTACTCATCTCCTCCCTCTTACTAGCTGTTGAAAGCAGAATCATAGCTTCCTCACTCACAAACTATCCAGAGAGTTACAGAGATTTTTATAAACCTTTTGGCATGGTGACTCCCTTGTTGTAAACTCTGTTATTATTTGCTTCCTCTCCTGTTTGCCATGATATCATAGTTTGGAAAGGGGGCTCCCAAGGGCAACAGCTAAGCCTTCCAGAGGCCATGAAAGGAAGACAAAGGAAATGAAGCACTCACTGAGCACCTTTCATGGGCCAAAGATCTCAGCCACATCTGCTTCAGATTCAGGATTCCCTTTATCCTCTGCAGGAAGCTGAGGGAGAAGGTATTATCTTCCTCTTGCAGATGAAGAGTTTGAGGCTTAAAGAGGGTGAGAGTCTTGATCAAGGTCAAGGTCACACAGCTGGTAGGCTAGAGCTGGGATTAGATCTTATATCCACAGAGTTCCGTGGCCAGTGCTCTTTCTGCTACTCTCTGCTGCATCCCCCGAAGGCAGCAGTGACACAGGTGGAAGGATGAGGTGGCAGCAACCACACCTGGCCCTGTGAACAGTGCAGTCCCAGAGGGGAGTGGCTTCCTAACGCCAGCCTGCCTCCAGGAATCTGCTCACCTGCCACACACTTCACCCACCCGAGGGCCTCTGCTCCTCACCATGGAGTCCCATCTGCTCTCTGACCTGGAGAGCCCCAGGAGGATCTGCAGCTGGTCATACCTGTTAGCTTCAAGGCAGCCTCCTCTTGCTGGCTGTGATCTGGGAGTCCTGCTGGGTTTGGAGGGAGCCGTGCTGGGCAAAGCAGAGGCCGGTAGCTGCACCTGGAGGAAGGCCATGCTAGGGACCCCTTCCCCTGGCTGCACAGTCCCTACCCCGCCACTCTGTCCCTGTGAGTTGTTCCATGGGAAAGGACATTGCATTTGTGTCTCCAGGCCGGAAAGGGAGGAGAGAGTGAAAGGTCCTGAAGGGGAAAGCCTCCAGTGCAGAGGGACCCATTTGTTCCCACTTAGACCCCCGTCCTTGGCACAGCCTTGGGCACTGTTGTTGGCTGAATAAACCTTTTCTAAGGGTCTTCTGAATTCACCCTCCTCCACACTCTCTGGCTCTGTCTGCATACACAGTTTACTTCTTCTCTGTTATTTCTGTTTGTGTAGGAGATTTTGGGGGTCAGTGGGGGTAAGGGCCAGTGAGTTAGAGGAATCCAGGAGGGGACAGTGGGGAGAAAAGAGGAACCTGGGCCTCTCTAATCGCCTTTGCTTTCCCCTGAAATCTGGCTTGGATCCTGCTGTTTCGCTACCCAAGTTTCATGGGGCTGTTAGGTGGCCACTTCGCTGTGATCCATGGAAGTCTCCACACATTCCATAGCTGAGAGCTTAGGAGCTCAAGAGTCCAGTGGTGCACTGAGCCTTATCCTCACGGAGCACCACGGAGCAGAGCGGGGAGCAGCTGCTGAGGTGGTTGCAGGGAACTGGGCTCCAGCCCAGGCCTCACGTCCTCCCTCTCTGCCTCTCTTCTCTCACCGGCAGTCTCTCATCTGTAGGTGGAGGGGTTCACCAGGTGATTTCTGAGGTCCCTCCCAACCCCAGTATTTCTTAATTTCTGAGCTTCCTTAAGAGGTACACTGCAGCCCTTGCATTCCTTTGACTGGAGGCGACACAACTCTTCAAAGCTACAACCGTGTTCTTGTAAATCAACCTGCAGCCTCTCTAGAGTACATATGGACACATAGGTATCCTTTAAATTCCTGTGAACATTTTACATGTATTTTCTTAGAATTGGCATTGGCCCTCACATGAGGCCATGCCCTCACTATGAACCCAGCCCTTTAATCTCTTTCTTTGTCCTTGCAGCCCAGCCTAAGGGCTGTCTCTCCATTTCCAGGTACTGCTGCCACCGTTTATGTATCCAAGTCACTGCAGAGCCAGTTGCTGTTGACCAGCTAATCCAGTACAGCTTGATTCAGCATATATCCAACACCTGTATGTGTAATTCACTGGTTTAGGGCTCAGAGTTATCAAAGAGAGCTGTGCATGGTCCCAGCCCTTGAGGAACCCACAGCCTGGTAAGGATTGGACAGTGACAGAGGTGGCATGTGGGAGGGAATAAGGCAATGCACAGACAACCTAATTCTAGGAAATCAAGGACTCTCTTTTCCAAAATTTTTATGGGTCCCATTCCCACTGGCCATGCTGGGCCTGGAGCATGTGTGGATGTGGCCACATAGGACCCTCTGTCCAAAGCAGAAAATAGGAGCTCATTCATGGCCCTGGGGCTGGAGACATGGCTTCTACCTGCCTTTTCCACTTGTCACAGCGAGAGAGGCTTCTACCACATATTTTGCTGGGGTGAGACCATATACTGCACATCTGTGGGGTGTGGTGGAAGGAGCTCCAGAGGGCAGCCTGGAGGTCCAAGACCCAGCCCGGCCTTTGCACTCACTGGCCGTGTTAGCTTCGTCATGTCCTGACCTCTCTAGCATGTCCTGACCTCTCTAGGACAGCATACATGTCCTCATCTGTGCACAAAGTGGTTGGAAGAGTTCATTTCTGAGGTCCCCTCTGGATTTGCTGCTGTGGCTACCCAAACTCTGTTCAACCCCATGAGCTCCCGACTTCATGCACAAGGGGAAAACCCTCAGCCTCCAGCCTCCCCTTGAGCCTCCAGCTCCCTCTTCTAGGTGGGAGGGTCCCTCTCTTTGGGCTCCTGTGGGAAAGAAGCAAACACTATCAACCCTTACTGGTCTCCTGGAAAATGGTCCCTCCAGGCTTCTTTTTGTCCCAGCCTGGCTTCCTTCCCTCCTCTCAGTACACCTGTGCACATGCTTGCCTTCTCCCTAACCTCATCCCAAGTGCCACTGTGAATCAGGGAATTGAAACCGTTTTTCATATTAAGCAAAGCATCTGCCACAAAATCCCATCGCACCTTTAAAATCCAATTAGCAGTGATTTGGGAGGATGTTCTTTTTTAGGACTGGATCATCCATTTGCTCCATTAGAATAATTGCAAGTTGACTTGAACAGGCACTGAGATCCCCAATGTAAAGCCCTGTCAGGGCCCTTTAGGAGCCACCTCTATGAGAAAGATGACGTTGATGTGGATAAGCAAAGTGCAATGGAGACCCGGTGGCACAATGAAGTTATGAAGAAGTTACTTCATAGCTTTTTATTGGGCAGTGGTCTTGTGAATGTCTCAGGTAGGGAGGTACTATTGGGGATAATGGCACCTGTTAGGACAGTGGATGCTGGTGTGTGTGCATATGTGTGTGCATTCATGTGCGTGTGTATGAGTATGTGTGTTTGTGAAGTTAGAAAGAATGTGGTTGGTTAGGGCTTCCAGGCTTCCAAATGCCTGGAAGAAGGTGAGTTTTTATATCAGCTCCAGCATCTGTAGGAAAGCCGGAGAAGAACACTAGCATCCCCAGCATCCCTTCTGTGGAGCTGAACCCCTCAGCCTCTCCAGATAGGGGATCCTTGTTTTCATCCCTGGAGACCCAGCCCTCTTGCAAATGGCTCTCCATAGAGGCAATGTCTCCAGAGAGACTTAATTGGCAATGCTTCACTGAGCACAGAAACCTGGGATATGACAGTTCCTGCTCTTTAAATTGTCAAGGAAGGCAATGTGCTCTGAACTGCAGCTGCTGGGAGTGCAGGGGGACCCATCTTAGAGTCTCCTCCGCCTTCCAGCCTCTGCTTCTGAATGTTCTGGGAACAAGAAACAGCAACAGAGAAATGAACAGGTAGATGGAGCACGATGAGCAACATAAGCTCAACGAGCCTTTTTATGGTCAGGCCATGAGGATCCTGGGGAAGGCAAACCTGGCTTTGCTATCCAGTGCCAGGACCATGTGAACTGAGTGCAGCTGACACTCTGTGGGCACAGCCGGGGCTGAGCCATGTTTTGGCTGTTTCCCCATGGTTCTGCCCCTTGAAGCATAAAGTTGTGTCACCTGGTGATCCAAGTCTTGATGATTCAGGGCTCTTTCTGGGGTGAGACTTCATCTGAACAGCTGTCCTAGGGCTGGGATGATAGGGAGCCAGGAGGCACATGTGTGGAGACCTCTCTAGGTTTTCCCACTAAGGGAAGGAGAGTCCTGGACAGGGCTGGGGAAAGGAAGGAATGTGATAGCGGACAGATGAAATCAGGAGCAGAGGCAGCAAAAGATTAGGACTTGGGTGAAGAAAGGTAGAAATAGGGCCATGTGCGGTAGCTCATGCCTGTAATCCCAGCACTTTGGGAGGTTGAGGTGGGCAGATCATGAGGTCAGGAGTTGGAGACCAGCCTGACCAACATGGTGAAACCCCATCTCTACTAAAAAACAAAAATTAGCCAGGGGTGGTGGCACGCGCCTTTAATCCCAGCTACTCAGGAGGCCAAAGCAGGAGAATAGCTTGAACCTGGGATGTGGAGGTTGCAGTGAGCCAAGATTGCACCACTGCACACCAGCCTGGGTGGAAGAGCGAGACTCCATCTCAAAAAAAAAAAAAAAAAAAAGGTAGAAATAGGTGAGGTCGTGAGTAAATCCTAAAGAAAGTTTTCCTAGAGGGTTCTTAATTGAGAAGGATACCATGGAAGGCTAGGATCAGTTCATGACCTTGACATATTTACTCGGAGCTTGGACCAGTCCATTATTTTCTATTTCATATGCCACATCTGAAACACTTTTGATTCATCCAGTTTATTTCTTAGCCTGACCTTTGTTAGTAATTTCCTTGAGGACAGTTGTTATGTGTGCATTTATTATGCAGCCAGGGCATAGGAAGCAGGGAAATGCCCATTCCACTCTTCCCTTCCTCTTGCCGTAGTTTTTAAATAATAAGGCTCCTTCTGTTTTCTGTTTTTGTGCATTGTCTTCTGAAAGCAGATGGGGGAAATAAATCAGGTAGGGAAATAGGAAGAAAGTAAACTGCTGTTCTTCAATTAGATTAGGACAGAGTACTTCCTGGGACAGCATACAAAGTAATTATATATTTGTTGAATGAAGTATCCAGAGATCCCAGGATCAAATTTGGGAATGTATAGCCAAAAGGACATAGAAAAAAAATCATCTTTTTTGGTCTCCCACTGACTTGCCCTTGGCCTCTATGTAAAGTTGCTGGTGCATCCTCAACTGCCAACTGCTGTAGTTTTATTTCACATGTCTGTTGTGTGTGCGGGACTCCTAGCCTCACCACTCTATCTTGTGAAGCTGGGGCTTTCACAATGTGGTTCATGCCTCCAGGACACACAGTCCTAGAGCTTTAATGTATACCAACCTATGACACTCCTCAATTCATCCTTGCTAATCAATTGGTCTCTAATTACCTCCATTAGCATTCTTATTAGCTCCACATCAGGAACTCTGAACCTGTGGACTCTTCTCTTTAGCGATCTCTGCACCTGCGGTCCTATCAAAGCAAGATCTGGGCCTTAATATTTATAAACATTAGGCTAATTTCAATTAGCTCTCTCCTGCTCCTTTTCCTCTTCTTCTTCCTCCTTCCTGCTCCCCGTCATTGCCCGTGTGGATTAACATTTACACTCTTCTGGCTTAACTTCTACTGTGGATATCCAGTCTTATCCAGCCGTGAGATACAGGCATAGGAGTTTCCAAAAAAATCTTCACTTTACAGCAGGTTGATTTAGACCCAGCAAGGGCTGGCCAGGCTCACATGGACAGCACACCTCTATTCAGTGAGCTTTCTCAGTCTTCTTAGAACCCATAGTACCAAACACCATTTACAACAGAGTAGGTGCTCCATAAATCTGTGGCTGTACTGCAAAATATTGGAATATGTTCTCTCTTGGAAATATTCTGTTCTTCAGCATCTTCTCCTTAATCCCCATATGATCATGACCATCATCATCATCACCACCACCACCACCACCACTGCCACCACTATCTTCATCATCTTAGAGCTCCATAGTGCTGAAACTCACAGCCATAGTGGCTGATGGAAAAATCCATGCACAGGGAGGAAATGTGACTATCTCAGCTGATAGCCCTCTGCATCTGAGGCAGAGCATCCTGCCCTGACACGTCTGTGTAGCTGTGGCACCGCCATCTGGAAGCCTCTTCTCCCACCTTTAATGCTGTCAGCCAAGCTAGTTGATTAGTTTCTTCCATTCAGTTGCGTCCTGCCGCTCTCTTGCTGCAAAAATGTTCAGAGAACAGATTGCATAGATGAGCACATTTCAGAACTTGGTCTGTTTACTTCCCTCTGTTTCCCATCCTGTGCTGGTGGGTGGTCTTATGCGACAAGCAAGGTTAACAACGCCTTCCTTGGGCTGATCCCTCCTATAGTGAGCACGGGGAGAATGAGGCATCTCTCCCTAGTTACAAATGCTGCAGGCCTCTCCTACCTTAGTTCAGATTCAAGGACCGAGAACCGAAGGTGGAATGCCCACAGTCCTCCATGGTGAACAGATAAAGCAAATAGGATCCAGCTGGGTTTCCATGAGCCCAAGTGGCTTGTGTACCCTGATTCCTAACCTTGAGCACAACTGTACCCAAGAAGACGCTTGGAACTCTGGAAGATCCAGATGCTAATTAAGTAGGGAAGGGCTATGGGGAGCCACCATGATGATCATTCAACCTAGATATTCCCTATGTTCTCACAAGCCTCTTTTGTACTGGACAACTCCACAAAACCATCCAGCATAAGCACTGATGATCAGAGAACTCTGATCTTTATGGGGAGTAAGCAAACTCCACATTTTCTAGATCCAGGCAAGGAACAATACTTAAGTATTGCCTACACTGAATGGGGCTAGAGGTTAGCTTATTTTGCAATTAAAATGAAGTGTGGTTCTATTTATATAAAGTTCTAGAACAGACTAAGAGTCTATTGCAGAAAAGGTCAAGAAGGTGGTTGCCTTGAGGTATCCGGGGGAGGGAGGAGGGAATTCCTGAAGAAGGGCCACTAGAGAATTTTCAAGGGTGTTGGCAAAGTTCTGTATCTTCATGTGGATTTGGGTTGCAACAGGTATCTGCATTTATCAACATTTAGCAAATGTACTCTTAAGATTTGTGCATTTTATCATATGTAAATTGTACCTCAAAGGAAATCTGTAACAAATCTTGAAATCTAGTTAATGATATCCATGCTGGAGTATTTAGGGAGAAGTGTGCTAATGCTTATAATTTATTTTAAAATGCATCAAAAATAGGACAGAGTGATGGATGGATAGAGGGATGTACAGACGGACAGGAACATGAGAATGCACATATAGGAAAATGTTAATGGAAGAATTTAGTTGGTGGAGAGATGTGTGTTTGTTGTAAAATCCTGTCAACTTTGCCTTATGTGTGACTTTTCATAATAAAATGTGGGGATGAGAATAAGATGGGGCAACTTGAAGGAGGACAGAAGTCTTTTCCTAATTATTTTCACTTTTGTGTATCACTGCTGAAACAGTTTTAAATTCATAATTATCCCAGCTTCACTGGATTCAAAAGGGTCAGATGCCACAATTTTATTTTAAAGCATCAAGTACCAACAACAGACACTGAAGACAAAACTGCTTCTTCATCTCATTAAGGGATAAATGTACCTGGAATGAAAATAAATCCCAAGGCCCCAAGTGGCTCATTCAGTGCAACCTCAAAGTCAGAGAAATCAGGGAGATGCTATGAAGGCAGCATTACACCTTGCAGGAGAATGCAGGGTTTGGAACAGAATGTTCCAGGTGGCATCATGTGAGATCACGAAATCAAGATACTTCAAAAAATATCCTTTATGAAGCTGAGAAATTTGTTTTCATCCTAACCTCAATAAAACTGACTCTAGCCAGATGCAGTAGCTCACGCCTGTAATCCTAGCACTTTGGGAGGCTGAGGCCAGCAGATTGCCTGAGCTCAGGAGTTTGAGACCAGCCAGGGCAACATGGTGAAACCTCATCTCTATTAAAATACAAAAAATTAGCCGGGTGTTGTGGCGCATGCCTATAATCCCAGCTACTTGGGAGGCTGAGACAGGAGAATTGCTTGGACCTGCGAGGCAGAGGTTGCAGTGAGCCAGCCTGGTCCATCCTGGGTGATAGAATGAGACCCTGTCTCAAGAAACAACAACAACAAAAACAACAACAAAAACTGACTCTACTAAGAAACTGGAATCCTTGCTAGGCGATGAGAGAATGCCAATGTCTGGCCTGTTCAGATTCACTCGAGGTAACTGCTCTGCCCCTCTGGCTAGTATCTGACCCTCCTGTACACCTTTGCAGATGTGACTCTAGTAGCTGGGTTGTCATGGAGAAGTTGTGCTCTTTGCTCTTGACTCAAGTCTAGAATAAAGTTTGAAATTTTTCATGCAGTTTGCATCTTAGATCCAAAATGAGTCTTGCTATGTCACCTGAATAATTGTGGATCCTTACAGCTCAGTCTCTCTACAGAATTGCATGTAAAAAGGTACAGAAAGACATCAGTAAAATGGCAATATAGAAGGAATTTCAGACTTTACTTGTATCTCTCAAAGAACATCTCTTTAATGTTTAACACATTCTCAAACCCATAGCAATTATTGAAAGCTCTTTGTTTCTGTTCAATTAATTCTTGTTTATTTTGTACCTCTCCAGAACCTACAAACAAATCCCCCAAACTCTCTCCTTTTTATTTTTGTCTCTTTCTTTTCTAGTTTTTTAAAAAAATGTATAGGATCTTAGCCTTTCTGGCTCAGATCTTCCTGCTTCCCCTCACCTCTAACCTCTCTGATTCTATCCACCTATTTTCCTGATTGCATCTAAAAAGATGTGAGAACCTGGCTGAAAATTTTTCCTTTGGAGTTTATATGTGTGTGCAGGGGTAGTGAGAGGGCAGGTGGTTGTGAGGGATAGAGGGAGTTGTGGGGGCAGTGGGAGAGAACAGAGGCAGTTCTGGATGACCAGAAGTTTGAAGGGTAAGAGAGAGGCGATGAAATGATGGGGTAATAAACATTATTTTTATAGTGTGTACAAGTTGTCTTTCCCAACACTTTATACAAGGTAAACACTCAAGGACAGTTCCTTCTTCCCAGCCGCTTCCTTTGTCTTCTCTTACTTTAAGGTGAATCTCTCCCCTAGAGCATATTAATTGTTCAGTTTCTAGAGATGTTTTTGTTCAGTGGCTTCCCTGGGACCATATCATTATAACTCCTGGTACCAAAACGATCACAAGCAGTTGGAGTCTTCTCTTCCTTTTTCTAAGAAACCCCAACCGAGATCATGGAGGTGGCCTCAAGAGATGAGTATCTCTCTCCACCAGCTGTGAGCTGATCAGAGTGAGAGTGGAAGTTGTTGCAAAAAAGAAAGAATTGATTTGGTTGTCCAATAGTGAGCAAGATAAAAAGCTACTGACTTGAGAGCCTGACTTTCTTTGATCAGGGCTAAAGCTCCCTTCACGGACCCTCATTCCTAGACTCGGCCATCTGCATCTCCTGGCTGGTGGCGTAGGGAAGGGCAGGCAGCGGGCAATGGGAAGGCCTTGCCTTGCTGGTTCTGTGAGTCACGCTAAGGGGCTGGGGCTGAGCATCGGTTCTCAATCTTTCCATGAGACAGTGAAAGTCCTTGGCAGCCTGGAAAAGATGAGGAATTGAACAGGAATCATCAGAGCCTGGTGTTTATTATATTCAGCTTCTTGCCTGTATTAGTCCATTTTCATGCTGCTGATAAAGACACACCTGAGACTGAATAATTTATTTAAAAAAAGAGGTTTAATGGACTCACAGTTCCACGTGGCTGGGAAGGCCTCACAATCATGGCAGAAGGCAAAGGCACATCTTACATGGCGACAGGGAGAATGCGAGCCAAGCGAAAGGGGAAACACCTTATAAAATCTCATGAGACTTATTCACTACCACAAGAACACTATGGGGGAAACCGCCCCCATGATTCAATTATCTCCCACAGTGCCCTCCCACAACACTTAGGAATTATGGGAGCTCTAATTCAAGATGAGATTTGAGGGGGGAACAGCCAAACCATATCATTGCCCATTCCCTCTTTCTACCAGCTTCAGAGCCATTTTCCTTTTCTTGCAGCAGGGATGGTTTGCAGCAAGTTGCTGCAACGAGATGACTTGGCTGGGGCTGGAGAGATGAAGGGACTGGTGGGGGCAAAAATCCTCCTGCTCACTGATGATTTCTAATTTGAGGGAAGCTGAGTCTGTGTAGGGCAAAGTACCTGAACTGTGATTGGTTTGATGTGTTTGCCCATGATGTGGTTTCCCCCAAGAAGCCCATTCAAGCTGAGAAGAGGACCGGTAGGATGGCAAGGTCAAAATAGACTGCAGGTATTTAAAAGAGAACGAAACAAACAAACAAAAACCACACCACCATGTCTTGGAGGGGCTACTTTCAAAACTGAGAATGACATGTTAGCCTAACTCAGAGAAATTCTGTGGGCCCGATCCAGAGGTGCCACCATTTTGGATCAGATGGGTGAGAAGAGAAAAATTCTGGCTCGGTGAGGTGGACCTGGAGTCCAGACAGAAAGGATATATCTTCACCCTGAATAGAAGAGCTTTGAGAAAGAGGCTCACTAGGGCCGAGGGAAGTAGAACAGGAAAATTAAGAAAGTAAAACTGGGAATGGCAGTAAAAATCCAATTTATATGGTAATCTATGCCAGGCTAACAAGCTGACATGGGCACAGCTGGGACCAGACCACTGATTTATTTGGGTGCAGCATGCGCCCTGACAGCTCCATGCCTACCCTCAATAGGAGGCTCTACAGTCCAGGGTGCCAAAGCCTGGTAGGGGAATACCTCTGAGAGGCCTGGGGGAGGGCATGGGGTTCAGGGAGCAGAAGATCTTGATCTCATGAGTGGGAGGCAGCCTCAAGGGTAATGCCAAGCTGGGGAGGCAGGCATGGGGGCTGGCCCAGTCGCTGTAAGACTCCTCACCCTACCCCCGCCCTCCGCGGGGGTGGGCACGGCCACTGGCAAGGCCCCGTCCTGTGCTGGCCTCCCTTCTGTTTGGGTCTGTGAATCAAGGAGGCCCGGGTAACCATGGCTCGACTCCCCCAGCCCCAGGAATCTGAGTGTCCTCTTGTGTGACTTCAGGAGAGCAGAGCCCGTGTGCACCTGCTGGATCCCGTCACTTCTGCTCAGGATCTCACTTGGAAGTCAGTGGGAAGGGTGGCTGTGAGCTAGTTTTGTTTTTTTCTTTCTATTGGGTCCCTTTGGTTTTAGTAACTTGTTTCCCAAAATGTTGTTCTCCAGAGAATCCCAGTTCCCTTTCAGGGTCTCTGGGCCTGTGTTCCACCTTTCTGAGGCATAGCCAGCTACCAAAATGGGAGGAGGCTTTCTGGCCCTCACTAGTGACCAGGCCGGCTCCGGTCTCCCTGCTGTGATCCTGCCCCAGCCAGCCTGCCTGGCTTTCTGGAGCAGGGTACCTTCTGTCACACCTCCAGGGAGGGGTTGCCCTGGAGACGGAGGACGGGGTGTTAACAGCCACCTGAGACAGCCGGATTTCACCGAGTTTGGCGGAGCTGGGCTCTCTCATATGTATTTAGAAGTGACAGCTGTAATGCAGGGAGGCAAGGGAACATGAGTAGCAATTTTCTCCTGTGTCTCTTGCTTTCTGCACCCCCACGCCTGGATGTGAGGGAGCACACGAAGAGGGAGCAGCACAAAGAGTGTATGCCCCCAGCTGTTGGCGAGTGGGAGGAAAGAAGGAGGCTGAGGGGCTCTCCTAAGGGAGAGAGGTGTCCAAGGAAAGACCCCAGAGATCCACACTAGGGCTTTGTTGAAAACCCTTCCTCCTGTCCCTCCACCACCAGGGACAGGTGACGGAACACCACAAGGCAAAGGGAGAGAGGAAGACCCCAGAGGCCATGACTGGGGCAAGCAGGAAGTGAAGGCTCTAATGTTAGACCTGCCTCAACTGTTGACCTTGGGCAATGTCTTGATTCTCCCAGATGTCAGGGCCTAAGTGTCTATGGCCGAGCAGGGGGACGGGTTTTCTGAGCTCTGGGTGACTGCTGATTTTCTCTGATGGGTTCAATAACCTTCTATATTCTCTGTGTAACTTATCTACCCTCCAAGATGCAGCTCAAATCTCGGCTTCTCTGAAGAGACTTTGCTGTCTGCTCCATCTGTGGAGTTCCTATGGCAATGATACTTTTCCTGTTCATTTGGCAATTCATCATGAACTGTCTTGTAGCATTTCTTTCTGCCACCATCAAAGTGCAGCCAAGTCATCTGTTTAACTTTCACCATGTTTATGGTCTATTTAGTTATGCCATAAGCTCTGAAGGGCAAAGTCCAGGCCTTCTATGGTCTAGTATGTTCTATACCCAGAACAGTGAAGATTCTATATTTAATGGGAAGGCAAAGCAAATGCCAATTCTATGTCACAGCCTCTTTGGAAAAGCCTTGTCTGGGTCGGAGACGGGGTGCAGACAACCTTCCTTCTTGCTGAGTTGATGGGAAGTTGAGTTGAGGGCAAGATTATCTTTCCTGGCTGTCTCTCAGGTCACATTCTCTGCTAGGAGAATGCCCCGAGCTGGCAGCAGGGGCAGGACTGGCCTCAATGCACCTCTTGCATCCCATCCCATATTTCTGCAGTTCCCACTGGTGAGGGCTGGGCAGTGGGGAAGGGGGGCTCTCTCACATTGGCTTTGCCCCAGATGACCGCTTGCTCTCAGGTGTCCATAACTGGAGTCTTACCTTTATTCAGTACCTCCCTCCCACCCCACCTGCCCATGCAGGCTGTTAGCTTGATTCCAGAAGAAAAGAGTTACACTTTCCATAAAATTTTGTGGAAAGAGATTCTAGTTGATGCAATAATTCTATTTTTAAAAAATAGGCTGGGCACGGTGGCTCAGGCCTGTAATCCCAGCACTTTGGGAGGCCGAAGTAGGTGGATCACCTGAGGTCAGGAGTTTGAGAGCAGCCTGGCCAACATGGTGAAATCCCATCTCTACTAAAAATACAAAAAAGTAGCTGAGCGTGGTGGCGCATGCCTGTAATTCCAGCTACTCTGGAAGCTGAGGCAGGAGAATCCCTTGAACCCGGGAGGCGGAGGTTGCAGTGAGATTGTGCCAGTTTGGGCAACAAGAGCGAAACTATGTCTCAAAATAAATAAATAAATAAATAATAATAAATAGAAGAAGAAACTTTCAGACAATTCCAGGTTTTCTAGGAGTGCCATGTGAATTAGTGAGCTCCCCAGCACAGAGGTGGGGAAGCCACTGGTGGAGGGGAGGCACGCCAGGCCTGGACCCATGGTAGGATGGCTTCTGCCTGTCCCTCACCAACGCCAGCTCAGTCCCTGGGAAGTAGCAGAGCACTCATGCTCCAGAATCATGCCTTGGGAGAGAGCTGAGAAGATGGAGTGCTTCAAAATAGAGCAGTCTCTCTTCTCCTCTCCATCCTGCTCTCTTGTCTTACCTCTCTCTCTCTTTTCTTATGGTACTGTTATTTTTTCCTTTGAGACAATAGACCCTCCCTGTGTTCCATGTTCCTGCCCCCTCTCTACAAAAAAAAAAAAAAAAAAAAAAAAACCTCACAAAAACACCCCTGCTTCTGGGGTTTTGTCATGTAGCTGGACAGGCTTTGGATCTGCAAGCGACTGTTTATTGAATTCAAGCCTGTGTCTGCTGCAAACACCAGCTGGATCATTGCATCACAAAGTGCTCAAAGGCTGTCTCTGCAAAGAGGAAAGATAGTCGATGGTGTTGGCTGCCTCTGGGGAAGGGAAGTAAGGGCTGAGGACATGAGTAGAATGGAGACCCTTTGGTGCCTCTTGAATTGGGCGCCATGTATGTGTATTGCCTTTCAATAAGAACAACAACAGCAACAGTTAATAATCAAGTATATCACCCCAAGAATGTGGTACAGATCAGGGGCAGGGGGGGAAGATACAATTCCATCACAGCAAGAAGGCTGGACATAAGCATCTCCTTTCAGGCTGCTCCCCAGCTCCCGCATGGCCCAGCGTCAACTCCATCCCAGTGGGCTCACCAGACAGACAAGAGGCAGACGCATTTTCTGCCTTCATTGTATATTCACAGGTTTCTGTCTTCCCTTTGTTGAGAGGGCCTCTGAATGCAAGCAGGCAACATCCTATTTGTGAAAATATGAAAACCAACAGCAATAATATAACAGCTCCCAAATTATCTGAGAACAAAGAGAAAGAGGGGAAAACAAGAAATCATCATGCTCTGTCTCTCACTCTCACCCCCTCTCCCCTGCTTTGCTCAGAGCCCCATTCAGTGTGTGTCTGGTGGTGGTGTTGTCTTGGGGTGGGATTGGGGTTGTATGGGGGGGAGTCCAGGGAGACCAGGAACCAAATATTTTTTGATAAACACTGCATGGCTCTGAAGCTCCCTTGGCACAGGATAAATATTTTTTGATGAGGATATCAACACTAAACTTCTGTTCAGGGTTATGTTTGGTTGGAAGGATCCCATAAAGCACGTACTAATGTGAGAGCATTTTGAGACCCCCGCCCAAAAAAAATCCCAAGAATCAGCAGACCTTAGGAGGATTCTGGGGAACAATGGTCATATCACCTCCAGCCCATGAAGTCTTTGCACCAGTTTTGTACTCGAGGGAGATGGTCAGGGAGCTGGAGCACACAGTGTCTCTGCCTCATTGACTGGGCTCCTTTGATTAAGAACAAGCTTCTTAGGTCTACAGGTAGGACTAAGAGCTTACTCTTTTTCCTTGAAATGACTGGGCCTTAGACTTACAATATAGACCAAGTTGGTGTGAGTAAAAGAAAGCAAGCTTGCATGTTCCCACCTCTCTTCCCTATACCAAGGAGGAAGAAAGGAAAGGGTTTTTTGCCCAGAGGTATATAAAGGTTGGCAGCTACTCACCTCCAAGATCAGGCTGCATTAGGGTGGCCAAACATTCTGGTTTGCCTTGGATTGCCAGGACACGAAACTTGCAGTACTAAAACCAGGAAAGGCATGGGTGAACCGGATGAGTGGGTCACCCCAGGCCTCACCTTGGTGGTGGAGACGAAGGGATGAGCCTTGTTTGACAGCCTACAGTGCTTACAGAAGATTTGACCTCCCGGGTTCAGGGGAGAAACAGCACTTCTACCAGGGGTCTTGGCTGGTGCATGAAAGGCAGCCTAGATTAGCTGTGGGTCGTGCTGTCTCTCCAGGCTACGTGGGGAAGGGGGACACTGGGACTTCTGTATTTATAGGGCTGTGAGGTTCATTTTATGTGCCCACTTGACTAGGTCACGGGGTGCCCAGACATTTGGCCAATCCTTATTCTAGGTGTGTCTGTGAGGGTGCTTCTGGATGGGATTCACATTTGAACTTGTAGACTGAATAAAGTGCATTGGCCACCCTCCCTGAGGTGGCTGGACCTCATTCAATCAATTGAAGACCGGAATAGAACAAAAAGGCTGAGTACAGGGGAATGCCAATGCTCAGCTGGCTGTGTTGAGCTGGGCCCTTGGTCTTTTCCTGCCTTGGAACTCAAACAGAAACATCTGCCTCTCTTGACTCCCAAGCCTGCTGGCTTTTGGACTGGAGCAACAGATAGGCACTCCTGGGTCTCCAGCTTGCTGACTGCAGATCTTAGAACTCCTCATCTCCATGGTTATGTGAGCCAATTCCTTGTAATAAACCTATTGGTTCTGTTTCTCTGGAGAACCCTGACTAATACAGGGGCCAGGTGGGTGTTGCCCCATTGGTAGCAGCCAAAGGTTATTGTCATATTGGTAGAAGCCCAGCATTCAAGGGCTGCTGCTCAGCACAAGACTCTCACTGAGCTTTTTAAAATACATTAATAAAAATGTAAAGAAAAGTCAATTAGGCTCTTCCATTTCAAATACAGCACTTGCACTTAAATTCTAATGGTTAGATTATAAATGGCTGTTCTTTCTATCAGTAGTGTTTTGAAGGGGAATCTAGGTTCCCAGAGCAATTTGATGTTCTGGAGAGATCTTCCACAACACAGGCAGAGGGATCAGAGACTCTAATATGCTTTTTCTTAACATTTTGTATCAAGTGGTGGACAACCATATGCCTGGAAATTCTTTGAAGGCTTAAGTTTTGCTTCAAGAAGTCCAGCAAGTTTTGCATTCAATTCCATAATATATGTGATTATTTCCACATAATTTTTTATTTAGTAGTAAATTTACTTAATTTTTCTCTGAAACATTTTAAAGTAAAATTCTAAAGTAAAATGCTAAGAAAGATAGTCCATATTTATCCTGTGGCCTTAACTATCCCTAAAACACAGCCTCCTTCACCTCTTGCAGGACATATAGCGTGGCATGATAGAGATGTCTTGGCCTAGGCTGGGATCATGTGGGATAACCAGTAAATGTTGAATGAATCAGGTGGTAGCGTGTGAGGTTTTTAAAAATATTTTCAGCATGGAGATAAGTTACCCACCACTGGGGCATGTTTCCATCACGTTCTTAGCTGCAACGAAGCAAATTTAACTCTGGCTAATTTAAACAGAAGAGGAGGCTGTTGAGCAGATACTGGGTAGCTTGCAGAATTGCTACAACAGATGCTTCAGTTGCCCTCATGACACTGCTGGCCCCAATCCTGGACGCTGTGCTGTCCCTGTTGCTACGACCTGAACAAATCCTATTGGTTGCTGCTTATTTGTACCATTAGCTTCTGATGTGTGGTCTGGGAAGGATGCATCTGATCAGCCAAGCCTTGATCACATGTTCATGCCTACACCAGTTATCCCCATTACCTTCCCACTCCCATTCATTCCACATCCTTGTCTAGCCTTCTCAGGCCCCAGGGCCTTATCTCCACGGACTGCTCCACCCGGGCTCCCTTGCCCTTGGGTTTCCATTTGGTTGGAGCAATGGGAGGTACCAGTAGGAGACTGGGGGGTGAGAGGAGAGAGGAGCCAGGGTATTTCTGTCCCTACTTACTCCCTTCTAACTCAGGGCAGCTTTTCTGGCAGTACCTGCTTCTTTCCAAGATTTCAGCTCCTGTTGAGTGGTCCTCTTCCAGGGATCCAAACTCACAAGCCTTGAGTAACACTGTTTTCTCACCTTGCCCCTTCCAGGTATGGGCACGGAAATCGCTTCCCACTATTGTTAGTCTCTGAATGCCTTGACATCCTTTATTGGTTCCCTTAATCCAGTCTGCATCTCTATGAATAGCCCTTTGTTACCTTCTCTTCAGAATCCCTTCTGAATGAATCTGCCCTGTTTCCCGTGGGGATACTGACTGAATTGATGCCTTAGCTGCAAAGAAAGCCAGGAAAATAAGAATCTGGCATTTCGGCTCCTAGGTAGGAGGCAGGCTCTGTTTCTCAACAAGGCTTATGGAGTGGGAAATTTTGTAAACATAGGAAAAGGACAAAGATGTACCCTATCACCACTTCTGTTCAACATTGTGCTAGAGATCCTCAGTATTTCAATAAGGCAAGAAAAAGAGATAAAATATGTAAGTATTGGAAATGAACCAGTAAAGCCATCTTGATTCACAGATGTCATGATTGTATACATAGTCAATCCCAATGAATCTACAGACTATTAAAATTAAAAACTGAATTTAGCAATTATCAGTATATGCAAGGATGATAGACAAAAATCCTAGTTGTATTTCTAGGTATAGCAACAGACAATTGGACAGTGAGATTTTTAAAATGCTATTTATTGATAGGAAATATAAAATGTTGCTGCTGCTATAGAAAACAGTATACAGGTTCCTCAAAAAATCAAAGTTAGAATTACCATATTGACCCAGCAATCCCATTTCTTGGTATATATTCACAAAAATTGAAAACAGGATCTCAAAAAGATATGTGCACATCCATGTTCATTGCAGCATTATTTACAATAGCCAAGAGGTGGAGGCAACCCAAATTTCCACTGACGGATGAATGGATAAAGAAAATGTGGCATAGACATACAATGGATTATTATCTGGCATTAAAAATGAAGGAAATCGGCCTGGCTCAGTGCCTCACACCTCTAATCCCAGCACTTTGGGAGGCTGAGCAGGGGCAGATTGTTTGAGGTCAGCAGTTTGAGACCAGCATGGCCAACATGGTGAAACCCCATCTCTACTAAAAATACAAAAAATTAGCCAGGCATGGTGGTGCATGCCTGTAGTCCTAGCTACTCAGGAGGCTGAGGCAGGAGAATAGCTTGAACCCAGGAGACAGAGGTTGCAGTGAGCTAAGATCGCACCACTGCACTCTAGCCTGGGTGACAGAGCAAGACTCCATTTAAAAAAAAAAAAAAGAAGAGGAAGAAGAAGAAGAAGAAAATCCTGCTGTCATACATTACAACATGGATGAACCTTGAGGATATTATGCTAAGTGAAATGAGTCAGTCACAGAAAGACAAATACTTCATAAGCCTACTTATGCAAGGTATCTAAAATAGAGCCATAGAAACAGAAAGTAGAATGGTTACCAGGAATGAGAAGAGGAGAAGAGATGGAGAATTATTGTTCAGTGGGTATAGAATTTCAGTTATGCAAGATTAAAAAGTTCTAGAGTTCTATTGCACAGTAATATGCATATAGTTATCCAACTGCACTATACACTTAAACATGTATGATACGAGTCCAAGGAGAGACAAATAGACCCATCAATAAAACAGAATAAAGAATTCAGAAAAAGACCCATAGATGTATGGTCACAAGATTTACAACAAAGAATCCACCACAGTTCAGTACAGAAAACATGGTCTTTTTAATAAGTAGTACTGGAGCCATTGATACCCAAATGGCAAAACAAATGAGCTGCGTCTTCTACCTCACAACATATGCAAAAATTAATTTAGGTGGATTATAGACATATGTGAGAGATAAAACAATAAAGTATCTGGGAGAAAACGGAAATAATATCTTCATAATCTTGGCAGTATTGCAAAAAGTATTTAAACAGAACAGAAAAAACACCATAAATGGAGGGAGTGATGGATACATTGGACTATGTGAAAATAATAGCTTTCTTTCATCAAAAGGCATCATATAGAAAGTAAACAGTCAATCCAAGGACTAGAAGAAGCTATGAATCACACATTTGGTAAGGAATCCAATTTTTTAAAAAGGGTGAAAGAGTTAAACTTTTTGAAAGAGAATACCCAGGTGGCCAATAATCACGTGAAAAGGTCCTTTACATCATTATTTATCAGAGAAATGTAAATTAAAACCATGATGAGATATCATTATCCATCCACTAGAATGGCTAATGTGAAAAGGACTGATAAAGTCAAGTGTGGCAGAGATGGGGAGCAACCGGAATTCCAAGCAGCACATTGCTGATGGAAGTGTCAATTTGTTCAATCACTTTGGAAAACTACTTGTCAGTGTCTGCTTAAAAACCTAAACATATGCCTACTCTATGATCCAGCAATTCCCCTGTTGGATATTTGCCTCAAGGAAATGAAATCTGTGTGCACTAAAAATGCTATACAGAAGTGTTCACAGATGCAATAGAATATAACACGAATTAAGAAAGACCCCAGTGATACCAGCCTACAACACGGGTCAATCTCACAGACATTATATTGAATGAAAGGCGTAAAAAACTAGAGTGCACACTATTTGATCCTATTTATGCAAAGTCTGTATAAAACTAATTTATGGTGATAGAAATCAGAATAGTAGTTAGCTTGTGGGGTGGGGTGGGAGAATCAGTATTTACTAGGAAGAGGCATAAGGGAATTTTTTGGGGGAGGTGATGGAGGTTTTCTATTTATTCTTTTTGAGAGGGGTTCTCACTCTGTTCCCCAGGCTCTGCTCACTGCAACCTCTGCCTCCCAGGCTCAAGCGATTCTTTCATTTCAGCCTCCCATGTAGCTGGGACTATGGGTACACACCATGAAACCCAGCTAATTTTTTGTATTTTTGGTAGAGACAGGGTTTCACCATGTTGCCCAGGCTGGTCTTGAACTTCTGAGCTCAAGTGATCTGCCCACCTTGGCCTCCCAGAGTGCTAGGGTTACAGGCCTGGCCAGTTTTCTATATTTTGATCGTGGTATCAATGTGTAAAAATTCATAGAGCTATCTTTCTCTCTCTCTCTCTCTTTCTTTCTTTCTTCTTTCTTTTTTTGAAATAGGGTCTCATTTTGTCCCCTAGGCTGGAGTGCAGTGGTGCAATCACAGCTCACTGTAACCTTGAACTCCTGGAGTCAAGTGATCCTCCTACCTTAGCCTCCCAAGTACCTAGGACTGCAGGCATATGCCACTACAACTGGCTAATTTAATTTTTTTTTTTTTTTTTTGAGATAAGGTCTCATTATATTGCTCAGGCTTGTCTCGAACTCCTAGCCTCAAGTGATCCTCCTGCCGGGGCTCCCAAAGCACTAGGATTATAGGTGTGAATCACCCTACCCTGGCCTGTATTCTTAACATTTATGCACTTTAATGTACAAAAAAAGTGTACTTCAATTTTACAAAATGGGAAGAAAACTCAGAGATCAGGTTAAAAAAAAAAAGATGAATGTCCATCCAGTTCATACAAACCGTAATCTTTGTTTTGGTAGAAGGGATGAAGAAAGTGGAGGGGTTGCTTGGTGAATTGTGGCACAGTGCAAGCTCACTGAGGTCCCCTCTGAGTGACCTCTGTCCTATGCCACCAGATGCTCTGCAGATTCCTGGCTGCTGGGGAGGACTTCCAGGCGTGACCAAGCCTCTGCAGCTGCTTCCCTCATACACATTTGCTCAAGTCAAGTGCAGACATTTCTGTAGCTTGTCAGAGGCCCCTAGAGAAGCCTCGCCTTCCACCTTGAGGCATCCTTGGGTACAGGCCCCAGCTGGACAATGTCAGAAGGCTTGGTCCTGGATGTGACTCCAGACTAGAGCTATTCAAAGGATGGTCCAGGGCCTGGAGCCTGTCTACACACTGGTGCTGATCTATGATAATTTGGTACAAAAATGGAGAGCAATTTTGAAAACTTTTGTGGCAGTTTTAATGAGTAATCTTACGTCTATTAAATTTATCACAATAAAACGGGGCTTGAATGTTGTATATCTTTTTTCCATTTCATTTCTAATTTGTTTTCATTGCATTTTACAAAAACATTGAACTGTGATGAATTGGAAATGTCTACGAAGAGAAACTGATCCTTCTTCACAGGAGTTCCTGGAGCATTGTCTTTGGCCCAGCAAAGGGTGTGTCCTAAAAGAGCCTGCAAGAGAGCTCGGGTGGGGCCTGTCATAAGTCAGGGGCTGCTGCTGCCTGCACTTGGTAATTTTTAGAGACTTGGAGCAAAGCAGCCTAATTGTAGTTTCCATGGTTACCAGCCACCACTGAGGAGAACGTGAGCAGATCTTAAAGGGAAAATCCGTGCACAGGCAGAAGTCAGGAAGCAGGGAGGGAGGGGAGGAAGAGACAGGTCCCAGAGAGGGTCTGGGCTACAGGGTGGCCTCTACTCACTTAGCTGCAGTCCTAGTCATTGTCTCTATCCCAGGGCAGAGGTCCTCAGGCTGCAGTAATGGTGCGTCACCATAGTAGCCTCCCATGAAGTGCACCTAGCAGGCTGAGAAGGGGCCTTCGGCACAGTTGGTAGGATGATTACCATTCAGAGGTCCCACTCTCTGGCCCCATTCCAGTGCGAGCTCCAAGAATTTTCACTTCTTTCTCCTTCCATGAAACCCCTGACTATGGGCCTCCACCCAAAGCAAAGCCAGAGAAAAGGGGAAAATGGCAGGAAAGTGTCTATACCAGCCCTACCACCATTGATCCTCAAGCTTGGGGCTTGGATGCACCCAGCAAGCCTGTGTGTCTCTTTCATCTATTGAGGCCAATGCTGTGGACCACCCAGCTGCCTCACGTGATCACTCATTGGCTCTCTCCTTCATGCTTTATTCAACAAATACTTCTGCTTGGGGCAAGATAATACAGCAGAGCCCAACCAGGCAACATCCCCACAATTGTGGAGCTTATTATGGAGCTTATTATATTCCAATGCGAGAGACTGGCATTAAAAGCGTAGACGGAAGCTATAATGTCAGGTAATAAACGTTATGTTCCATTGGCCTCAGGGTGGTGTGTTGGGCCAGGCGGGGCCTTGTTGAGGGTGACCACAGTCACACATGGTCTTTGGCATGTGAAGGGCAGAAATATGGCCACGAGAAGGAACCTGGGCTTGGCAATACAGCTCACAGGATCTGCAGAGAGCGCCACTTAAGTGGAGCCCGGCAAATGCTTGTCAACTAATGACGCAGAAATCAAAGCTGCGTTAATCCCTCTTGGCTCATATCTGCATGTCCCAGAACCCCCAGAGAGGCCCTCCATATCCACTTGGTTTCAGGCATGACTTGGGTTTCCACAGCCATCTCAAAAGTGGTGTGATGGGTGATTCCACCAGGGGGGCCACCCTGGGGTTCAGCCACTAGACGACGCTGTTGCAGCTCTTTAGCTCTGAAGAAGGAAACCAGAGACCAGGAGAAAGAACGATGCGGCTTTATGAAAATATTTGGATTATGTGAAATAAGAAGCAGTCCCACCTCAGAATTATGGGCTCATAAATCACTCTGAGGAGAAAAGGGGTCGGGGGACCGGGGAGACTTGGGACATGAGTTTACGATCTCTCCAGAAGCCCTTGATGGAATTACAGCCTCATAACTCACTGGGGCCTGCTCCTTCCTCCAGCCTGGCCTCAGCTGTCATGCAGGGCCCCCAGGGAAGGCCAATCTGGGCGCCAGCAATGAGAGGCTGACCTGGCAGAGGCCTCCGGGGAGCATGAAGAGGGAGTCCGAGGCGATGTTTTTGAGCTGGGTACAGGCAGCCAGGCCTCAGTGTTAGGGATTCTGTGAGGCTTGTCAGAGAGACAAGGAGCTGAGGCTGAAGAGGTGAGCTGAGCTGCTGGACACAAACACCAGACAGAAGGCTTGTGTGAGCGTCACATTCCACGGGGTGCTGTGGAACTGCACAGCAAGGACACACTGGACCCCTCCTGGGTGGGGTGGGGTAGCAGGAAGACACCTGGCTACTGCTTCCTTATCAGGGCCGTGTCTCTAGTTTGCCGCTTTACAAAATGGTGACCACCAGCCTCTCCTCAGGGAGCTGACAGATACTCTCGAGGCCTCAGAAGAGCTCACAGCCTGAGGGCAAACCATTCGCTGAAGGAGCTGGGGTCTTCCTGCAGGTGGGGAAGATACGCCCGTGGCCAGAGGAGAGGTTTGCTACCGATATGCCCACCTCCCAGCTAGCCCTAGCTGTGGCCTCTGGCATGTCCAGGATGAAGAAAAGGCCACAGGAAGTGGGTTTCTAATGGCAAGTCAATGAGGCGCTGTTTAAAAGAGCTGCCTTTTGTGAGGAGCGCTGACTGTGAGTCGGGCATGGTGCACTTCATCATGCTGAATCCCCACAACTTGCTCACAAATTATTTCCATTTCACAGATAGGGGAGTGAGGCAAAGCGATCAAAATAAACTTCTCCAGTCACACACACATGCTAAGTACCGTACTGGAGATTTAAATCCAGATCCCTCTGTATCTACAGTGCATCCCACAAGCATGGCTGCCTGGTGCCCCATCCTGCGCATGGCAGTCCCTAAATCTGCTGGCTGAATCCCATCAATTTCTATTCTTCTCTCCCTGCTGTAGCTTGCAGTTGCAACCCAATGCCTACGCTAGTCACTTTCTCTACAATGTCCTTTGCTATTGTCAGAGGTGTTTGAACCAGAGCAACTCCATCTTGAACAGGGGCTGGGTAAAATGAGGCTGAGACTTACCAGGCTGCATTCCCAGACAGTTAAGGCATTCTAAGTCACAGGATGAGATAGGAGGTCAGCACAAAATACAGGTCATAAAGACCTTGCCGATAAAACAGATTGCAGTAAAGAAGCCGGCTAAAACCCACCAAAACCAAGGTGGCCACGAGGGTGACCTCTGGTCGCCCTCACTGCTACACTCCCATCAGCACCATGACAGTTTACAAATGCCATGGCAACGTCAGGAAGTTACCCTATATGGTCTGAAAGGGGGAGGCATCAATAATCCACTCCTTGTTTAGCATATCATCAAGAAATAACCATAAAAATCGGCAAACAGCAGCCCTCAGGGCTGCTCTGTCTTTGGAGTAGCCATTCTTTATTCTTTTACTTTCCTAATAAACTTGCTTTCACTATAGGGATTTGCCCTGAATGCTTTCTTGCACAAGATCCAAGAACCCTATCTTGGGGTGTGGATTGGGACCCCTTTCCAGTAACACTATTATGATAATCTATCCATCAGTAAGAGAGAGAGAGAGAAATAGAGACAGAGAGAGAGACTTGTTCAGTGTTTGTCGTAGTTCAGCACAGTCATTAAGTGTGTAGGTTTTGGAATCAGAGAAACCTGGGCTTACATCCCCGCTCTTTGATCTCTATCACTTTCCATTTGTCCAATTACTGTTTTAAGCCTCAGTATATTTATCTATAAAATGGGTATAATAATGGTAACTATAGACTAGAACTGGATCCTGAGAATTGAATGCCAGTAATGTATGTGAGTGACACAGACATCATTTCTCTGAGGAAATCCCTTCATGTCCTGGGAGGTGATGACTCTTGGGCATGGGTTATTGGAAATCAGGGTTTACAATCCCACTCAGCACTTGTATTGTCTTCTTTATCTCTTCCAAGTATCTTAACATCCCATTTTCTAAGGGACCTAATTTTTTTTTAATTGATAGACTACAGCAGACTAAGATCACTTAGGAAAACTTGCCTTCAGTATCAGCTTGATTTTATTACATGATCTTCTTTACATACCTGGTCCTGTGGTCCAGTGCTATAAAGAAAACAATGGTCGATGACGTTTGGTTGGGCAGGCCTATCCATTTATATATTTGGAACCTAGGTGATGAGGGGGCTGCAGAGATAAATGAGTAAGCTGCACTTTTGCAAGGGAGGGTGGGTCTCTGAAAGCTCTCCTAAGGTTCAAATACTGATGGCCCGAGGCTGTTGATCTTATCTAGTTCAGGAGATGTTTTTCCATAAAGTAAATCATGATTCACTGCATGAATTCCTATGCACTGAATATTGTAGAAAGAACTGATGACCCTGAAAAACTGGAAATGTTAACCCTCTTCCTAGATGGGCTAGGTGTCATCCTGCCAAGAGACAGAGAAGGAGATTCTAAGTCAAGAAAAAGCTCATTAAGTACAGATATTTCCTCATGTTGTGCATGGAGACCTTGAATCACAGTCAGACCAGCCCTAACATTTGCAGAGCTGCAGAGGGTGAGGGTATGAATGGAGGCCTAGACATCAAATGCTTATATTTAAATAAACTTTGTTCCATCCTTGTACCTTGGCAAATATACCTTCAAAGCAATAAAATTAGTGGGGCAGGGGGAGTGAAATCTATGCCTTATACATGACTGAAAGTTGGTAAAAATATAAATAACTGGATTTCATAATTATTTCAACCCTGCAGGAGTTTTGTTAATGGGCTGACATGTTTGAATGAGTAATAAAGACATACACAGTTCATGTAAAACTTGAGCATTTATCTAATTACTGTGTATCCAGCATTGAGTTCAGAATCAAAGAAATAGAAGACCTGGTCTATTTCTGAGTTAAGGAGACAGGACATAAAAAGGTGAAATTATTAGGGGATAAAATTATTACATACATATCAGCATTGATTCTATTAAAATAAAGTGCTAAGTGGTGCATTACTGGCAATGAAAGGCTAAGGCCACCCAAGATAAGGTGCTAATTAGATGGCAAAGCCGAGAAAGGCAGACAGTGCTGGGAAAGGTTAAATAGTATCACATCCCACCCCAGAAGTCATGTGTGAATTTGATGAGTCACAGAACCAATGGGCTTGTCCAGCCCTCACCAGCATCCATGACTCAGGGTCACCTCGACATCCTTTACTTATCTCCCATATGTCATAACTTTCAAGGTGGAACAAAAACTTGGCTTTGTTGTGAATAATGGAAAGGAGGAGAAAAGGCAATCACTGTAGCCGGTGATGAAAATAGTGGAAAAATGAGGAGGTAGAAGAAAAGAACTGGGGACTCCTAACAAAAAAAAAAAAAAAAAACCCAAAACAATAGTTTTTGAAATGACTTTAATCTTACTGATCTAGAATGAAGGGTTTTAAAGGATCACATATTGTATTGTAGACTTCCTTGCACTCGGCCGCATACCCTCTTGACCCACCTTTCCACCCCAGCTGTTGCCACAGCAACCAGGTGGCATGCACGTGGAGCCTGATAGTGTCTGCTTCAGGGACACTGCGCTCCCCTTGCCTCTTCCCCCGGGGCTCCTCTGCTTCTACATGGAGGGCAGGGGGTGCCTGGGGGAAACCACTCAGCTTTTCCAACTCACTTGCAAACTTAGAAGTGTGAGGAATAAACAGCCCACGGCAAACTTTCTGCAGTGGGGAGTGGGAGCCAGTGGATGGTTTCTGAGGTGGCTTCTACATTACTAGAGGGTCCAAGAGGGGTCAGAGTCCTGGTCCCCCACAGCGAGGGCCAGCTTGAAAATATCCCCTTGAACTGGCTTGTCCTCACTTCCCTACCTTCCACTCCTGTTCCTCAGGACTGCTTCCCAAAATAAGCCCCCTGCTCACAACCCCTTGTCTCACTTCTGCTTTTAGGGGGAACTCAGGCCCTTATAAATTTTAGTTATCTATTTTTGTACTCTTTGGAAAGCTGTGTTCTATCTACATGTGTATTTCAAGACTTGGGCAGTTGAGAAATTCTTGTACCTACTTTACCCGTTCATTTAAAAAACATTTATAGGGCAACTACTATGTGCTTGGAGTTGTCCCATCAGCAAGGGTTAGAGAGATCATATGTAGAGTTTTCAGAAGCCTGCTACCCAATAGTAAAAGCTACCATCTGTCACAAACTTACAGGATGGCAGGACCTGCTCTAAGTGCTTTGTAATCCTTGCCTCACTTGATCCTCACGAGAGCTGTATGAGGATACCCTCAGCAGCCCTGCATTATTATTCTCATCTTTACAGGTGAGGAAGCCACGATTTAGAGACAGTTGGGAACTCCAGGTAAAAGCTGGCCAGAGAAGGGCAGAGTTTGAACCAGGCCGTGGTCTTCACCATCACACTGTGTAGAGAGTATGTTCCAGATACAAAAGGAGGATGGAGAACGGGTCCTAGGGGTAGAAGTCCTAGCTGTCTGCCCAGGGGGGCTGCTCTCACAGCTCTGAGTCAGTGGCATCTCCACCCTGCCTTGCCCACAGAAATTCACAAAACAGCAGGCAAACCAAAGCAGAAGGAAGGATTGGCAGGGTACTGTGGAGTTGGGGCAGTTCAGCACAGCCAATGCCCTTTTTTGTTAAGGAAACAGGATGTTTCCTATGGTGAGGGATGTGATCCTAATGAATCAGGGGGAGCACACATCCCTACTGACCTGCCAGCCACCTCTCCCAGGGCCTCTGTTTCTTTCTCCCCCAAGCCCTGCCTCTGAATTGCTGGAGTTTGGAGAGGCTTAAGTAGGTAATGAGCAGGAACTTGGAAGGTGAGTGATATAGTGGCTGGTCTGGTCTGGACTTGGATGTGGAGTAGGGATAAGAAGGACCTCTCTTCTGCGTGTAGGTGCATGAGGAGCATGACTTCTTCCTCTCCTGCATCTTAGAGGGATCATCAAGCCTTCATTAGAATCAGCCAGCATCCTTCTAGGCATCACAAGAAGCTGTCGTTTATGGCTTCGAAGGGAGCTGCTATCTTGATCAAGGACCAGTGCTGAGAATATGGTGTGTATCCCCTGAGGATGAGTTCTCTGCTTTCCTGGTAAATTGATCATTGATCAAAACCAAGGCATATAGAAAACTACAGGTTATATTTTTAAACAACCTTGGTTGCATTCATTCCTAGATAATAAATAGTTTCTCCCAGGGCACTGTGGGATGTGAATGCCATGACTTTCACTTGGGCCTGAAAACTCTTCACCACAGCAGGTGGTGTGGGAACCAGGCAGCACATGCCTGGCACAGAGTTAGCAAAAGGCAGGTCCTTACTCTCACCCTTTAAATCCTCCCCATTTCTCTCCTCTGATACTTCCCCTCCTTATACTTCCTTCTGTCCTAACTCTGTAGATTTGCACTGCCTTTTTTCCACCTCTGCTTCTTTTTAGTCTTTGCTTTCTTCCCTAATCTGTCCCAAAGCTAGTTCAGGAAAATTAGGACCTTCCACAAAATGATTCATATTGAGTGTAAATAGTCAATAGTGTATTTTTTAAAGAAGGCTTTCGGCCAAAAGAATACTTCTTTGTAGGTGAAATATGATATTTCATACATTAATTATGAACTGAGGGGCCACCTGTTAGGTTAAATCCCTTGTACCTTATAGCAGTCAGGATAGTCTTGGCTATGCAGCAGTAACAAACAGCCTCATACCTTAGTGACTTAAAGCAGCAAAGTTTTATTTTTTACTCATACTACACAACCATGGTGTCATCTGGTGGCTCTGCTCTGTGCTGTCATTGATCTCACTCTGTGATTCAGGCTGCTGCTCTCTGGAGCATTACAAGTGACTACACCACTAGCACTCATATTCCATCGGCCCAAACCAAGTTGCTGGGCCAGCTGAACTTTATTGGGGTGGGGAACTGTACTGCTCCTTCAGGAAGGGGAAATAGATATTGTTGAACTGTGATATGACCTACCAGATATTCCTATGCCTGGGACTAACCTCCTCTGCCTGGGTCCAACATCATTCATGAGCCTTGGCTCTAGTGCATACCCTCAGCAGCCCTGCAGGCTCTGGCTCAGCGTCCACGGTAGGAGTTCTGCTAAGAGAAAAGCGAGGCAGGTTTAGAGAAAGTGATGGTGCAGAAGTGACCTGCATCTGCCTCCATTTACTCTGCTCAGCTAGGAGCAGCTCTGCTAACCCAGGGAGAGGTTTCCACTACAACACCATCTCTCTTTACCTGTAAAAGATAGCCATTAGCTGCAACTCAAGGAATTAGTTTTCTAAAGATAAACCATTGATGGGAGAGGGCGAGTGGCCTGATATTGAAGGTAATGGAGTCACAGTTGGGAGACAACCCAGTGGCCAACTTTGTAGCTGATTGCTTTCACCGAGTCTTGCTTTCTGTCCCTCTCTCCCTCCATTCATGATTTATTGAGCACTCTCTCTGAGTGGGTCACTGTGCTAAGCTGGGGTAATAAATTCAACTGAGATGTGGTCTCTGACTTTAAGGATCTCACAGTCAGCCGGGCACGGTGCTCACGCCTATAATCCCAGCACTTTGAGTGGGCAAGGGAGACTAATCACTTGAGGTCAGGAGTTCAAGACCAGCCTGGTCAACATGGCGAAACCCCATCTCTACTAAAAATACAAAAAAATAGCTGGGCCTGGTGGCACACAACTGAAATCCCAGCTACTTGGGAGGCTGAGGTACGAGAATTGCTTGAACCCAGGAGGTGGAGGTTGGAGTGAGCCAAGATCACGCCACTGCACTCCAACTGGGCAATAAAGCAGGACTCTGTCTCAGGAAAAAAAAAATAATCAAAGATCTCATAGTCTAATGACCACAAAAAGTATACGATTTCATAAGGTGTTAGATATTTACTTATTTTGCAATGGGTAAATGAGGCATTATTCTAAATTTGTTATTAAGGCTCCAGGATGGGCCCACTCTTATTTGTACAGCATCTTTTTTGTTTTGTTTTGTTTTTGAGATGGAGTCTTGCTCTGTCGCCCAGGCTGGAGTGCAGTGGGGCGATCTTGGTTCACTGCAACCTCCGCCTCCTGGGTTCAAGCGATTCTGTTGCCTCAGCCTCCTGCCTGAGTAGCTGGAATTACAGGCGTCTGCCACCACGCCCGGCTAATTTTTGTATTTTTAGTAGAGACGGGGTTTCACCATGTTGGCCAGGCTGGTCTCAAACTCCTCACCTCAAGTGATCTGCCCATCTTAGCCTCCCAAAGTGCTGGGATTACAGGCATGAGCCACTGTGCTCGGCCTGTAGAGTATCATTTTTATGACTAATAATAATACTATATGCACGTATGAGCCTTCATAGCACATGGGGTCTTTTTCACTTCAGTTGTCTAAATTGGCCTGCCCCAATCTTCTGGGCTTTGTAGTACAATTAGGACAATCTTAATTTTGTGGCTAGGTAAACAAAATACAAGAGAAGTGGCCTGCTCAAGGTCATGGTGGTTGGTTCTGACAAAGTTTGAGCTCATATAGGTAAAGGAATCTGAGGCCCTGGTGGAAACTTCGTTGTTCAATCTCAATGTGAACCTTCAGAGTGACATCACCGTCCCCACCCAGCCTGAGTCTTTATTTAGGAGAAGGGAAGAACATCTCCTTCCTATTCCTGAACTATACTTTTCTTGTAAGCCTGATCTACTGAGAAAAAAAAAAAAAAAAACAAAAAAAAACACCCACCACTCTTTTTGATTTCAATCCATTTGGTTTGTTCCAGGTCTTGAGGCCAGGGAGTTCGGTTTGCCCTCACAGCTGCCCCGTCCATTCCCACAGTCACCCCACACTGTACATCGTCCTGTGGCCATGCTGATGGTGCCTCCAGAGGCCGTGGCTTCTCCATCTCAGGCTGAGGAATGCTCTCTCCTCAGGAGCTCCCTCGTATCTCAGAAGAAATTGCCTCTGGAAGGTGGGACAGTGCTGAGAGCAAGGCCAGGAAGGACCCCTGTGGACACTCCCCAGGCCACTTCCTGACCCTTCTGTCTGTGCCCTCCAGGGGTCCCATCCTGGGTGAAATCTCCCCATGCTCATCTCAGGGTGTGAAGGCTGGAGGGGCCTATGGGTGGGTGGGTGGGTGGGTGGGGGCATTAGGGAGGTGGGAGGGTGGGATTTGCCTGAAGTTTCATCAGCAGTCGGTGCCCTCAGCATCTGCCTCACCCCTCCCCCTTGCCTCCACCCTGCACTCCTCCTTCCTTTCTTGCTTCCCTCCTCAGTCTTCCCCTTTCCACGTTTCTGCCTCCTGATCTTTATCCTGCTTCTGTCCTGATTCCCTTCTCTCATGGCTTTCCCTTTGAATAAGAAGGATGCTGGAATATTCATGGAGTCATCCAGCCCAGCCTCCTCTACCTGATGACCTGAGGCTTAAAATGTGGACAGATCTGCCCAAGGTGGCCAGCTGAGCCAACAGCAGAAACTGCAGAGGTCCTGGTGCCCAGGCCAGGGCTCTCTGTGTCATGCCAGCTGCACTGGCTCCCCGCCCCCACCTCTGAGCGGCGTGGGTGTTAGATGGGTGTGCAAGGCAGGCAGTGGCATGGGCTCCTTCACTCTGGCCCTCCTCACTGCCACCCTTTTCATTCTCTTTTTCTCCCTAACCCACTCTACCCAAGGAACACAGTTGGATTCAAGATCTTCACTCTCTATCAACATACCGGGGGAGTTGGGGGCTGAGAGAATCATTGATCATGAAGGTGTCGCTTGCCAGGAAGACCTGAAGCAGAGATGGCAATGCTTGTGTCATCCCCAGAGCCAACTCTAATGGGCAAGTAGCAAGTTCCTGGAGGGCTGCGTTGAGAGGGATTCCGGGACTGACTGGGCTGCCTAGGAAAGCGTTGTCTCCTGACAGCACTGACTAGTAACATGCTTACTCTCCCTGGCTTGAAGTGTTGCCACCTCGGGATGGCTGCCTTGCAACCGAGAAGAGAGTCTTAAGTAGAAGGATGCATCTCTGGTGGTTGAGTTTAGATGTCACACAACTGCAGAGAGAAGGTGCCAGCCATGTGTCTGCATGCTGGAAGCTGTTGCCATCTTATAGCCAGCCTTCTCCCCCAGCCCCTCCTAGCCAGTCACATAAAGAAGCACCCAAAATCCCAAACTGCATTTTTATTATTTTTTAATAAACTTTATTCTATATTACAAATAAGTTTTTTTTGTTCTGAACTGCAAAATAGGAATGCCTTATATTTACATACACAGGTATACAATTAATTATAACAAAGGTACAGAAGCTTGCCTTTACCAAGTTACAACTGGGCTCCAATTTAAATAGCACAGGTTTCCTTTTTAAAAACTTTTTAATTTTTTTTTAATATTTTACTAGGATACTCTTCTTTAAAAATCAAAACCAGAAGACCCTCTTCTTAGAGATCTCATCCACATACATTTGAGGCTCATTTTAACACTGTTGTCTAAAGATATGCTTTGCTTTGTTCTAACAAAGGGTCAATGTTCGAGGTGGGAGCTTTAGTTTGAAACAGAAGTGGGATGGGGCTGGAAGGGGGTGACTGGAACAGAGATAACCTGCCCTACCTCCTTCAACGGCTTCTCTATGTGACTCAAAGACCCCTGCCGGTTCCTTAAACCACCCTTCCATCCTGTTTCTCCCCTTCTCTAGCATTTGAAGCTCAACTCTGGGTCCTCTGGCTGGGCCAAAACCCCTGCATCATCCCCACACGTCGGCTCGCTGAGCCATTGTCTGTTGTGGTACCCTGGAGTTGCTGGTTGCTATGGTAACTCAGCAGGACCCTGCTGGAAGAGATGGGCTGGCCCCTACATGCTAAAGTGGGGAGGAGGGCAGTGGCATCCAATCCTTCCTTCCCACCTCAGGGCCTGGAGGCCTTGTTCCTGCTCAAAGCAGCCAACACACGACTAAGCAAAGACCGTATGTCTCAAGGACACCAGGCCAAGGTAGGGAGTGGTGAGGGGAGGGCTGTCCATTCTAAAACACAAAATCGTTGGTTTCCGAATGGAAACAAGATTCTTTGAGGTAAGCTAGCTTTTCATTTTAAGAACAGAAGGTTTAACAAGTCAACAAGCTAACTAGAACGTCGGGGAGGGAGAGGAAAGGAGGACAGACAGATGAGCACGTGTATCCCATCTTCGTCCTGTGCCTGGATTGCGGCTGACTTCTGTGCACGAAAGTGTTCCTTAGTCCTGTTTGGTGAAGTGGTCTCGGTTTCTTAAGCGTCCTTTGGGTTGCTCTTTAACTGTATCCTCTGTTTTAAATTCTACTTTTGTAAGGGAGCCCTTCCAAAATGTGCTTGAGTCAAAAGATCAAAGATACTAACAAAGGAAGTTCTAATTCCAAATAAAGAAATTGCTGGAAGAAGAGCTGCATAGACCAAGTCTACTTGCTTTTGCAATCCTGGCGGAGGGAAAGCTTGGGTCTTCCCATGACCCATCCCTCACAGAGCCTCCTTAAAGTTTGAGGAAAGCTGATAAGAGATGTGTAGGATTCGGCAGTACCAGGGGCAGCCCAGAGAGCCAAGCATAGACATCAAAGCGGGTGGGAATGGAATAAAGTGAGGCTCCCGCAACCCAGGATTTTCAGCCTACCTGAATCACCTCACTACCTCTGCCAATACAAACAGAAAGTTCTTTTTGTATATGAAGGATTTTGTTTCGTTTTGTTTAACTTTGCTTTGCTTTCTGGTAGGCACCAGTCTACTCAAGGAATTTAATCGGGATCCTAATGAGTATGTATTTCTCTTACAACCAAAAAATTCTATATACTTTTAAAACTTGGATACTCCCTCTAATAAAATAATTTTATGGGGGAGCAAAAATTTGTAGTAAAAAAAAAAAAACTCTCTCTTGCATGTCTGAAACTTTTACTGCAGTGGATTACTTTCCAAATGAGAGGAGTGGTCATTTAGGTTTCCTGTCAAGAGCATGCCACCCTTAGCACCATGAGGAGAGGTTTGCAGAGTGTCCCAGCCTCATTCGGGAGCTGTGTCAGTGTTACCTGAGGCTGTGTCTCAGCTCCCCACTCTATAAAATAAGGCTCTTGTTTCCTACATAGAGAATGCCTGTAGGGTGAGGTGGCAGGAGGCGGTAGGAGAAGGACTCCATCTGTCAAAAGTGTGGGGAAGCACCAGGAATAGCAGCAGCCATGTGAGATGCCACCCCTAGCATTGTCCTCATCCAGGGAATGTCCTGACCCATTTTTTTTTTTCAATGGGGGAGGCTCCTCCTGTCCTCTGAACCTCTCCTCATCCCCTTGGAAGTCATAGGTTTTGCTCCCACTAACCGAGTAATTTGGACTTAACATCCATAGCAGGGCTCCCTTCTTACTTTCGAACTATTAAGATATACAAACAAAAACCAAACAACTCCAAAATCCCAAATAAATGGCCCACAGTTTTGTTTTGTTTTGTTTTTTTTAAAGGAAGAGGCTGAGGGTTCAAGGCCTCCCAGTCACCTGTCCTGAGAGCTGGCAGGAAGAGGGGAAGAGGCCCTTGATGTAGACGAGGACCAGGAGGGATGGCGGGGGGGGATTTGGGGCATGGGGAGAAGCCAGGGCACGGAGCTGCCTGGGGTAGGTCTTCTCTGGGGGTCAGGTGAGCTCCTGGAGGTGACTCAGTCATGGAAAGACCCCTTGAAGGCCTTGAAGAGCTGGCTGGGGCTGCTCACTGGGCTCACTGTTCCTGGAAGGAGCAGGGGAAGTTCCCGGAGAGGGGCTTCTCTGGGCCTTGTGCCTGCAGAGCACCTTCCTACCTATGTCTGTCTGTCTTTCCCTCACTGCTTGGCTGTCTGTGAGGTGGGAGGTTTGTCCTTGACTGATAACAATACTGGCCCTTTGCTCGGTTAAGTATTTGACTTCACATTACTGTGTCCCCTTGGTCCTGGGAAAGAAGACAGATGGAAATTGAGCTTTTCTTTTTAGGTCACAGAGGGTGGTGCTGAGACCTGGGCCCATCACAGCATCGTTCACGGCTCTGGAAACAGTGGTAAGGATTCTTCTTGCAGTGGAGGTCATTTGGGAAGTCATTGCTTGTGGATCCTCGGATGGGGACCCATAGGGCCTTGGCTAGACGAGGGAGCTCCTACAGCCAGGAAGGCAGCTTTGGGTGGGGTAGGATGGGGCTGGGGCAGTCACAGAGGGCTGGGCTGAGAGGTCTGAGCAGCTCCTGTACTCAAGTGGATAAATCGCCCTGGGACAGAGGCTATGTGTGCAGGAGAGACACGGTGGAATGAGGAGGGACAGGGAGGATGCTCGTGGCAGGAGGAGCACAGGCAGAAGCCAGACATGCAACGGGAGACACGGTACCAGGGACCTGGTTGCATGGGGGAGGTGGAGATGCTGGGCCAGTACATCAACCTTCACTGCTGGTGGGCGCAGGTAGCTGGGCCTGAGGGGACCAGGTCAGAGACTTTTCCTGTGGGTAACTCCTGCTTCTTCCTGGGAACAGTCCTGGACAGTCTGCCTCAAACTTTGGGATTTATTTAAAATAACTTCTCTTTCACTTGTAGCTCCTCACAAGCAGCCAAGCTCACTTACCAGGCTGCGGGTGCACAAGGGGTAGGCTTTAGGGGCTGGCTTTGGGTGCAGGGATCATGCTGCCATTGGAATGTACCTTGGCCTGTGGGACACTTGGGTTATCCACTGTTCCCAAATTTAAAACCATACTGAAAGAAGAAGGCAAGAAAATATTTTCCTGAGGAAGTAACTGGCATGATGGCCACCTTCACTTAGTGGCACTATTTGCAGCTACCAAGAAATGTCAGGGTCTCTCCTTATGGGGAAGGACAAAGAATGGGTAAAAGCTGCATCTGGGGGGACTTGTGGCCAGGAGAAATGACCAGCCTACCACTCTGTTTCTTGTCTTCCTCTACTTATTCCTTAAAATTTAGGACCCCACAAAGCCCCCTTCTTCCCTGCTACCTTAAGCCCTTCTCTCTCCAACATGCAAAAAAAATTCCCACCTAAACTTTGTCAGTGATTTTGATGGCTCAGTCTGGTACCATTTTCCCTGGGAGGGTACGGGATAAGTTGGAGGGGAAGGTAAGGAAGATGGCCTTTTCTCTCCTTCTGTCTGCTCATGACTCAACATAATGGTGACCCTACAAATTAACTTTGCCTCGAGGGAGGCCGTGAAGGGGCCTCCATCCCACAGGACAAAGTTGGCCCAATTCCTTTCTCTGGGAGCCCGCAAGCCACATGGACAGCCCCTGGATGTTTGCTCTGCCAGTGGGGTAAGGAAGATCCCTGGGGGAGTTTGGAAAAAAGATTTGGGTGGGGGATGGGGGGCAAGGACAGCTTTTTGACAATGTTGCTTGTCTTTGCTTTTAAATACCATATCACACGTGCACCAAGAATCCAAACGGAAGAAATGGAAAACAAACAGCAGAAGATAATTTTTATAAGCAAGATGGGCTGTGGCTCTGGATACCTGGCTCAAATTTCTCAGTCCCCAAGCAGGCCACGGGGACTGCAGCAAACAGAGCGGCAGAAACAACCCACCCACCAATTAAAGTCAAACCAGCCCCAAACCCCTCCCCCAGGAGAAATGGGGACAGCCAGAAAATTTGTCTGTCCTTGTCTCCTCTTTCTTCCTAACCTTTCTATTTCTCTGAGGTGTTTGAAATTTTTCTTATAACAAAAACATGGAATAAAATAAAGTCCTGTACCGCCAAAGTAACAATAACAATAATCATCATCCAGTAAAAAATAAAAGCTTCAGCAGAACCGTGATAAGTCTTTTTTCTTTTTTTTTTCTGCTTGTTTGATTTTTTCTCTTAACTGTGCAAAAAAAAAAAAAAAAAATCAAAATGCACTCACTCATACACACGTTCACACACGCAGCTTCCATCCAGCAAATCTGTGTTAAATACGTTTGTGTCTCTTTCCTCCCCAACCCTTTATATGTGCAAAAATATTGTAGTGACCGAGGTACTTCCTCAGACCGTCTCCCACATGTACCCTTTCTGGCCTTCCAGGTCCTGTGACTGACTTCTTGGGAGGGAATAAAATGATCAAGGATAGAAAAGTCAAGCTTCTCCACCTGGTACTGCACTTGCCAAAACCTTTGGTTATTTATTTTTTTTCTTCCTCTTCCAATGCATTGTTTCCCATTTTCCTCTTCCCATTAGGTTGCTCATGTCTTTTCCACCATCTGTCCTCTGCGATGTCACATGATGCCCTGTTCCAAGGTCCAGGCCTCGGCAGGCGACCACCCTGATTTCCTATGGACAAGCGCCCTCTCCTTCCACCCACCAGCTCTCAGCATAGAAAGCAAGTAAGTGTTGAAATGTCCTGAAGCTGCAGGATGAATGGATGAGCAAGGGGAAAGAGAAGGGGAACACTTCAAAAATCCTCCTACAAAGGACAAGAAATCCTTTTGAGCTTTCCGCCTACACCTGGGGCAGACACACACACACACATACATGTGCTCACACACATGTGCACATATTCATATCCAAAGGGGCAAGTGTTCTTAAAAGTACCGGATGCTCCATGGACTTTGCTGGAAATGGTGTGGTTTCTTCCCCAAGGGGGGCTCATTCTGAGTGGGTGACAAGGAATGATGTCTGATGTTTGGGGAGTGAAGGCAAGACTGTGAATCCTTCTCCTCAACCTCACCTAAGATGTTTCTCCTTGTCTCCCATAGTGGTGAACAACTCCAGAGCAGAGGTGCCAACAGAGACTCCTGCTTAGGATGGGAGACTGCACCAGACAGCACCTAAGGTCTCCTTAGGATGAAAGGTTCCTAGAACCCTCCATTAGACCATCTCTCCCCATAGCCTCTGCTTACCTAGTATCAATTTCTAGGCACACATTTGCCTGCCTGGCTAAAATCGTGCATCTGTAGATGTAAGAACAGATGGGGAGATGGATGCCAAGGCCAAGGTCATTTGTATGTCCCTCTTCTTAATTCCAGCCAGGCCCATCAGCTCGACTCTTTGTCCCTCCCAGATCTGACAAGCTGGAGGCTGAGGTTGGCTGGCATTTTGGGCTGTCTCCGTGAGGCTTTGCTTAAGTCTGTTTCTTTCAAGGATGACTGCTGAAGAGATGAGGAAGGAGAATGATGAGAGACAGCTGAGATGTTGATGAAATCATTCCCAAAGAGGTCTGGACAGCCCAGTGACAAAGTCATCTGCATAGCAATGGCACCGGATTCTGCAGAGGGAACAGGGACTAGGCTGTTGGCCCCAGCCGTCTATGGAGTTCTCAGGAAGGATGATGGGGATGGAGCCATGGAGATGGCTGGAGGTAGAATCTCCTAGATGCACTCTGCATTTCACGTTGACCCTTGATGAAGGTTGACAAAGGAGGGTGGAGATAGATGCTTTCTCTTGACAGCACTCAGGGCTCTGGTAGTGGACTAGACCTATGACTATGATTGTGACTCATTTGAATTTGAGGGTAAATGGAAAACAAATTCTGCTTCCAGGGTAGATGCAACTCTCTTTCCTTTTCTCCCCCTGTGTTACATTTCTGCTACTAGGATTCAGATGAAAAGGTCAGGAGCATCTCCATGGTGGAATGTAATTGCTATTCTTTCTCCTGCCTGGCTTTCTACTGGCGGGGGAGCAGGCAGGGCAGGCAGGTCCCTCTGGAGACCTGGAAAAGGACAGGAAGCCTCTGGACACCAGCCCAGTGGGGGAGAAGGAGCCTCAAGGAGCACCTCCCAGCTGCCCACACATGCCCTGCTCCAGCCACATGCAGGAGGTGTAGCCTTTCTTCTCACAGCTGCAAAGCGATCAGACCACTGGCTGAACCACTGGAGATGGAACTGTGGGAAGGGAGAGCCAGGTGATGTCTTCCCAGTAAAGATAATACTGAAGTCCTTCCTTGCCTCTTCCCTAGGCCAAGGCTCAGACCAAAGCAGGGGCTGCCAAAGTGGAAGGTGAAGTAGCAGCACAGAAATGTCCCCTGTCCCTGGCTCCTCATTCGTTATTTGCACCCTGCTGCTGACATGCACAGGGTCAGGAGCACCTGGGAGACAGAGGCCTCTCTGACATCTTCTGGTCAGCTCCCTTGCCATGGGCCTGGCCATTCTTGGACTAACTGAGGGTCAGTGGCTTGGTCCAATCGTGTTGGCAGAGCAACTGGAAGAGAAGAGATCCAGGAAGGAGGGAGAAACGGAAAGAGGCAGAGAGAAAGAGAGAGAAACAGCGCTGCTCAGGGGATGCTGCTGATGCCAGTCGGAACTTGCACTTGGTAAAGATGATAATCTAGACTGAGGCACGGCTTGGTGTGTCCCCCTCCAGGGCGGCCCTGGAAGGACGGTTCTCAGCTGTCTAAGCTCATGAGGGTTATGACTTGTTCTAGTTTGTAGGCCAGTTTCTGCTTCCCACACTGGTCATCGTGGTCCAGAGGTCCAAGGATCTGCGGAAGGGCCAAGAACAGGGAGATTACTCATTTGTGTGTACAGGTCTGTGTTCTCAGGAGGCACAAAGATGGTGTGGATGTGGTCAGAAGCCCGGGAAGCCACAGGCATGTGCAGGGGCACACAGGACACTGCGGGGTAGGAGGAGACCTGGGGAGCATGGGCAGGAAGTTGTGGCAGGCATAGCATGTGAGCATCAGCATGGCAGTGAGCACAGGATGCCAGCACACACAGTCATGTCTGAATGACTGTGTGCATTCTACTGGCTACAAAAGATGGTAGACAGAGGGCAGAAGCTCTGCTGAAAGTGCCTGTGCCGAGATGCTGCAGTTACCTGCAGGTTAGACAGCAGCTAGTTCCATATCCGATGGAAATGCGTAGTGCTCAGCATGGAGCCGGAATGTGATTTCATGGATGTTAAGACATCCCACCCTTCCTCCCGCAGAAATAAAAATCCATCAGCTCCTTGAGGCCCCAAATTCTACATTTAGAAAGTCATTTGTTTTCACTTTGCCTGTTAAAAAACAAATGTCCCTAGAAGAGTAAGACTACAAGCTTTCCTGGTCATTAACACCTAATGGATAATGTCTACCAAAGCCTTTTCTGAAGGCAGGCAGTTAGCAGAGGACAATGACAGCCAGCAAATGTGGCCCATGATGAAAAATATGCTAGAATTTTACTCAGACTCAGGAGATGAGGGATGGAGTAAAGGCTCTGCCAGTTTCTAGCTTGGTGATCTGAGGCCAAACAGGTAACCTGTCTGAACACTCAACGTCCTCAACTGTTAATGTAGGAATGACTAATCCACCTCCAGGGGAGAGGATGTCAGATAACATCTGTGAGCACCCTCAACACAAGGCCTGCCCCCCGAGAGGCACTAGACAATTGGGTGGAACCTACTGATGTTGTAGTTTGAGGGGCAGGGAAAAGAAGGGAGGGCAAGGAGATGAGAAGGAGGCTCAAGGGAGGCGCCCAGGGCTTTGGATTTCATGACCCAGTTAATGTTTCTTTAGTTGTGGAAGCAGGATAGAGCTGGCCAAGAACTGTCATTTGTACGCGCCATCATTTCATAGATGGGTTATTTAAACACCAAGGTAGACAGGTGTACTTGTAGACTAACAGAGAATCCTTTCTGAGAGGAGACGGTTGGAATATTACACTGGTGCACACTATAGCATCCTTATTATCTTGCATTGCCGCAGGCAGGGGAAAACTCTGCCCCAGACCAATACTAACCTGCAGACTGGCATCAGGGTCCCTCCCCTAAGGGACCCAGCACTGGCTCTCCCATGATGTAAGGGCCACAGAATTAGGCTGTTCATGGCCTGCAGGACTCCAGGCCTTGGGCCTGCTGGGTCTGCTTCTTTAACTGGGGGTTCCTGGACTCTCCTTAAGTGATGAGGATGGGAGGAAATAGAGAACTCGGGGCACAAGCTTCAGCTTCTCTTACTACCGTCCACTCAGAGAAGGTGGCTATGCTGCTGCTCAGATGCAGGGAATTTGGATTCCAAGGATGGCCAGACCCATGGCAAGAGAGCTGACTAGAAGCCCAGGAAGACACAGGCCTCCTCCTACCCAGCAGTGTCGTGTGTGCCCCTGCACATGCCTGTGTCTTCCTGAGCTTCCTGGGCTGATCAGAAGATGTCTGAGGGGCCTCTCTCTCCCAGCTGCTCCTGACCCCATGCATAGGCAAGAAAACTCCCAAAGCACCATGGCACTGGCCAGAAAGAAGGCCTTGTATATAGTGGCAATGACCCCAGGTGGGATTTTCCAGTGAGGGAACAAAACAGAAAACACATTCTATTTGTTCTGTTCTGTTCTGTTCTGTTCTGTTCTGTTCTGTTCTGTTCTGTTCTGTTCTGTTCTGTTCTGTTCTGTTCTGTTCTGTTCTGCTCTGCTCTGCTCTGCTCTGCTCTATTCTTTTCTATTCTATTCTATTCTATTCTATTCTATTCTATTCTATTCTATTCTATTCTATTCTATTCTACTCCGTTCCATTCCATTCCATTCTATTCTATTCCATTCTGTTTTGACTCACTTCTGTTTCATTTCTAGTCTATTCTGTTTCTATTCTATTCTACAACATACCATATCATACCATACAATGCCATACCACATAGCCGGCCCATAGGAGTGAGGAGGTGCCTGTTTAAAGAGAGTTAGATCAGAGAAAGATGTGGAAAACATAAAAAAGAAGAAATACAGGAGAGAAAATAAGAATTAAAAAAGACAATATAAAAGAAACAGGTACTTATTTACATATCTAAGAAGCACAGGGATGAATGCAGAATTTATGGGATGGAGGGTTTCTAGCATCCCAGCCTTTGGATCACAGCCCCAGGTCCTCAGTGGTGGTTCCCCCAGCAGAGGTGGATGTGTCTGTGGCGATGATCTCTTATACGGAGGCATGCAGGGTTGTCTTCATTCTCTTCCCCCTTCCATCCCAATGGGCCTGGAGCAGGGCAAAGCTTACCTCCTCGCTGTATTTGCCCACATAGGAGAAGATCTCTGAGAGTGCACTCATGGTGTTGAACTCATTCATGTGCATCCGGGACTGCTCAGCCAGGTATGCGTTCATGTCTTGGTCGCTGATGGCTGGCATCTTCCCTATGTCTGAGTAATACCTGTGGAGGGATGGAAATAGGGAGAAGCTGAAGTCGTGCATACGGAGTAGAGGAGAGATGGATGCTCCCAGCACCGTGTCTGGGGCCATGAGCTCAGCTTGCACTGCAGGTAGTGGGTACTTGTGCTGTGGCCACCTGGGGACCACTGTGGTCTCTCTCTCATCTGGGTTGCTGGGTCCGAACCAGGAAGAGCCCTCTGCAGCTCTGGATGCAGGAGGCATAGAGGGAAGGGATTTGGGGAGTGGCCAAGACAGGAGAGGAACCGAGAGCCAGAGGGTCCCAACTCGGGCATCCTCTTTGCTCTCAGCTACCACACAGAGAGGTCTAGACTGTCTTGAGTTTCTCTAACGCCCCTCCCACAGACGCAAGGGATCTCCTCCAGCAGGGCCCGAAGGCTCTTCCGAGCGGTTGCTCTTCTCTGATGTCCTCCACTCTCTGGGGGCTAAATGGGAGGAGGCAGGGCTGAGGCTACTCAGGGAGAGACTGGTAGAAGGCAATCAGTCACTGTCACTTGCAGCTGTGCACTGCTGTCAACTGGTTAAGTAGATGCCAGCATTTACATTTTTAATTTCTGCAATTTGACATTTTATGCACCAAACCTCAACTCCCCCACCAGAGGGGGGTTGCGCAGTTTCTTAATGAGGAACTGAAAGGCCTCAGTGTCCCCAAAGACAGCCACTTCTCACCCTCTCCTATGTACTTTTGGGCTTGTGGACTGCATAAAAGAGAAGAGGTAACTGCAATGACAGGAGGGCATCATAAACCTCAAGGCCTTGTGGTGGCCCAGCTCAGCCTAGCCCAATCCAGCCCATGCCAAATCCCTGTGGCTGCCATGCTGGAGAAAGTAAACCTGAAACCTAGGATCAGAGGGGATGGGGGAGGACAGTCTGCAGGGCAGGGACTAGGGTGCATGAAGCAAGGCACCTAGGCACCAAGTTTAAGAAAAGGCACTCACTCTTGGGGTTGTGCAAGTATTGGTGACAATGACAGACCCTGGGAGTTCTCAGAACTTGAATCTTGGTCAGAGGCTCCGGGACAGTCTCCTTCTGCACCCCAGCCCTGTGTCTTTCCCAGCCCTATCCTTCACTTCTCCAACCAGGACCCTGTCTGTCTTGTGCTGTTTCCCTGACCTCTAACTGTTCCCATCAGTGCCTAGGAGGTGGGTGAAGACTGGCAGAGATGGTTTTCCTGTGCCATCTCAGTCATCAGCTCAAGGGCCTGCAATGGAATGACAGTTCAATTTGCACCAGAGCATCCCTGGGCTAGTGAGGGCTGGGATGGCTTCCCTGCTTTGAGCCACAGTGGTACTGGGATTGCAGATCTGTTGTTCTGCCTGGAAAATGGGGAGGCAGAGGGAGGGAGATGACAGCTGTGCTCCCTGGCAAGGGAAGGGGCTGGTCAGAGGGGACTCCCCTGGCCACATACCAGACACTTTCTCAACTGTTTTGCTGAACTGGTAGCATTTTGGCTGGGCAGGAGCCTGAGACAGGCAACAAGGCCAAGGGCGTAATAACATGGCCTTTCTCAGAGCAGCCTGGGTGTTCAGACAGGCCGCCCTGCCCCCGTCTCATTTGTATTTCCATCCTTCACATCTTCTTCCATTCCCCGCCCCTCCTCCACCTTCAGAACCCTCAGGGCCCAGTACCCCTTCCTGTTTCATTTTGCTTTCTTTGCTCCATCCCCAGAAGAGCCTGTTCTCTTCGAGGCCTGTGACCCGCCCCAAAACACATCCTCAGGTACCTCAGGACACAGGGCTCTGAGTAATTTAACGACATTCCAGGTATAAAATTGCAGCGAGACTTGATTCATTGTAACCATTTCTGGAATGCAATAAATGCCATTGTTCCATTTTATAGTGGGACACCAGAGATTTCAGTAGTAGCTCCCAACCTTGCCATTCCCAAGGAGATTTGTGTCATTGTCCCCTTAGGGATCCCATGTCTACCAAGCAAGATATGTTTGTCAAGTAAAGGGCTATCTTCACAGGCTTTATTTGTAAAAAGTGTGAACAAATAACCTCACTCACTTTTGGTACCATGGCCAGCAGCCAGCCACGCAACTCTGGTAACTCAGCTGAGTTCCAAGCTTCCACCAGACAGGTATACTCTGTCACCTGTACACAATCAGAGCCTCTGACCAGGTGAAAAACCCAGGTTCCCATGGAAAGGACACAACTGTCATCAAAAGCAAAGACTCCTGTAATTTCTCTCACCAGCTGTGGAACCTTTCACAGTAGGCAGGTGGCTCTGTCAGGCTTTTTGCAAACAGTGCCAGGGACCTTCTTGCTGCCTTTATAGTCCCCGAGGTGTAAGGAATCCTCGGTTAGGGGCCACTGTGTCTGCAGTGAAGAGACCATCACTAGGGAAAAAAACAGAAGCCCAGCATTCTGCCTTCACAGTGTCTTGCCTCATGGTAGCACACTAAAAGCCCTGTCCATTTCTCCAAAGAGAATATCTAGAAGTATATATGTGTGTGTGAGAAAGACAGAGAGAGCTGCTGGGGTGGAGGGCAGGGAGTTGAGAGTAGGGTAGGACAGGGCTGGGGCCCTGACCATCTCATCTAGAGGTCCTGGGTGACGTGCCTCTCCTGAACACATCATCCTCTCTCTCAGGTCAGGTCCTTGCTGGGTAGCTCCTGTCTCTTTCCTGTTCCCTTTGCACTGGGGAGGCTGGATCAAATCAGGGCACGTCTGTGGCCACATACTATTGACAGGTGGGCCAACTGCATGACCTCATCTTCAGCAAGTTCTAAATCAGCTGAGCTGAATGGCCACCGACAGCCCAGTGTCTGTGGGTGTGGGGCTTAAGTCTTGCTGAGAGTCTACCCTGTTTTTGATCCTAAGCCTGCCTGCTGCTAAGTGGTCCCATCTTCTCTGCAGGGCTTTGTTGATGCTGTCTTGACCCCTCCTGCTCCCCCACTCCCACTCCCTAGCCAGCACCTTGTGCCTGACGCTGACTCATGCGGCACTACCTCTGCCGGGTGAACCTTGCTTCCTTCTCGCTCCTGTTGTGCCGGCCCCAGTGCTGGGCTCCTCCACTGGGAAGCCTTACTGATCAGGAAGAACACAATTAGGCTCTGTTAAGGAACTTTAAACAAGCATTCTCATCTGCTGGCTGTGCATTGAGGAAGGGAAAGGGGAACCTGGGCCCCTGTGCTTGAACTTGCTCCTGTGGGCATTCTGCCTTCAGGTGAGCCCATCTCCAGGAAGTCCTTCAGGACCCCTCCGAGCTGCCCCAGGCCTGACCTGCTAAGAAGGAGCTGGTCCCACCACTGGCCTTCCCTGGTTCTTTTTGCTGAGTTGCTCACAGCAGGGAGGAGGCCAGCACCCCTGAGGTCCTGACATCAGGCCTCTGGGAGCAGCCATAAAGATCAGCACCCCACAGAGCCGCATCCTCCACTGTTGGCCAGTCTGCAGGGTCCTAGTCTGTGGATTTCTATGGGGTAGTGGGATGCCAGCAGAAATCCTGGGCCCAGAGAGTGACAGTGCGTATCTCACATCTGCCTTTAGGTTAGCTCTGTAGTGATTGGGAAGATGGTCTCCAATGCCCTAAACTCTTTGGAAAGGACACAGCGTTGGCATTCCTCCACACACCTCGAGGATGAAGATGCAGGAGTGAAAGATATTTCCAGCCTGATGCTCTGATATTCCCAATATGTACCTTTCAAGGCCCTGAACAAGTCTTTTCCTCTGTGAATCATGGGAGGGTCTCTCTGGGCCCAGCAGAACGAGGCCCCACACCCTGACTTCCCCACTATGATGCTTGTGGGGCCTGCTGAGCATCTGTGTGGCCTCCCTGACCACAGGAGCTGCAAAGAAAGGGTCAAGTTCAATGCATTTCAAGTACCCAACTCACTCATGATGGATACCATTAATGTTTGACCCATGAATTAATGAATATGTTAATGAAATGTCTATATCTCACCTCTAGACTATATCTTGCTCCCAGGGTAAGCTGTCACCATTTTATGTATTTGACTGGATGGTTTCCATAGGAGGCATATTTAAATATTTAAAATTCTTAACCTTTTTTCATGCCGTGACACACATGATAGATGACATTCAAATGTGTGGCACACTCTAGTCCAAACCCCTGTGGCCTGCTGTGACTCCATTCTACTTACTTCTTAAAAGCTGACTGATGGCAAGTGAGTGAGGCCAATGTTGCTGCAAGAATGACCTTTCAACTCTTCCAAGTTAAAATCAGAGGAAATCAATCACTACTAAAGTATGCAAATGTTTTGCTACTGGTAATGACACAAAAACTACAACTAATCACAACACGCCACTTCATGGTGATGACACTGTTGTGTTTTGTCTGTAAGGTGAAGGTAGTAGTTAACTGCTAATTGGAAACCAAGAGACTCTTCTCCCTTTTTCCAGATTCGGCCATAAGCAAAAGCTTAAATTCTTGGATGAGGGGAATGAATACTGGGAATCCACAGTGGGGCTACAAACCACCATTATTACAAGGTACTTGGAGGCAGGAATGGGAGGGGAGGATGGGTGGGGAGATGGTGGGAGGGAGGACAGGTAGGAGGATGGGTGGGAGGAGAGATCGGAGAAGAGATGGAAAAATAGATGGCAGGACAGGAGTGAGGGCAGGTGGGAGGATGGATGGGAGGACAGGCGGGACGATGGGTTAGAGGATGGGTAAGAGAATGAGTGAGAGGAGAGAAGGGAGGGCAGGTGGGAGGACGGATGAGAGGATGAGTATGAGGATGGTGGAAGGATGGGCGCAAAGATGGGTGAGAGGACAGATAAGAAGACTGGTGGGAGACTAGATGGAAGGATGAGTGGGGGATGGGTGGGAGGACAGATGAAAAGATGAGTGGGAGGGTAAAGAATTTCTAGAAGACTCAACATACTGGCAGAATCATCTATGCCATTCAACCAAGAGTTATTGAGGCTTCCTGAATTTATATGCTTCCCTTTTTCACCTGCTCTGAAGAGAGGACCAGCCAGGGTAAGCCCTATTTTTTAGTTGTGATGGTGCAGAAAACCTTCCCCAAATACATGCAGAGCACACTCCACAGCAGTGAGCCTCTAAGTAAAAAGTCCTGGGAGGACTGTCTCCATTTGACCAACAGCAGGGGAGCAAATTCAGAAGTGACCAAGCCGTGGCCAGGTCACTCTACCATCATCCTCAACTGCAGGCTGCAAATTTCCTTGGAATGGGGAGGCGGGAGATCAGGTGTGCTGTGGTCCCAGGTGAGGTCTGCCCTGCCGGACTTTACTTTCCCCTCCAGGGAGCCAGGCAAGCTCGGAGGATACCTCCTCTGGGAGTGGGAGTGGACGTGGACTTGTCCCTCCATCACCAAGTGAAGAAGAACTCTGGGCTTGACCTCAGCCCTGTCTGTGCTGTTTTCTCGATCTATCTGTCTTTGTACCCCGGTCCCGAAAAGGAGAAAAGATTTGGGGCTTCAAGTAAGTGAAAGATGACTTTCTTGAAAGTGTCAGTGGTTGCTAAGACACGAGTGGGATAGGAAATGGAAACCATCAAATCACTCCTAAAAATAACCCAATGGACTGAGTTTACTTGTGACCTGCAGCAGCTGCATGGCACAAACCTCATTGAGCACCAAGCAGAAAGGAGACCACTTGCTCAGCCCATGCATGAGCCTCAGCTCTGACTATGCAGCCTGTTCCTGGGAAGTGTCCTTTATGCAGACACTTTATAAATGTTCCCAGCCCTTCACAGCCCTGGTTTCCCCTTCCCCGCCTGGGGCACTATCACAATGACACTGTGGCACTCGGATGACCAACAGCCCAGCTGCTGCCTCTTCCCCCTCTCCCTGCTGAAGAATTGGCTGTCCACATGGGAGGGGCTGGAGGGCCTGCTCCTGGCAGCTCTATTGTTGGGAGAGTGAGCCACTGTCTACATAGCAGGAGGTGAGAGCCTGTCTAGGTGACTCAGACATAATCAGACACTAGGACAAAAGAGTTAGTTTCCTTTTGGACAGCTGAGGTGGCATGTCCACCACCTGCATCAGTAGGAAAGGAGGAGAGGGTATCAAAGAGCAGAGGGGAGAGGGAAAAACAAAATCAAACCCTTTTAGTGACACTAATGCACTGAGGTGGCCAGGACTCTACTCCCTCTTAGTTATTTCCTTTTTATAAGGGAAGGCAATTTTCAAGTATAAAGACAGAGGCTGTCTCTATCATAGGCAAAATGATAAAGTTCATTTTGTCACCAAGTCAAGAACACCTTCTGGACTCTTTTACTCTTCAAAAGGCACCATATCTGAGCTTCCCTCTAGGTTTCCTATATTTAAGCTACTTAGAATAAAGAGAAAGTCTAAATGCAGGACTGCCATGTAGAGTTGCGCAGGTTATTCACTGCACAAAGGTACTTGGACAAGAGGATGAGCTGGGGGTGACAAAGCCCATCATTCAGCAAACTACGCACTTGGTGTGGGGCTACCTCATTCTGTAGGAAGGGGCATCTTTCTTAAACCATACAGAGGCACCATATGGGTTGGCAGAGGCCCTGTCTGAAAGTAACGCAAATAAGTAGGAAGGTTATTTGGGAGTCAGCTAAGAGGCTTGGGATCTAGTTTCATCTTGGTTCTTTAAATCATCTTGGGCAGATTACTTAGCCATTCTGCATGTATATTTCTTCACCTTCATGGCATAAAAGGAGCTTATAGTTCCTGTCCTCTCCCTAGTACAGGGCTTCTGTGATGAATAAATAAAGCTTCAGCTGGTTGCTTAGTTCAGGTGCTTGGCGTATGGAGCTGATGTGGCTCAGACAAACCATTAACCTTCTTTACCATGAGTCGCACTGCCCTAGGAAGAGCCCAGCCCTGCGGCTCATAGGGGGACCTTCAGTCACGAGAGCTCTGCAGGACACTGGGATTTGATCACAACGCTGCAAGAACCAGGGCATTAAGAGCTCATGCAAGAGTCAAGGGATGGGGAGAGTGAGAAACTGTTCAGACAGTGACAAAGGCATCCCCACTGAATGCTGGGAACTGCCAGCCAGACGGTAGCAGATGGGTAGAGGCCTCCAGCCTTTTCTGCAGCAATGATGTAGTTTGGCCCCTTGAAGTGTTATGATGACAGTTTTTATTTATTTTTTGGGGGGTGGGTGGTGAAGATCAGAGCTGGGAGCCGCATCTCCTTTCTGGGCCTAGAAGACATTTCAGCCACTAGGCTCCAGGGCCTGTTATCTAGGGAAGCTGAGCTACCATGGCAACCTCTGGCCAAGTTTTCCTATTCTGGTTTCAGGGGACAGCAGCACTGGGACTTGGGGGTGTGGGTGTTGCAGTGGCAGGATTAGGCTTTGTGAATGACTCATCTGGAAACACAGCTGGTTTTTGATGGGGAGGGGACCTTTTGTTGAGGGAGCTGCTGGCTCCAGCAAGGGGCCCTGACTTGGCTCCGTGGCCCAGCACTCACCTCTCCACCCAATTCTTGTAGCTGGGGATGTCCTTGGCATACAGCAGCTTGTTGGAGGGCGAGTCCTTGCCCAGCCGGTGCTCTGACGTGGAGCAAGAGTCCATGAAGGTCTGAGCCACCACAGAGAGGCAGGCGTCTGTGATGCTGTTCTTATGGATGTCAAACACAAACTGCGGGTTCTTGATCATGTTGACCCAAAACCTCAGGGGCAGGCTGCGTGGAAGGAAGAGGCAGATGGTCAGGAAAGACGGGGCAGTGGGGCTGTGGTGTGGGTAGGAGGGGTCTCTGGAGAAGGAGAGAAGCCTGGGGAACTAATAGAACTTAAGAGCCTTCTCTATGCTGCGGATGGGATGTGCCAGGGAAGGGAGGTGAGGCAGGTCTGCAGGGCCCCAATTTACCTTCCAGGAAACTGAGGACTGGCAAGGCTGAATAATTCATCCAGAGATATAATGTTGGTAGGTACTTGAGAGGACTTGATACCCAGCCTTGATGGCAGGGCTCATCATCTTCCCTTTGGTCTAAAAGGCAGCCATGATGTATGCTATAAAGCGGAATTTCTAACTCTCTGTCTGTCTGCTCCTAAGCCTGGTACAAGAGCATCTAGTTGGCAAACTGTAAGGAATTGCTTGGAATCTAGGCTTTGTATCTGACTCTCTGCCATCTACTGTATGACTTGGCAGAAGTCACACCCTTCCTCCCTGCCTGGGCCTCTCAGCCTACTCCTACTGGGGCTGAGAAGTACAGTGTAGCTGACTGATTTTTCATTTCTAAGCTGGCACGCTTGAAAACCCACATTCACCCACCTCATGGGCCCCATCGTATTCCCTCCTTCCCCTCCAGTTGGCACCTCCTGCCCACCAGGAACTGTGCTTGCAACTGGGGATACAGTGATGAATGAGACACATCCTCTGCTCTCAAGAAGCCTGCATTCTGGTGGGTTCATGGAAAGGCAGACATGAAATCAACTACATGCCGGGAGGACTGTTGGTGCTAGGACCAGGGATGTGTAGGGTCCAGCATGGGACCAAGGGAAGCATCAAGCCTACCCAGAGGGCAGTGTCCAGAATGCCTTCACAAAGGGGGCACTTGATGGTGGGAGTTTTAAAACTTGTGTAAGTCTTTCCTTTCCTTTCTTTCTTTTTCTTTCTTTCAATGGAGTTTTGCTCTGTCACCCAAGCGGGAGTGCAGTGGGGCGATCTCAGCTCATTGCAACCTCTGCCTCCTGGGTTCAAGCGATTCTTCTGCCTCAGCCTCCTGAGTAGCTGGGACTACAAGCAGCCATCACCACACTCAGCTAATTTTTATATTTTTAGTATAGATGGGGTTTCATCATGTTGGCCAGGCTGATCTTGAACTCCTGATCTCAGTTGATCTGCCCACCTCTGCATCCCAAAGTGTTGAGAATACAAGGCGTGAGCCACTGTGCCTGGCCTGTGTGTTTCTTAGCAGGGTGAGGCCTGGAGGAAGGTGGTGGAGGATGGGCTGCAGACAGGAAATCTGCATTAACAAAGACAAAGAGGGAAAAGTGTGCCCTGCAGTCTGCTATTGTAAGCCTGTTGCTTATAATGTCCCAATCCTGGGACCTTCTGCCCCTTTTGGCTGTAGCCATCCCTGCAGGCTATAATCCTACGGCTTCCAACCAGCCTGCTTGGACGCAGGTGGGAAAGAGGGCTAGGCACCATGCAAGGGATTGCTTACTTCTTTCCTCTGCTCCCACCTCTGCCTCCTGCCATTTCCCCTGATGTTTTATTGTTTTGGTGGTTGTTCTCACTGATGGTAATAGTTAGAATATTCATTATGTGTTTGGCTTGCTCGTTAGAACTTAAATTCTTTGAATTACATCATTTCAATAGAACCAGTACAATATTTCTATACTTGCTCTATCTCCCAGCAGCCAGCATGTACAAATAACAAATGCTATTAATACAGGAAAACCTAATGTTCAAGACTGCCAATCAGTCGACAAGGATCTATTAAGTTCCTACAAAGTGTGCAGGGCGGGACTCAGGCAGGCAGCATTGAGGTCTGAAAATGTTTGGCGGTGTTTGCTTCATCCCTGGAAATCCCTAATAGGAAATAATGGGATGGCACCCAGGAAAGCTCAGACAGCCACAACACCCAGGTGAAAGTAGGGGTCATTCCAGCTGCCCAGCCTTCCTGACAGCTGGGCTCAGAGCCCTGAATGCAGGACTCACGACTTCCAGCTAACGAAATCTCTGTTTACATCTTCCTGTTGTTCCACAAGTTACACCAAGGATAGGGACTCTGGGAGTCCACATTTGCTCTGCCGGTTGTTTCTTCCCTATGCTTCCCGGTCCTCAAGCCAGTTTTGCTGACAGGCACAGCAAACAGGGAAGCCACAGCACCCACCTGAGGTTCCCGCCTAATGAAATATTAGCATATTATTAACATTAGTGGTGGCACTAATCTCTGGTTGATTGCAGCCACTCAGGCTAAATGAGCAGGAGGTTTATTTAAAAGAGAAGAGGTAGGGAACTGTGGAAGAAGGGGGTGGGGAGAGGGTGGGTTACACCTTGGGCCAGGAATAAAAAAATAATCACTTTTCCATCAGAGACAATTAACTCCAAGTCAATATGCAGATCTTAAAATTCCCAGACTGTGTCTTCCTCAGCATAGCAATAGATCAAGTCAGGGTTGGGGGAAAGTGTCCTCAGGGTTGGGGGAAACTGTCTACTTTCTGGGATTTCCTTTGCTCAGACCTGAGTACTTGGAAGAGCTGGCATCCAAGAAGATTTGGCTCCACTCCAAGGACATTATGGCACCCCTGGAGGTGGCCTTGCCCCAGCAGGAGGGATGGGGTGAAAACAAATGGTTTAGATACCATTGTAGGTGATATTCTTGCACTGTGCTACTAAAAGCAGGTAGAAATGTTTAGAAAGACCCAACTTTCTCCAGCTAGGACCGAGAGAAGTTCTGGGCAGAGCATTTTTTTTTAAAAATTTCCTGAAGGCTGCTAACATTCAATGGAGGCAGTAAGTAGGAAGACTCACTAACAGAAGCAGATTGGTAGGCTGGGGACATGCCCCACTGAACAGCTCCCAGTAGTCACGCCACAAAGTCTAGAAGAGTTAAACGCATCTTACCTAAAGGCAGGTCCTGGGAGATATCAGACCCAGCACAGCTTTAAAAGGAGGAAATCGCATCACAAAGTTTTGCTACACTGAGTGAGCAATCTAGATTTTTGAGTCTTATTTCAGAAAGGTTGGAAGAACCCCAGAACGAAGGTCTTCTCTCACTAGGAGTTAATATGGGAGCAAACCCCATGCTTTGGTTCTGTGGTCTCAACCTTGGTTCCTACCTGGTTTTTCATATTCAGCAGGGATAGTCTCTTCTCCCGGTGAAGAGGATGAGGAGCCAGAGTATACTACATTGAATACAGTTTTGGTACCAAAGCCTGACTTCTGCCTTCATCTGTGCATTGCTTTGGGGCCCAGGGCTAGGTGCCAGGGTGCTTCGCTGAGCCCTAATGCTTTGCCCATCCTAGCAGTTGTTGGTGCGGGCAACAGGCCCACACTGCCTCAGAAGAATGATCTGGGGAAGAAGATCTGGAAAAGCTACAGGGAGGCAGTTCTGGAAGCAATGGGACAAAGGATAAGCCAGCTTTGCCTCAGGTAGAGCTCTCAACCAGAGACCACCTTGGCTCTGCATCTCATCAATAATTATTGAGACCCAGCTTTATGCAAGCTTCCGTACTAAGTGCTGAATACTGATGTGCGATCTTGAAATTTCAACCTGAAATACAAATTACTCACAAGTGAAAGGAAGGATGATCCATGTTAAAAGGAGAGAGGGGATCATAGGGGAGAACACCTAGAGTGTCAATTAGTACTTGGAGAATCCTGTTGTCTCAAAGGAAGACATAGTGGTTAAGGGCAGGTCTCTTCACCACACAGAGCTTGGAAAAGAGAAGAGAGCAATTGCTTGAATAGAATAGGAATGCCCTTTGTTCACCTGGCTGGTTCCTAAGTGTGTTTCAAAACTGCTTGCAAGTCACTGTTAGACATTGCCCTTCTAAGATCTGGTTGCACACGACACATCCTCCATCTTCCATAGCATTTGTCCCACACCAGCAGACTTCCTTGCCTCTCACCCTCATCTGTCAGTTCATTGAGGGCAGGGGCCATGTCTGATTAGCCCCGTGTCTAGCATAATCACAGGCACCCAGGAGGTACTTGGATGGGAGAGTGTCCTGGCCGTGACATTTGGCATATTTTTCTTGCTTCTTCAGCTGGTTCAATAAATGTTTGTTAACTGACTAAGTGATAGGAAAGAAAGATGCACAGACAGATTTGACTAGAGGGAAGTAAGAGAGGGAGTGAGCACAAAAATCTAGGAAGAGTGGATGGGGAGGACCAGAGAATGTGCCTGCTCAGAGTCCCTGCTGATGAAAACAGGCTCTGGCCAGCCCTTCTCCTGGAGGCCCAGAGTCCCACCACCATTAACTTGAGGCTGGGTGGGCTCAGGGCTCCCGATGTGCCCCCTGCCCTCCCTTCACTCACCAATTGCTCTTCCAGGTATGGCGGACGTGCGGGTCATGAATGCCATGTTTATCAGCCTGCTCATCCAGGAAGTCAAACATGTACTTGATGGCCAGGGGCAGGGCAGAGCCACGGTGTGCCGTGCTGAAGATGGTCTCAAAGAGGTCATCCACAAACTTCTGCAGTGTGCCCTGGAGAGGCAGGATACGTCCAGACACAGCTCGACTCACGTAGTTCTGAGGATGGCTTTTAAAACCTGCCTCACAGACCTAGGCAGGGGAGGATGGTATACAGCCCACCCTACTTGGGTAAAATTGGGTAAGTCCATGCATTAAATCATTTTTTCCCATTTCATCTGTCTCTAACAGCTTTAAATTTCCCCTGCACATGGAAAAGAGATATAACACTGATGACTGGACCTACGTAAGGCTTCCTCTGCCAACAACACGGTTTGGTTGAACACCCTCTGGCGGTGTTATTTTAGCACTTTTCACAAATGCTAATGAACACTCACTTGGTCAGAGCAGACAAACACAATCTGCTGGCTTTGTTTGGGCATTACTCACACTGGCTAATGAACAGTGACTCACTTGGCTCTGCAGAGAGCAGAGCTGAGCCCAGTCTCAGGAGTGAAAGACTAGCACTGCAGGCAAGCAACGTCCCCAGAACCAGGATTAGAAATGGTGCCGGAGGCCAGACACGGTGGCTCATGCCTGTAATCCCAACTTCTGGGAGGCTGAGGCGGACGGATCATTTGAGGCCAGGAGTTTAAGACCAGCCTGGCCAACATGGTGAAACCCCACCTCTACTAAAAATACAAAAAAAAAAAAAAAAAAAAATTAGCCAGGCGTGGTGGTGCATGCTTGTAGTTTCAGCTACTTGGGAGGCAGGAGGATTGTTTGAACCTGGGAGGAGGAGGTTGCAGTGAGCAGAGATTGCACCACTGCACTTCAGCCTGGGTGACAGAACAAGACTCTGTCTCAAAAAAAAAAAAAAAAAAAAAAAAGAAAAGATATGGTGCCTGGGAAGTCGTGATGGAGCCCCGACTTCCCCAACTTGAGATTGTAGATGATACCACAGAGAAGAAATCATTCTTTTATAAGGCATGGCAGAAGAATGTGAAAAGAGGCAGTTAGAGTCTCAGTATTTCAGAAGGGCATGGAGAAGGGGTAGAAACAAATCTTCAGATTGCATGCCAACACTGATGTATTGGCAGGGTTTGCCTGGAGTTCTGGATTGAGAAGGATTCTGAGGTTCGGTACGGGGAATGGTCAGCAGTGCCTCCTGGGGTGGGTAATAGAGTGGGCACCAGCATGAATGCTGGGTACTGGCTACTCTGGCATTTCTGTGGGCTGATGAAGTCCCTCTCCATAGCCTCTGGGCTCCCTGCACCCAGTTCTCAAGTCTGATACCTTAGTGGCCAGGAGTCGGGTCAGGTAGATTTCAGACACCATCTTGCTCCCCCGGTCCCCCTCCTTCTGGTCTCCGTGCTCGTGGTTCTTCACTAGGTGCCACATCTTGACTCCACTCTCCAGGTCAGGAGTGATCATAGGTGTCCGTGAGCGGAGGCTGTCGGGGCTGCCCGTGTACCGGATCATGTTTTCTGCCAAGGCAAGGATCACCCCCCGACATATGTGAGGCCACACAGCCTTAGCCCATCACTTACCATGCATCCCTTGCTCCGGCAGAAGCCAACGACTGTCTGATCATTCCTGCCATTGGTCGGTGCTGTCACCTTGCCTTGGTTTGGTGCATTCCCTGAAACTGGGATGCCTTTCTCACCACCTCCAGGAAACTATCTGTGGCTAATTCTACCCACTCAGATCTCCCCCTTCTTCCTGTACTCTGCATCGTGTCAACCCTTAATTATTCAATTTGTAAAAATATAAGCCTGTACTTTTTTAATGCTTTTCCTTGTAAGAGTTCTCAAGTCACGTCTCAGGATGTGTTCTGTGCAGCCAATTAAGTACATACTTAAGAGCAGGTAGCCTGTCTCCCTCAATAACCGCTGATCGGATGAGTAATCACTGGGTAACCTGCTCACCTTCGTCTGTCCTCCCCTCTGGCCTGCGCCAATTATTCCTGTTTATTTGCTGAAATTCCTGCCAGTGTTTGTGAAGTGTTGTGAAATGAGTACTGAGCAGGAAAAAGAAATGGCGGTCCTACTGTGTGCAGGCACTATTCTCTGTATTCATCTATTGATTATCTAGAATGATCCTGTTCAGTCGGTAGATTTTTCAGTCTCTTCTTCTGGTAAATAAATAAATAACCAAGGCTCATAGTGGTCAGATGACTAGCCCCAAAGCACACAGATAGGGCAGAACAGGGCTTCTTCTGGCTTCTACCCCACCTCCAGCACCCTCTCCTCACCACTGCAGAGCCTCGCACCTGGTCTGTACCTGCACTCCACTGCAAAATAACAGTGGCTCTTACAAATCATTTAGCCTCTGTGCACCTGAGTTATAATGTACTAATCTGCATAATAGGGGGAAATAATAATTATTTAATTCACTAGATTGTTATGAACATGATGTGAGATAATAGCTATCACACAGCCTGGAAGACATTCATGAAAGTTGGCTTTACTTCTTTTGCTCGTGGATGAAGGTCTTGCTTATGCATCAGAGTGCCCGACTGAAACCAGGGTCCTCTTCCCCCACCTGGCTCTCTTCCCCGATGGTCAGCCTGTCTGATGCCCCATCTCCCCTCTCCAAGAGTCTCCTGCCTTCTGGCTATGCTGCTGTCATGACAACAGCTGCTCAGGACACCCAGGCCTCCCTAGGACACTCGGTGGGATCTTACCATATTTACTTGCTGAGGTCCTGGAGACGGTGGAGTTGTTCACTGCGTTATAGGCTGTCACCTGCTTGGACACTAATGCCACCACGGAACCATCTGGCACCTACAGGGAAAAAGCTTCTCAGGGCCTAGGCACAGCAGCTCTGCCACTCCAGGAAATAAGGACAAATCATGATGAACTTGGCACTAAGGGGAAATTGGTGCCTTGCTGGAGAACTAGGGGACTTTGGAGGCTGTCAGCTTTCCTTGGAGCAGAACAAGACACAGATCTGGATACTGACAAGTATTCTGTTTTGTGGCTTCTCTTGGAGTAACTTCTGGCAAGAGCTCCTCCCTAGCATTCTCAATCCCAGTGCTTCCCTGGAAGATGACCCAGCCTTAAATGCCCAGAGGAACTTCTCAGGAGAGCCTTCCCTGGGGACTCTGCCCATGCCCTGCAGAAAGTGTGCATGTCAGGATGCTATCTCCAAAGAGGTCAGGGTTTCCTGGTTTCTTGGCTGGGAGACACCAATTTCCTCTGGATCACTAAGGGAACATGGAGTGCTGGTGAGGGGCTTGGTGTCTACCCCTGTTATTCCAGGGCAATGATTTCCAGGGCAAGGGACTTGTAGTTGGCTAGCTCCTCCCCTTTCCACATTCCCCTCACCTGGTAGTGGGCCAGTGTGTTCAGTCGCTTCCAATCATTCTCAATCTTGGTGGTGATGTCTTCATCCTGCAAGATCATCCTTGCCCCACTTCCTTGTCGCCACTCTGCCAAAAGAGCGGTGGCGTTTCAGAGAGGCCCTATGACCCCTCTTGTGGGGAAGCTGAGGACCCTGTGTAGGTACCTATGCAGTGCTAGCTCAAGGGTGTGTCCATTGCAAGTGCTAGCACATGCTCCTGCGAAAATGGAGTGCCAAAGCTCTCAACGCAGAGAGGCCCTGAGTTCCAGTTCTGGTTCTAAGCCCAACAAACTATGTGACCAAAATGGGGCTAACATCACTTATCCACCCTTGCCCATCTGCTTGCTGTGAATGGCTACATCTGTAAAAAGTAGGTGCTCAAAAAGTATTGGCCAAACAAAAGAGGCACATAATAAAACACTAAGCTTTGACAAAGCATGAGGCAAATGCAAAGTGGCATAGTTGTGGTAGCGTGACTTGTTTGGAAGCTCTTAGAGCTGATGAAATCAAGGCTGTAGGCTCAGTCACTGAACAGCCCCAGACCTGTTCCAGGGGTGTATCCTACAGGGTGAAACTGGCAGGTGTGTCACCCTTGTCAGGGAGATTGGGTCAAAGAGTGTGGAAAAAATCAGCAAAACCCATTCTCACGCCCATGAACATCCCATTCCCTGCAAAGTTTATGTAAATGATATCAACGTTGTAATCTATCCAACACCTAATTGTTTGATGTTACAAGGATATATTTACATCCCCATATTATTCTCACGGGTCCAAACACCTACAATACATGGGCTTACTGATGGATCACACATGGAAATGGGAGGCTGTTTCTCATCAACCAAATCCCCACCACCATACTTGGTACAAATCACGTGTAGGTGGAGAAGTGCACATTCTTATCTCGAAATGTACACACATGAAAATCCATGTGCATGTCAGACACACATAAACTCATGCAGCACACACATGTATGAGCTCACGCATCCACACATACCATTCTCATGGACATATACCAGAAAGGAAAAACAGCCTCTTAAATTCAAATGCAACGTGTGTTCCAGCCAAGAAGCCAGACGTTTGGTTTCCAGGCAGCCCAGATCCTGCTCAATGCCTCTCAGATGCTGATACTTCTGAAATGTGCAAAGAATGCTGGGCTCGTTCAGAGTGTCGTTAGTTGCTGGATTAAGTGGCCTGGCAGTCACTGCTTGACCCACCAGGGATTTCTTCCTATGTCTCACAGAGCCACATGTTCAGATTCTCTTCCTCGTTTCCCTCCTGCCAAGGCTGGTCCATGACCAGCCACATTTGTGGCAGAGAGCACCAATTCCTCCCTGCATTGTGTATTTGTTGTGGTCTGTGCTGCCAACCCCATTTCACAGATGGCATGCCCTTTGGAATAGCAGAGATGCTCCTAAAATCTAAGCCCCTTGCCTCCAGTCCCTGGGGCTCCAGTCCCTGGGGCTTCCCTGCTGCCTGATTTACAGCTTAGCATCATGTCAGGTGGTCAAAGGAATGAAAGCATAGGGACTACATGCTTGTTCACTGGAGCAAGAAGTCTCTGGGGACCATCCATCCCTTAGTCCTGTGGATGTCACAGCTGGGATTGCTCATGGTGATTATGGTCTGGGGTGGTTAGACTAATAGGCAAAGGGGAAAATGCCTCACTGAGGTATCTGGTCACTAGCGTTTTTGCTTGTTATTGTGTTGTTTTTTTCTTCAGTTTTTTTGTTTTGTTTTTTATTTTATGGAGGTATGCATGCATGCACTTTTGAGTGGTTGGAGCAAAGGAAGAGGAATCTCTCCAAGCTGGCCAGACAGCTGATGTGCTGTGCAGTTGGATGCTGGTGGACACCAGTCTGGGTTGGGGAGTATACGGCAGTGAGCCTCCCCCACTTGCATGGTGAGTGGCACCTGGTTAAGTCAGAGGCTACATAGGGGTGGAGGAACAGCTTTGGGGCACAACAAAAAAAAGGAGCCAGCATTCTGCTTTCCTCATATTTAGGGTAGGGAGAGGGATGCAATGAACTCAGCTCTGGACACTAAGTCCTCTGGCTGGGCCCAAGGGAGTCTCCTCCACTGAAGTGACCATGGGGCTTGCTAGGACTAGAAGGAGAAGGTGCCAGTGGAGAGACAGCCCTCTAGCTTAGCAACTGCAAGGGCACTGCTTGCTGATAAAGAATTGTAGCACATCTCAGGAGCATCTGAATGAATAAACCACATGGCCTGGCCAACTAGGCAATGACAGTTGGTGACTGATTCTGGGCTCCAGGGCAGGTCTTCCACCATGATGCACAATTCCCCTTAGAGCTGTGCAGTGCACAGCCTGGGCGGCCATACTCAACAACCCTGGCTGAGTCATGCCCGGAAATTATGAGAATGAGAGTCCACCTACCTCCATGCCCCTATCCAAAAAGACTGGGTAGAGCATGGTCATGTCTCCTTGGGAATTATCTCAAAAAGTCAGGAATGTTTTCCCAAAAGCCAATATGGAGAGAGGGGGCTGGAATCAAGGAGTACACTTAGCTTGCTTTTAGATCTCTCAAGCCTATTATTTTGTTATGTCCTAGACAGAAAAAAATTGCTATGTGCTTTTTTTCTGAAATATCAGAAAGGTGAAAGAATAAGAAGAAAGGAGAAAGAAGAAGAGAAGGAAGAAGACGAAGAGGAAAAAGAGGAGAAGAGGATGAAGAGGAAGAAGAAGGAGGAGGAGGAAGAAGAAGGAGGAGGAGGAGGAAGAAGAAGGAGGAGGAAGAAGGAGGAGGAGGAGGAAGAAGAAGGAGGAGGAGGAGGAAGAAGAAGGAGGAGGAGGAGAAAGGAGGAGGAGGAGGAGAAAGGAGGAGGAGGAGGAGGAAGGAGGAGGAGGAGGAGGAGGAAGGAGGAGGAGGAGGAAGAAGAAGGAGGAGGAGGAGGAGAAAGGAGGAGGAGGAGGAAGAAGAAGGAGGAGGAGGAGGAGAAAGGAGGAGGAGGAGAAAGGAGGAGGAGGAGAAAGGAGGAGGAGGAGAAAGGAGGAGGAGGAGAAAGGAGGAGGAGAAAGGAGGAGAGGGAGAGGGAGGGGGAGAAGGGGAAGGAGAGGAAGGAGAGGAAGAAGAGGAAGAAGAAGAAAGTAGTAGTTGAAATTGTTGTTTTGTAGCATCTACAACTTAGTCCTGATGAAAGAGAGCCCAGACTGACGGGCAGCTGGTGTGGGCAGCTCCATCCCTGAGGCTTTCAGGAAAGAAGCAAGGATCACAAGAAGCCTACCCAGCTGAACCCAGAATGGAGGAGAGAGGGTGGAGTATAACTGGCGGGCAGCCCCACATTCCCTGGCACAGAATAATTCAAGTAGGCTGACAAGGAAAGCCACTCCTTAATGTCACTCTTCTCTACCCAAATTCCTTACTTTTACCCTGTTGGCCAGAACCCACTTTCACTTCCATACTTACCTGCCCTCCTTCCTTTCCTGAAACCCCTTCTTCAGGCCAGTTATGGTCTCTATTTTCCCTAGGCTCATCACGGAATGTCTCAAGAAGATCAGATAGTGGGCATGGGCTCAGCTTTCTGGAGCGCTCTTGCACGACTTCCTGACCTTCTCTCAATAGAAATCTGAGCCATAGAGCTCTACTGAGTAAAGCAGGGGCCAGGAAAAGCCAAGGTCAAAGACCATCGCAGGTGGCTTCCCTCTAGCCCAGGAACAGTGCCCTCTCCTAAGCTGCATGGCTGGGCTCATAAAATCTCATCCCCACCCCAGAAGTAAAGATCCCAAGGTCAGGTTGAGTCAGCTGAGGATGAGACAGCCCTGCCACCTTAGATATGAAGGCCAGCACCCTGGTCCCCTCACGGTGTGCACGACTGGCTGAATCAGCCTCAGGAGGCCCTCTGTGAGGGCGGTATCTAATTTTGTGCTGTGTTGCATATTCAGTGTGTGCTTAGTTTTAATAACAGTAATGAAAATAAATAGAACCCAGGTCCCCCAGTGCTTGATCCAGCCCTCTTTTCACCAGATGGGCTCCTTCTGTCTTGCCTATAAAAAATGTCACTAAAAATATCTCTCTTTTGAGTCTCTACCTTGCTCCGTAGGAGGTGACCACATTAGGACAGCCAAGAGGCAATGTCGTAGCTCAGCCAATGGCCAGCATCCTCCCGTGAAGGCTGAGCCTCTTGGGCATTTTTTGCCTGCCTGTGGGGCACAGTGAGAAGCTGGAAAATACCTCCCAGGCATCAAATGCTATGAGATGCTGAGCTCAGAGAGAGCTGTAGCAAATCCTGGGGCAGAGTGACTCCTCACAAACACCTTCTCCTACAAAAGAGGACACCTACAGTCCCATCTCACAAGATGCATCTCCTGCAGTCTCTGTGGTGAGAATCCAGGTCCAGGAGGTGTTGCAGCTCCACGCTCACTCATTCATCAAAGAACACTTGCCATGTGCCCCCAGTGTGCTGGGCATGGCCAACTGGGCATGAGAGGTAGTTAAACAGGGAAACGGGATAAAACATAAGCCCTTGCCCTTGAAGACTCCTTGTGTGGAGAGGCTGTGCAAGAGCCTGCTGGTCAGGGCAGGGGTGAGACAGGGAAGAGGAGCTATGGGGAGCTGGTGGGAAAGGGCTGCCCAGGTTAAATTGTGAAGGATGAGTAGGCGTTCACTGGCTGGCCAGGGGGACAAGTGTTCTGGTCCAAAGGTGGCACTCATGTTGTAGTTCTAGGGATCGATGAGTCTGAGCAGGAGAAAGTTGAGAGGCTGGAGAGGTGTAGGGAGGTCAGGAGCTAAGTTAAGAAAGATCCAGCATGCCATGCCAAGGTGTCTGGAGCTGAGCTGAGGCCAGGGAGACAGAGCGGGGAGGGGATAAGGAGAGGAGAGCATTATTAGAGGGGCAAAGAGGCATGAGCCCTGTCGGGATGGCCACCTTTGTCCAAAGCAGAAGTGGCAGCGAGGACCTAAGTGAAGGTAGTGGGGCAGGGGTGTGGGTTTCAGGGATGCTCAGAAGATGGCCAGGTCATGCCTGTAGAGTCTCTAGGAAGGGGAGAGGTAGGGGGACCCTGGCCTGCCTCCAAGTGTGTGGAGATCCATGTAATTGGCAGTGGGAAGCTGAGGCATAGATAGGAAAGAGATCCTCCACAGGCCAACCTGGAAGGAGATGCTTGCATGGAGGACCCCACTGGCCTGGCTCTTGAAGAGTCCCCTACCTACCAGTAGGTGCCATGCTGAGAGGCAAACTCTCCCCAGGGTGCACAGCACCTGATAGTTCTGGCCCTCACAGTGTAGACATGCAGGTGGGCCCAAGGGCACCCACACATGTACACACACATGTGCACATGCACCTTTTCCACCAGGCTGGGGACCCTTCAGGCTTTGCAATAACCCCACTTCCAGTCTTCCTATCATCATCTCTCCTCAGACCCATCCCAGGAAGCTTCAGGAAGGGCTGCTGAAGAAAGGAAAGGGTGGAAGGAGCCACTAACCAGGCTAGGTAGAGCCAGCAAAATCGACCTGCACAGTCCACGCAGGACCACCTTCATGACCACATGCCTGGACCTCCACCCCTGCCACCTTTTCTTACCTTGGGGGCACTGTGAACAGGTTCTCACTAGGAGCACACACCAGCACTGCACAGGGCCCACTCCACCCTCCAAACCCCGGGCTGAGAAGGAGGCTGTAGGGGGAGACAAGATTCTATGGCTCTGCACGCCTGTCAGCAGGTGAAACCCAAGGAAACACCTGACAGGGAGCCCTGAGACCTTCAACACCTGGCCACGCTGAAGTGCTGGGAGCAGGCACCGGAGAAGAGCTGGGAGAGCCAAGAGAAGATCAGAGTGTATCTGCTAAAAAGGTCAGAAAATTCACCTGGGAGCAGGAGGGGTGACATCTAAAAACGTTCTGTTTTTTTTTTTTTTTTAATTATTGTGACAGCAAGTGTGACACCTGGTGCTTAAAAGAAGAAGTTCCTGAATAGAAGTGCATTATTTGCACTGAAGGTACTAGATCTTTGTAAACTGTAAAGTGCTGTGCACTGGTCAGTTGTTGCTATTTGGGGATGCCTAGAGAGCGAAAGGCAAACGCAGGCTGAGCCCCGCTTCCTGATTTAAGAGAGACAAGCTAGAACTTAGTAGATATTCTTGAATGTGGAACACAGGGCTCTGGCATGGCTCCAGACAGTGTGGTGGGTCAAAGAAGAGTTTAGAGGGCAGGTGGTGTCAGTGGGAAGGAGGGAAGGTGACCCTGGCACTCATATGCATGGCACCAAGAGAAAATTGCTAGCTCTGACCTCTCTCGCAGCAGCTCTGCCCGGCAGCCGGATGCCCTGCTCCAGGCACCAAGCACAAAGGACAGACACACTCACAATCCAATTTGTTACATTTCCACCTTCCAGGGAGAGAGGGAGGTGAAATAAAAAATAAAGAAAAATCCCATTATCTTTATCTGTCCTTCCCATCAGGTGCAGAGGAAAATGCAAACTGGGGAGACAGCTGCTGTGAACTCTTTATATTTCACTCAGAAGATAGTGTATCTTTTTATTGCCTACAGGAATTACTTATTTGAAAAAATATATCCTTTCAGCTTGCTCGACTTGAGCCACAAGACAGAGAGAGGGTGGTGGAGTTCTGGGGGCTATTGATAGAGCATTTGCATTAAACTACAGGAACCTCTGGAGGTCACGGACAGTGGCAGAGGGGAGAGGAAATGGGTCGCAGAGGAGACTGCGTGTGAACGGAATGGGAGTTCTCTCCACCTCCCTGCTGTGTAACCTGGGCCCAGGCACTGTGAGAACTCAGAGAACTGAGCTGCAGATTCTCCATCTGTGCAGGGGAAGAGAATGGCACCAGTGATTTCCCTTGAGGAGTGAAGGGAGGAGGAAAAAAAGCTCCTTAGTTCAGATAGAAAAATGTCCTGTCTCTGCTAGTCTGCTAAGAAGTGGGGAACATCTCCTAGGCACCTTGGCACCCCCAAGCCTGGCACAGAGCTGGCCACAGGGTAGGATCTTCTCGTGTTTGTTGAAGAGTTTAGTGATGCAAACAGGTACCTACCCTGCCCAGATACCTGTGGGTGGAAAGGGACATTTTAAACCTGGTTGTGGGGACAGCCTCACGTGTAGCAGGGGGAGTGCTACCTGGGCACTGTGCCTTAGAGCTCTGCCTCAGTCCCAACTCCTCCCGCTGTGGTCGCTGTCCTTCCCCAGCTTCCAACACATTGCAGTGAAGGTGGGCCCTGCGGTTTCTGGGATAGTTAATTCTACGTGTCAACTTGGCTGGGCCACAGTACCCAGATATTTGGTCACACATTATTCGATATGTTTCTGTGAGGGTGTCTTTCTATGAAATTAACATTTATATCAGGATGGATTTTGAATAAAGCAGATTTCTCTCCATAATGTAGGTGGGCCCCATCCAATCAGTTGAAGTCCTGACTGGAACAAAAGACTGACCTCCCTTGAGAAAGTGGGAATTCTGCCAGCAGACAGCCTTCAGACTTGAACTGCAATGTTGCCTCCTCCCTGGGTCTCCAGCCTGCCAGCCAACCCTGCAGATTTTCGACTTGCCAGCCTCCATAATCGTATGACCACTTCTTTAAAATGAATCTCTCTCTCTCTCTGTTTCTGGACATACACACACACACACACACACACACACACACACACACACACACACACAGACGCACACACGCACACAACCCTTGTTTCTATTTCTTTGGAGAATCCTTACTAACGCGGTTTCCCATCTTGGCTCCTTAATGCCTGCACAAGTCTGGCGAGGGAGTAGAGGGAGAGGAGTGGGAGAGCTCGTCTGAGCTCTGAGGAGCAATGAATAGACATGTCAGGAGTGAGCAGTTAGGCAAAGCCAGGGGCCACAGTGATGATGACAGGCAGGAGCCAAAAGCCAAGCAAGAGCCGGGAGGGTTGGGCTGGATTTACTTGGGACAATGACGGGGTGGTGCAAAATGTCTTTGCTTCTTGCGGAGCTGGCCTGGGATGGGTGCTCCTGCCGTGCCAGGGGCTGGGCATCAGGAGAGGGAAGGCAGCCTTTGCTGGATGCTCTCAGCAGTGGGAGAAGAAAGCACAGCGGGTGCGGGGAGAAAGTCGGGGGGCATGCTGTGCTGTCTTGGTCCTGTCCAGCCCATGGGGCTGAGTGAGTGCCAATGTGCTATGCGTCCCTTTGGCATAAATAGTCACACCTTACATTTGTAAATTGCTCTTAGGCTTTCAAAGCACTTTCACCTACATGATGGGAACAACTTGCCTTGCTTCTCTCTCCCTGTGGGGGCTGTGATTGAATAGTGTGGAAAAAGCATTTGGGTCTCTGAGGAGGCCCCATTTTTCTTGCGATGCAATCTAGCTTTGGTAAGAAGAAGCCTAGAGCTTTGTAAGCAGCTCTAAACTCTAGATTTAAAAGGAAAAAAGGGAACTTCTCAGAAGAGCACCCATCATGGTTGAGCAGGGAGATGTTGCTGAGCAGCTCAGTGTGATGCCCCTTCCCAGTGAGAGGGGGGCCCTGAGGTTCAAACTGCCCCAGGCCTCTCTTTGTTTCTCTCTGCTATCTGTCCCTGGTGTGGGGATCTTATTCCTCCAAGTGTGGCCCAGCAGCAAATGTGATGGCAGAGGGATCCTCTCTGTTTGTTTGGGTGCCTGGAGCTTGAACATTCATGGTGAGCACTGGAGACCTGTTTCCTCTGGGAAGCGGGTAGCCTTTCTCTGGCTTGTGCAGCCTCTGGCTGGGGAGACCAGCCACCCTCAGGCAGGTCCTTGTTGCAGAGCTGCTCTTGGGCTTCCTTTCATCATGGCGGGTGGCAGGAGCGACTGTGCCTGCTTTGTCTGCTGCTGTTTCCACTCCAGATAGTCTAGAACTCTGGCTTCAGGAGGCTTTGCATCCCATAAAAGACTTGCCTTGCTGGGCTTGCACTCCCAGGCTTTTTAAGGGAGTGATTTAAGGGACTCTCAGGACAAAGTTCACGGGGCTGCCTTCTGTGAGCCCCTCCATGGGAAATCACCTATTCTTAAGCACAGAAGCACACATCTCTTCATGCAGCTGCATGCAGGTGCTCCTTCTGTGTTCTGGCACAACTTTGCAATCTCAGCTTCCAGCATGAAGGAGCCTGCTCCTATCACAGCTCCCCCTCTTGGCCCCACTCTGTCTGGACTCTCCTCCCACCTGAATTGCATTAAGGACCCTGCAAAGCTGAAGGTGCCCCCTGCTATATGGCCCACAGATGAAACAAAGGAACAGTGGGTGCTAGCTGGTTCCACTACCAAACTCAATTCTCCCTGGAAAAACCCATTAAGGAGTATTCCACTCAATTGTTTGGACGTGGGGAACACAAAAATCCTCCTTCCAGGAACTGTTCTCTCTCCCACTGGGCCGTAACAGTTTCCTCACCCCATGAGTCTGTGGGCTCTTCATGGCAGCAAATCAAATGCACACAGACACACAGGTCTGGTCTGGCTCTAAGGGCACACATGTGAGCACACACCCATACCCCTCCCCACCACCATCACACATTGGCTTCCTCTGTGTCCCAGAAACAGCATACTCAGAGACACCTCCACAGTGGAGGGAGACACATGCTCACCGAATCTCCCTCCCTCAATATCCAAGCTCAGAGCACAGGGCCAAACACCTTCAGCCAAGAGCCAAGAGAGAGGAAATGGGGTTAAATGAAGAAGTGAGAATTTAGAGGAGTTACTACAACTTCCTGATCCTAAGACTCTTTAGACATCAGAATTCAGAGGGAGTGGGGTGAGGCAGTGGGAGGCAATGAAAATTCCCTCTGGATTCTAGAAAATAGCATAGATGCCCGTCTGTCTTGGATGGCTTAGCCAAAGCCAGCTTAGAGGCCAGATGGATGGATTAGAGGTGTCTGAGGGGTCCTCCCACCACTATGTTACCAGGAATCTCCAGATACGAGCACATACACACATCAATGCTTCTCCCTCCATGGCCAGCATCAACAAACAGGCACAGACAGTATCCTTGTATTATCCTCATAATCAGTGACAGCAGCCAATACTTACTGAATGTGTACAATGGATCACACACTGCATTAAAGACGCTTTTACATGCATGATCTCACTGAATTCTTACTACAAGGCAGGCACTATGATTATCTCCATTTATAGCTAGGAAACTAAGGCATACACAGGTTACTTGACCAGGGACACACAGCTAGGACTTGACGGCACCAGGACTCAAATCTAGATGTGTTTGATGCTGGCCCTCAAGGCTGGAACCACCTCTCTTCCCCACTGGCCTCTTCAGATCCTGGGGCTCCCCATGAGGATTTCCCCAGGATGGCATCCTATGAAATGCTTATGCAAACCATAACTGGCTCTAAGTACAGGTGGCCCTAACCAGCATGCCCTTGTTTATAGAGGCTGGGAGATATATTCATGTAACAGCTAAAATGTCAGACTTCTCTCCAGCAGGCTTTCAAATCTCATTTTCCCTATACTTTCTCTCCATTCTCTATCACTGACCCAGATCCCTCAAGCTGTAGGTATTCAGCAAAAATTATAGGCATGGAACTGAGCAGAAGGGAAGAGCCTCAGGCAACAACAGAGGCGGTGGCAGGACCTTGGGCCGCAGGAGCTCAGACAAGCGGACTCTGCCCTTAAATCCCCTTCTTTCCAGATATGACTCCTTCATTTCCCACCCCTCTGCTATTCAAAGGACCCCAGAGGCATGTCCTGCCAGGCAGATCACCAACAGACTACCAAGTGGCCCGTGGACCCCTCTCTGCAAACTGTTCACTGACCAGCTCTGGTCAATTCCAAGCAGGCCAGGAAGGCAACCCCATGGGCTCCTGCGGGGGTCCAGCCATGCCTGACTCCCTCCAGCCAGTGATTATTCCCCTCAGATCTCTACCCCAGCCCTGCCTCTGCTGACAGGAGAAGGTGAGGTGTGTTCAGGAGCAGCCACAAGGACAGCCCCTGGGTGGACAGCCTACTCACCCAGATCCATATCTGCAGCTTTGGGCCGGTGGGAGCAAGGCACATTCTTGAAGATGGCATCCAGAATCTTCTCCTTGACCTGAGTGATGGTGTCACAGTTGAGGATCTTTACTGGGACCTCGGGGCTGTTGGCATTGTCTGGGCTGACACAGCTCAGGACCTGAAGGAAAGGTGGGGAGAGGAAGCATATGAAATGGGGTAGCAGGAAAAGCTCCTAGATCCCCAGCAGCACCCTGGGATTCCGTCCTGAATGGCTCATCCTCTCCAGGATGGGCTAGGGAGGAGTAGGGTGGCTCCAGGCCATCTGTGCTCCCACCAAGCCCACTGCCCTTTCCTGTCCAGGCAAGCAGGACAATGCCTTGGCTTCAATGTCCTTGAGGGAGTGCGAGCTGCACACTTCACTCCCTGTCAGAACAAACTTCATTAAAATCCTGATTTTTCAAAGGGACAATGCCCAAGCATGTGGAAGCAGTGAGGGGAAATTTGCAACAGAACAGACACCAGTGCATGCATGCACACGTGCTATCTCTCTCACATGCATACAGGAGGCAGTGTCTCAGCGGCACACCCAGACCCTCGCCCACTTCTGAAACCCCCTGCCCATCCATGTTTGTCTGTCTCCTTCTTGTCACTCCTTCTTGGACACACACACACAGAACTAATAGGAATCTGGCTTCTTTCTCCAAATATTTCACAAGCTTCAATTTTTATGAAGGTTTCATTCACCTGATTAGAGGTTGGCAAATCTATAAGACACTTAATGTATTCTTTAAAAATAAAAAGATGCCCTTTAAAGATTGCAGGTTCAGGACACCTGAGATTCTTTCGTGGCCCTGAATAGGGCCCCTGTGTTGGGGGAAGAGGCGACTGCATAGTTCAGGGCCTCCATTTCTCCTTTTGGAACTAGTAGGAAAAGTTGAAACTGCTTCACCAAATTATCTTTTTATTTTTTTTCCTTTAAAAAGTTCTGGGCTTTTCCTTTAAAAAGAACAAGGCTTTTCTTCTCTTGCTGTTCTCACAGTGGGATCTTTCTACATCGACGGCACCGTGTGGGCTCCTGGGTGGACTGGAGGGGAACGGGGTGGGTGCTGTGCGTACTGGAGTAAGTGAGGGCACAAGATCCAAGGCAGAGAGGCTGGGCATCCTAGGGGTACTGATGCCAAGTGGCCCTCCCCTTCTGGGCTCCCGAACTCTCCCTCGGGCCCTGCTGCCAGAGAGCCCTCTGTGTGTCTCTCTCCTTCTCGGAACTTTCACTCCCTCTGTGCCCCCATAAGCATTTCCCAATTGTCCCATCTGGTTTGCAGAGCCAGACAGCAGTCTCTCTCCCACTCCACCCCCTTCTTGCTGCATGTGGTGGCAATCAGAACCCTGGGCTCTGGGCACCTGCCTTTCATTAGCAACTAGACTGCTATGAGCTCAAATGCGAACATGCTTATTCCATTAAGAAGGGGAAGAAAAAAAAACCCCTGAAATCTATAAAACCAAACTTTCACACTCAAAATGCCCTAACCTGAAAACAATGGTGGAGAGACTGCTGCCTCAAGCGCTCCATGTGTGCCTCCTCCCAGCTCTCCCCTCCTTCTAAGAGTCTTCTGGCCCCTTCCCTCTGCTCAGCAGCCAGGCAAAGCCTGACCCTTGGGCTGTTCTGGCAGCCCCTGCTGTCCTGTCCTCTGGGCCCTGGTGGGGCAGCTCAGCCTTCCCAAGACAGCAACACAGCTTGCCCTGGGCTTCCTCCTCTGAGGGACCCATGGGGCAGAGGCTGCCACCTAAACGTAATCCCCTGGCATTTCTAATTGCCGCAGGAATTCAGCGTGGCCTCATGAGAACAACTCCATGGTGCACTTCAGGGCAGGAGTTGGCGTTCTAAAGTGGAAGCAGTGGCCCCACAGAAGGACAGAGCCCCTGGCCACTGGCCAAGCTAGAGCTCCACCCACAGGTTCCCTTCCTCCATGCTCCTTGGCTAGTTTGTGGACAAGCTGCCTCATGATTTCTCTGCCAGGGAAGTGCCTCTCAAACGCTAATGTGAATAGAAGCACTTGGGGGCTTTGTTGAGATACAAAATCTGATCTAGGAGGTCTGGGATGGGGCCTGAGATTCTGCATTTTTCCAGGTTCCCAGGCAACTAGCTAGTGCTCCCAGGTTCCCCGGTGGGCATCTAGCGCTCTAGCAGGCTTCCAGGTGCGCATCTAGAACTCTAGCAGGCTCCCGGGCGGGCACCTAGCACCCTGGCAGGCTCCCGGGCGGGCACCTAGCGCTCTGGCAGGCTCCCGGGCGGGCACCTAGCGCTCTGGCAAGCTCCCAGGTGGGCATTTAGTGCTCTGACAGGCTACCAGGTAGGCATCTAGCATTGCCTGGTTCCAGGCTCCCACGTGGGTACCCAGTGCTCTAGTGGGCTTCTAGGTAGGCATCTTGCACTCTGCACCCAGATGTTGCTGATGTTGGTACTAGGGTGCTCCCACTGGCATGGTCCTTGGCCACACCAGTCCAAGCTCCAGCATCAATCCAATAAATCACTAAACCCCTAGAGGCACACCTGACTGCAAAGTGGTACACTCGCTTTCTCCCCAAGCCTCTTAGAGCCTCTCCGTGGTTCTCTCTCCTGCCCAAGACAAGGCTACTTTTAGCAGGTCCATAGCACTCTGGGCTCCTCCAGCCACCGCCGAGTTCCAGGACTCGTCTGCACGCCCTGTGTGCTGCTGTCCTGCACGATTTCTTGCCATCTGTCCACACCCTGAGGGGGCTGCTCCCCTGCACATGTGCAAATACTTTCCCCAGGCCTGAAGGTGGCTATTAAAGCTCCCTGTGGCCGTTTCTTCTCCAGGCAAAACAATTGCAGTTTCTTTCCTCTTTCCTCACTGCTCCTGTCCTCAAGTGTTCCCACCTAAATGGATACTGGTCCCTGAACCACTCCAATTTCCTCACATTCTCTTTAAGTTGCGGCACCTGAAATCAGCTCAGTGCACTACCAGTACTGTGGCCTCTGGAACAAAGGATGTTGCAATTTGGGGACAGAACATTATTACAACTGATTGTGTTGGATTCAATATTGGGAGGGTGCTGAGGAGACAGGAAAGAAAGGGAGTGGAACGGGGGAGACAGGGTGGAAGACATTTACGCAGTACTTCTATCTCATTAAGAAATCCATTCAGGTCTCTATTTTTGGAAGGGTTTTCCCCCTCTTTTCCATTTTAATCGGAGCCTCTCTCTCTCTCCTTCCAAGCAGACGGTAACTGCCAGAAAGCAGGGGCCTCATTCACAGGCTGCTCCTTTGAATCTTCATAACGGAGCCAATCCCCACAAATCTGTTCAGACGTCTACTGGGATTCCCGGGGCTTTTGGAAAATGAGAGTGGGATAGGTGGATCATGGTCACAGCCTTCCCAGCCAGCAGGGATGGCTTTGTTCAGAGGTGGGAACTGTCTCCCCAGCTAGCCACAGGCTCTGGAATTTGCCCTCAGCTCAGAGCAGTTGGAGGGGTTGTCTGAGAATCACACTCCCTCCCAGTACTACAATGCCCCAGCCTGCTGTGGCTCCCTCTCCCGACCGCTGCGTTTGAACTTCAGTCTGTTCCCCGTCCTCCTCGTTCCCTTCTGTCTCTCTTGCCTCCATTCTTGGGTGCCACTTGCATATCACCCCCAACACTCAGCTTTTATCTTTTCATACTCCCTCCTTCCAAGTCCTCTCTTTCTCAGAGAAAAAGGGCTGGTTGGAGATCACTGTGATCTCCAAAAAATCCCGAGAGTGAGCTCCCTGGGTTTGAAAGGACAGTGAGCAGCGAGTGGACGCACGGTGACAGTGGGGAGAGGCAAGCGGGGCCTGCGTGACCAAGCACTAGTGCATGAGTATGACGCGGGCTTCACTGCCTGTTCATCTTGTCCCATCTGATCCTCTGCACAACTTCACTCTGAGCAACTATGATTATCCCCACTTTAGTCGGTTCTGTTGGTGTTCTCATTTTTTCAGATAAAGAGACCCAAATTCAGAGAGATTAGGAACCTGCCCCAATTCACCCTGTTGGTCGAAGGCAGAGCCAGGGCTCAAATCCAGGTCTGTCTGATCCCAAAGGCCATGCTCTTGAATGCTAAGCCTTGGTGCCTCCTAGGGTAGCTGTTTTTGTCAGGTGAGGGAGCCTGACCTTGATGGAGGGGATCCCCACGTTCCTTCAACAACTGCCTTGCACCACTAGGCCACCTTGGCCTTGCGTTATACAGCTTGGGTCACAGTTGTATTTGAACTTAGAGCAGAAGGCAGTGGGGGCTTCAGAGCTATGAGTAACTCTTTCTAGCTTCCTTTCCTCTCTGTCCCCCACTCTCTGCCTGCACGGACCTCTTCTGTAAAGCGTTGACTCTAAGCTGGGAGGACAGAAGAGTTCACCTGGGTCAAGGGCTTTGACCCTATAACTGGTGTGGTCAGAAACCCCCAGTTCATTGGCTGAAGTGTCACTCAAATGTGTCTGAGCTACTGGTCCCCAAATCCAAATGCCCTGGTGAAACAGAACAGAGGAAGTCTGGGGTGATGGACACAGCGGGAGCACCTGGCTGGGCCCACACAGCAGACACACCTGGAGAGGCAGCTGTTCAGCCTTTCAGCCATCTCCACTGCTGAGCAGGGCTACCCAGGATGGAAGCCCGCCTGTCAAAGCCCCAGGGGAAACAGATGGGTGGGCTCACCAGGGTTTTGTAGTCAATCTGCTGGCGGATGAGCTTGTCCTCGCTCAAGGAGTAGCGGGCCTCGCCCGTGATGGCGTCAATGGGGCCCTTCTCCATCTGCTGCTTGATGGCACAGAACAGGGAGAAGAGGGGCTCCCCAGCACACTCCTGGAGGTGAGAAGAACGTCATTAGGAGGAGCTCTTGGAACACTGGAGTGTACCCCCAGTCCCTGCTTCTCCAAAGGGCTGCTTCCATCCCCTGCCAAGTCCCTGCACCTGCCCCCACCTGCTTTTATACTCAGCTCTTCAATCTCCTTCTCTCCATCTCCTCATCCTTCAGGCTGGCATTCCTCCTGGCTCTTTGGACCACAGGGTCTTTTCCCATTCTACCCATTTCTCCTTTCCTACTGCCGCCTCTCCAGGGCTCTTTCTTCCTCCCCCGCTCCCCTCCCCTCCTGCCCTCCTCTCTGCTCTCCCTCCCCACCTCACCCCGCTCTCTCAGAGGCCCCATCCAAAGGCAGAGGTCAGTCCTGGGTGGCAAGAACTCCTTAGAACATAAGTTAATAATTGGAAGCTGAGCCTCTTCCACCTCCCAGGCGCATCCTTGGCTTATCTGCCGCAACATGCGGCTTCTGCACCGGCCGGGGGGCCTTATCAGCCTCAGTAAGTCTGGGGCTGGGAGAGGGAAGAGGAAAAGCAGAGAAATAATGGGCAAATTGTTTTTAACTTCAAAGGAGGATTCAGCTTTAGGGACCATGCAGGGCCTCTCAGGGCTCATCTATCCCTTGCCCGGCAGTAGGAAACTAGCCTTGGGAAGACTGTGTCTTTGGAGCTATGATGGACTGCAGGCCTCTGTCTTCCTAGACAGTCCATGATAAGGATGAATTCCATTTCTTGTGGGGTTATAAGAGCCAGGCCCAGTAAGGGAGGACTCGGGGGTGTGGAGCGATCCCCAGTCAGGCTGCAGAGAATGAACGAGGCAAGGCCAGAAATACGTCCACATCCAACCCTACCTTGAGGAACTTGTAGAGGAGGAAAGTAAACCAATTGGTCAGCATCTTCTCAGCCACTGACTCAGTCCTGTCAGCAGTCACCGAGGGAACCAACGGAACAAGACAAAGAAAGAAGCAGCTGGTCAGAGCCCGTGGGCTGGGAAGGGCAAGGGAGGAATTGTGCATTGATCTTGCTGCTTCTAGCGTTTAGGCCAAACCTTGCGATCCTAATGAATATGAGAGTTTCATGGACTCCTAGACGCCCCCATAATGGTAAGACAAGCTTTTCCTACAAAGCTGGAAGATGACATTTTGGGCAGCAGGCTGTGGGTGGGATTTTGGCTGGAACGCCTTAGAGCACCGCTGTCCAATTGCACGTTCTGTGATGATGAAAATTTTCTCTACCTGTGCCATCTAATATGGCAACCACCGGCCACACATAGCTACTGAGCACTTAAAATGTGGCAGCATGTCTGAGGAACTGACACTGAACTTGTATTTATTTTTAACTAATTTAGATTTAAATAGTCACATGTGGCTCATAGCTATCCTATTAGATAGTATAACCTTAGAGAACTTTATAGGCTAGTTGTGTTCTTTTGGGTGAAAAAAAAAAATCCCAAATCCTGGGGAGGTACCAATTTGGCAGGGAATAGGAATAAAGGTGGCAGGAGAAGGGTTCCATGTCAGAAGGTCAGATGGCCAAACTGAGTCCACAGCCTCAGCTAAAGGCTCCCAGCATTCGCCGCAGCATAAAGCCATATACCCAGCTCAGCCCAAGCCGTGTTAAAACTGTCCTATTGCGGCTGGGCACGGTGGCTCTTGCCTGTAATCCCAGCACTTTAGGAGGCCAAGGCAGGCAGATCATGAGGTCAACAGATCAAGACCATCCTGGCCAACATGGTGAAACCCCCTCTCTACTAAAAACACAAAAATTAGCTGGGCGTGGTGGCACGTGCCTGTAACCCCAGCTACTTGGGAGGCTGAGGCAGGAGAATCGCTTGAACCCAGGAGGTGGAGGTTGCAGTGAGCCAAGATCTTGCCACTGCACTCCAGCCTGGCGACAGAGTGAGACTCCGTCTCAAAAACAAACGAACAAAGAAACAAACAAGAAACTGTCCTATGGCAAAAGATTCCACATCCTTTGGAACTTCCCTTGGGAGCCCTTCTAGAGTTTCATTTGCAATGACAGAAAGTTCATTCTTGAGTCTAACTTGCATCTTTCATGCTACAACACAAGCCCATCTACTCTTTTACTTTGGAAGTGAAGATGCAGCAGCAGTGCAGTCAGCCCAAGGACATTTTCAGTTGCATCCATTTAGAGAAAACAAATTACGTTCAAACTTGCACTAAGCATGCGGCCAGCTCCAGAGAGAAACTAGCCCATCCAGGTATGTCTGGATAGAGTTTAAAGTTGCAGTTGCCAGAAAATGCTAATAACTAAAATCCCAAGGTAGTTGGGAGGCTGCCGGCACAAAATGAAGCTGGTAAGAGAAAAGAAGAAGGAACATTGAAAGGAGGTGGGCAGCCGGGGGCAAGAAGAAGAAAAGGAAAGGAGGGCAGAAGGAAGCAAGAGCATCCAGGAGAACAGGAACGGAAAACAAGGGGAGGAGACACAGAGGCAGAGCGAGACCACGCCAGAAAGTTGTCGGTGGGAGCTCTGGCAGGCAGTGGCAACCCTAGAATTATGCCAGTGGGTGGCTGCGTGGTGAAAGTAAAACAAAAATCAAAATGATCTACCTTGCTGTTTCCAAAGCTGTCTGCTGGCTCTTATATGCAGCAGACTTTTGCAGCTGTGCAGGCAAATGCCCACTGCTCCAGGAAAAACCCTGAAGTAAACACTTCTGAAAGCCAAATCTATCTGCTGGACCAAGTGGGAGCCACTGAAGCTCAGCCTGAGACCCAAAGACCAAAGATGGAAGTCTGGGGGACAGGCAGACAGCAGGCAGACAGCACATGAGTGGTCTAGGCAGAGGGCTGGACATAATGACATGACGTGGGAGTTTTCTAACTTCAGATATGCCAAGGCCAAAGGTATTGGAATAATGGCCTAGAGGAGAAATGGCCTTCGAGTACACAAAAAGTTCAAACAGAAGCACTGGTAGAGTGAGAGAGTTTCTAATTCCTATAAGGCGAAAGTCATAGGATAAGGTTATGTCTTCACACAGGACCTTTAAGGTTTCAACAGTATCAAGTTTGAGGCCTCCAGGGTGTTGAGTGGTGGACTCTGGGCCCATTTACAGCCTACAGCAGGTGCGAGGAAACACTTGCTGGGCTGTGCTGGGTGAGACATCACCAAAGGACTTTCCTTCAGTGCTTCTCAAACTTTAATATGGATTGGGATAAACTGGGTTCCTCACTAAAATGCAGGTTCTGATTCAGCGGGTCTGGGAGGGCCTGAAATTCTGCATTTATTTATTTATTTTTTAATTTTTTTTTAGCGACAGGGTCTTGCTCTGTTGCCCAGGCTGGAGTGCAGTGGTGAGATCATGGCTCACTACAGCCTCAAACTCCAGGGCTTAAAGGATCCTCCTATCCCAGCCTCCAGAGTAGCTGGAACTTTACAGGTGTGCACCATCATGCATAGCTAATTTTTATATTTTATTCTTGTAGAGATGAGGTCTATGTTGCCTGCTATGTTGTCCAGGCTGGTCTTGAACTCCTGGCCTCAAGAGATCCTCCTGCCTTGGTCTCCCAAATTGTTGGGATCACAGGCATGAGCCACTGCACCTGGCTTGTGATTCTGCTTTTCTAACAAGCTCCAGTGTGCTCCCGATGCTGTCCTCTGCCACCTGATGGCATGAGGCCACAGGTCTTCTCTCCTAGTCCAACTTTGGACTCAGATAAGGCCAGAGGATGGTCTAAGTGACCTCTGAAGATTCCATGAGAGGAGATTGCAGTAGACAGGGTCAAGATTAAGTAGAAGGGCAGAGAAGGAAAAATGGAGATTCGACAAAGGGGCAAGAGAACAAGAGGGTGAGCCAACAAGTCCATGCATCCTTGACTCCTGAGGACAGTGGACAGGTTCTTCTAAGGGGGCCTGCAATGTAGTCCTGGCTCTGGGCTAGTTAGTGACTTGAACTTGGGAACATGGCTGCTCTCCTAGGAGCTCCACCCGAGTCTCCCTGCAAGGCACGGTGAGCCAGGTGCATGGCTAGGCTGGAGCAGGGTGCCCCAGACTGCACCCTCACCTCCTGAGCAGCAGCTTAGGGTGGTTCTTGCTCTCCAGGTTCTTGTCAATGAGGTCGGCCAGCAGCTGCTTCAGCACATCAGTGGCGTACTCCAGCTTGCTCTGCAGCACGGTCATGATGAGTGAGGCCACGTTGCCACGGTCGCGCATGGAGAAGCTACGCTGGGACTCAAGCGTGCGGATGAAGGACAGCAGGAACACCTTGTTGTTGATGAGCTGGGCGAAGAGCTTCAGGCCTTTCTCCACACGCTCCTGCCGGTAGCCCGGGACCTGCAGAGAGACCTAGGAGTCGTGATGCCATTGGCAGGTTGGGGAGCTCAGTGACCTCCCCACGGGATGGCTGTGCCCATATCCATGACCCTCTCATCCACCAATTAAGCCACAGTCCACCTGGCTAATGCTGTCAAGCCCTTAGCACTGAGTTAAGTATCTGATTAACCTCCATCGCAGCCTCTAGTTTAGAGATGAATCAATTGAAGCACAGAGAGAGCATCACATGGTTAGTAAATGGCGGGGCTAGGATGGCACTCACTTCTGCCGGACTCCAGAGCTCTTCCCTGATGGTGACGCAGAGTTGATGAGGGCCCCTGTGTCATGGCAGAGCACCTCACAGTCCCTGTGGGGAATTCCAGGTGCCCAGGGCTGTCGTGGTTTACACCCTGAGAATCCCCATCCCTGAGCCTGGGACTAACCTAATGCCCACCCCTCTCCAGCCCTAGGGGTGCTGTTGATACACCAGTGGCCTCGGAGTCAGGACATCTGGGTTCCACGTGGATTCTGATACCACCTTGCTGGGTAACTCTGGGTAAGTCTCTTTCCTTCTCTGGGGGCCCAAGTTTATCCACATGATAAAAAGGGAAGATTGAGCCCAAGAGTCTCTAAAGAACTTCCTAACTCTAGCATTTGCTGTTTTCTTAGGGACTCTCTCTAAGACCCTGCTCTATGCAGGGGAAGAGGAAGAAGATGGTCTTATCTTTCTGCCTCCATTGTCTGTTCATTGGGAGATCTCTGCAAGGGTGTACCATTCACTCAGCAAACACGAGTCAATGACTCAGGTAGGTGTGGAAGGCCCACCTCTGAGATGTCCAGGGGTGTGCATTGCAATCCTGTCAGTCACAGCTCCAAACTGGAAACACTCAGATGTCCAGCAACAAGAGAACAGGTGGAGGAATTGTGGTGTATTCCACCCAATGGATACCACACAGCAATGAGAATGAATGACCTATTGCTACACACAATAACAGGATGGGTCCTGCAAATGTACTGAATGAAAAAAGCCAGATGCTAAAGAGGGCATAGTCTTCATAGAATACCATTTAAATAAATATTTTAAAAGCAGATAAAATTAATCAATGGTTGTAGAGAAATGACTGCTCTAGGGGATGGCTGTAACTAAAAGGGGGCACCCCGGGACTCCTGGGGGACTGGCCATGTTCTGCTTGGTGCTGGCTTGAGGGGTGCTGGCTTGATGGGCATGTTCACTTGGGGAAAAGTCATCGAGCTGCACGCTGACAATTTGTGCGTGATTTGTATGCATGCTTCTGTTAAACCAAAAGACGTACTTAAAAAGTCAGCTATAGGATCTGCCCCCAAGGGGGAGCTTCTGAGAACACTGCAGGGTGTGTCTCCTGAAGTGGGGCACTGGAGGAGGCAGGGAGTGGGAGGGACGGCCTGGGGAGGTAACTTCGGAGTCACGTCTTGAGGGCTCTGTCTCCCCAAGGGGGTGGATACCACAGTTCTTTGAGAAGGAGTGTCATGTATACAGCAGTAACGAGCCTGGTTTCAGAGTCGGTCATGCTTGGGTTTAATTCTGTCACAGTCATTTCCTAGGGCCCTTAGTGACTCAGTTTCTTCACCAGCAAAATGAACATAATGATAGCTAATACTGATATAGATCTAAGTCCATACTGCCATTCTGTGTGCTTTAGAAATACTGACCCACTTAATGCACACAGCACCAAAAAGGTAGGTTTGTTATAATCCCCATGAGGGACCCTGTGAGGATAAGGAGCTTCACAAAGCCCCAAGACACAGAAGGGTGGAAGGAGGTCATAAATCCCGGCACTTGGCACTTCTTTCTGCCATCTCCAGGGACCATGATGTAAACTGAAAGGAGAGGGGGTATGAAAAGCTGATGCACATCCCAGCTCCTAAACAGCAGCTACATCCTCCTGCTCTACTCTTGAGGTTTTAAACTGGGAAAAATGGAGATGGCCAGAGAAAGCCTTCTTTAACCAAAGTCGCAGAGGGTGGCAGAACATTCATGATCCTCATTACCAATACCCTGTGTTCCAGGCTCAGGGCAAGGCACTGGCAGGAGGCCGGGTTCAGTCAGATCCAGGCCCTGTCCTGAGAAGTTCAACCAGGAGGCCAGCCCCAGAGAGCCCTGAGATCCCTTCCATAGCGGAGCTCTGTGAGCCAGCCCTGCACCTTGCACAGAAGGGCTGTCATTGAAACCTCCAACTAGCCCGTCATCAGTAGCTCCTATGGGTCTGGAAGCTGTAGGAAACGTGTGTGTTTCCAAATCAGGTCCATTTTCATTTCTCTCACTGTGGTGCTGGTCCTTGGAGGGCCAGTTCTCAGGAGACAAATGGGAACAGCTAGAGATAAACAGGCTACAGCAGGCCACAGCCCCTGCTGGCAAACCCCTCACCTCCGGAGGTGGGACTAGCCTCTGCTTTCTTCGTGCCTGCCTCCCCCAGTTCTCCCCACCACTGGGGGCTGATGAGGGAAGGACAACTTTACCTTGCCATCAGCCCGGGCCTCAATCTGCCCATTTATCTGTCTTCCAACTCTGTGACCACCCCCATCACATACATGCCGCTGTCCTTCAAATTACTCAGAAGAGCAGTTCTATGACTTGTTCTAATAATAGTAGATAATGTCATTTCTTGGGCATCCACCATGTGCAATGCACAGTGCCTGGCACATTACACACATTGTTTCAATGAGGCCTTCTAATGATCTTGCAAAACTGAGTTAACAATCTCTCAGAGAAGCTATTGCAGCTATTCCAAGGCAGCCTATCTCATGACAGGCAGTGCTGGATTATGAAACCCAAACTTGTTTGGCTCCCAAGTGCCCGTTCGTCCTCCCCATCTTTCACCATATCTAGCCCTACCCCTGGGCTTGAGAGTTGTCTGAAAGCCAACTCGGATGTCTCTCTAAAGCCTTCCCGTGCAGGGCCTCCCACCAGCTCAGACTGGCCGGCTAAGGGAGGGCAGTCACCAGAAGGTTTAGCACTATGGCATTTAGAGAGGTGGAAGAGGACATGGGTTGGCTAGATAGCACACTTGGTGTGAGGATCCACTCTGGGATTCTTGCGAGGCTGCCCCTTCTCTGTGTGCAAAATGCATATGCCTCCTGGGAAGCAGGTCTGGGGCCCTGGGAAGGAAGATTTTAGCAAAGCCACCTACAGTGAAATAGCATCCTATTCAGCAGCATGGGTCTTAGAAGCAGAGAGACCACAGTGACTCGTAGGTGGAGGAAAACTCCATCACCTCTGGGCTCTATTGCCTCGTCTGTAAAATGAGAATATGAGTGTCTATGTCATAATGTTTTATGAACATTAAATAAGATAATGTATGTAAAGTGCTTGGCATGCACCGTGCACACTTAAACGGCAACAGTTTTATTACCTGCCTTTCAGACTCCCTGGACTGCTTTCCAGGGATCCCTTTCCTCCAAGAGTTTCCCAGACATCTAGTGCATCAGGGTGGTGTTTTGGGGTGTGGGAGGTAGGAATTTTCTCCCCACTTTATGAAGGAAGGAGATGGAAGTGAAGTGTCTTGGTCAGGAGTGTCCAAAACAGTTCCTCACTGTTGCCTGCCACCCTCCCCAGCCCAAGCAAATGCTACTCTGAAACAAGACTTTCTTTATTCACCAGATGGTTCTCTAATTTAGTTGAAGTCTGTGAGTATAAAACTGGATAGTAAATTTTAATTGTAACCCAATAGGTTAGAGTTTAGGAGCCAATGATAGACTGAAATTGGGAGATTGACTGCTCTGTGTTTTAAAAGGTTGGTACATGACCAGTGCCTGGGAAGCACCTTTCTTGAAGGCCTGGACTTAACCCAGAGAGCCCCACTTGAGGGGGCTGGGTGACCTCCCCTCCAGGACAGCCTGAAGCAAGAGGACACCTCCTTCTTCACACTTCCAGAGGTAAGCAGGAACCCCAGTGGCTGAAAGGGCTGGGAAACACTGGTTTGGATTAATCAATGGCTTGTTTCCATACTTAGAACACCAAGGGGGAGAAACTACTCCAGGGGCAAGAAGGGGTTGGAAAAAAAGCAAATAAGAAAAACAGTGATCCACACACAATCCCTCGATTTCACATAGAAGGCTGGATCTCACATAGCCCCCGGCTAATGCGGGCCAGTAAAAGTTCTCAGAAAATCCAACTTAAACATATGTAACTAACCTGCACATTGTGCACATGTACCCTAAAACTTAAAGTATAATAATAATAATAATAATAATAAAGTTACATCTTTAAAGGAAACCTACTTAGATTTGGAATTTTGAACTCATGAAGAAAGGAGAATAACTTTATATACTCATCCTCATTGCATTCTTATTTAAATTATTCTCCATCCCATCCACAGAGTAATATGGGAATGTTCAGACATAATTTCCCGTCCTACAACCCCCGTTTCCACCTTAATTCAGCCAAACACACAGATATTCATTTATTCAATCATTTACCACTTCCCACATGCCCATTATGTGCCAGGCACTCTACTCTGCTGGAAGTTAGAACTACAAAGATAAATAAGGTACATGCACAGTCTACACATCCAATCATACACACACACGTGCACACAATGGTCTTATCTTCTTGTCCCTCTTGTGTCTCACTTTAAACAGGAATTTGTATACTCTCCAGGGCCCTAAGAGAATCCTGGTAATTTGAAGCAAACGAAGGTGAGGCTGGAGAAAAATAAAAGGAAGAGAAAAATGAGTAGGACTGGGGGAGGAGCAAAGACCAGGAGCAAGATCAAGGAAATGGGTAGACAAAAGTATCAGGATACACGTTATGTTTTTATTTATGCACGGGCTACATCTACACATGCATGCACACATACACGCACACAAACACACATATAGACAGAGAGAAAAGGTGCCTTGTCGATGAGGACATAGAGACCGTCACCTCCAACTTATGAAAGTGTCTCTTGGTATCTCTTAGCTGAGGAGCCAAAGGGAGCCTCCTCCAGATAGAAAAGCCCATGCCCTCAATATAGAAACACACACAAGCCTATGCTTCATGCAACAAGCAAGTATGGAGAAACGTGTGTGCCACGAATGCCCCTCTGGACTTCTCACGTTTGCTACAGAGGTGCACAGCCTACTACATTCCCTTGGACAGCCCACTTAGACATTCCCTCAGGTGTCGGTACCTGCAAACCCACACAGCTCCCGAGTGATGGGTCTGTTTTTATTTTATGGACAATGTAAATCTTGGAATTAATCTTAGTTTGCATTGTTGCTTTGGCTGTAGATTTTTGATCCATCCAAGCTGTAAGGCAGGTCACTGACATAGCTCCCCAGAAGTCCAGCACAGAGGCCTGTTGTTGGAAGCAAAGACACTGAAGTCTAAATGCCTGAGCTCAAATCTTCCTTTGGCCGCCACCAGCTGTGTGGTCCCAGGCAACCACTGAACTCTGGCCCCTTAGTTTTGTCACCTGTATAATGGGCTTACTTACTTCAGAGGCTTCTTGGGAGGTGAAATGAATGAAAGCATGCAAAGGGCTTAAACTGTGCTAAGATGTTAGTAATAGTCAACTCATAGTGATTATTCCTCAGGATTATTATTCTGTCCTGGTCTTTTCTCATTTATATTTTTCACTTTTCTCTGGTATTTATCTCTGTAAGCCATTCCAAAGCCCTTTCAGGACAAAGTATAATATGAATAGACACCTAAGCCAGATACCATGCTAGACAGTAAGTGGGATAAAGTGTTCAAAAGATGAGGTCCCTGCTGGTAGAAGAGAGGGTTATGATTTCTCATTCACATTTCCACCCCACTTCCCAACACATCGTTTACCTTTTCCAATTAAACACTAAGTGGTAAATCCCATATATATTGAGTACCAACTACGTGAGTCAAATCCCCTACTTCATGGACCCTTAACCAAAGGTCCCTGAGGTTCCCCAATGTATTTGCCGTGTTTCTTGTTTCTGTGCATATGTAGTTTTTTCTGGGGAGAGGGTCATCAACTACTTCCATTCAATTCTGAAAGGGCTCCATGATCCTCCAAGACCTGAAGCCCTACTCACATCTCTGCTCCAAGGTTCCCTGGCTTGGCCCCACCTCTTCCAGAGGGATGGACTGGTGCTGACAATCTGGGGGACCTTGGGCAAGTTGTGTCCCCTCCCTGGCCTTAGTTTTCTCACCTCCGAAAGAAGGGGCTGGACTTGAAGATTGCCAACACGCTCCCCTGCTCTAATGCCAGGATGGAGCACTGCTTCTCACCTCAAGGTCCCGGAGGACAGGGTGGTCTTCAATTCCTGGGAACAGCACCCGCATGGTGTAAGTTCTATAGTCCAGGAACGGAATCCCGGCTCCATCCAGGTCACTGGTCAGCTCATGGATGTCCGTCTGCAGCTCGGCAAAGGCTGGCACGAAGAGAAGCCTGTGAGATGGCTGGATGGGGAGGCTCCAGGAGTCACCTCCATCTCAGAATGCTCAGAACCCTTACCCAAGCCCCTAGGAGACATGAGCAATGGACCACGATGGGCGGGAATAACTGGAGAGGCTATGTTTACATAGCTGGGATTGGGATGAATGAATGGCATTAGCATGGGAGAAAGATGTAGTGCAAGAAACCTTGTCTTGGGGCTAAAACCTTTCCAAAGTGTGATGATGTGGGGTGGTGGCTGAGGCTGTCCACAGATCTGTGCTGCTGCTTGGCCAGGAGAGACTCCCCATCTGAAGATGAAGGGCTTTGGTTTGCAAAATATGCTGGGGAGGGGGATGTAGAGGGATGGGTAAGAGAAGGGAGAGGTGCCATGAGGAAGAGTCCATTCCTGATGCTGTGTTTTAGAATAGATTTCCTTATAAGATGTTAAGAAAAACTGATAAAGGAAAACAAGTTTAAAGACACAAGTCTGGACCATGCAGCTCATCAGAGCCATCAAACTTCCAAATGGGGCAGAGATGGAGGCTCAGCCACACTAATATAGTCCTTCTGTATAAATAGGCAAGGTATTTCTTTGTCCTTCCTTCCTCAAGGTGATGCTACTTGATGGTGAATTATGACCTGCATGTGGGCACTGCTGTGTGTGGCGGCAGCTCAGGCCTCCAGATGAACAGAGTGGCAAGAACCCCCAGGAAAGTGAGCATGCAGTAGAGCCTCAGGCTGTTACATAGCACCAAAGCTGTCACCATATTCCGTTCTGGAAACATCCTCCCCCAGGGCCACCCTCTGCCACAGGGGTACTCAGGGGTGAGGCACCCAGCCCTTCCCTGCTCCGCCTTTCTCTTTGGTGTGTGCACACACACATATACGTGCATGCATGCACATGGACCACCAGGATGGATTAACACATGCTGGCAAAGAAGAACAGCCAGTGGGCATTAACTATTAAAAAATATTTCTTTCTATTTACATAATCTCAAAAATAGGGAGAAAATATTTTGTGAACTCAGAAGGGATGAACAAGCCCAATGTGGCTCTAGAGCCTCAAAAAGCAAGCCCAGCGCCCAGTGAGCTGTGATGATCACAGAAACACAATGCAGCCACCCTAGGAACTGTCTGCAGGGACCCCAGTCCTGCCCTTGCCCATGAGTTGGGTGGAGCTCCACCCAGCAGAGCAGACTTCAGGCCCTCAAATTTTGGCTTTCTGTGCCAGGAGAATCCCAAGACTGCTTGTTTGAGAGAGCCAAGGGGATGCCACCTGGAGAGTCCTCTGCAGCCTCTCCTGCTGCTCCTCTCTCCCTGCACCCCTGCACCTCTACACTGGCCACACAGACACAGGGGTTCCTGATATGTAGGCTGATTTCAACAGTAGAGAACCCAAATGCATCCAAGTGGAGCCTGCACCAATGTGTGTGTGCATGTGTTTTTGGCATGTACTGTCACCAAAAGCCCTGGGGAACATTCATGTGTGTCCTGAGTGAGGAACATGGGTGTGTATGCTTATAAGAGAGTGTGGGAACATGTGCATGAGCATAGGTGTGGGTGCATGGGCACTTGTCTGAGTGTGTATGTCAGGGAGTGTATGTGAGTGTGTGAGTGTGACAGTGTGTGAGCATGTCAGGGAGTGTGTGAGTATGACAGTGTGTGAGCATGTCAGGGAGTGTGTATGACTGCATGTGTGTGTGTATGTCAGTGAGTGTGTAGGCATGTGCAAGTGTGAATGTCAGTGTGTATGCATGTGTGAATGTGAGTGCATGGATGTGAATGAATGTATGTCAATGAGTGTGTATGTGTGTGAATGTGAGTGCCTGCGTGGGTGTGAGTGCATGAGTGTGTGTGTATGCTTGTCAGTGTGAGTGTGCATATGTGTGTTGGTGTGTATGCAAGTACGAATGTGAGTGCATGTGTATGTCTGTGTGTATGCATGTGTGAGTGCATGCGTCTATGTGTGCACGCATGTGTGAATGTGAGTGCATGAGTATGTGGGCATGTGTGTGCACGCCTGCAAGTTGAGTGCGTGAGTGTATGAGTGTGCATGCATGTGTGCATGTGAGTGCATGTGTATGCATGTGCAAGTGTGAGTGTGTAAGTATATGTCAGTGTGTGTGTACGAATGTGAGTACATGAGCGTGTGAGCACATGAGTGTATGTCAGTGAGTGTATGTATGTGAAAGCATGAGTGTGTGAGCATGTCACTATGTGTGGGCATGTATGTGTGAGTGCACGAGTGAGTGTATGTGAGTGTGCATGCATGTGTGCATGTGAGTGTATGTGTGAGTCCATGAGTGTATGTCAGTGAGGGTGTGTGGGCCTGTGTGGGAGTGTTTGTAAATACACGGGTATGTTTATATATCAGAAGCTTAGGCCCATGAAGGGCCCAGCTGGGTGTCTTCTGAGTTTGTGTAGAGGACGTCCTGGCTTGCTGTGAAGTCTTCAAGGAGACCCCTTGGCTTGGGCCAGTGCAGCCCTGTAAACGTTCAGTGGCTGGCTCTGGGCAAGCTGCAAAGTGCCTCTGTGGCTAGTCTGACAAGTCCTTTGCTGTAAGACCCCTTCTTCCTACGTGCACAGCATAGCTCGCCCCTAAAGTCTGAAGCCAAGGTTTCCTCCTGGGGCCTCAGCTGACAATCCTGGGTGGGAGCTCCCATCGGCTGCTCCCTCCCAGTTGGGGTGCTCGGCCCACAGGGAGCAGAAGGAGGGTGTTGGCTTTTTATCAGTCTGCAGCTTTCCTTTAAGTCACCAAGCGCCTCCAACATTCAAAGCTGCGTGCCTGCCACACATAAAAGAGATTCTAATCACTACACCTAATTAGAGGAAAGAGTACATTGCGGAGAAAAAAATTAAGCAGCGTAAATATAATAAAAGGCAGTAATTAACAGTCCCACAAGGCGGATGCTGTGTTGACAGCTGAAGGATGTAGAGAGGGGATGGAATGGATCCACTTCCCCATCAAAAAGAGCCGTGGCTGCCCTGGTGGGAATCGGTGTGAAGTGAGAGCCCCAGGTATGGGGCCGGATTTACTCCATGTACAAATCTACAGCAAAGAACCAGCTCAGATCCTCCCAGGATGAGTCACAAAATGATATCCTGGGGGTTACAAGAGTCTGACTCCTAAATTTCCTTCTTGGATTTAGTGCAGCTGATTTCACTTTATGGTGGTGTTTGTAATTTTTTTAATACAAGCTTTGAAACACCCTTCCTTCTAAATCACAGATCAGCCCTACAGCCTTACCTTCCTGCTAGAGGAAGAAAGCTGGAGATTGCTGAAATGCGTCATGTTAAGACACCCCCAGACCTCCCCTCGAGTAGAGTGCAAAACCCACTCAACCAGGATTCCAGGTATGGAGGCTGCTCTAGTGGGGTGAAGGTGCTCTAGTGGGGTGAAGGTGACAATCCTGGGTGGGAGCTCCCCTCGGCTGCCCCCTCCCAGTTGGGGTGCTCGGCCCACAGGGAGCAGAAGGAGGGAGTTGGCTTTTTATCAGTCTGCAGCTTTCCTTTAAGTCACCAAGCGCCTCCAACATTCAAAGCTGTGTGCCTGCCACACATAAAAGAGATTCTAATCACTACACCTTCAAGGAGAGGGCAAGGAGACCTTGGCCTCTCTGGTGTTGCCAGGGTGGGGCCTGCTTGGGTATGGGTGTGGTCTGGGACACAGGCATAGGGACTATAGAGTGAGAGGCTTTGCAGGTATGCAGGTAGGATGCACAGCCTCCAGCATTGCCCACAGCTGCCTGGCCTGCTTGCTTGTAAATGAAACACATACACATACACATACACACACACACACACACTTGTAAATGAAACACATACACACACACACACACACACACACACAGCCTCCAGCACTGCCCACAGCTGCCTGGGCTGCTTGCTTGTAAATGAAACACATACACATACACATATATACACACACACACACACACACACACACACAGCCTCCAGCACTGCCCACAGCTGCCTGGCCTGCTTGCTTGTAAATGAAACACATACGCATACACACACGTGCACACACACACAGCCTCCAGCACTGCCCACAGCTGCCTGGCCTGCTTGCTTGTAAATGAAACACATACACATATACAGGCGCGCGCGCACACACACACACACACACACACACGGCCTCCAGCACTGCTCACAGCTGCCTGGCCTGCTTGCTTGTAAATGACACACATACACATACACGTGCGTGCTCACACACGTGCGTGCTCACACACACACACACACAGCCTCCAGCACTGCTCACAGCTGCCTGGCCTGCTTGCTTGTAAATGAAACACATACACATACACACACACACGCGCACACAGCCTCCAGCACTGCTCACAGTTGCCTGGCCTGCTTGCTTGTAAATGGAACACATACACATACATACACACACATGCACACGCACACACAGAGCCTCCAGCACTGCCCACTGCTGCCCGGCCTGCTTGCTTGTACATGAAACATATACACATACACAGATGCGCACGCACACAGACACATATACAGCCTCCAGCACTGCTCACTGCTGCCCGGCCTGCTTGCTTGTATATGAAACATATATACATACAGATGTGCACACACACACATGCACACACACACATTCGCACAGACACACACACCGCCAGCCTCCAGCACTGCCCACTGCTGCCCAGCCTGCTTGTTTGTATATGAAACATATGCATACACATACACAGATGTGCATGCACACACATATGCACACACGCACACACACATGGCCTCCAGCATGGGGCCACTCAGTACCTTCCTTGCACTCCAGGGCCACACGGGACTCCAGGTTGTCCATCTGCATCTGCAGCCGCTTCAGCGTGAGGTCACTTTCGCGGGACTTGCGTTTATAGGCAATGAGCACGGCCACGATGAAAATGATGAGGAGGCCGCCAGCCACTGCGATGCTGACGATGGCGGGCAGGCTGAGCGGGCTGTCCGGGGCAATGTACACCATCCCCGGGGAGTACTCCATGCCACCGACACGGGCCTGGGGGCACACAGGGCAAGAGGGAGCTGGGTGTGGGGACGCAGCAGCTTTGGCAACAGTCCCAAGTTACCCATGAACTAGTGACCAGGGCAGGATGACGGAAAGGAGACCAATCACTGGTGTCAAAATAGACAAGAGGGCATGGGGGGCTGGGAGCGGGGACAGGCACAGCTTAACAGAGCTCACCCCCAACTGGAAAAACCTCACCTCCTCTTATTCAGGAGCGAGTTTTGTCATCTTCATAAGAAAACAGCACACAACTGGGACCTAAACACAGTCTGCCACAAATGACTGGCTCCCCTAAGATTTATGCCCAATCTAAGGGTGGACAACTGAAGCACAGAACATGATATTAAGATATTACGGAATTCCCTGGGCCAGCAACAGCCTTCTCCTTGAAGGCTTTGTTTGTTGCAGGTGATTTAGCAACTATTTAATGCTGTTTTGCATTTTCCTTATTGTTGCACCAGCCAGTGTGGAAAGAATGACAATACAGAAGAGAGAAGCTCAAAAGTGAACATGAAGAAAGAACTTGGGGTGTGGGGTAGCTACAGGAAAAGTTCTTTGTGGGACAGAATCCCCTCTTGGAAAGCCTTGGTGGCCTGAGCTCACATCTGCATCCCTACTGCCCGCTCCATCCAGGATGGGGTTCTGCCAGCCTCACCATCACTTTGTGCCTGCCGATGAGGTTGGGGGACTCGCAGAGCAGCTGGACATCTGACACGGTCACGGTGCACGGCTTCTCCCCAACCAGCACAGTGTAGTTCAGCTTCACGTTGCCCCCAGCCACAGGCGGGATCAGGTTCTTGCCCTGTACAAATGGGAAAGCACCAGTTCCCACCCCAGAGTGAGGACCACAGCTACCAGCTGGCTCTCATGTCCTCCCACCTGGAGGTCCCATCCCGCTGGTGAGCTGGTGAAGAAGCCACCTTTGGTAATAAGTGCAAAAAATATTCATGGCATGACTACCACCATTGCCTCTTCCTCCCAGTGGCTAATCAGTTATCAAAGTACTCCTTTCAGCTTATCCCAAATGCAGCCTCAGAATCCTTCTCAATGCAGAGTTGGAGTCAGTCACTACCAATTGATTCAAATTGTCATAAGCTTTAATTAACCTGTAACCCATGTTCCAAAGGAAGCCCTATGCTGTGGTTCGCACAAGGCTGCCTCAGAGGAAGCAGTGAGCCTGACCTGCCAGTACTTGGACTTTCAGGACAATAAAAGCTTGAGAGTCAAATAGCCAAGGTGGATCTGCCTTCCCTGGGTAGAACCGGCCCCTAAAGAGAGTTTTCTTCCCAGTACAGACTCAGAGAGAACATTTATCACACTCTGGGCTACACTGCAACCTCTGCAAGAGATGCTGGTTGAGAAATGTGGCAGGAGTCTGTGACTTGAACACCCCCTTCCATGCAGCAGCCCCTTCTTTTCCCACCCCCGCCTCCCACCACCCTCACTCCACCTTTAGGATGATGGGCGTGCCAGGCTTGAGCTCCAGGATTCCTGAGGGACCAAAGGCCTCAAACACCGGGTTGGGATAGTAGGTGAAGTTGGTCTTGTTGAGGATGAGCAGGGACTGGACGTTGTCCAGGATGAAGCCAAACTCCTCGGGCCTCTCGGTCAGGTCTGACTGGTGGTCAGGACCCAGAGCGAGGGCGGGCGCCTGACAGGTCATCTCAGTAGCGTTCAGAACCTCACAGATCTGTGGGAGGAGCCACAGAGTGGAGTCTATGCAGTATCTCCACATACCCACAGCCCCAGTGCACATAGTGGGCCTCCCTGGATGTCATCGGGATAGCAAGGGGTTGACAAGAGGATTAGAGATGAGTCAGGGCCACACAATTGGGCACTCAAGGAATAGGCTCTATAGCTTGCACCCAGCTCCGGTTTTGCCCATAGTGGGTGTGGCAATGGCTAGGATTGGAAGAATGCAAGAGTAAAGGTATAAAACCCAGGGAACCCCAAAAGTAATTACTCCTCCATGTCTATACCCCAAGAAGTAAAAATGCCCTTATGTCTTCCCCCCTATTCCACTATCCTAGTATTCAAGGGTGTCAGGCTGTGGGTTATCAGTGTATGGGCAGGGAGTTACCTCAGTACTTGGGAAGACCCACACCCTTTGGGGAAGCAACGTGTTGCATGGGCAGCCTCCATGAACCCCATCAGCCCTACACTCACATTGATGTGCTCCTTCCCTCCATGCTTGGCACGGATCTGGGGGTTCTGTATGAGGTCCAGGTGGGTCCCCCATACGGCGATGGGTGTGTTTCCACTGAGCAGGAAGAAAGAAGGAGATGTGTAAATGATAAGTTCAGGAAGAGCAATGGCACTCTACAATGATGACTGAGCTATGACAATAAGGACAGTGATAACTAGGCAGCAGGGTAATGTTCATGGGGACAAGGATGACAAGCTGACTGCATAGTAATAAGGATGAGTATCTCGGCAGCCAAGGGGAGGGCAGTAATGACCAGATGTCCGTGGCCATCCTTTGCTGAGTTTGTTTGGAGTATGGACCCCCGTGGAGGCCCAGTCAACAGCACAGCCCCCTTGGCTCTCCAAGGCCTCTTGATTTGTGCCAGCTGCTTCTCTGCAACCCCTTGGTGTCTCTTCCTCCATCCTTCCCCTGGTCCTCACCAATCTTGGGACTTTTTAAACATTAGCTTTGGCCTCATGAAAGCCTCGCTCCAGATTGTCCCCACCACATCCTGCAGGGGCTGAGCACAGTCTGCTCCCCCAGGGCAATCGTTCTATAATTTTCTATCTTGGAGGCTTCGATCAGGCTGAGATCTGGGAAAGGCAGAGGGTCCATGAATGCAAATGTGAATGCAAGTGCGAAATGCTTTTGGACTCGGGTCTCCTGTACCCTGGGGTGGCACAGGACCACTGACAGGGAGGACACAGGACTGCTGAGAGGGAGGGCACAGGACTGCTGACAGGGAGGGCCTAGGAGCTTCATCTTGTGTAACCTTTCAAAAGAAACCTGGATGCCAGTGCCTATCCTTAGGGCAGCTGAGAAGTGGGCATAAAGGGGTGGGCAGTACTGTAGTGGACTGTGTCCTCCAGGGGGGCTACTCAAAGAAAAATGAGAAATAGCCTGATCCCCAATCAAAGGAGCATCTTCGAGAAGAATCCTGCTATCTAAAACAGGCTTTAGCAAGTTAGTTAGCTAGAAGTTGATGAGTAAAGAATCCTTGACACACACACCCACATTCATTTCCACCCATCTATCCATCTGCCTGTCTTTATATTGCCAGTTGCTTCTCCCTCTCTCCTTGCTCACATGCGCGCACACACGCATGTGCGTGCACACACAGTGTAAGATTCCTGTGAAACTCGGAGAGGCTCTTGCACATGTGACAGACAGTGCTGGAGATGACCTTCTGGTGTCTAGCCATCTTCCCTGTCCTCTCAATCACCAATTCAACACACATTTATCAAATGCCCACCATCACTGTTCACAAGTAACCCAGGTGGCTTATAAGAGCAGAGCCTCACCCCATCCTCAGACTTTATTAACTTAAATAAAAGCCCTGGAGCTGGCTGGCAGACCCAGAACATGTCTGTCTCCAACCTCCCTCCTAGTGGGAGCATGATGCAGGAATGGCAGCTGAGTGCCAGTTAGGGTGACACCTCTATTTCTATGAGGATGACACAAAGAAGAACTGAATTATACCAGGCTGTGAATTTCGCAGAGAGTTGCAAAGTTTGTTGACTAAGTCACAAAGGGCTGCATCAACTTCCTGGGGCCAAATCCTGGCATGGCTTTCTACAGACGATTTTCCCCTCTCTGTGCCTTCTGGTCTTCATCTGCCTTAAGGTCATGGCCAAAGCTCAGAAGGTTTGGGCCTGATAGAGTAACTGCTGAGGACGGCCAAATCTCATCTCTGCAGGCAAAGCCTGTCTTTCTTTTGGGTTTAAGACAGGGGGTGGCAAACTCTTTCTGTAAAGGGCCAGATAGTAAATATTGTAGGCTTTACAGGCCATATGGTCCCTGTCGCAGTTACTCAACTCTGCTGTTATAGTGAGAAAGCAGCTATAGACAATACATGTACGAGTGAGCATGGCTGTGCGCCAATAAAACTTTATTTACAAAAGCAGGTGGCTAGCCAGATTCAGCCCACGGACTGGAGTTTGCCGATCCCTGGATTAAAAAAAGATTGTTCCCTGGACTGGACACATCCCTGCTCTCTGCCTCAGCCCGGGGAGACCACTTCTGCATGTACTTCCTGCTCACTCCCCCAGCCCCACACCCCTGAGAACTGAAGCTGACAGTGAGAAGCCTGGTCCCAGCAGGGGGCAGCGGGAGGGGGCTGAGCCAGGCAGGGCCCTGTGCATGTGCATCTCACTTCAGCCTCTCAGCTGCCTATGAGAGTGGACAAATGAGGGACTCTGGCCCCAGGCAGGTGAGAACTGTTAAGGCCACTGGGCTGGTAAGCAGTGGAGCTGGGCTGAGACCCTTCCCACGCTGCCCCTGTTACAGTGACTTCCCAGTGACCTCTGTGAGCTTTGCTGTGGGGTGCCCTCTGTAGCATCTTCTCATTCCCATGTGCTAGCCAGGGCCTGGAAAGGCAGACTCATGCCGTGTGCCTACTCCATCTCCCTTGATGGGAGACATACCACTCCAGGGACCCTAGAGATCCTGGGATTTCAAAATCCCTGGGTGAATCACTGAATAGGCAGAGGCCCAGGAAGAGTACCAATTTGCCCAAGGTAAATGAAGGTCCCCAAGTCCCTGCCCTAGGGCCTTTCTATACCAACATTCAATGCCTGGTCCCCTCCCTCTGAGACAGGTGTTCAGTGCATCTGGCTGGGCACTGGGAAAGGGCAGGAACAAGACCTAAACTCTACCCTTGAGGAGTTTACAGCAGAGGGGAGGGGAAATATAAGCAGGCAGCCAGGAGCAAAGAGGATAGGTATTTGGATGGGGCCTCCAGGCTCAGAACACAGCTTCCCCCAAGGAACCTGACTACAGGGAGTAGTCAGGCCTGATCTAACTCCTTCTTCCACACCCCTCAGCCTGAAGGTGGGACCAGGATTAGCACCTATGTCTACCAGAAGTGAGAAGAGTAGCCTGGCACCCCCAGCAGTCACTGCAGCATAGGGACATGGCCTCCAGCACAGTGCCTGTCCTTGAACTGGGAAAGGTGGGTTCTTGTTGTTAGGAGCTTGGCCTCCAGGCTGGGTTTGGCACAGAGGTGCTCTCAGTGGAAGGAGGGAGCCACAGTAGGAAGGTCTGATTTGGGGGTGTTTGGAATCAATTCCAGCTCATCCATCCCCCAAGCAGGACTGGGCCCCCAGAACTCTCCTTGGCTTTCAAGAGTCAGGGAAGGGAAACAGAGGTGCAGAAGCATTAAGGTCCGCTTGGGCCAGCTCCTACCTGACAATGCTCCATTCTGGCTCAATCCGCACGATGGTGGGGTCTTCCACATACTGAAAGACCAGGTCCTGGTGGATCTTGGCCCTGTCCACCTGCACCGACACCTTCATCTCTAGCACCTCATCTGAGGATGTGGTGTTGCAGACAATGTAGGATGGAGATCGCCTGGAGGGCAGGAAGACAGAGCACTGGGCGCCTGGTGTTGAGGAGGACAGAGGTCCTGAGTCAAGGCCCTCCCACACCGCTCCCTGCATGTCAGGATGCTCAGAGGCCATGGGTGGGTGCTCTCAGACAGAAAACTGGAGAGCCAGTGACAAAGACTCTCCTTGGCCAAACTTTAGACAGGTTCCTCTGAGCCTTCTTTTCAAATAGGCCTCATCCCTGGGTCTGTCTTTGGCCTGTCTAGCCTTGTTTTTTAGCAAGAATCTGGCTAAGTCTATTTGGGGAGAACCCTCCCATACTTGACATCTGATCACCCTGGCCTGCCTTTGCAAGAATCACGTTAAGTTGGTTTAGCAGGAGTCCATCTACCTTGATGTATCCTCTTAGTGATTTTTCATTCACTGAGCCCCTTATTCTGCTCATTGGCTATAAACCCCCTGCTGTCTTTGTAGTATTTGGAGTTGAGCCCCATCTGTTTTCCCTGATGCAGTAGTCTTGACATCAGTTGCAATCGTCCTGAGTCTTCCTTGCCATTTTAACAAGTGTCAGAATAAATAATTGTTTCTTTAACACTACTGATGCCAGGCCTGGCCAGGTCTGACTTGGGAATTGTCACAGCTCTCAGCGTAGCTCCCTCAAGGAAAAATCCTCTCTCTAGAGAATCTCAGGCCAGCTGAGGGAGCTTCTCCAGCCACATTGCCTAGAGTCCTTCACTGAATGCACCTCCTGCCTTGCTCCTACCCCCTAGGCTCCAGTTCATGACAGGTGTGCCCTTCTGGGGCTGCACAGTAGGACCAGGGGAGGCAAGGTCACCTGGCCTTGTAGGCTCAACCTCAACCACTGGATTGCTGTGCCTATCATCTCTGAGCAGGTCCAGCTGGCTCTGCAGCTCCCAGAGTGGATCTGACCCTCGTGAATGGGCTTTAGTTGTAGATTCCAAATTGCATTCTGGGGTAACCTAGGGTTCTGCAGAGTGGGTGCTATGGGGGCACCAGGGCTAACTGATGGGCCATGAAGCATATGGAGCCCATCCAGGGAAGGGAGGGCTGACAGGTCTCCAGACTGAGCCCAAATCCTCTCCCAAAGAGCACGTCCACTTTGTTAGGCAGGAGGAGTACTTCCAAGCCATAAGGTGATTGAAACCACCTTTGCAAAAATTGTTGCAAAAAAGTGTGGCACCTGTGCAAAAATTTCTGACATAGAAAAATTATCACAGTGCAAGTCTGACCTAACGGACCCTATCTTGCTTTTAACCTCCAAGCTACCCTTGTTCATTCCTGGGCACAGACCAAGCTAACTATAGGAGGAATTTAGTTTATAGTTTAATTTTGTAACAAAGATGATAACAGCCTTTTCCTGAAACAAACCCCCTCTTTGCCTGGGGACCAGAGAGCCTACCTTTGAAAAACTAACAAATTCGCCACAAGATCAGAAATTATGACTCAGGAGGCACATAAGCAACAAGAGGCCACAAGATTCCAAATGTTCCCAATTGCTCCTATGGATAACATCACTATTGTAAAACCTAAGATCACTGTTTGAGATACTTTTCAGATCCTGAATTCTGATTGACCAGCTGGTACCACCCAGACCAGTAACGTGGCTCAACTAGTTCTGCGATCCCACCCAGGAACTGAAGACAGCAAGAAAAACCTATTTCAACTTTATACAATTTCATCTGCAACCCAACCAATCAGCATTCCCCACTCCCTAACCCCCCGCCTGCCAAATTATCCTTAAAAAAACCCTAGTCTCCAAATTTTCAGGGAGACTGATTTGAATCATACAACTCCGATCTCCCATTTAGCCAGCTCTGTATTGATTAAATTCTTTCTCTATTGCAATAATGCTGTCTCAGGAAATTGGCTCTATCTGTGCAGCTGGCAAGAAGAACCTGTCAGGTGGTTACACCCTCCCAACTCTCTGCAATAAAAACAAAGCTACCCTGAAGTCATTTACCTGTCTAACCTTTCCCTCTCTGGTGCTGCAGAAAGGGGCCCTCTGAGTTACCTGTGGAAGAGACAGGGCTGCTTTCCAAACATCACCACCACGTTGCTTCCGGCATTCAGGTTGGTGCCTGTGATGGTCACTTGGGTCCCTCCGGACATGGGCCCCCGGCTGGGCTTCAGATCTGAGAGAGTCAGTGTCTGTGTAGAAAGGATGTGGCCTGAGACACAACCAGGAAGGGGTGGAGGAGGCTTCTGGGCAGGCGTGAGGCAGCACCCCACTCCCCCAAGCTGCCTTCTGGAATCTTTGGTAACAGTGGTCTCCCAGAGAACCAGGGCAGTTCTCTTAGGCTTGCGTGGATAGGCAGTGTTCCAGACCCTGAGAGTTTGCATGCCTATCTTAGTAATAGTAATACTAATAGCTGCCATGTACTTATTTTTTAAGTGTCAGATTGTACATCTTCATAATTATACATGTATGTGTATATATCCCTATATACACATACATATATATAATTTAATCACCAATCAATTCTTTAAAGTAGGCATTATTATTTTACAGAAGAGATTCAGAGATGTTAAGCTAGTTTTCCAAGGTCACACAGCTAAAAAAAAAAAATGGCATAACTGAGATCTTACCCCAGAGCTCCAGTTCTCAACCCCTCTCTGACCTACAGCTCTGTTCTTGGGTGGTAAACTGTCTCTCCCACAGGTCTCTACAAAGAGCTGCCCAAAGCACCCAGTGGCAGAGCAATGGGAAGTGAGAGCCCCAGGGAAACTCAGAGAGAGAAACAGAAAAGAGTCAGTTGCTTTCAAGGGCTGCCCCCAGCCCTCTGCCAGAATGGGACCAGTGAGGAGTCCAGGTTGGGGGCAGGGCAGAAAAAAGCTCTTGACAGCTGGGGATTTGGAGTTGCAGTTTGTTCTTTCATTAGCATTTTAATGGAAAAACTTTCCTCAGTCCCAGGTGAGAAGCCTGTATCTGCATTTAAATGAAGATTTCTCTCTCCCTTCCCCAGCTACCTCCTCCTTAAAGAATTCAGCACCAAAAGTCGAACCCTCTCAGTTCCTTGGAGCAGGCTGACAACCTCCCCTTGGAGATGCTTTGATAGGGAAGCCCCAGAGCTTCCCTATCACCTGGCACATGCGCCTCCAGGTCCAGGATCAGGGCACATGGGTGAGGAGACACGCAGACCACAGCTCCTGACCTGCCTCACCAGGTCTCAGCACCCTGTCTCTGGATCCCAGGTCTAGTATCCCTGTAACATGGGCCAAGCCAAGGAATAGCTTGTCATTTTGGCTCAACCAGAGACCAGGAAGAGGGTGGGGTGAGGCTGTGGAAAGAGCCCTCCTTTCTCAGCTCTGCCTGGATCTCGCTGTGTGACTCTGGACAAGACATTTCACCTCTCTCATCAACAAAATCAGGGGGCTGAGCCAAAAAGTGGTGATCTTCAAGGCTCCTGGCAGTTCTCTTGTTCTGTAACTTGCAGTACCTCTTCAAATGGTACTTGTGCCCATCTTAAAGTATCCCCACCAACCTTCCCAGAGAGGAAAGGAAAGGAAAGGAAAGGAAAGGAAAGGAAAGGAAAGGAGAGAGAGAGAGAGAGAGAGAGAGAGAGAGAGAGAAAGAGAGAGAGAGAGAGAGAGAGAGAGAGAGAGAGAGAAGATTGTGCACACAGGCTTCGATGCAGGGATGGTCCTAAAGAGACAGAGTTGAACTCAGGGAAGTTAAAATAGATGGGGGTTGGTGCTCCCTGGCAGCCTGTGGGTGAGGGTTCTTAGAAGGGGTAGAAGTGAGTAATCCCTGCAGGTGTTGCTGGGGCACTATCAAGGGGCTCACTGGTGGGGAGAGGATGTTATGGATACATGTTTTAGAGTTGTGAGAAGCTATTAATTATTCAAGCCATGCTTCATAAATATTTCACGGTGGGTTTGCACAGGAAATCAAATTCTGCATTACTTGCCACCTCTTCACTTGGCTCCATGAATGGAGGTAGAGGGAAGGGGGAAAGCATTCCCTGCATGGAGACCTTTAGGAACAGCTAGTGACAGCCCAGGGTGTTAATCTGGGGCCTCTTGGTCTTGGCATTTGGTTTTTGATGAATAAACCCACAAATTGGAGTCTGGCCTGATTGTGGGAGAGGACAAATCTTCCCTCTAGCCTTGGTACTAAAAAGGGTCTCCCCAACATGCCCCAAGTCCTGGGGAAAGAGCTTCCTGGCTGTCTCAGAACTCCAGGGGAGCTAGGGGCTTCTGTGTAGGGCCCAAAGAGTGCACCTGCAAGCTGCCTGGTAGATGAGAAGGCCATGAGGGCTCGGAGACTCTGGAAAGTGTGATAGATGGGGGTTCTGTCCCTTCTCAACCCCCTGCGGAGACTCATGGGGACCTCTGTCCCTCACTCCCACCTGGAATCCCTAGAAACTCTGTGTGAGGGATGGGGGTGGGCCTCAATGACACAACCCTTAAATGCAAGGGGCCAGAGAAAGAGACTGGTGTCCCTAGCACTATCTCCTTCCTAAAGTCTTCCCAAGTGAACATGTGGCACCAGAGCCATTCCTCAAAGATGTCCCTTAAGTAGAAAAATGACAAATCTTTGAGCTTCAGGGACCTACCAGATCAATGCATATTTGCCTGTGGCAACCTCTGTCATCTGTCCTGACCTGCCTCTGCTTCAGTCTCTCCTGCTCACCACCCACCTTCTTCCTTCTCCCTCCTGTTCCCATCTTTTGGTGCACTAGACCTTATGCTGGGAACAGCCTCCCACCACTTCAGATCCACATGGAAAATTATATTCTATTTGTATTATACAAATTCCATCTTTGCCTCCAGCTTCTTCTAGGAAGTCTCCCTTAATACCCTAAATTCAATCACACCCCTCTCCAGGGTAGGAACAATCACACAGCCAAGACTGGACCCTTCCTGAGGGCAGATGAGACTTTCCAATGTGTAGCACACAGGCTCATTATAAGAATAAAAGCAGAGAGCTGAGTGCATTGGTACATGGGAGCTACTCAGGAAACATCCTTTCTCCTAGGTCAGGGGGCCTCAGCCCAGCTTGCATCTCAGAATTACCCAGGATCTGTAGCATTGGATTTAATTAGTCCTGGCAGGAGGCAGGGAGAGGTCCAGGGCATTTTGTTTAATGGTCACCCCACCCCAGGAGACTCTCCTGTGTCCGGAGGTTTAGCGCTGCCTATGCACTGTGGGGATCCCAAAGAAAAGAAAGTCCTGGGCTTCAGCTGATCTTTGATGGAGCCTCAGGGGTGGGGGCCTGGCTGCAAATGCAGAGCAGAGGCAGAGAGGCTTAAAGGAAGCATCAGCTTAATGAGGTGGCGGTGATTCTAGCCCTGTCCACTGTGTGCTCCAGGGTCCCTGCCAAGGACCACAGGATGGAAAATTGCTCTGGGCAGGTGGCAGGCCAAGGCAAGTGGCTCCCAAGACTGACTGGTTTGACGAGGAGCAGGGCACAAAGAGGAGCCACTGAGCGGTGTGATGCAGTCAGATGTCTGGAGTCCCAGTAAATGGGGTGGGGTGCAGGGCCTGTGGATATCCACAGCTCAGGCCTCTGCATTCGCAGACTGAGGACTGGGTCCCGAGCACAACTTTGACGAATAAGGAGGATATGGCTCGTGCAACCAAGAGAAGGAGATAGAGAAGATAAGGTGGCAGATCATGCAAAGGCTGGCAAAATAGGATTGAATGGGGAAGCAGACAGAGGAGCCTGGGCAATGTTTTACAGGGAGGGGGAGCCTTGGCTCTTCTTGAGGTGGCGGCTGACATGATGGTAGATGGATTACAACAGGTTCAGAGAGAAAAGCAAGGGAAAGATTTAAGGAGGCCGTTGTGATGGCAAACAGAATGGGAAAAGGAAGACTCTGGGACATGGTGATGGATTGATGTCAGGAATGAAGGGATGCTGAGCCACAGCCCAACAGGATTGTAGGCCTAGGGGATGGATCACTGATGGGAATAGGCAAGAGAGGAGGATGCACTCTTTATGGGAGCTGACAGCCTGGGTGGGCCAAGTGGAGATGAAAGTGAACAGCCAGGTGATGGTGGCCTTGATTGAGCCGCTGGAGTGAGGGGCCTGACTGGGGAAGCAGGGCAGAGGCAGCTAAGGTTCAAAAGAAGCATCAGCTTAGTAAGTTGGAGGTGGCTCTAGCCCTGTCCACTTTATCATTCAGGATCACTGCCAAGAACCTCAGGATGGAAAGCTGCTCTGGGCAGTGGCTGGCCAAGGAAGTCCAGTGCTTGCTTTGGCCATGCAGCAGTTTCCTCCCGTTTTACTTTGGCTGCCAGGAAATTTCAAAGCCAGATTTCTTGCCCAATTTTAGCAAATACCTGGCGAATGTCATCCCTCCTCTCTCCATCTCTCTCTCTCTCTCTCTCTCTGTCTCTATGTCTATATCATATACTATATATATATATATACACACACACACACACACATATATATGCATGCTTTATATACAAATATATATACATTTCTCATTAGTTGTCTTAATGTCTATTGGGTTCACCTTGGAAATTCCCTCATGCTTTCAGGAGAAGGTGGTGGGTACAAATCCTAAACAAATAAGGAAAATGACTCGTCCATGAACCCCATTATATGTGCGTATTCTTCTAATTTTATGAATTCCTATGTGCATTCTGTGACAGCCAACTGCATCCAGAGGGGGTTTGGCCCTCGGAGAGCAGAGGTGGAGCAGATGCAGGCCCAGTCATGGTGTGGCACGACACTCACGTTTCTCTAAGGTTTGGCCCTGACCATGTTCAAGTCTGTGTCAAGTACTTGAGCTCAGTTGCTTTCACCTCCCCTTCTAGACTGTAGGCCTCCTGAGGGAGGTGCTGTGTTGGGTCTTATTCATCATCCATTAACCCCCACAGCCAGAACCATCAAGTCATAAAATCCAACTCAATTAAACAAGCACTCATTAAATAATCTAGTGAGAGGCATTGTGCAAGGTGATCAATGGCTGTCAGTTGAAGAAGGAAGAAGGAGGAGGAGGAAGGCAGATGAGATAAAGGAGGGAGGGAGGAAGGAAGGAAGCAAAGAAAGAGGAAGAAAGGAAGGGAGGGAGAAAGGAAGCAAGGAAGGAAGGAAGGGAGAGAGGAAAGGAGGAGAGAGAGATGGAGGCGAGGGGTGGGGGTGCAGAAGGAGGAAAGAGGGAGACAGAGAGGAAGGAGAATGAAAGCCAAACTCCCCATGACATATTTCAGGGCACATGATGGCCAGGCATAAAATCCATCACTTCAGGCTTCCAGCTTCCAAAAGCAGCTCAGAATCATGAGGAAATTATACCATTACAGCTGTCATTAATCTGAGAGGTTTAGTTTTTAAAATGATGGGTGTGTGCGGCAGGGAATGTGTTTATGTCTCCACCATCTCCATAATCACAAGGCTGAGAGATTCCAAAAGCCTCTGTCCCCTAGAACTACTTGTCAGGCAGCCTTTGAAGGGATGAGAGGTTCCAGGCAGGAAGGAATTTAAGGACTGGGGAGAGATCCTCAGAAAGGCCATGGGATGGGGAAAGGGGTGGTAGGGTGAGAGGTGGGGGCAATTGTGTGGGTAGAGGGAAATGGATTGGGTATGCAGGTGAGAGGTGGGCAGGGGTTAATGAGGTCATGAAATAGGGATAATGGTGAGTGGGTGCTATGGTTTGAGTGCATCTTCCAAAGTCATGTCTTGAAAGCTTAATCCCCAATTTAACAGTGTTGAGATGTTGGACTTTTAAGAGGTGATTAGTTTATAAGGGCTCTGCCCTCATGAATGGATTAATGTTACTATCATAGGAAGATGTTTATTATCAAAGAGTGGGTTTGTTATGAAAGGCAGTTCCACCCTCTCCCGCTCTTGCTCTCTTGCACACAGTCTCCTGACTTTTCGCTTTCTGCCACGAGGTGACGCAGCAAGAAGGCACTTGCCAGATGTAGCCCCTAGATCTTGGACTTCCCAGCCTCCAGAACAAGGAGTCAAATAAATGACTCTTCTTTATCAATTACCCAGTCTCAGGCATTCTTCTACAGCAGCAGTAAACAGACTAAGACACTGGGGTGAAGGAGTAGTGTGAGGGAGATAGGATGGCATAATGGGCCACAAGTGTGCAGGGACAGGCCAGAAAATGGAAGCAATGGTGGCAACCACAGAAATAATAAAACAAATGATACTAGAAGTCATAAATACATTGATGTAATTTTCCACAAGATCATGGGGTTGATACTATTATTATCCTCATTTTATAAATGAAGAAACTGAGGCAAAAACAAAATGTTGAGCAACTTGCCCACATTTACCCAGTTAGCAAGTGGAAGAGCCAGGTATCAAATCCCAGGAGTTGCCTTGTGAAGTCCAAGCTCTTGCCTACCTACCATGCCACACTGCCATGCACCCACCTGGGGACTCTGGGCCCTGAGAGCTAAAGCAACTTACCTGAAACCACACAGCCAGGCACAGAAAAGTCTGGATTTGAATCCAGGTCTTCCAGACTTCAAAGGCTGTGCTCTCACTCACTATAAGACAGGAGTCTCATGAACTGAGGGAGGTTGCAGGGCAGGCCCTTGCCCTGGGTTTGCTCACAGAGCTCTAGAGGGGCCCAGCAATCATGGTAATGAGCTCTGTGGCCTGCACCCAGCCAGATCACTGCTGGCCAAGACTCACCATGAAGTAATAGAGCTGTGAGGACCGGGCCATGAATTCAGGCCGACACACAGCCACGCAGATCTCCACGAAGCCTGCATGCTGGCTGGGCTTGGCCTCCCCCATCTCACACACGATCCTGCAGGGAGGATAGGAGAAATCCCATGGGTCACAGGACTTCCAGCCAAGACCCTGCACCCCACAGCACCTACCCAGGTCCCTTTCTCCACAGTAGGATCTCAGGGATGGCCAGGTAGGGGAGGAAGGGGAAGATATCCTAATTCCTCCTAGCAGGGGCTTCTCCTTAATTGTCAGGCAATGACGAAAACTGACCTATGGGATCTCCTTTGAGGGAGCCTAGAAGAGGGTCCCTGTGTTCTGACCCTAGATGTTCAGTCCCTAATTCATTATTATCTACTCAGTTGTCAACTAGACTGGAGGGCATGTTCTAGCCAAAACCCTTAGGGAATAGGGCTGGCAGAGTCCAGAGAGGCAAAGCCACTTACCCAAGGGCTGCAGCAAGTCAAACCAGAACTTGGAACAGACCTAAGGTTTTCTGGTCCCCACCTGGGAGCTTTCTGCTCCCGATGATTGGGTTGCCTCAGTGAAGTGCTTTTGCTTCCCAGCCAGCCTCCAGGCTGGGTGAGGGGATAATTGAGTGTGTGTGTGTATGTGTGTGTATGCGTGTGTGAACTTTTTCCTTTCTAAAAATTTTTATTGCTTTGATTACAAAATTTGTTTATACCCTTTGAAAATAATCAAACAGTCAAACAGTACAGAGTATGGCAGTAAAAAGTGAGTGCCCCATTCTTCTTAAAACTTAAAACTATATATACACTTAAAAGTTAAGTGTGTGTATATGTATGTATCTTTGCAGACATAATATATAAATATATATGTGTATATATATCTATGTATATATGTATATGTATTCTTCATTTTACAAATGAAGAAACTGGGGCAAAGAAAAGTTAGGCAACTTGCCCAATACATATATTTGCATACATATACACATATATACGTACACACATATGTATATTTATATTTGTATTTCATATGCAGGCACACATGAACATAAATGTGTTTTTACATATATACAATTACACTTATAAACATGCATACGTAAGGAAAGATATATGTGTTTTTTTAAAATAAAAGCAAAACATAACATATCCACTGCTATAAACACTTCTGTTTTTTGCTCAGCACAATAGCATGGACCTTCCTTCCTGTCTCTGTAGACACGGCTCGACTTTTTTCTTTTCAGCAGCCTCACAGTATTTCATCTGATGATTGCACTATCATTTACACAACCATCTTCCTATTGATGAACGTTTAGTTGTCCTGATTTTTCTGCTACTCCAAATAATTCTGCAAAATGAACCAACTGACACACACATCCTTAGGCATTGTATAGTAGGATAGATTTCTAAGGAAGGAACCTGTTGGGTCGGTTTGTGTATTTAATATTTGGTAGGTAGAGCCAAATAATGTTCCAAGAAGTCTGGACCATGCACTTCTATTGATGGCCCACTCTTTTGCCAACACCAGATATGAACAATCCTTTTAAGGTTTTTCCAATATAATGGGGGAAAAAATCTCATTTTTATTTTTATTTTGCAAATTACAGGTGAGGTTTCATAAATTTTCACATGGGTGTGTTTTTAAGATCTCATATAGCCTTTCCTTTGACTTTTCTGTTGAAGCCCTCTTTCTTGCTGATAGATTGTCTGAATTAGGAGTATTAATTTTGTCTGTTATAAATATTGCAATGATTTTCTCCACGCTTGTCATCTTTCAACTGTGGTTCCAATGTCTTTTGCCACACTAAAGTTTAAAAGTATCTGTGTGTTTAAGTTGGTTGTTCTTTAACTTTACGGCTTCTATGTTTTATGTTTCTCTTAGAAACAACTTTTGAGTAAGGTTCCTGAACAAATAATAACTTTCTATCCAGATCACATAATTAATGCATGTTTGGTGTTTGAAACAAAATAGAAAGTACATAAAAGCACTTGTCATACTGAAACCCCCACTAGTTGCACCATTCAGAATGTAATTTTCCATAAGACCATGGGGTAGATGCCATTATTATCCTCATTTTATAAATGAAGAAACTGAGACAAATAAAATGTTGAGCAACTTGCTTACATTCACCCAGTAAGTAAGTGGCAGAGCCAGGGCTCTAGTCCCAGGAATCTCCTTGTGAAGTCCAAGCTCTTGCCTACCTACCATGCCACGCTGCCTTGCACCCATGTGTAATATCCAGTGTCAACATTTTGGTGTTTCTGTGGCCAGTCTTGCTTTTCTTTTACAAAACTGATTCAAAACTCTATATTATGCTTTGTAACCTGTGTTCCAAGAACCTGTGTTCTCACTTAATATACCTTGAGTATATGTCTGGTCATGATTCTTCTATAATATCAGATTTAATGGCTGTGTAGTTTTCTTTCCAGTGCTTATACAATAATTTATTGAACTGAGGAATTCCCTATTTTTACACATGTAAATCACTTCTGAGTTTTTACTATTATAAATAAGGCTGAAATAAACATTCTTGAAAATAAATATTTGTGAATTCTGGTTATTTAGGGAAAGTTCTAGATGTGTGATGGCCAGGCTAAAGGCTTCTAACCCACATTTCCAAATTTCCTTCTAGAAAGTTTGTCCCAATTTCCCCTTACACCATGAGTGAAGGAGTCAGCTACTTCTCATGACTCTCTCCTGCACCAGGCATTAACTTTCACAAACCACTCCCTATTGTTTTAATTTGCATTTAATTGATTACTACTGCTGTTAAACATTTATTTTTCGTATGACTTTCGGTTCTTTTTTATCTCATAAATTGTACGTTCATGCTCTTTGATCATTTTGTGATCTTTGCCTTTTATTTATAAAAGCTCTTTATATATTAAGAAAAAGTATTTATTAACTGTAATAGGGTATAACCATACTCCCAGTTTATCATTCACATTTTTATTTTGCTTGCAATGATTTTTGATGCACAAGTTTTAAGGTTTTATGTACTCAAATCCCCTAATCTTTTTCTTTATAATTTCCTCTGTTGCTGTTATACTTCGCACAAGTTCCCCTTCTTGAAATTGAATAAATTTCCACCTGCATTTTCTTCTAATCCTTTCACAGTTTCATTTTTTTTAAACTTAACTCTTTAATCCATCTGGAATTTATTTTGGTGTGTAATGTGGAATAAGGATCTGCTATTGTACTTTTTCCAGGGAGTTAACCAGCATCAATTATTGAATGGTATTTCCTTGGGTGATTTGAAATATCACCTCTATTACATACTAAATTTGTATGCATTAGCATTCTTTTTCTGGGTCCTCTATCTTACTTTACTGATCTAACTGGTATCACAATATTTTAATCATGTGGCTTTATAATAATACTTTTGATATCTGGCTATGTAAATCCAAAGTAGGATATTTTAAAATTCTCCAAATCACAATATATTAGCAGTGGCCTAGTTTGGTTTCGTTCTAGAAAGGTGTCAGAAAGTTGAAAGAGCCATAGAAAGATCTTTTGGTAACTAAGTGGTGATGGACCAGAGAGGTGAGTCCTACCAAGACTGGATCCTTAAACCATCTGATCTGCTGTGAGCATCTTGGGGAGATCTCATGGAAATCAGGAGGAATTGAGGATGGCTGTACTGATGGTTCAGAATTAGTAAATCTAGGCAAGACCCAGCAAGCAGAAATGGAAACTGCACTCACATACCTAGGGGAAGACTTGCGAAGAGTCAATAACTTATGCATACAGCACAAGTGACAAGATTTCACTCCAGGAAGTGCAACAAAGATGGTATGGAATATAGATTCTATGATGCTGGTAAACATTTCATAGTTGTGTTTGCTGGGCTGGAAAATGGTGCTTACTTATTTACAAGGCCATGCATGATTCACAAACCTCCTCTACTAGGTGGGTTACAGGTCAAGGTCTTTTGCTGAATGACCCATTCAGTGGGCCAGCAGACTTTCAAAGAGAAAAATAATCTAAGGCACCCACAAGCCTCAGAGTGGGTGTGAATTTCATTGTCAGTCTCCACAGAGAGTAGCACAGGATCAGTGCTGGGGGGGATGTGAGCGGGAAGTTGAGGACAGCAGAAGGAATTGGATTTACACTTCTCTTGCAGATTTTCATTTTGTTTTGTCTCCCCTCCATGCGGCCTTATGCCCCAAGTAGGTAACAGTCACCTTTCTCTCTCAGCTATTTCTCCTTTCCCTCTCTACACTTTCCCCAATATGGCAGCTAGCTAACTGAGCAGGCGGGGAGTTGTGGGAGTCCACCCTCCAACTCTAAAATATTGGGGTGGTTCTCCTTTTTCCCCCACAACAAGCTCTGAGAGCACCTAGTTGCTGACCAGGACATCCCTAATACTAACCCGTCTTCCCTCCCCTGTTCCTCCTGTGTTGCATGCAGCTTCACTTACTGTTCTGCAGGGATGTAACCATCCACTAAAGGGCTGCACTCCACGCCAGCAACCTTGACATGGGAGGCGATGTCGCGAAATTCCAGGCCCAGGTTCTCCCCTCGGATAGTGACCTTGGTGCCCCCTTCCCGGGGGCCTGTCACCGGGATTATCTGGAGGGAGGAAGAGAAATAATTAGACAAACACCAAGATACTGCCACTCACTTGCTGATGAGGCAAGGAGAGGCTGCTGGCTCTTGTCTCATCTGCCCCAGAGTCCCTGAGTGGCTTGAAGTCACCAAGGGCACCCAAAGCCTGCGGTAATCAATGGGTAGTAGCTTCTAGGAAAGCAGTCCATGTTTGTGTGTGTCACTAGGAGCAGTATGCAAAGCCCATGGTACATCTTTCCATTTCATAGAAGAGATGAGAGGATGGAACATGACCAGCAATGCTACCGGGTGATTCGTAGAAAATTGGGATTCATGCCTTCTAGCATTTGCTTGTGTTGGTTCTACTCTCAAGGAAAATAAAAACCCCTCCTATCCATTCAGAGCCCCCTACACCTATGTGACCCTACCCACCTCTCAAGATCCTTCTCAAATGACACTGCCCCATAACCCTGTGTTCTTCTTCTCTCTCCATTTAAATTCCAAGGTACCTTCTTTGTGCCACTTACATGGCAACAATTCTTTGTGCCTGTTCTTCATCCTTCCCACTCCCAGCCCCCTCCTCCTCCGATCCTGAGTCTCTGAGAGCAGGTCTGTCTCCCTCCTTGTGGGCTTTTCAGTAACCATCTTTATGTCTTGCGTTGTCATGTGATAAAACCTACAACTGTCCAAACATCTTTCCGGAATTACTATGAGCATTTGTCACAACTCCTTTGCCGTTGTTGTTTGGCCTGGTACCACATAGATTTAGGTTTAATTTAAATTTTACCCTCGTACACAGGTCAAAGTGTACTGGCTTTCCCTCCTAAATCAGTGTCAAAAACCCATGATTAAAATGTGAGGACTCAGCATCCAAGTGCCTGCTTTGAGGTGAGGGCTGTACAGTTAACACAATCTCATCCTGGCGTTTCATGGACCAGAGAAGGGCATGCTTCCATTCCTGGTGCCTATGAGCACCAGCACCTGGACCTTAGCCAATGTCAGCAGGATTAGAATGGAAGGAGCCCAGAGAGTCCATCTCTACCCCTTTTCAGCATATCCAACTCTCCTCAACCCTGCAGGGCCACAAGTGGGAATTCCATCCTGGGGTAAGGGTGAAAGATGGGGGAAGCAGAAGGAACTAGGCTGTGCTGCCCTCCCCACCAAGTGGCAGCTTCTCCAGGTGAGACTGCTTACCTGCCACAGTCAAGCTACCTCCCACCTCCTACACATCCCCGTGAGGGTTGGTGTGATTGTGAGTGAGCGTGTGCAGGGGTGTGAGCCTGTGCATAAGTATATTCCCATTGCAGTGGAAAAACAGCTTCCCTGGAGACACAGGCCCATTTCTATGAGAGGGAGGTGGACAGATGTGGGGAAGGTCAGAGGGAGAGTCTGTGTTCTTCCCAAATGCCTGCCTAGCCAGTCCCCAAAGTGCCACTGGCATCTGGCAGCAGTGTCTCCATGATATTCTAGCCCTGGCTTGTCATACTGAAAAAGGAGTTTTATCTCTGGCCCACTCCTTCGTTTCCCAGGTTCCCCTAGGGCCAACACCAGTATGGAGGCAGTAAATAGCCTTTGTCACAGGGAGATATGTTTAATTTGCCGTCTCCTCCCTGTGATTTTCTTGGACATAGGCCAAGAAGAAAGCAAGTCCCACTGATGGCACCAGACACACTGCCATGCGCAGCAGCCCCCTGGGTTGGTTTCTTGTTGAGGGCTCTGGGAGGAGCCGTTCCACAGAGCAGGTGTGAAGGTGAGCGGTGGGGACTGGGAAGGGAGGACATGGGCCCAGGTATGGGGTCAGGGGCAGTGAGGAGAGAAGAGGTCCACCTGTCCTCCTATTCCAGATCATTCTGTAGGTTAATTCTGCAAATATTTCCTCCAAGTCTGAGAATCACTGTTTAGATTCCTACCATGCAAAAGACTGAAGTGGGGACTGAGAGAAACTCTCAGAGCCTGTATAGCCAGGAATGTGGAAGATAAAGGGTCTGAAGCATGGGGCACATGTTGAGGGCCACCCCAAGGGGCTGCTTTGCTGGGTGAGGCCCACAAAAGCCCACACACAAATGTGTAGGAGGCCCACAAAAGCCAAGAATCTTCTTGCTTTCACACATCCCTGGTGCACGTGCACAATTTGTGAGTGGGGGTATGAAGTCTCACCATTGTAGTGGAGGAGAACAATAACCTAGGAGAACATTACTCAGGAGATCTGGGATTCAGGACCATGTTACTGACACTTTGGTTAGAGTATGTGTGCCTCTCTGAGCATTAGCCTCTGTCTGGAAGAGAATAATAACCTGATGATAACCCTGGCCTTGGGAGACATTATGGGTTTGAATTGTGTTTCCATCAAAGTCACAGGGTGAAGTTCTAACCCCAGTGTCTCAGAATGTGTCCTTATTTGAAGACAGGGTCTTTGGAGAGGCAATCAAATTTGAAGGAGACCATTAGGATGGGCTTTGGTACAATATGATCTAATGAAAAAGAAATTTGGCCACAGAGGAATGCACAAAGAGAAGATGATGGGAAGCTACACAGGGAGAAGATGGCCATCTCCGAGTCAAGGAGAGGGATGGGGAACAGATGCTTCCCTCACAGCCCTCAGGAGGAACCGACCCTGCCAACACCTTGATCTTGACCGTCTACCTCCTGAACGGCAGGACGATCCATTTCTGTCGTGCAAGCTGCCTAGTCTGCAGTACCTTGTGACGGCAGCCCTGGGACCCTAATAGAACAGGTAGTTGTTTGGACTGACAAGGTAAGGGGTGTAAAGGTGTGGTGCAACTATTAGGCATCACACAAATATATGGCCTATGACTGTGCCTGCCACTGTTAAGTGATCATATACTGTGTGCATTTGTGAAACTGTGCACAAAGCCCGGTACCAGTTCGTCCTCACTGTTCACTGAGGCAGAGACTGAGTCTCTGTCTTCTCTCCTTCTCCCTCTTCCTGCTGCTTCATAATCCTGACCAGCATCCGCAGTGGTAAAGAGGTATTGAGCACCTACTGTGTGCTCAGCCCTGAGCTGGAGGCACAGATGCCATGGTGCCACAGATGACATGGTGCCATGGGGGAGGAGCATGTGGAGAGAGAGATGCAGCCCTCTTTTTTATTTTAAGAGGGAGCAAGGGACTCCAGCCTTGCTGGAAGAGTGCAGGAGTGGGAGGAGAAGAGACAGGACTACTTAAATGAACTCCAGGGGCAGTGATTTCCTTGGCTTAGACATCCCTGGGAATGATTTTACCAATGATGATGAGTGAGGAGGCTGGTGAGATCCCCATGAGCTGGGCCCAGAGCAAGGTACCTTGCCTGTAGGTGCGTGTGAAATCCTTCCAGCTCCCATGTGAGAGGGACGCTCAGGCCCACCGCACATGTGAGGAAGGTGAGGTGTGGAGATACTGGTGATTTAGCCCCAAGGTACTCAGCAAACAGCTGGTGGAGCCTGGATTCAAACCCTATTCTCTGGGACCCAGTGTCTGCGTGTTTGGCTCTTCACCGTGTTCCTCCCCCAGGTCTTTGCTCCATGGCCTGTGTCCCTTTGGTCCCCCTAAACTGTGCTCCATCTTACAGCTCAGGGCTTGCTTTGGGGGAGTTCAAAGACCTCTCTGTTGTGACCTTCTTCACCTCCCCAGAGCCAGGCTGTGCCCCAACACCCATGCCACCTCCAATCACGGGTTGACACTTGGTGAGGATGCCAAAGGTGGAACTTCAGGCCTTGCCACCGAGGCTCTTAGAGACAAAGGAAGGGGCTGGCGAGGACTGAGTCCTTTTTGACACAGCTCCTCAGAGACTCCAACAGGACAGTTGGGCCCCTCATTGAGGATAGTCGAGCCCCAAAAAGAGTCTCTGATCCAAGCCTAAGCTTCTGGGGAAGCCGTGAAGAAAAACTAGGGTGCCATCCAGCCAGGCAGAGCAACCAAGTCCACCCAGTGACTACTGGGTGACCGACACCACGGCTGGGCAGAGTTTCCACAGGGTGTGGCACAGCAGCCTGGAGCCTGCCCATTTGGAGCAGGAGGCCCGACCCCGGCTTACCTCTGTGATGCGGGGGTTTGTGCACTTGCTTTTGGCACCAGACAGCTCCAGCCACTGGCTCTCCTGGGCAGGGCAGTGCTGGCGCAGGGTGCACTGGCCTGGGCCCTGGCACCAGCCACATGCGAAGTCTGGGTCAGCCTTGAGGCACAGCCCGCAGCTCTCACGCATGGCTCCACACTTGTAGAGGTGAACTGCAGAGGGGAAGGGCAAGGACAAGGGGTGCTTGGGAATGGCAGTGGGGACAGAAGGGGCCCAGAGAGAGACAAAGAGTGCAGTGCCAGCCTGGGGTGATGGGGCACAAAGGCAGTTTTGCCCCCTTAGCCATTCTGATGCAAAAAAGAACCTGAAAGAAAGTCCAGGCCTGAGCAGAGGGACTGAAATGGGAAGCTCTGGGGTTCTCCGTTCACTCAGCACTCAGCAGCCCTTCCCAGGAAGTCCTCTGCACACCACCTCCTACCAGAAGCCCTCAGCCCAGGTCAAGCTCTACAGAGCCCATGCTCAAGAAGTAACCTAGAAGCACAGATGGTGGAGAGGCTGTGAAGGAGGGGCTCAGAGGGAGAGGGACAGCCACTAGGAGGCGGGGGCAGAATGACTCCCGCGAGAATGCAGGACGGCTCCTTCCCTCTCTACCCCATCCCTTCCCCTCCCTCCCCTGCTAGGCCCCAGCCCTTCCACACCTTTATTCTGAGCTGGGTTGTCAATGTTGAAGTGCCCATTCCACACGACTGTCAACTCCACGGGCAGGTTGTTGATCTCCATCCCTTCATAGGAATACTGCAGCCAGGTCGGGGAGGAGGAAAGAAGAAAGTGGGGTCACAGAGAGTTCTAGAGAGGGCCCAAATGATCAGCCTACGGCCGTTAAGAGCTCACAGGCTAAAGACTGGCCAAGACTGTGCTTGTGTGCATGTGTCTACCTGTGTGCATACAAGTATGCACATGCACATGTGTGTACAGGCAGGGAAGTGCATATCAGAGGGGGTGGAAGATAACACAGGGGTGGGCCAGGCCTCCAAGCATGCCCCTGTGGATGCCAGCTCAAGGAGCAGATGGGAGCAAGCCACTAGGTCATCTCCTGTGGGTCTCAGGCAGGAGGCCTGCTCCCATCCCCTGGAATTTCCTGAGAGGTAAAACCGAGGGAGGAGTCCACTTCCTCTCTGGCTGCCCAGGGAAACCCTGGTCCCTAGGCCCTCCCAAGTCTGCAATTAGATTGGGGAACTCTAATTTCCAGGAAATGTCCAGGGTAGGTGGATGCTTTACCAAAGACCTGGGGAGGGGTGATCACTTCCCAGGCAGGGCGGTGGTTGCAGAGACTAAGAAATGAAGGAGCTACACCCTAGGGGGATGAGAGGCTGGGGGTTAAGAGAGAAGAGGACTAGATGGGAGCTTGTTGGTGACGGGGGAAATCCTGAGGACCTTGGAGGACAAATCTGGAAATCTGGGCCTGGATGCTGCAGACAGTCACCAGCTCAAAGCCAGGCTCACGCCCAGATTCCTGTTGTGCTCCTGTCCTCGGAGGGCTCCTCAGGGTCCTGCTCCCCTACCTGGCTGAGAGATAGGAGGTGGAGGGTGGAGAGAAGAGGGAGGTGCTGGCTTGAAGATGATGGTGGAGGGGGCAGTCCCCAGGCATGATGGCCCCTAGTCTGCCTTCCCATAGCAGACCCCTCTCAGTCTCCAGAGAAAGAGGGTTAGCAGAGGGAACTTAGAGCCCACCCTGGGCAGCAATTTCCAACCCCTACCTGGTGATTTTCTCATTATTCCAGCCGACTCTGCTCGCCACAAGGGGCAGGATGGAAGAATGGAATTGAGACAGATTTTCTGCATGGGAGGGGCTGAGGCCTGGCAATTTGTTGAACGAAGTTAGTCCAGAGGACCAGGTTTGAAGCTGTGTTTGCAGGACCTACAGGCTGTTTTAATTCAAATTTAATTTGAATTAAAAATTTGGAGGGCTGGGCTAGGGGGATGTTGATGGATATCACAGGAGGCCACTGAGGCTCCGTCCTCCAAGTTGGCCATGGCACCTTCATGGACAGGGAGGGTGGCCACAGGACATGGGAAAACACATCTGGGAAGAATCTCAGAGGGCTACTGCCTCTGGGCAGGGACAGGTCTGCACCCTATTTGTAGGAGCTTCTAAAGGAGATGTTCTAATCTTCGATGCAGAAAATTGCCCTAAATTCCTGAGTTACGGAATGTGCTCCCATGAGAACAGACTGTGACTTGACATTGCCCTCATACAGCAACCACGGGGGGATGTACCTCCAGCCACTCCTGGCTCTGCCCTAGCATCCAGAGTTCTAACTTCCTCCCTGGCAACGCGTGCCAGGGCCAGAGAGCTAGGTTCGGTGTTTGTCCCACAACGGAGGAGTTTGCAACGTACCCCCGTCGTTGAATCTCTCGTTTGACCAATGGCACCCGGGCCAAGGCCAGGGTCCGAGCTCACAGAGTAAAGCAAAGTTTCCTAGCCCTGCAGAAACCACAGTGGAAACTTTGATCATCATAGAACTCAATCATCACCTCCCCAGAGGTTGTCTCTGCAGCTGGGTCAGGCTGGGTGGTCCTAAGTTGTCCTGAAAACCTCTTCCACTTTAGACTGGTGGCTCTTAGAGTGGTCTATGGATTCCTTCAGCAGAATCACCCGGGGGGCCTACTAAAATGCAGATTCCAGGGCCCATCCCAGATCTGCCGGACTGGAATCTCTAAAGATGAGGAGCATTTTGAGAGCTACTCTGTGATTCCGGTGCTGGTTAAAGTTAGAGAATCCCTGCAGTCTATTAGAAGTAGGGAGGCAGATGACTGCCCCAGTGGAGGGAGAAGGGTATAAGAGAGGGATGCCCTCCTTCCTTGTGTGTGTTTGTGTGTTTGTGTGTGTGTGAGAGAGAGAGAGAGAGAGAACTTCCAGGCTTCCAGTTCCCTCCTCCAGCCACATTCAATTTCTTCCCATCCTTCCCATCTCTCTCCTTGAAAGTCCCAGTGGGGAAAGGTGATCTCACCAGGCTTCAAGCTGCTGCCTGGATGGCTCTGAGCAGGGCTGGCTGTTTCACCCCAAGCTGAGCACCATCTGATCACCTAGAGGCAGTGCTGGGGCAGGCTGAGCTCTGACCTGTAGGAGGGATGCTGACAGTGGCTATGTCAAGATGGGAGCCTGGCTTCTGCTCTCAGGCCTAGGTCTGGCCAAGACACAAAGTAGAAGCAGCAGGTGGTGACCAGGAGTGTTAGTCAAAAATCAATAAATCCTCATGCCCCCTCTCAGGAAGGACCTGACATCCCACAGAAAGGAAGGCAAAGAATCCTACATACATATGCATGTGAGCATCTGTGTACTCAAACGTGTTTATGTGCATGCTGACTTGAGGAGACGTTAGCACACATCTCCATGTTATCTGTATGTCCATAAGTGCACACACACGCATAGACACACAGACACACACAGTTCCACAAAGTGGTTCTGCCAGTGACCAGCTGTGTGAAATGAGCAGATAATCCAAGTCTTAGTTTCCCCATTGGTAAAGTGGGAATTCAAAGCAGTACACATCTCCTTGGATTGGCATAAGGATTCAAGATCATGCACAGCATGCTCCGAGCATAGTATCTGTCATATAGTCTAAGCGCTCAAATGTGATTGCGTATTTTAGTCTATGTGCATGCAGTTGGGGATGCTATGCAAAACTATATTCGTGTTGCCTATGTTTATGTTTGTGCAGAAAAATAATAGCAGCCATGCATTGAGTGTTTCTGTGCCAGACCCTTAATATGTATGGGGATGTATACATATGAGAACGCTTATGTTTTCTGGTGTGTGTGTGTGTGTGTGTGTGTGTGTGTGTGTGCGCATGTGTGCAAGCATAAATTTTCTCTTTGAAGAAATTGAAAATAAAAAAGACATTAGGATCACATGTGCTGGGCATTTCTTTCTCTTTCTCTCCCCCAATCCTGGGATCTAATGACTATTAGAGAAATCGTTAACCCCATGTGCTCCCCCTCAGCCCCGCTCTGTCTCTAGGGAAGTTTCCATTGTTCCTGGAGGCTCTCTCTCCTGTGGATGACCTGCAACGTGCCTGGGGCAGGGTAGGGGAAAGGGGTGGGCATGGCAGATGGAGCCTCTCTGCCTCTGCAGACAGCTGGGAGCCTGGACCACGGGCTCCCGTCCCCCAGGATCGCCCTATCTCCACTCCACTTAGCATTTATATAGCTCTCTGTAATCAGCAGGCAGTTAATCTGCACAAAGCTCAGAGCCCAGGGAGGACAGGCTCCAGGCTCCTGGAGGCCGGGAGGTTAAGTGTCTCAATCAAGGTCTGGCACACCATGCGGGGCTAATGGATGACTTTCCCCATTACCTTGGGAAAGTGTGAACCTCAGCTTCTACTTCTAAAGCAAAAATGAGACCTCGATATAACTGAGACATTCTTTCCTCCAGCCAGTCCCTTGTCCCAAGATCTGAGATATTTTGCCGGAAAGTTCTGCCATTTGGGCAAACAAATCTCAACAACCTAATGCCACACAAGAAGCTGGTATGTACACTGTGTCCATCTCTAGTCCAGAGGGCTCTGCTGACCCCTTTTCAGCCATGTCCCAGTAAAGTAGAAAGGGGACAAGTTCTCTTCCTATTGCTTCCCTATCCCTGTTTTGCACGTGGTAAATGACGGTGCCAAGAGAAAACCAGAGGCCAGCATGAGTCCGCGGAAGCTGGGCCTGGCCCCGGCCCTCACGACCAGCACTTCAGCCAGCCAGATGCCCTTTGCAGCCCCCTCACTGGCATGATTGGCAGCCTCCGAGAGCTGGTGGCCACGCACTATTATTAGCAGCACTTGACATTTTCCTAGAGCATTGGTCTAAAGTAGGCCATGAATACCCACAGTTGCTTCCCCTCCACTGCTGCCTGTGAGTCTGCCCTGTCCTCCTCCCACCAGCTCCTGGGGGCTGCAGCCATTGGCTCAAGGCCTGTCCCCGCATAATGGGGTTGGAAATGGCTCCACCACCCCAACCCAGTGTCACTCCCACACTGAATTTTCTTCTTTTTTCTCTGCTCTCCTTTGAGACCAATTTATCACCCACCTCCTTCTGCCATCACAAACTCATGGATTTCTTTGTTAGATCCCTTGTCCAAGGCTGTTTCCAATTGTTCATGGATTTAGGAAATGAAAAAATTTGTCCTTCCACACAATCCTCTTTGAGGCTGATCAGACTGTACTCCCAGGAATAACACCAAAGCTGGGGTAGAAAGTGCCCTTCGCTGCTGTTCTTTGCTCAACCTTTGATTAGGGGATGTGTTATGAAACTGGATTCAAGTTCTGAATTTGTGCCTTACTTGCTGTGTGATCTGGAGATGGTCACTTGCCCTCTCTGGGCCTTGGAGACCTCATCTGTAACAGGATTAAGTAGATACCCTCTCAGGTCTATTCTTGTCTGATGGTACCCTGTTTTCTGTAACTATGGTGGGGGTGGGTTGCCCCGATCATGACCCCAAAGATATTTGATGGAAATTGCTTGATGGTAAGAAGCAACCTGACCCAGACCAGCATTTAAACTGGGATTCCACTGCCCCCCATGAAAAGAGAGGCTCCCAGGAAATGTCAGAGCTGAGCCCTCCTGAACCATGTGATTCCAGTGTGTCCTAGTAAGCAAAGGGCTGCATTCTACTGTCTGAGGGGCACACCTTCTGTTGCCTCAGTTTCTTTCTTAGACTTTAAAATGGTAGAGAAATCACCTCTCCTACAACTAATGGTGTCAAAATTAAAAAGTCATGGAGGCAAAGTCAGCTGAGCTGCTTTGGAAGCAGTGACCTGGGGGGCACCCAGACCTGGCCCATGGTGGATGGAGAGGCTGCAGCTCTGAACTCCAGAGGGCCAGAGCGCAGCAGGAGCCCTCCTCAGGTCCTGAGTTGGGGGCAGGGCATGAGCCAGGAGCTTCAACATCAGGTTCTCTTCTTGGTGAAGGGAGCCGCAGCTTCCAGGCCTCCAGCTCCAATGCCAACAGGGGCTGGAAGTAGAAATGACCACTGTGTCCTGGGACATCAGGCTTCCAGATGTGAAATTCCCAGGGGAGGAGCTATGTCACTTGCTGATTTCTTGAGGTCCAAGGATTCAACACCCGACAGACAGACTGTGCGCACACTGGAGCCCAGCCGTTCCCTTCCTTTTCCCATGGGTGCCGACCATGGTGCCAGCTCCAGGTACCCCATGGGGACACCATGAAGGAGGAGACAGCACCCACCTGCCTGGTGCTGCGGAGACCCTGTTTGTGCTCTTGTTCCCAGGAGGCTCTGATTTCACACCCACGTTCGGGGAGTTCCCTGTGATGGCTAAGGACTCATTTGGTCAGGCAGCTCTCGGCCTGGGAAATGCTGAGGACATTTCAACACAATCTACTTCCAATTCTGGCAGTCAATAGAATGGCAGAGGGTCCCAGCGAGCTTCTTGGAAGCTAAAGTTAGTCCCCAGGGCACAAGGGATCTTCTGACCAAGAGGTTTAGAAGACTAACTCATGCTGTTGTCTGGAGTATCTTTGTCTATTAACGGAGTCAACCAAAGGCCAGGCCATGGGGCCCAGTTTTATGACACTAGTGTCCCTCTCTTGGGCACAGCCATCTGAGGCCCACAGGCTCTATCCACCCTCCTGACATCCCCAGATCCTTGGGTCAGCTTCTCTCAAGAAACAAGGCTGTTTTCCCCACAGCTTCAGATCCTCACCAGCCTTCTGCAGAGTCAAATGTGAGACCCAGATGCAGGTCTCTTTCTATAGGGAGGGTCTTGTTTTGGAGAGAATGACTTGAGCCAAACCCTTGGGGCTGATCTGCTTGAACTCAGAATTTATGGGGAAACAGGAGGTGTTTCATATCTCCTTTGCTTGCAGGTTTAATCTGGAGTGCTGCAGAAATCTGAGAAATAGCCTGGCAGCCAGGGGAGGAGGGGGATGGGCACACAGGATGCCATGGGGACAACTTCTGGGGTTTCAGAGGTTGTGAGAGCAGTGACCAGTTCTATCCCTGTAATGCTGAGTGACCTAGGGCAAGTGTGTGGGCCTCTCTGAGCTCCATTTCCCCCTGGACTACTTCCTGCAGGAAGAGTAGAGTGTCCCACGAAATCCTTTGTCTGGGACTCTCCTGGTCGCACATCACATCTCCAAATACAGACATTGCACATAAGTGCCCAGGTGCAACTAGAAGAATACATAGGAAGCAGTGTGACATAGGAGGGGTCCTCAAATCCAGACCACCTCTGCCACTCACTAGTTGTGTGACCTTGAGCAAGTCACTTACCTTCTGGCACATTTTGGGGTGCATTACACCAAAGTGAATAGAGCTCAGCTTCTGGGCCTACACTTGCACACTCAGCCCCTTCTAAGGCCTATGTATCTAAGTTGTACTTATTATATTTTGGTCTTAAAGAAGGTCTCCAAATGGTATGTCTCACCCCACAAATCTAGATCTGCCCCTGCTTCCAGGCCTCTACTTTCTCTTTTGTGCAGTGAAGAAAAACTTTAAAGTTCCTATGACTTGAAAATGTTCTGAATCTATGTGTCTAGTGTTTGTCTCTGAGCATCTGGGCACAAAGAAGGGAGCCCAGAAAGAAAGAGAGAGACCAGAGCAGTAGCTGGAAAGGCAACATGGCAGGTGCGAAGGGAAGTCAGGAAAGGTGATACACAGGTGGGGTTCACTGTGGGGTACCTAGGAATTAGGTAGACAGCTGTCGGCAGCCTGGGGGCTGCTGACTACTCATTGATAGGGCTTGGGCTTAATGTGGATTTGCCACACATTGGGCAGGGTTTGCGCTGATCTAAGCAGCGCTCTCCTAGCCAGCTCCTTCCCATTTGTTATTTCCTCCTGCCAATGCTTGGTCTGTCTCAGAAGCCTTCTCTGCTGAGAAACAGCCTCTATGTAGGTGTGAAGGTGGTGGGATGTCTTTGGGGCTTGTTGAGAAGGCAGGGCGCAGGGCTTTCAGAGCTTCTCAGGAAAGAGGATGGACATGAAGGTACCTGGAGCCCAGCGTCTGCCCATAAACAGGGCTCACAGCTCCACGGCTGGTCCAATATCCCTTCTAATCCTGTCTTACACGGACAACCTTCATCACAAAACATTTACAACTAGGGCCAGGCCCTGGGTGACCTCAGAACCCAGCACGCTGCTGGGGCAGGTGTTGTGGGGCTGGGATGTGCCAGCAGGCATGGGGGAAGCAGGTAGGCAGTTTTGTGCGTGTTGAGGAAACGACTGCAGGGCTGAGCTGATTTGGCTCCTAGAAGACAACAGTGATGTGGGTGGGACTGGGGCCTGGTTTGGCAGTGGGCAGGGTTGGGCGACTCACAGAGGTGTTCTGGCACTGTACGCTGGAGCTGTTGAAGCGCAGGGCGGGCACTCGCTGCTCGCTGCCCTGAATGTTGAGGATGCATTCGTAGCCACGCTGCCCAGACTGGGGCTGGGGGAGGTTCTTGGCCTTCAGCGTGATAGGCTTGATCACCTCCACGGGCACCAGGATCTTGTCCACTCGCAGCAGCTGGGGGCAGTCCTGGGGACAGAGGGCATGGCTCAGGCTGGGCAGCCAGGAAACCAAATGAGCAAGGACCTCTGCAGACATAACCCGGATGTTCCCTGTCTCCACCCTTCCATGGACACACCCACAGGCGACCCCTGAGGTGCTCGTGCCCACCCAGTGGGCAATGCACTGAGGACAGAAATGAAACTGAGGAATCCGAAGTCCTAGTGTCATATCTTGAGGTGGTCCCCACCCTCTTTGGGTTCCATGAAAACCTTCCCTATGCAATCTGGATTCTCTGACACTCCTGTAGCCTCCTCCTGGCACCCTTCTACCCTAGTAGAGACTGCCTCTGCGGGCTAGGCCTCCCCTCCCACTGGGGACTGATGATTTCTTTGCCTGCTAAGTTCCAGGCTGTCAAGAATTGGGATGCACAGACCATGTGAGAAGCTCCGCAGAGAGGCAAAGCCCTGGGCCCTGTTCTGCCCCTGGAATGTGAGTCTTGACTGCCGCAGGGAGGCTGGGAGGGCCTTCCCTAAATGGGCTGAATCTGATGTTTGAGAATGTTCTGGAATGGGCCCCAGAGGCCTCATAAATCCAGAAAGCTTCTGACCAAGCTCTAGGATGTCCTGGCCCCAAAGAAATGCCTCTCAGAGTAGAAACACTCTGAGCTCTTTCTGGATGCTAGCAATGGGCACACTTAGCCCTGGAGCCACAGGAGCCCAGATGGCCTTTGGGATGGAGACAGTGAATCACTGGGCCCCTTTTTCCTGGGGCTATCAGCTTTGTCCAGGGAGGGCTGGGGACATAAGGAGGTCAGAAGAAGGAGGGTGGGTGCTCTGCCCAGTTGAGTGGTAGGAGCTGGTGTGTTGCTGTATTCTCAGGAGCTGTGTGGAGGAGAGTCAGTATTCTAGCTCTTGCTGATGGATGTGGGCAGGCGTGAAGCCTTCCATAACACAAGCATGGCCTGGGCATCCCCTGTGCCAGGCAGGTCCCACCATCCCCCAGATTCCTCCATCTGTGGCACTGTCTGGGGCATGCCAAGACAGATGGCTCCTGGGCAGGTTGATCATCAAAAGCATGACGCACGTGTTCTTTCTGATGGTGCTTTGTCATGGGCTCACCACCAACTCTCAGCAGAGGCTTCTCACCCCGCACCTTAACACTTGTCCTCAGCAGAGTAAGGCAGAAAGGAAGCCACTGGGAAATGGTGGAAGGGAGGGGTTCTAGGCAGTTAGGCAACTGGCAGCTGTCCCTCCCAGGTCCCAGAGCAAACATGAGCCAAATATCTCCCTGTGCCATTGCGAGTTACACCATAACAAGACTTAGGCTCAGAGGGAGAAGGCTTGAACTAACTCTAGTACCCGTGAGCTGCTGATGAGCTCTGGAACTCTGAGCACATCACAGCCCATTTGAAACTCAATTTCCTTATCTATCAGTTGAGTGGGACTCCAAGGCCCTAACCATCTTAACTCATCATGATTCCATGATTTGGAGTGGTTGTTCTCTCCATCCTTTCTGATCATCCAACCAGAAAAGAGGAGGGAAAGAGAGGCAGGGGAAATGGAAGCAAGAAAGGGAGAGAGAAAGCTATAAGGGAAGCTAGGAGACAGAGAGGAAGCTGGAGGAGCAAGACCATGGTCCACAGATGGACCAGCAGTGGAGCCTTGTTTCATGGGAGTGCCCCAGGCCCATTAAACTAATCCCTCCTCCCACACCCCTACAGGCTGCTCACACCTTTATCCTGAAGGGCAGCTGAAAGAGGAGCCGCAGATCCAGAAATTCCACTCCTGGGTTTACGTGCCCAGAGGAACTGAAAACAAGGACTCAGAAATCTGCACACCCATGTTCACAACAGCATCATTCACAACAGCCAAAAGGTAGAAGCAACCCAGGTGTTCACTGAGGAATGAATGGGTAAACAAAATGTGGCCTATTCATACAATGGAATATTACTCAGCCTTAAAAAGGGAGGAAACTCTGCTATAACATGGATGAACCTTGGGGACATTATGCTCAGTGAAATAAGCCAGCCACAAAATGGCAAATACTGCAGGGTTCCACTTGTGGGAGGTCCCTTGAGCAGTCAAATTCATAGAGACAGAAAGTAGAATGGTGATGTCTAAGGGGAGGCAGGATGGGTAGTTGTTTGATGGGAACAGAGCCTCAGTTGGGGATGGTGGTGACAGCTGTACAACAATGTGAAATGTACTTAACGCCACTGAACTATATCCTTAAAACCGGTTCAGATGGTAAATGTTATGATATGTGTATTTTGCCACAATTATAAAACAATGAAGAGGAGCAGCAGGCAGGCGGGCCAGCAGGAAGAGAACAGGGGCCTTGGTCTTGGCCTTCACCTTGCATGTGGTCTGAGGCTCTACAGTGTGTGGGTCTCTGGAGACGCCAGTAGCCACTTGGGGAGAGTCTTAGCAGCTCCATCCTGTGCCCCCCACCACAGCCGCTACTCTAGCAAGGTGGGAATGTGGCACACAGAGGAAAGAAGCGATTTGTGAAAATGATGGAGCTCAGAACTGGGGCGGGAGGAGAGTGATGTTGGCAGCTCGAGGAGAGCAGATCCTTGAGAATGGGGTTGCTGTGAGTCCAGGCTCCACTAGACTCCACCCTCCCTCTGCCTGAGCCCTGGGCAGCTTTCCCTCCCCTGAAGCAGCAAGGAGCCTGACTGTCTCTCCTGCCACAGTCCCTGGAGGGAATCAGATCTGGTCGCACTGGGAGTGAGAGCCAGGAGGCCCTGGAATCTCTTCCCACCACCTCCCGCCATCCACATGTTGCCACTGAGAAATGAGGCCCTGAGGGTATGGGAATCTCAGAATCCTCTGACTACCCTCATGGACCCCATCTATTTTGCAAAGGAGAAACTGAGGCAAGGAGAGCAGAAAGAAGGGCTCAGTATCAGCAGATGAGCTGGTAGCTGAAGAACTCAGATGCCAACTGCCTGAGTCACCAAGTTTCTGCCCTTCATGAAACAGGAGAGTTCCCACCAGTGGGCAGGACCACCTCAGGATGGGCTGGTCAGTCAGCAGGGGTCCCCCTGAAGTCCAGGGGACTCGGAGCTGTGAAACCCTCCGGAGCTGGGCTGGAACCCTGCCTGGGGGCTGGACTGTTCTTGTCCAAGACATGGGGAGCAGCAAAACCTGTCTCCCACGTCCCCTGTAAGATTCTTAGTGAGGCTTGTGATGAGTTCTCTAATGAGTCCTGATTATCGGTAGCCCCATAAAGGCCTAGTTTGCATATAAAAAGGTTGGCAGCTCTGAGAGTAAGTTCATTAATAATAACTGGAGAGGCCCAGGGCTGGGCTGGGCACATTTTCCTCTAGTGGCGCTGCTGATTGACCCCAGTGTCCCTCCTAATTGAAATGTAAAACGGCAATTTCTCCCTAGGCACCAAGGCATGAAGGGACCACTTCCACCACCCTGCCCCTTCCTCCCACCCCAGCATCCCAGATCCTGACCTGCCCCGCGCTGAGATTCCAGATGCAAAATCACCTACAGATCTGACACTCCAGGGCAACTTCGGATAAACTTTCATGTTCCTCCAGGATGTGAGCCCGAGGCCCTGTTTCATGGCCCAGGGACTCAGGGCACCCAGACCTTTATCTTCACCTTGAAGGCTTCTCACCCAGCAGGAGTCTGGCTGGGAATCCTGTAACTGTGAGAACAAGTCTGTCTCCCCACTCCTCGGCTAGTTTCAGAGTCTTGAACAAGTGCTCTCACCATTGCTTGGCTTAACCATGACTAGGGACTGAAAATTCCTCTCCCAAATGACCATTTTGGGGATTCCATAAACTAACACATATAAAGCGTCTGGTCCGGGGTGAGTGGACATTCAGCAAATGTTTGTTCTTTCCTCCTCTTTCCTCCCAACCCAGGTTGCGTCTTGTCCCTCATCTGCTCCCTTTTTCCACCTCATTTCCAAAAGACCCATCTCCCTTGCTCCTGCCTCCATGTAATTTTCTGCAAATACCCCAGCAGTTCCCACCCAGCTTATTCCACTCCTCTGGGCTTCACATCTTAGGATAACTCTGCCTAACTTAAATAGCTCTAAGTGTCCCAAACACAAGGGGGACTGGCAGGGAGGTCCCAGTTCTGGCCACTGCTCCCTGAACAGCAGCCTCCACTTCTGGGAAGTGACATTGTAAAGTTGCATGCTCCATGTGCTATGAGACAGGAGATCTGCCAGCCATTTGGCCTTGGGCAAGCCCCTCAAACCCTCTGAGTCTCTTTATTCATAAAATGAAGGGATTGGTTTGGATTCGATGAATTGTGTAGTCCCTGGAATATTGTGACATCAGAAATATATATTGGGTCTTTTCCTCTGGCTGCTGGCACGGTGCTTCTAAAACCTTTGGAGTTTTCTGAATGATTGGTGGAAAAGGAGCATCTTTTGTTATTCACAGCAAGCCCTTTTCCACTATACCTGAGTTTATGTTCATGAGGTGACTCCTGGAGGATGGGGGTATGTTGCCAGAGGATCCACACATGTAATTAGAGGATGGCACTTCAGCCCTCTCCTCTGGGGAAGGGAGAGGGGCTGGTGATTGAGTTCAACCATCAGTGGGCAATGGTTTAATCAATCATGCCTATGTAAATCAGCCTCCATCAACACCCTAAGTGAAGGGGTTGGGAGAGCTTCCCTGGTGGTGAACAGGTGGCGATGCTGACAGGGTGGTGTCCAGAGAGGACAAGGAAGTTCTATGCCCCTTCCCATACCTTGCTGTAGGCACTGCTGCATCTGGCTGTTTATCTGTATCCTTTGCAACACCCTTTTAAAGAAACTAGTAAACGTAAGTAAATGTTTCCCCGAGTTTTGTGAGCTGTTATAACAAATTATCCAATCTGAGGAGGGGATTGTGGGAGCCCCTGACTTATAACTGGTGGGTCAGAACTGCAGGTGACAACCTCAGATTTGCAATTGGCATCTGAAGTGGAGACAGTCTTTTGGGACTCAGCCCTTTAACTTGTGAGATCCAATGCTCACTCTGGGCAGGTAGTGTCAGAAATGAATTGAGTTCTAGGCTACCCAAGTGGTTTCTGCAGAGGATTGGAGAATTGCTTGGTGTAGAAAAAAGCCCCACGCATTTGCTATTGTGTTAAGCATAGAGAAGAACGGTTTGTTTTCCTTTTAGTCCCAGTTCTATCCACTATTAATAGCTGATAATCTGGAATATATAATTGTATGATCTTTTTGAAGCTCAGTTTTCCCACCTCTAAAATGGGGATAATAATACCTGCAAAACTAGCTCAAAATGTGGCATTCAGCAAACCAGTGAATGAATACTGAAGGCATGGGGGAGGTGGGCCTCCAAGGGGCGGCTCTTCACCTATCAGCAGGGACATGTTTTAATATTTTAATAATTGGTACGTTGCAACCTGGTATGGTTGTCCAGTTGAGCAACTGGCTCTGATAGGCAGCATGGGATACTGCTGTGATTCTAATTAACATGGTTAACTTGGTACAAGCATTCAATTCAGTGTCCATTCCACTACCTCCATCCCCTTCCACATATTTTCCATGTGCTATATTGTTTCAGACACACACACAGACACACATGCACAAACACATATAAGATCACTCCTATGTTCTAGATAAAGACACTAAGGACACCGTTTACGTCACTCTGCCCATGGCAATGATGAGCACAGTATTTTCACCCAATCACCGTACTGACCTTTATCCACAGATGATGATCCAGCTTCCACCCAAAACTCCTCAAAAACATACTGCCCTTCTCTTTTGAGGCAAGCCGTATCTCTGAACTATGATTTGAAAGGGCCAGCTTTTGGAGGATGGAAAACACCTGTATTTAATAAGATTCTTTGGAGACACATGCATGCCAAAAGAACCCAACTCCCTCGGAGGCTGTTTTGCCTGTGGCTACATTCTGCAGTTCTAAGAATGCAGGGGGGTGAGAAGTGGCAGCAGCTCGAGGCACAAGCACACCTTTAAAGGCCTGGCATTCAGGAGGTGACTCCAGCGAGCTCCAGGTCAACTGTCCAGCCCCATGCACATTTTGGTCTCCACTGAAATGCACACAAAATACAAATCGCACTGCTAATTGCAGAGGGCAGGAACACGAAGCCAAAGTATAAAAGCGAGAATGATGACTTTCTATCCACCATGTCCAGCACGTTAGTGACTGCTTTATACAGAGGCTTCATTGCATATTTAAATAATTGAACAAGGACATAAAGAATGCAGCCTAGCTGGGAGAGAAAAGGCTGCCTTCAGGGCTGGTGCTGCCTACAGACTGGGGGGATAGGCCCTTGAATTTATAGCCCCTAGTGTGTTTACAAAATGAGGGCTTTAATTCTCCTATTGTTACAGCAAGATTGGGGAAAACAGAGCTCTAGGGAAGAACAGGGACCTGGGGAAGCTAAGGAAGAAATGATTTGCAGGTCACCTCTCCTCTGTCCAAGTCACCTCAGCCTTCATCAGTCCCAAAGACAAGCCAGCCCTAACCCCAACCAACCCTCCAAATTTATACTCACCTTCTCAGAACCACAGTGCCCAATACAAAAATGTAACGCATCATATATTTTCTTGCTGTTCCCCAAGTTTATAATGTCATTAGTGTGATCTATGACAGGCTGGTTCATAGAGAGAGCAAAGTAATAATATAAAAAGGAAATACCCATAACCTGAAGTGGGGAGGGGCAGGCAAGATTGATGGAAAGTGCAGTTGTCTGGAGGAATGGCAACCCAGTAATTGAATACCTGGAGTGGGGGTGGTGCATGGGTGGGGAGCGTGTTCTGTAGCTGGATTTGCTTTTTTTTTTTTTTTTTTTTTTTTTTTTTTCACAGCAGGGTGAAAGGCATGGCAGGGGTGGTTTGGTTCCCTTGGGTTGGATCCCAGGAATGCCTTCCCTGCAAGAAGGGAAGCAGAATTGCTGACAAAGTAGGTTGGTGATTTCCCTCCAGAGTCCAGTCGGTGGGTCAATGCCCTTGGTCTGCTCCTGTCTCAGGGCATGGGGCTTATTTCAGCACCAGGGGCAAGCGGCAGCCCATGAGCTAGGACTTTCTCGGCCTTGCCGGCTCTTCAGTCCTGGAGAGGACTTGATCCTTTTGATAACGGATTTCATCCTGGCTCTGAATTTCTTTTCAGGGGTGTTGGGGTATTAGGGGATGTTGGGAGAAGCTTTCAAACACAGCTTTGCAAATCAAATAGAATTCATTTTGCCTCCTCTGATCTTACAACTATTCTCTGGAGTAGGCAGGCTGGTTGAACTTCAAGAGAAGAGGCGTTCCTGAGAGCCTCCTTGGTGAGCTTGCACACCTGGGGGCCAGATGTGCTTTGCCCTCCTTGCAAAGCCTCTCTAGTCTGGTGCCCAGAGAATACAGCTTCAGCAGCAGCTCACTTTGCTTTTCAGTTTAGATGAGAAAAAACAGCAAAATAGTCCATCAAGGACAAATTCTTGCCAATGGATTTGCTTTTGCAAGGAAGTTCACCTTTGTTCCTCAAGCATCATCTTTAAGTGTGAATGCCTGATGGGAGGTCCAGGTTGGCCTGTGGAGGAGCTGGGGATGGATTCCAAAACCACCTGGGGACCAGTGGCTGCTCCTGCTCAGTAGAGGGGTGGGCATGGCTTTGTTAATGGCTACCCAAGGCTCTGGCAGCTGATCTGAAGGCCCAGGGCTGTTATCATAATGCCATCATTAGTTGAAACAAAATCATTCTTTGTAACTGGAATATAGTTACTATAAACAACATATGTTATTGGGCATTCTATTTCTAATAATTGTAATTATGGTAGAATACTTGCCATTAATATAATAACAACAATGATTGACCAGTTCTCTGTTCCAGTCCAATAACTTCACCTGAACGCATTCTTTGTTCAGGAAAAAAAAAAGGTAATTCAATATCCCTGATAGTCAACAAAGCTACTGTTGAAATGGAAGACGCACAGATGAAAGCATTCCTGAGATGCAAGATGGTGCCGGGTAGATGAAAAGCCACCTGTCAGCCTCACTGTTAGCTAACAAAAGGACACTGTCTGCATCCCCTCACTCAAAGGGTAAAAGGAAATGAAAACCCCAGAGATTTGCAGAAGAGTCACCAGGGCCTGGGTATACCTTCATTCCAAGAGAGTGGGCCTTGGGCTGGACGTTCAGTGGAACTGCAGGCCCTGAGGGTATGGGTCACCCTGTTAGGTAAAGGTGGTCGACCTAAGCCTTGACTTGACACTCACTCTATAATCGCCAGCCCCCCTGACCACTTTTTGGGCATGGATTTATCTTGGGGGCTTTCCAGCTGCTTTCTACTTACAATGACAGAACTTTAGAGATGATGTAGACCAAAGGCCTCATTTTACAGATCTCTAAACACAGATCTCCATAGATCTTCTTCACCTTTAAACCTCTCACAATGCCTTGAGTATGGTTGAAATGCTTAGGGTAATGAAGAATGAAGAGTTAAATCATAACAAAACTTCAGATTATCGTGCTGTGAGTAAGCTCTTCCCCTAGAGTGGTGACAGGACATAGGTGTCTGGGGGCTTCCACAAAATCACCTTTTAATTGGGTAGTTTTTTTTTACCCCCTACTCCTGCTACTATATCTTCCCAGAAAAATATACAGTAATGTTCCACAGAGGGATGTTTCAGTCAATGACAAACTATATATATAGAGCAGAAGTCTCATAAGATTATAATATTGTGTTTTTACCATGCTTTTTCTATGTTCAGATGTGTTTAGATACCCAAATACTTCCCATCGTGTTATAATTGGCTGCAGTATTCAGTACAGTTACCTGCTGTACAGGTGTGTAGCCTAGGGGCAATAGGCTATGCCATATAGCCTAGGTGTGCAGTAAGCTACAGCACATAGGTCTGCATAAGTACACCCTATGATGTTCGCACAATGACAAAATTGCCTAATGACACATTTCTCAGAGGGCATCCCCAACAATAAGCAGCCCATGACTGTATATTGCTAAAATAAGTACATATAGAATGTAAAAATATAGCAAGCAAAACAAAACAACAACATAAAAAAATCCTCATATTTACACTAGCAGCCAGGAACTGTCTTTTGAGTTCTGAGGACAATGACCTCCTTTCACTGACCCCAAATGGCTGGAGTCAGTCAGTAGTCCACACATACTTCTTTACTTGTTTCCTCTTTGCCACATTCACTAGGAAGATGCTACAACAACCATCGCCAGGTGGCCAACTCTGGTTCACCTCTATGCTCACATTCAAAATGGCCCTGGGATTGAGCTGGGTAGAATGCAGCCTCCAAACCTAGACCAGAAGCTCCCCATTAGAGCTTCCTTTTCTTAGAATAAATAAACATCCAAGGTAAAGAGGAGCCAAAATGTATTCCATGTGATAAGGGAGGCATGGGCGATTCCAAACTACCCCAGAGCCCCTCCCTGCCATGGCCTGCCAGGCTCACCATACTATGGCTCATGGGAAATGGAGAGGATTTCAGTATGGCAGCAAGAGCTTAGTACATACAGCTCCATATCCTTCTCTCGGCCATTTCCTCCAGACTAATTCCTTTCTCCGGGGCCCTGGCATCCCATCCTCTGAGATGCTGTGAATCCCCAGCAGTCTTTGCTTGTGTCAGGTATAGAGGGGTTTCCCACCTGGCTTGGAGTCTGGGTGCTTGAAGCCATCATTCTTCTAAAGGGATCTCTGCATTGCCCTGGGACACATGGTGGGCTCTTATTTTATTCTTTTTTTTTTTTTTTTTTTTGAGACAGGATCTTGCTCTGTTGCCCAGGCTAGAGTGTAGTGGCTTGCTCATGGCTCACTGCAGCCTCAATCTCCCAGGCTCAAGCAATCCTCCCATCTCAGCCTCTCAAGTAGCTGGGACTACAGACAGGCATCGCCATGCCCAGCTTACTTACTTACTTACTTACTTTTATTTTTTGTAGAAAAATAAAAATATTTTTCTATTGGGGAGAGTTTACTATGTTGTCCTGACTGGTCTTGAACTCCTGGACTCAAGTGATCCTCCCACCTTGGCCTGCCAAAGTGCTGGTACTACCACGCCTGGCCTTATTTTATTCCCTTCTGGTTCTTTTTCCCTCTTTCTGAGCAACAGAAGGAGGCTCCTCTTCTATACTTAAAAGAAAGAAATTTGGTACAAGAAGAGCAAACAAGAAAGAAAAAGCAGAAATGCAAAAGCTTCTTGCAAGGTAATTAAATGATTAGAGGCCTTCAAAATCCACCAGCTAGCTCAATTGTTTTTGCTTTCAGTTTACTCTTGGGCCTCTCCGCACATAGAACCTCTGCCAGATATGGCAGTCTGGAAAGCTGGAGAGAAGCTGAGGACCACTTTGTCTCAACTCCCATCAAGTTATTTGCAGGTTTCAGACCAGAACAAGAAAAGGATTCTTCTCACATCCCTGTCCCCAGCCTTGGTAGGTCAACCAGTCCTTCTGCTCCTGAAACCACACCCTGAGACAGGCCTGGCCAGGCTGATGAGACTGTGCAGCCTTTTATCAAGGACATGCCCTTGCTGTCTGACTCACCTCATTCTTATTACCTTTATATCCATGTTGTCTTTGTTAAAGTAGAGAACTGACACATAAGTATGAGATTCACACTCTTACATAAAATCCAAGATGCAACCACTCTCCTCCCTTTCCCTATAAAGGGACAATCTCAGCCAGGGTCTCTTTTCCTGACTGTGAATCCATAGTAGCTATTTCCAGGCATGAACAGATTCCCACAGAGAGGGAGTTGGTTTTGTGTCTGAGGCTTCCATAATCTCTTCTTTTTTCTGTCTGAAACTTGCAAGGAACTTCATGGGAGCTGAGACAAAGGTTTTCAGCCTCTCTCCAGCTTTCCAGACTAGTGTATCTAGCAAAGGTTTTATCTAGCAAGGAGGTCCAAGAATAAAATGCAATCAAAACATTTGAGCTATGTGGAGGCTTCCAAAGGCCCCAAGTCATTTCATTATCTTAATGAAGGTTTTCAAATTTCTACTCTTTCTTTCTTGTTTGCTCCCCTTGTCTGTTACTCAATCAGGATCATCCTCTCTCCAGACAACATCTCCACTCCTTGCTTTTACTTCTAAAATCAATCACCCTGCTTACTGTCCACCTGTAGAACTCCTGCTCAGCCATCAGGATTCGGGCAAAACGGGATTTGGGCCGGGATTTTCTGATGGCTAAGCACAGTGCAGTCACTACCCACCGTGCTATGGGAGCCCCCATGCAGCAGGTGTTAGTGTGGGGTGTACATTGACCTTCCCTTTCAGCCTCATATAATAAACAGCTTCTCTCCTCCCATGAGGGTTTGGCCAAAGGTAGGATTCTTAGTGGGGTATGAGTCTGGGATGGGGAGGGCACTTGATGGGCCTGTGTGTTCTCTCAATGCCCCTCCTGCCCCCCTCCCCCCACCAAATCCCCTATGCTTCCTGCACCTGGACAGGTCCCTTCTCTCACAGCTGTGGGGCTGGCCACATGGTCATGACACCTGTGTGGTGTGTTAAAGGGGTCTGAAAGATACACGCAAGACTAGGGGTTGCAGGTGAAGGTGCTGGAGCCTGCTGAGTCCAATATTGGCTGAGAGAGTGCAAGAAACACTGTCATGTTTGAACAACAGAATTTTCCAGAGGTATACCTGTTATCCCAGAAGTCCTTGCCCACACTCTGACATTCCAAGACAGGTAACAGCATAGGCAGAAAGTATTTTTGGTACAGTGAGGATGAGTGTTCAAGAAGAATAAAAATTCAGAGGGAATAGAAAAGTCACATTTTAGCCTTAGAGCCAAACAGTATCTCAGCGATTCTTCAACCTGGACCGAGCATCAGAGCCACTGGGAGGGCCTGTTTAAGCCCAAGTTGCTGCACCCTGCCCCCGGAGCTTCTCATTCAGTTGGCCTAGGGTGGAACAGAAGACTTCGTGTTTCTAGCAAGTTCTCAGCTGATGCAGATTCTGCTAGTCTTGGAACCACGCTTTGAAAACCACCGCTCTAGCTCACAAGCTGACCATTCTTTCATTCTCATCTCTCTCCCTTTTACTCAGCTTGCCCTCTTTGGGGGTCTCACTTCTCCTCTGTGAACAGTGCCCTGAGGAACAGCTGAGGAGTCTGGACACAGTCCTGCTGTGTACTTACAATTATTTCTAGGACACACCAACACACCCATCTCTTTGGAATCTTTCTAGGACCCACCTGGTGTGTGGAGGATCCTTCTGGTTGGAGTGACCTGGAATACACCTTTGTCTGTAACAGAACCTCCAGGGCTGATCCAGAACCCACAGTCCCAGCACAGAGCTTGGCATATTTCCTGTTTTTATAAAGTGGACCCTTAAGAGCCAGGAAGAAGGGGGTGGTCCTGCACAGTTTTCCTTTGGTTTCTCCTCTTAAGGGAATGCCTCTCTTCTGTGTCCCATGCTCACAACAAGAGACACTCACCACTCTGGCTGCCAGGGACCTACCTCGGGCAGCTTCACTCGGCCTTCCTGGAAGGAGCAGGTCTTGGGGTCATGGGTGCAGACATGCCGGTATTTACACCAGTGGCAGCGGTATGGACTCTCCACGCAGGACAGGCACCTGGGCACAGGGGAAGGGAGGCACAAATCTAAGAACCTGGATGAGCCCAAAGCAGAGGGCTTGAGTCTCTATGGTCTAGCAAAACATTTTTAGTATTAAGAGAAACCACCGTTGAATGTGCAGGAAGGGCAGATCTTATGCACATCTATCCCTTTACTCCCCAAGACCTCAGGAAGCTAATGGTCTCTGGTTTCCTCCCTTTCCCATATGTAGCTGACAACCCCGTTCCCCCAAGGCCAAATTAGCCCTCCTCCATCTCCATGGGATAACATCCTCCTTTTCAAAAGAGGGAATGATAAGGTCTGGAGCAGAGGGCTTGTGTAGACAGACCTAAGAGTTGGGGCAAACAAAAGATTAGGTTTGTATGCAAATTGACTCCGGGTCTCTGCTGCTGAGAAGCCACCTGCACCTTGCCTCAGGAGGAAGTGACTGAGGCTGCTGTCTCACTACGATGGCTCCTCCATGGTTGGCAACCCCACCTTTCCCCTTTACCCCAGGAAACCAAGACAATTTTATAAGAGCTCCTGACTCCTTAAAAGCCCAACATGGTTCCCTTTTCCAAAAACTCAAATGCCTCTCCATACAGGCTATGCCCTTCACGGTATAGATGACCACTGCCCCCAACGCAGGTTTGTTGCTTTGGCCACGAATAGGCCACACTCTCCCCACAAGCCATTCCTCCCTCCAGAGCACCATTTCTTCTGTCCTCCACCTGACTACCTGCTTGACCAAGGAAGAGCTGGTCACCCTGGGCCCTTCTCCCGTGAATCTCTTGGCTGACATCTCTCGGACAGTCCTGGCCATCTTGTGTCATATCTCACCATTACCTGTCCAGCTCCTCTACTAGTCTGTAGGCCATCAACTCCTGGAGGGTAAGGATTGAGTCTTTGTGTTGCATTGATTTTTGACTCCACTGTGTCTAATGAGCAACACATTCCCTTGCACATGGGAGATGCTTAAAATCATTTTATGGGCTTAATGAAAGCTTCACACATGATTTCACCTATTTACTCTGCTTCCCCAGAGGGGAAAGTGGAGGGAGGGATTAGGCCACCGAGTGGTAAAGACAGGGACAGCTTTGCCGCAAGAGGCAAGAGGAGAGTCCCAGGGCTAGAGTAACTCATTTTTGGCTGGGAGGGCCGGATGCCTTCTTACTTGGGGCCCCAAAGAGAGCTAAGCTCTAGACTCACAGCTGCCATAAGCAGATCAATAGACCCTAAAATTCCACCAGCCTAGATCTCTGGTCATGTCAGCTACCTATCATGCATGGAGGGCAAAACAGGAGTATGTTAAAACAAGCAGGGTTTTTTGAGGTCAGGTCCCACGGTTTGCTCTGTGGAACTCTGGGGATCCCATGGAGTTCCTTTGGAGAATGTGTAGTTTTGTGGGGCTTCTGTGGAGAGGGGTTCCAGGCCCCCCAACCTTTAATCAGAGGAGCTCCTGCTTCCATCTATTCTGTATATTGGGCATCCACACCTACTTTCAGTTTAAGATTTCTATGGTGAGAAGAAAAAAAAGGCTGGCCCATTCACAACCTGGTCCAACCCCATTATTTGATAAAGAAAAGATAATATAATAATGGCAAGAACACATGTGGTGCCTAAACACTGGGCCAGACATGGCTGTAAATGCTTCTCCTTAGCATGGCCCTTTTACCCCTTGTGGCTGTCCTGCAGGGTAGGCAGAGCCGATATTCAGAGCTAGCAGCCAGCACAGGGTGCCAGCCAGTGACTGCTCAGATGGGACAGTGCTCCTGCCACGTCAGTTGGTAAATATTTGTGTGACGCCCTTGGAAGGAGCACTGTGATTTCCCTGTTGATAGAGGACACTGGGGCACAGAAGGGTTGAGCTTCTCAGCTGGTCCGGCTACAGAGCCAGAGCCTCGGCCCTCCCCACCTGCCACTGGAAGTTGGATACTTAAGTCAAACAAAGCTCGAGTTGGAGTCAGGCTTCCTGACCCCTAAGCCAGAGTCCGCCCCCCCCCACAGCTTTCTGCCTCCCTCTGGCCCTTACCAGCCTGTCTGCACTCAGCCTGGGCAGCCTGTGGGGAGCTGAGCATGCAATTGAGTGGTTAGACCACTTGCCCCAATCCTGGACACACACTGGGGCTTCTCTCCCTCCTCAGTTCCCTTCTCTGCCCATGGAGCTTGCTCTCTGTTCTTCATGTGGGATGCACCACCCCACAACAGATGGTGGAGATGGAATTGAGTTAGAAGGATTGATGTCAGGGAAGATGTATGCGCTAGGGATGTGGAGAGCCCCACTCCATAAGTTCTCATTTTCTGCTCTTCTAGTCTCTTTCCATTAACCCTGTGGGTACCAGAGGAGAGGGAGTGAGGGAGGCCTCCTCTGGGGCTTCTAAATGGTGACTCCCTGTGGGTACCAGAGGAGAGGGAGTGAAGGAGGCCTCCTCTGGGGCTTCTAAATGGTGACTCCCTGGGAATAGTGATGGGGTTTTCTGATCTTTGGATGAAACTTGACCCCAGGAACGGGAAGTGGGTAAGGCTGGGGCCACTTACGAATTGTGGACGCTGCAATTGTAGAAGACAAAGCTGGTGCTGGCGAAGGTCATGCCGGTCTCCTTTGATTTGAGCTGAAGCTGTACGACATGGTGGTCCCCTACAAGGAGAGATGGCTGAGGGGTCAGGGAATGCTGAGGCCCCAAGCCAGGGATTCCCTGACCAGTGACACCTGCTGGAAAAGGGAGCCTGCTCCCCAGGCGGCTGTTGGCTTAACAGGGCTCTGACTCAGCAGACCCAGTCCCAGGACAACCCTGAGAGCAGCTGCAGAGGGCAGTTCTTGTCTATTCTCCCTGCCCACCGTATCACTTCCACTCTTCCATGTGTACACACACAGATGCACACTGCCAGGGATTCAAATGTGCATTTGCATGCATGATGTCCTGCCCAGACTCACAAAATTGATTCATAACCAGGAGAAACACATATGTAGACTTCTAGGAATCTAGGAATGCTGCCACAAACTGCGCAAGAAGTTTTGCATGTATGTGTGTGTATGCATGAGCTCATTCCCTGTCTCTGTAAAGAGAGCCCCTGTTCTGACACCACTTCCTCTGGGGGGCTCAGGGCTCCACCGGGGCGGGAGACCCTGGAATCCTCATCTGGTGCCAGGGAGGAGCTGCAGCCCATGTTTAATTCACAGCCCTGACCCTAGGCCCCCACTTCAAGCCTTGTTCTTTGCCTTCCCTGAGAGCCTCATTAATCAATCAGCTCTGAACAAATGTGACAAGCACAAATGGGAGGGACAACATGGAATCAATCTGCCCAGGCTGGGCCTGTCCCTCACCAGCATGGAGCCTCTGCCCACTCCTGTCTTTCCCAGGGCAGCTTGCCCCCAACAACAGGCAGCTCTGGGGAGACCCGGTAGGGCAGAGTTGGGGAGGCAGTGGTCCAGGGTCAGAGATCGGCCATGTGAGCATCCCTGCTCCAGCTCAGTGGCCTCCTCCACTGACCCGCCAAGCCAGTGGTGCAGGCTGAACTTAACCACATGTTCTGCTGCTGTCCTGGCCTGCCCCTCCCCACCCTCTCTGCAGCTGTTCCTTGCCCAGGATGAGGGTGACTCTTGGGGGCTAACCTGGGGCTGAGACAGAAGGGCTGTAACAGTCAATGCCAAGGGCAATGGAGGGAGATCCCATCCCCCTCTTCCCATAACACACCCACCATCCCATGCCCCTTCCTCTGACTCTCTCCTGCCTGCAGGTTGCTTTGATCCCCCCACATCTGTCCTGAGTTCTCCTTATCTAGCCAGGAGGAAGAAGTGCCACTCAGCTGTGCCTCCGGGATGCTCACCATTCTCTGTGATGATCCGGGGCACCTCCTTGGCTGCAGGGGAGTAGCACTGGATCTGATTGCCCACGACCAGCCCATCCATCTCTGACAGGTCCTCAAAGGTGCAGTTGACGCCAGCTGACAGCTCCGGGACATTGTACGTCTCCAGGACCAGCTGTGAACAGCCAGGCGGGGGGAGAGAAGGAGGAGGGTGAAATGGGAAAAGGACAGGTATGGAATAAAAAAAGAAAGTGGGAGAGTGAGAGAGATCACAGGGAAAGCAAAGACAAGCAAGAGGCAATATTAACATGGAGAAGAGACTCAGGTTATTAGGAGAGTGGCACAGAGGCCGTGGTGAGATGCAAAGAGACAGAGACAAAAGAAACCTCATTAGGATGGAAATGGATTTGGCCCCAGGAAACAAGAATGCTTAAGGGATTTGCGTGGTGCCATTTTGATCAGGACTGAGGCATGGCTGATGGAGCACCTCTTCCATTAGGCCCAATTTTGGAAAAATAGAAACACCAACCACCAAGTGCTCAGTGCTGGAACTTGGAAGTCACCTGTGCCCCTTTCTCTCTCTGTACATGCATCTTTCCCATTTTATAGTTGAAGATATCATTCCCAACACCCTTTGTCATTCTTTGTCACCCTTTGGTCATTTTTGGTGATGGTGCTCCCTGTCTTTCTACTCTTTATGAATAGAGCCTCTTCCCCAATAGTCCTGTCCCTGTCTCCTTCTTGCATCCCCCCGTAGACACTTAATTCTTTGATATCCTGCACCCTTCTCTTGAGCTGCTTCTGCTGGCCGGGCTTGGCCCAGTCCTCCAGAGGGGCCTTGGGCTAAGGCACTTTTTAGTGAGGGGAGAGTTTTCCTTGCATCCCTGGACCCCACCCCAACCCCCACGACCCTTACCAGCACGTTGTACTGAGAGACGGAGATATTGTTGGGATGGACCGTCAGCCGGACACACTGCTTCATCTCCGAGGCAAACCTGCGGGGCTCCTTGGACCGCTCACACCGCTCCTTCCGGGTGCAACTGGGAAGGACATACCCTCGAGTTACTCAGGAGATGGCCGCTTGGTCCAGGGAGGGGCGGATGCTGAGGTCAGGTGTTTCCAGCAGCTCCCAGGATGTGTCCAAACTCAATGCGCCCAGAGCTAACCTTTTTGTGTCCTTCCTCAAGCCTGGTCCTCCTCCATCATTCCCAAATTTAGAAAAGATGGCAATTTCAATCACCTCTTGCCAAAGGCAGAAACTTGAGAGTCATCCTAACTCCCCTCATCCTCTCCAAACTCACATAAGGTGTTGCACAGTTCTGTCTATTCACCCTCTCTGCACATCCTTAGCCCTTGCCATTCTCTTCTCCTCCTTAGGCAACCAGAGATTTGTTTTCTTCATATAGAAAATATACCTCCTTGGCTTTGAACATGCCAGTTCTTCTGCTGGACTTCCTTTTCCTCACTTCTCCACCTGTCCAGTTCCTACTTTTTCTTCCAGCCATGGCTCAAGATGCACCTGCAATCTCTCCTGCCCACCCTAGGCAAAGTGAAGAGCTTCCTCCTATGATCTCATAGCACCTCGGAGTCTCCTACTTTAATAAGTCTGGAATTTCTTAGATTGTATGACAATTATTGGGCTAAGTGCAGTCCTCTCCTGCCAAGTAGGAGCTTTTCAAAAAAAGCAGCTATGTTCCATTTATTTTAGAATCCCCTCATGTAGGCAGGTGGGAGAGAGGGAAGGAAGGATCAAAGGAGCTAAGAACTGTAGTTAAAAGCTTGCTCTGGATCAGAATCCTGGCTCTAAGGTTTGCTGTTACTCTTCAGTGCTCTGTGCTGTGTAAAGTGTATGGTGTCACAAGTGGACCATGTCCAGTGTGACCTGGGATCTTGCAGTCCTAGCTGATGAAGGTTTGTGAAAGATGCATGTAAAAAACATGGAACTCTCCTGAAATGCAGGCATCACTTGAGGTCACTGCATGGAGGCATCTGAATTTCAGGGAGCAGTATTTAATCCAAGTCAGGTGAACTTTGTGGACATGGGGCTTCACCAAGTGGTCATGATTTGGAAACTCTGGACTACAGATTCTGTTGTGGGGTGGGGGCAAGCAGGGTCCTCAGGAGGGACAAGACAAGAGGAGATGAGACAGCAGGGAAATCACTCCAGAGTTGCTGATCTCTTTTGATTAAAGAGAAAAGATTTTGCAGAGGAAGGAAGATGTCAGGAGCTGTTGCAGGGCAGGAGAGAGCCCCAGGCAAGGAGTTTATTAGGACACAGAACAGCCAGGGATAGGGAATCTACATGGGGAGGGAGCCTTGGGGAGGGAGCCTTGGAGAGGGAACGACTGTCTCAGGAAGCAGACAGGTGTGGTGTGGGGCAAGGAGATGAGGGAAGGGGGTACCTGGACACCCTGAGCTGCTATTGGGGTAACTCAGGCTTAGGGAAAGCTATGGGGGTTTCTCCTCCTAACCTTTGGCCACAGCAAGAGGGGCAGCCTGGGTGGAGAGCCTGAGAGGAGAATCTAGCAAATGAAGGAGAAATCATTGAAGGCCATGGACTGAAGCTGTCCCTCTAAGGATGGGATAAATGGAGGAACACAGGGACAGAACAAAGGACTTCAGAGTAGATTGGATGTGCAATGCGAAAGTAAAAAACACCCCTGAACAGTACATTCATGGCTGCGAGGTACAAGTGCTTATTAATAGGCACATGATATGGAGTTTACATTGTCTAGCGTTTAAGTCTCATAACAATGCTGCAACAAACCCCACCTTGTCAGGATGTGTTGGGACAAAGACGCACCCTGCGGCCTGTAGAGCCTACGGAGCTCTACCTCCTGAAGCTTCCAGACTGAGGAGTAAGGGGCAGACCCCTTGCTGCAGACTAAGCTGGTTCTTCTCGCCATCCTGATGCCCCCTTCATATCCTTAGGGCAATTCAAACATTTTCCCCTCAATCTTTCTGTCTAGGCTAATCGCTATTTTTGCCTGGCACTGGGAAGCACTTTGAGTGTTATTGCAACTTGTTGGACGAAGATAAATTCTCCAGGGTGCTTCTAGAAAACCCCCTCCCAGGAGTGAAGGATCAGGCATGAGTGTGGTCACCCCCGTGGCACTTCCTTGCTGCTCCAGCTGACCGATGGCAACAAGAGCGTCTGCCTAAAAGACTTGGAAGTTAATTTACCAGGCCAGCTCCTCTGCGAGGACTCCATTACCTTCAGCCATTAAGCTAATGTTATGGACTTTTCCAGAGTGTCTGCACTGACATCGCTATTAATAGTGTTATTACTCCCATTAACAGCAGACCCAGAGAGCTGGTACGGGCTTAAATTATTCACTGACTCCCCAACTTTGAAGTTCCTATTTCTAAGAGCAATCAGTAGGTCTGAAAAATGTCTTTGATTAAATTATGAAGAGAGCGAAAAGCAGAGCTGTTTCCAGGCCAAACATCACCTGGAGTTACCAAATAGAGATTCAGATAGAAAAGACAGGACTCTATCTCTCTTCCAGGGGTAGGGAGGAAGAGGTGGCACACAGGTGTTTGCTCGGGGGATCTCAGGACAAATTCTACCTGCATTGCTTGCTGCTTCCAAAGTTCATGGGGTTGCATCTTGCCACTGCTCCTGAAAGCCCCAAAGAAACTACTCATCATCTTCCCCCAATTTTAGGTTTTATAGGGAAGCCACCTGTAATTTACAATTTTAAACATCACTGTATAATCTTGGGCAAATTACTTAACTTCTTGGTGCCTCAGCTTTCTCATCTATACATTGGGGACAAAACAGTACCTACCTAATACGGTTATTATGAGGATTAAATGAGATTATGTGAGTAAAGCATTAAGGACAGGACATAGCTCATAGTAAGCCCTCATAAATGTTAGCTAGTATTATCATCTTATCCTTTCTCTGACATCCTCATTTGACCTCTCCAAACTGTAGCTGATGCAGAACCACAGATTTATTTTATTTTTTATCTTATTTTTAGAATGAGTGTTTTTTATTTTTATTTTTTGAGACAGAGTCTGGCTCTGTAGCCCAGGCTGGAATGCAGTGGCGTAATCTCAGCTCTCTGCAACCTCCACCTCCTGGGCTCAAGCCATCCTCCCACCTCAGCCTCCCAAGTAGCTGGGACTACAGGCACACACCGCCATGCCCAACTAACTTGTATTTTTTTGGTAGAGATGGGGTTTCACCATGTTGCCCAGGCTAGTCTCAAACTCCTAAGCTAAAGCAATCCACTCATCTCGGCCTCCTAGAGTGCTGGGATTACAGGCGTGAGCCACCATGCCCAGCCCAGAACCACACATCTTCTCCATGACTGGCCCTTGGGGCAAATCAAAGACAAAAGAAAGGCACGGCTGCAGCAGTTTTCCTCCTAATAAAGGAGAAGGACAACCCAGAGGCCAGGAGGGAGAAAAGAGCGAAAGAATGGTCTGGATCATAGCTCTGTTTTCTTACTAGTTGTCAAAGGGTATTGAGAACTCAGCTATCTTAGTGGAAAGTCAAGTGTAAGGTCAGAGCCAGGGATGTTTTGACATTTCTACTATCCTCCAGGATTCATGAGGGTGGAGGCTACAAATGTCCAAAAGCACAGACAATTGACCTTAAATGTGATAGGATAATGGAAGGCGAGGCACGAATTCCTGCTGGTTTCTTGTGGGGTCTGTCAAGGGAATGGTCTTCTGCTTTTCTAGGACTGCAATTCCCAACAGCCCAGACTAGATCTGGGAACCAGAGCAAAATGTTAATTCACGACCTGAGAGGCAGGGGTAGTGGCTTAGATGTTTCATTCCAAGAGGCCTCAGGTACTCCTAAAGCATGTCCCTCAGCTCCACTGTACAGGCCCCTTGACATGAAGGAATCCCCTGCTTCATCCATTTCCCAGGTAGGAAAACTAGAGCTGAAAACGGATTCAGACAGTGCATATACTGTGTGACTTGGAGTTTTCTGACATTCTTCTCTGCATGCCAGTGTCACCCCCGCCCCAAATGCAAACCTTCAGATGGCCAGCAGGAAGCCGACCCCAAGAGGACACACCAGACCCCTAGAGCTGGAGTCCCTCCCTGCTAACCTCTTCTGACCTCTCTTCCTCATTCCACTTCTCTGCATTTCATCTTCTCCAGCCTCAGATCAAAGGTGCAAAAAGCCCTTGGGGAGAAAGGCTCTAGGGCCCCTGGAAGGGGTTATTATTCAAGCCAGTGGTTCCAATGAGATTATCCTCTCTAATGAAGCAGCTACCTCCGCCCTCCCCTAAGCCTGAACTTTCACTGCTGGAGAATTCCCAGCCAAGTGGAAAATTAGAAGGGAGAGGAATGAAGGAAGGAAGGGGGTGAGGGAGAGGGAGAGAGGTGGTGATTAAGTCCTCTAGAAATTAATTCCCAAATACAGCGATAGAAATATTAACTCCCGGTGCCGCTGGCCAGGCAAACAAATTTCAATTTGGAAACAGGGCTATCTGTGAGTCCAGCCTGAGTGAACCGCCAAGCTTGGAGGGGCTGTTGCTGATCCATCTCCCTGGGCTCTCTAGCATGTGTTTACCAGGCTTAGGCATCAGAACTTGCTCCCTACTTCTCCCTGCAGATGATCCCCAATCCTTAACATTTCACATTTGCCATGACCTATGCTTAAGGTGCACCATCTGTGCTTAGAATTGAGAAGATTGAAAAAGAAAGGGGGTAAGGATGAGGGCCTTCCCCAGCAGACCTAATAGAAAAGTTAAGATAATTTAGAATGCCTACTCACCTAGGAGATTATTGGAAGCTTTGGTCATTGTCATCACATCTGGGGACCCTGACAAGGGAAGAGACTAGAATTCCTAATTCATTATCCTTGTCCTCCTTAAGAATGACCACAGTAATGGATAGATGCATATGTGTGGCTTGGAGGAAGTGGAGTAGCTAGTATAGGATCCTTCCTAGGCAGGTGGGTGTGTAAGAGGTTTCTTATATGTAGGGGTAGATCAGATGAGTCCTTTCAATGTTACAATTCTAGGATCCAATGACTGATACCATGGTCTCAAGGAAGTTGAAGTATTTGGGTTGTGCCATGTAATACTTAGGATGAATCCCAAGATAGGAAGCCCAAGGTTCTACTGTAATTTTCCCTCTGCCATCAGTTGCTGGCAACTGGGCCCATGGTCCTTTGCCATCTCTAAAGATCCAAAATTAACCTAAGAAGCAGCTGAATCAGATTTACCCATGCATCCCCTACAGAAGGAGGGCATAGGACTTAGCAGAAACCAGCAGGTTCAGGGGTTGAGTGGAGACCCAAGAACCTTTCTGGGCTTATATAGCAACCAAGGCAACCTGTCCCACCATAATCAGCTCAGATGCTGGGCTTGCAGCCTTCATTGAGAAGCCATGTTCTGCCCTGGGTCCCTGACTGGATTCTGACCTTGGTAGCCATGCTTTGAATGAACAATCTATTGAACAAAACCTTAGGTGAGAGGTAAAAAGGACCTGTAAATGTTCGTTTTTTTCCAGATGATCCCAAACCAAACCAAATTACATGTAGCAGCTGCCAAAAGAGAAAGTGAAGTGGGCTTGTCTTTCTCTTTTCTTCATCAGTGGCTAGCTCTATTAGGGCCTATTAATTTTCTACTAAGGTTGAGGAGAGGTTAGGAAAGAACAGGTGTGGAGCAGAGCAGGAGTGGAGGGAGGGAGAGGGAGGGAACGGCAGGAGAAGGGAAAAAGGAGGAGGAGACAGCAAAGGCATCGCCACAGGTGAATCCATTCTCTTTCTAATCCAGTCGGTAACAAGGAGAATGCTGCCTATTACCTGAGACACATTCCAACAATGACTCCAGTTGATTCTCATCAACTTTACACTATACTTTATCCAACAGCCTGGTGTCTTCATGTCCATTAACGTCACCAAGTCCAGTAGGCTTGGTGCAGGGGAGCACTTTGCTCTGTGCAGGCTGGGCTGCTCCATCCTATGTGGCCCAGTGCAGCATGATTGAATGAAGTGTGTGAATGCTGGAATATGGGTGTGTATGTCTGGAGTGAAGCCTCAGAGGTAGGCCAGCTCCTCTGGTTGTCCACAGGTATCCAAGTCAATAGACTGGGAGGGACATTGAGAGCTTGAGCAGACCACAGGGCTTTTCTAATTTATATGGGAAGATGGCATTTTTGACTTACCATTCTCTGGTCATGAAGCATGTGTTTTGTGTGTGTGTGTGTGTGTGTGTGTGTGTGTGTATGTGTATTGGGGGCTTGGCGGGGGGCAGGGTTAAAAAAGAAAAGGCCCATTTCCTTAAGTCATACTATGTCTCTGCTAAGCCATTGGAGAGGAAAATTCCAATGTACTAGTATCTGATCTAGTCTGGGACTCATTTCTTTGGAACAGAGGCTGATAGCTTTTTGGCAAAGAGTCAAGGAAAATCTCCTTGCACAGACTGCAAAGAGTTTGCTGGGTGGAAGTGGACACCAACCATTCCTCATGACTGTGTAGGCCTTGTGCAAGCAGCCCTAGGAGAGATCAGTGACCAGCAGATTAGTGTTAAGTAGCCCTTGAATATAGGTTTAAAAAATGAGATAGCAAGGCTGTGGGATGTGCCTCAGTGAAGCAAGGCAGGGCTTGCATTTTGCAATCAGCTTGTGTGTCATTAAGTGGACATTGGCATGGCTGGTTGAAGCCTTCCAAGGGGAGGAAGACTTCCCAACAGTGGGCTGGCTCCAGCACCAGCCACAGCCCTCCAGTCCTGGGGAGGAGAGGAATGGAAGGGGAGGGGGACCAGGAGGAGGCACTGGGATCCAACTCCAGCCTCTGCTCCCACAGTCGAGGCCCTTTGGGCCACTTCAGGCATGAGGACCTGCTGCATTGTAGGCCCAGCGAGGGGCTTCATGCAGGTCCCCTCCCTTAATTTTCATAGCATGGCTATGAAATTAGAGCTGAAGAAACTAAACCCAGACTGGGTCTGTTCTTAGACAGGTCCTCAGTTGTAACTAAGTTGTAACTCATCTCTTCTGCTCTGAAAAGCAGTGTCTTTCTTGTCTTTCCACTTGCCATCTTGGAAGAAACCATATAGAAAAGAATAGGAGTGACTCTTGAAAAGTAACCCCTGCCAACCTATCCAGAGGAGGGCATTCTTCCAACAGAAGAAATCTGGGAAGAGGCAGGGTCGTGAGGGGGTGAAAGGGAGACTTTATGAAAGCTGATCTTATCCTTCCCCTGTGATGTCTTGGGTTACATGAGCCTCCCAGGAGTGATGCTGATGACTTTTCTTAAGAAAGGTAACGCCTGGGCCAATCGATGCGGCTGGGTCTGCTGGGCAGGATCCCATTACCTGCTGAGACTGAGACAGGCTTCTTTGCCTGGGCACGAAGCCATGGGAGGGGAAGATGGAGAGGGGGCTGGGGACCTGCCAAGCCTGGTCACTGGAGAAAATGTTTCTGGCCCAGGACAGGAGATAGCTGTGATAGGGCGAAGGCAGGGTGGGCTTGTACGCTTTCCTTTACCTTCACCCAAGTCAGAATGAGTCAGCTCAGGAACAAGGAATAAAGGCTCAAAACTCAGGGCCACCTCAATACTTAGCATTGCTGAAGCTGTCATTGCCATCAGAGATGGGCAAGCCTGTGGGCCAGGGTCAGGGGCTGCAAAAGAGAGCAACTGAGTGACCCTGTGTGCTACCAGGTTGGCAGGCGAGTGCTTCATGACAATTGAGAGTAGCAGGAGAGAGGATTTAAATTACACGAGCCTTTCTTAAGCATGTTTTGTGCAACCCACCTGGGACTTTGCTGCTACAAACAGCCCATTCAGCCACATGAGCCACCTGTTTACAGAGGCCCTGACCTTGCACTGCTCAATCACATGTGCTGACTCTCAACCCCTCTCTCTGCCTTTTCCTTCTTCCTCTCTTGCTGTCTCTGTCTGTCTCTGTCTCTCATACACCCATCTGCTGCCCTTCTCTTCCACAATGCTACCACCACCTCACTCCCTCCAACCATGGGGAAAGTTGGCAAAAGTGACTGAGAAAATGGACTTCTCTTGACACCTCAAGGAACTCTTTTCCTGCCGTCCTGGTCTTCCTGAGTGAAGATCAGGCTTGTTGAGGCCACTTAGCAAGCAACCGAGTCACTTGGCACAGGGTCTTGCCCATGGTGGGGGCCTAACAAATGCATTGATTCTAGTAAACTCCCACTGTGAATCCAAGGCCTGGTTCCCCAAAATCTTTAGGGCAGAGATGACCTAACAGAGTCGCCTTCATATCACTGAGCCTGGCACACTGCTGGGCACGAAGGGAGAAGGGCAGGTCTGAGAGATCTACGGACAAATTTGTGAGTGTGGACACAGCACTCCTTGGAAGCAATTAAACCTCCCACTCTTGCCACCTGTCTCCCTTCCTAGAAAATGGATGCCCTTCAGAGCAAGCATCCATAGGCTCTCTCTGGCTGCCGTCAACCTCCTGTACTGAACTGCCAGCCCCCAGCCTTCTCCTTTCTCTCCTGCTGAGCCCACTTCCTCATGTGTCTCTCCAAGCCATGGATGTCCAGTTTACTCTTAAGAAAAGTGAAAGGGAGGGCAGATCAGGAGGAGCAATATCTGGCTTTGACCTGAACCTGAGGAACTAGGGAAGAAAGGCCCACTGGGAAGAAGGAGAGAGCTCTCTGGATAAAGAAAGTGTTCTATATCTTGATAGACATGTGGATTACAAGCGTGTTTGTCTTTGTCAAAGCTTTCAAGCTGTACACTTAAGATCTGTGCATCTCATTCCATCTACATTTAAAATTGTACCTTTATTAAAAATATCTTAGAAATCCAGGGACCTACTCTACTTATCCAGGACCGGATTTTAGAACCTGGATTTCAGGACCTCAGAAATCCATACCTGAGGGATTTCAGACTTTCCCTTAAGGAACTCAAGGACTCATTATGCCTCAGACTGCCACTCAGAGATGGGGAGGGTGCCTGCTCTTGTATCAAGGATGTATTCGAGTTTAAGAGGGTATTTTTAGCTTTTAGAGGCACTCTTCGCAAGGGAGTGGGGGAAGACAAGATTTTACCCCCACCTTCTTATAGTTGCCAGGGGGCTCTCCTTGGTCATAACTCTGAGAGGGAGGGAGGATGGATTTACTGAGTGCCTCAGCGGGCAGGCAGCCTTGGCCTATGGGGGCTCTTGAGCTTTGTCCTGGAAGAGTTGGGCTTTACCAGACACATTGGCACAAATTTATACCTGTGTCTGCCTTCCTCAGGTCACGGACATAACCAGGAGGCTCAAGGTTACGAATGACAGCACCTTGCCCTGACAGAGCATCTTGGAATTCTGTAACATCCTATATCAATCACCTCTTTTTATCCTCGTGCCATCACTGTGAGAAGGTACCGTTCTCCCTCTTTGAAACAAGGATGCCAAGTTTCTGACATACGGAGTTATCGTGGAATCTATTTGCAAATTCAAGTAACTGCTAACGTTTATTTGTGACAAAAATCGGTACCCGTGGACACGTACAGGGCAGTGAAAAATTTGAGTGATCTGGCACGCACACTCCCAGCTGAGGTGGGATAAGGCAGCCTCAGCTTCTTGTTTTAGCTCTCGCTCTATGAACAAGTGTCCTCTTCAAGCCCTATTTCATGCCACATTTTTCTCATTTTGCAGGTGATTTTGCCGCTTAAAATAGTCCCCGAATGTAGTGCTGAAGGTCTGTCTAGTGATCCTGAGTGCAAGAAGGCCATGGTGTGCCTTATGGAGAAAATAGCTGTGTTGGATAAGCCTTGTTCAGGTATGTGTTATAGTGCTGTTGGCAGTGAGGTCAAGCTTAATGAATCTATTATATATATTAAGTAAAATGTCTTTAAACAGAAACACACACAAAACAAGGTTATAGATGGATTTGTTGATGAAAATGTGACCAGAGGCTCCCAGGAACCTAACCCTGTATTTCTCCTAGGAGCAATGGCTTGGTATTCACTAACTCCGTGTTCCAGCGACTTTATGGAACATATCTACCATGTGCAATGAGAACTGACTGCACTTGTTTAAAGCCCCACAACAAGTTTCCAAGGCATGTGAACTTGAGTCCACTGATTTCCACTCCAGTAATCTTCCCAGTGTCCCCCAGTGCTTCAATGCGCTGGCTCCACTGTGGCTCCTTGAGCAACGAGGTGCCAGCAGCAGCAGCAGACAATGATGACCACAAAGACAACAACACTTGCACAGCCCCTGCCTTCTGAGAGCCTGTGCTTAACAAGGGCTGGTGCTACATGGAAACACGAATAAGATATACAAGTGTCAGAATAAAACATGGTGCCAGACTAAAGGGGTGAGGAGGATCTAGCAGGAGTACCTGCCACTTAGACAAAGGCTGGGAACCCCCCAGGAAGAGAAGCATGCAGTTACAGTAGAGCCATCTGGAAAATCACCAGGGATCAACAGAGTCACAAGAGGGGGGGGGGCACCCATGAGCTCACAGTCCTTCCCCAGCCTTGTCAACATTCCTGCCCCACCCTACACTACATTTCCCAGTGATCCACAGCTCACCAGTCATTGGTCCTCATACCATCTCATTTGATTCCCCAGTGACTCAGTGAGGCAGGGGAGACAGGCATCACCATGTCCAATTCACAGAGGAAGAGCTGGGATGAGGAGTCTGCACTTGGGGGCAGGCGCCCAAAATTCATGTCCATGGCTGTTTTTATGCCATGCTGAGACTGGAGCAGCTGGCTTCCCCGTGCAGGCTGAGGGCCCCCTTCATGAACTGCCCAGACTTCACCTTGGCCTCCATCCACCCCTGTTTTCTTCCACTTGACAGGAGGCAGGTATGATGTTACAGAAGGGTAAACTGAGGCCATAAAGGAAGTACTGTCTTGTGCCTCCTCCTCTCATGTCTGCTTACCTTGCAGCCCTGGGGGTGGGAGGTGGGGGTTCTCACAGTCTCTCTGGTGCCTTCTCCAAGCCTTGGAGCCCCTCTGTTCACAGGGCTCCGTGCTCTGTGGGGCTGGGACAGCATTGTGGGCAGAGACCAAAGCTGACATGGAAATTGCCACTGGGCATGGAGTGTCAGGGAGGGACCAGATTTTCCGATTGCCTTTGAATTATGCCAGGTAGGAAAGCCCCATGCCAGGATCGCAGAGCTATCCTCAGCCAAGCAGAAAACAGGGTAGTCAAGGCCCCCAAGTAAGGCAATGAGTTTAGAGTACAGTCCCTTCCTCAGAGGCCTCACTGGGTGACACAAAGAAAACTGCCCCCTGTCTGCCTGGCAAGGTATCATTCAGGGAACAATTCTGGCCTGATCTGAGCCAATCTGCATTCTGAATGCAACCTCTGCCATCCTCTTCTATGCTGGCCACTCCTAGGCTCCCCTGCTCTGTTAGCATGCAACCTTTCTATACACTTGAGTGCACAGTTTCTGATCTGTCTGTGAGTTATGTATGTTTCAGACAAGACTGGGCACGTTCAGGGTGGCACGGCCATAGACTGAGTTATGTATACTTCAGTGTAGCTCAGTGGTTCTTGACTTTTTTCCACTGTAACCTACCTGAGGAATTTCAGACCTTCCCCTAAGGAACTCAAGGACTCACTATGCCTGAGACTGCCACCCAGAGATGTATTCGAGTTTAAGAGGGTGTTTCCGAATTTTAAGGGCACTCTTTGCAAAGGGGAGGGGAGAAGACAAGATCCTGCCCCACCTTCTTATACTTGAAAATTATTGGTAAATGTCATTGGTCACATGTAGTTCAGGTTCTTAGTAGGAAGACTAAGGTTTTTCTTCTTAATTTATAATGTCTGGATCCAGCTCACAAAGTGGCACATTTCAATTGTTGGCCAGAAACAACAATAGCTGGACTGGAATCAAATTTCATCAGAGTGAGGTCCAACCATTCGTTGGCTTCTCCAGGTATTGATGGCAAGGGTCTTCGGATCCCCAAAGAAAAGCCTTCAGCTTTCTGGTTGTCTGAGCCCTATTCCTGCCCTTTGGTTTATTTACTGTTTACCTCCACTATAATGCCATTGCCTTCTTCCCTCTTCTGAATAATAAAATGGAGCCACACAAAAGGAGGCACATTGGCAAGAGGCCAGCACTCAGGCCGGGCTTTATTGGCCCAGTGACTCCAGCCCAAGTGCACTCACAGCCAGCTAATGGGTGTTTGGCAGCAGTGGGAGGGTCCTCAGGTGCTACACACTTCAACTGCAGACCCAAACCAGAAAATCCTTTGGAGCTGTTGAAGTAGATGTTAAGGAGATGTGGAATCACTAAAGGGACAGCATATATCTTGTTTATGATTTCGGGGCCAGTAAGAAGCTACAGAAAAAAAGATCCAATGCCTTTTTCCTGGTGTTCAGTCCTGGAAAGTCAGTCTCTAGCCCAGTAAGCCACAGTCAGGAAAGTCCAGGAATCCTGCTTCCTCCAGCCCTCCAATGTATGATTGCCCAGCATGACAACTATATCCTGACCTGTCATGATTCCCATGCCACCGTTGCCATATATTTCTTAAGGGAATTTGGCAAATTTAAAGGGAAGTCAGAAAGAACAAAGGAAGGGAGATAACATTTGGAAAGGATGCAAGGAAGGAAGAGCAAGAATAGCTGAGGAGAAAAGACAGATCAAAGGGAAGGGCAGTGATGACAGAGAAGCAGAGGAAGGGAATTACCAGGAGGAAGTGGGAGGCACGAGGCAGCCTCCCCATGGTACTCACGTGTTGTGCAGCACACACCAGCCACAGTGGGGGTCGCCTGAGCCAAGGCACTCGCCGCAGCTCTGATACTGACCACAGGACTCCACAGGGACTCTGGTGAGCTAGGACAGCAGGATAGGGAGAAGGTGGTCAAGATTTTGCAGAACACCCAGCAGTGTACCAGAAGAGATGTTGCTCTAAATATCAAGTGTATCACCTGAAATGTTGCAGGAGCATGAAGGTGCTTGGAGCCCAGTGTGGGAAGGGAACTTGAGTGATTATGTTTGAGTAGGTGGCCACATATGCATCCAGGGAGACAAGCAGCCATATTATTTTCTTAGCAGTCTCCATGAATACAGACTCCATACAGTCCATACTAAGTTGTCAGAAAAGATATTTACACAGTGTTCATTTCAAGTTTTCTACCTCTGAAACCACCAAATATCTCTACAAATGGCCAATTCATCATGTATTTGTTTCCTATCAATGTAACAAGTGCAAATGGTCATTCTCACTCTCTCATGGTTTCTCTTTTTCTGTAGTGTTTCCCCTTCTTTCCAGTCCTCCTTCAAGTTTCGTCATTTTTGCTGCTCCAGAGAGCATTTAGTCTGAGACCAAGACCCTTCTCTTTCTCTTCCTCCTTGCCATTTACCAAGATATCATAAGCTCACTCTGTAGCTGTTACTTGCCCGCTCTTTCTTTCTCATAATGTTGGCCAACTGGCTCTAAAAGCTTTCACTATGGTGCTTTCAAAGAGCATCTGCTGCTATTTCTCCTCCTACCCACACTCTTTTCATGACTAGAGGCTTCCTCTCCAACCCAAAACTTTATATTAGCTTTCACCAGCCGCCTGCTAATGTAAAATGTTCCACATGACATTTTTGCTTAGCCCAAATGCTTCCATTTCCTACATGCTCTTAAATATCTTTTGAATTTCTTTGTTCTCCAATGTAGCTTTGCCTTGATGTCTCTTTACATAACTTGCCAGCACTTGCTACATAGTAGGTATTTAATAATGATACACTGGATCAAACGGAGTTTTTATTTTCTTTTTATAACCTTGGTCTTTATTCTCCGTTTTGCCGGTTTTTTTCTTTACAAAAAGTATTTTTTTTTTTTTAATTTTACATCATCCTCTTCCAGTTGGGATACCTTTTTATCTCAATGGAGAATCCTGCCTGATGTTTCAGCTTGAGCTAAGAGAATTTGATGTGGCCATCCTTTTAAATTTCTTGCCATCATACAACAGGCACAGAAAACTATAAACTGTGCTGACCTGGCTGAACCCTCTCTGTTACATGAGCAAATGCAGAGGCAGTGTTTCCCCTGCTGTTTTATGGGGCATGTGCCTCTGTAAAATGATGTCTGCTTGGCAGGGGCTACTTGTAACTCACGCACAGGCAAACTGGCACCAGAGCTTCTCAATTAGTCTCCAACTCTCTTTTGGAATTAATTAATAATTAATTCCAAATCCCACATGATCTCTTTTCCCTTAACTTTCTTATTCCCTTTATGCATCTTTTTGTTCTCCAAAGTACACACTGAGCGTTCTTAATGACCACACTGCGCTTTCACTTCTTTCAAGCAACCTTTTAGCTTACCTCTCCCATTCTGACGGCAGTGACCTTGACCTTGGTGGCCCTTCCTCCACCTTCTCAGATGTCTTTTTTGCACATTTGGAATTTTATCTTTTCTTTTATTACTGCTCATGTAATCTGCATGAGCCGTGCCTGGAGTCTGCCTACATATGACCTTCCTATCCTACTAATTAACCTTAACAATTAGTTCCTTACAAATTACCCACACTGGCTCCACACCAGCCAAGAATTTGCCCTCTTTCTGTTGCGTCTTTAATTTCTCTTCCTACTCCTTAAGTGAGCATAGACATGCTAGTCATGTAAGCATATAAATAGTGGCTCCTAACCCAAAGTACCTGGACTCCTAGTAATTCATGAGTGGTAATGAGGTCCACACGCTATTTTCAATATTTCCCAAAGCCTAATGGCAATTGAACTGTTGCTGTTTTATGTTTTTTATTCATACTCAGTGATGTATGTCTCATATTAAAAATAGGAAATATGTTATTACTTAATAAATGCAGTTTGTTTAGTAGACAGAATCTTTCAAAACATAATGCACAGAGGGAAAAAATAATAAAAGGGGCCATAAATGGTGAAAGTTGGGAAACATAAGTACACAATAATGTTTTCATATGTTCCAGCTGCTTGTCTAGCACTCCATATTTTGCATAGGCTTAAACAGAAAATCATGCCTTGCTCAATCAAAAGCATTTTCTCGCTCTAAACTTAATTACCATCCTCCTCAGTTTCTCCTATTGACAAGTTCTATAATCCACCTTGGATGGAATGTGGCTGCATGTTCTGGAATGTTCCACATCAAGTCAAGAGCCAGCTGCTTGGTGAATCTGAAATTCTCAAAAACCTTTGCATTCAGATTCTTAAAATATTTTGAAACTGGTGTTTAATAATGTCCATACCCTGGAATTGTCAAGTCCCTCCTCCTGATTTTAAACATGAGTCATTTTTTGTTGGGTTGGAAAGAATGCAAGAGCCCTCAGAGCTAGGTTCAAATTCTGGCTTAACATGGAGATAAAAATCCCTCCTCCCCACCCCCACCCCAATTCACAGTTTCCCAAAGCACAGATGATGCAATGGTTTTGTAAATGGTCTGGCACTTTATAAGTGACGGCTATGATGGATCGCTGCTATCCTTTTCATTAATATCCCAATCCTCCTTGTACTGTCACTTACCTCTCCCCGACATCCCAGAAAACTCCTCTGACAGTCTTCCAAGGCTTCAGGAACTCTGTCAGGAGTTCAACAGACCTGGGAGAACTTTTTTTTTTTAGTACCTTGATAGTGTCATTTCCTCCTTGAGCTATGATATTTGCCCCTAAGCCATTCATTGCTCCACACTTTGGATGAAACCTGGAGTTATCTCATTTCCAGGACTTATTCACTATCTTTATTAGCTTCTGGAACAGCTATCTGCTTTTCTTAGCTTTTCATTTAGGTGGGTCCATGTGAGACAGGGACACAAGTCCTGCACAGGTATTATGAGTCCTGGGTTCCAGCCACAGCTCTGCCCCCCAGTTTCCTGGGTAAACTTGGACAAGTCTCTCCTGGGCTTCTTTGTGATGATCTGAAAAATGAGGAACTGGGCGCGTTAGGTCTGAATTCCCTCTCAGTCCTAACATCCTAAGCTCCTTGTTAATGCTCTGACAAAGTCTCTCAGGTCAGCCTCATCTCACTTGTTTGGTTTTCATGGACATGTATAACAATGGCACCAGGTCTACCTTCAAGAAAACTTTCTCTTGAAGACAATCATCTGGGCAGCTAGAGCTTTCTCATCTTAAAGGTAAACAACCCAACTGCCTGTAGTCTTTCCTTACGGAATATTTCTATTTATGATTTAACCATTTTTTATGACTCTCTTCTGAACTTGATCTAGGTTCTCTCCACTCTTTTTAAAGTGTGGACATTCAAATTGGGGAGCCAACAGGATTCTGACAGTCCAAGTAGAAAGGTTACCATTATTTGAGAGCTAGGTGCCACCTCCTTCACCTTGCCAGGACCTTCCCAAGGAAGGACAGAACCAGGGAAATCTCCCAGGCCCCACCATCAGGCAATAGTCTCCAGCATGGCCAAGGCCTCCCAGACTGGCTGCACAGCTCTCCATCTCTATCATTGCTTTGCCTCACTCTGTACCCCATGGTTAATTCTGCAAAGCATCAGAAGTTTTTCTAATACTTTAAATCACTTTTGAAAACTGGATTTAGTCCAACCATTTAGCTTAGTATAAATGTATTCCCTTATGTCCCCAGTTACTATCCACACCTTGCTAGTATGTTGCACAGGTGGCCAGATGGCCTCTGAGCCACCTTGTCTCTATGATTCTCTTTCCCCAAATACCTAGACTTGCCACTCACAGCCTTACACCATACAAAGCTGCCTCTCCCATCCCCCAACTCCAGCTCCTCTCCTGACCCTGGAACACAAACCACTCCAGATGCAGAGCCACACGATTAATTAAAACCACCCCACGCTGATTAAAGTCTTAAGCTGCAGTGCCAGGCATGCTAATTAACTGAGTGAGGGAATTCAGACCACAGGAAGAGGTGAAAAAAGAAAGTAAGAGGGGCGGGGGAGGGACTTCTGTTTGGAGAACAAATCAGATGGTGACGTGACCTAAGCTGCCATAATGATAGATTGTCTCAGAGACCACAAAATATTGAGGTCTGTCCCCTGGCCACCAGACTCTAGCAAAGGTGTTGATTGATGTGGCTGCAACTTCACCTTCGCTGCTTCTAGAGATGGGAGCCCCATCACCTCTGGGGACCTCCATGTGTGCATAAACTGTGCTTGGGGAGAAGGATTGTGTGCAGGGTTAGGGTAGGGTCTGCACAACATTGTCTTGGGACATCGTCCTGGCTTTGTGCAAAAACCTATTAGGCAGTTTAGCAGTTCCTCAAAAAATTAAACAGAATTACTATACGATCTGGCAGTTTTGCTTCTGGGTACACCTGCAAAACAACCAAAAGCAGGATCTCAAAGAGACATTTGCACACTCAGGTTCATAGTGGAACTACTCACAATAGCCAAAAGATGGAAGCAACCCAAATATCCATCAACAGATGAATGGACAAACAATATGTGGTATATCCATACAATGGAATATTATTCAGCCTTAAAAAGGAAGGAAATTCTGACACATGCTACAACATGGATGAACCTCGAGGACATGATGCTAAGTGAAATAAGCCAGACATAAAAGGACAAATACTGCATGATTCTGCTTATGTGAGGTGCCTAGAGTAGTCAGATTCATAGTGACAGAAAGTAGTACGGTGGTTGCCAGGGACTAGGGAAGGGAGGAATAAGGAGTTACTCTTTAATGGGCAAAGACTTTCTGTTTGAGCAAATGAAAATGTTCAGAAGATGGAGGGTGGTGATGCTTGCACCACAATGTGAGTGTACTTACAAATGCACACTTAGAAATAATTAACACTGTGAATTTTTTTATGTGTATTTTACCACAATAAAAGAGTTGAAATAATCCTTTTGAGTGGACTTGACAAATTATTTCATCTTCGGCATGGCAGCATGGATATGAAAACACCTGTTCTCTGCTTAGCTCCTTGGGTCAAAGGGGAACGGCTTTTGCTGGTAGACTAATACAATCATCTTTATGAAATATTCTGATATCTTTCAGTCAAAAGATAGGTATCACTATTCTTTTCAACGTAATCTCAAATGGGTTTTGGATAAATGTCTCCTATCATGTATCATTACATAACTGGCTCTGTTGTTCTCAAGGTCTGGATACCTGTTTCCTGATTTGGAAAAATAATGCCATAGCCTTGTTCTTCCTGGAAATTTTCCTTACCTCTCACCCATTCCAAAAGGCCTAGACGAGGAGCTCTCAATTCAAATAACTCACAAGAGGTCAAATGGCCCCTGATTTTAGAAAATCCTCCTGCTGTTGCTCAAGCTCTCCTTTGGTATTTTTCATTCACAGTTATGGCCAGAAATCACTCATGTGCCCTTCCCCATTTACACTTCCTTTCCCCCTAGATCACCTTTCTGGGAATCTGGGTGGTTTTATCCTTTTGCCACCAAGGTAAGCTTCCTTAAATAATATAATGTAGTTTGGTCTGGTTTTAAATGATTGTAAATAGAATTATCATTTGCTGTTGTACATGCAATCATCATCATCATCATCATCATCATCATCATCATCATCCTCATCATCATCCTCATCACCATCTTCCTAACCTGTCCAGTTCCAAAGGCCACAAATTTACAAAACAATGGCCTAGCACAGCAAGGCAATGAATGACTGAAAAGAGAGCAAAGGGTCCCAAATCAGATTTTAAGTCATGGCCTTGGTCTTCATAAGTTTCTCCATCTGATGAGCTGAGCCCATTGCTTGGGGACCTGGGAGCCTGGGGGTCCTCCATGGCAGCTGGAGGAATTTTTACAGCTTCTGAGTCCTGGCCCCCATTGCCCAACTCCCACCTGGTTTCTCTGATATTTCGAAAGATGCTTTCCTCTGGCAATAGGGTCTCACTCTGCCTGTTGCTGCTCACATTCTGAAGGGTGCCTGCTGTTCTGCTGATTACATTCAGAAATGTTCCACAGATATAGCATGCAGTCTCTGTGTGTATCTCTAATTTGTTTAAGCATTTGACATTATGGTCAAAATGTGAGTTATTACTCCATTTCTACTCTTATAATTGGATGCTAATGCAACGATGGCTACACTGAGCCTGATGGTTGGAATTAATTTAAATGTCCAAAAGGTTTCTTAAGTACCCAATTTCCTTCAAAATTGTCAAAAAAGAAAGAAAAAAAGAGGCAAGATGACCCATTAAGAAACTCCAAGAGGCTGCTGGAGGAACTGTCAAGCTGTGCAGACGCTGCACTTGGTGCTGTACCTCATGCTGTCCTTCCTTGTCACTGTCCCCGAGCAGAGGAAGTAGAGTTGAGAAAAGTAAGTCCTTTTCTGGCAAATTCTTAGCTCAGTAATACACATGGGTCTTAGTGGCATGGTCTTGGGGAGCTCCTCAAAGCATCTCCACCCGCCTTCATCTCCTTTGGTCACCACTGGCTGCCTTTCCAAGCTTTATTTCTGCTGGCCAGGGACCACATAAAGGTTTTGTGGAGTCTCCCTGTGATGGCTCCAAGGCCCTCACTGCCAGGGCTGCAATTTGTGGTTGAGCAGTGGCTCAAGAAGCTGTGCTTATTTCAAGTCACTCCACATGCCTGGAACCCTGTCACTCCTATTCTCTTTGCTCAAAGGGGGCAGGTATTTCTGAACCTGGCTAACAGGTAAGAAAGGCAGATGCCAGAAGGCTGGTCCCAGGCTGTGGCAGATTGTATTATGAGTCCCAATTCTTCACTCCCTAAAAAGAAGACTTTTATGTCTCCACCCCTATGGCCTCATGGTGAATAGACAAGTGGTGTGTACTTCCCCACTTCTTGGCTTTGGGCATGGCCTCAGAACTCGATTGGCCAATGAATGGTAGGAAACACGAGGCAAATGAATGCTTCCGAAGTGCTTATGTGCTCATCTTTGCCTTCTGTGCTTCTGTCATTGCCATGAGAAGAGCTTCCCGAAATAGCTGTTTCCTCTTCAGCCTGGGCCCCAAATGAACCCACATGGAGAGAGACCTGAGCCCAAACCACAGCCAGGAGACAACCCTGGCTGATGCAGCAGCTTGAAGCAGAACTGCCCAGCTGAGTTGAGCTTAGGGAGCTGACATGCAATTGCTTTGCAGAGCCATGGGTGTGAGGATTCATGTCTATTGTATGCAAGTGAGTTTTGGGCTGGTTTGTTACAAAGCTTTATTGTGGCAATAGCTAGCTGATACACAGGTGCTGGACAGAAAGTTACACCAGGATGCAAAGGTCCCGTGAAAGGTAGAGGGGAGAGGTCAGTCAAATGGAGGAGGGGGAAGGTTGCAGTGTGGTAGCTTCTTACCACCCTGTGCTTCAAATAGGTCATGCAAACATTGATGGCGTATGTAACTTGTACAAGTTCAGAAATTATTGAAAGCCAGATCTAACGTGATAAATGGCCCTTCTCAGTACCTCCCACGCTGGCCATGCTCTTTTAATTCTATGGTCATAGATCTACAGATCTCAGGAAGGTCTAGCCCCTCAGCAAAGTACTAAAGAAGACTCTGGAAAGAGAATGCAGCCCTCCAGATGTGGTCAGCTGTCCAGAAGCAAAGATGTGCTTCAGACCCCTTGTACTGACCATCTGGCCACCCCAGTGTCAGAAAATGATTTTTTTTTTTCTACTTGGCAGCAGTAAAAACTCCTTGGGAATGATTTGCCTTGAGCTTTGCAATTCCTCCTGCTGGTGCTTGGGCCATGGGGCTAATCCAGCTGGGCCTCACTTGACGGCAGACAGAGGCACAGGGTCAAGGGCAGCAGCCTTGGCTACCACCACTGTCCCTACCTGCCTCTAGGCAGGACCTCTGGGGTCAAGGTTGATGATATTTAGAATAGCAAAGGCAACCGCCCCAGGGCATGAGGCTTGGGGAGCTGAGGTTCCAAGCTGTAATCTAATCTGTGTGTCTGGGTGACCTTGAACAAAATATTCCCATTTTTCATGCCTCACTGGATTCATTTTCAGATTAGGGGGATCCAGTCCTGCTCTGCCTTAAAGAATTGGTCACAAAATACTACCAATACAAATGATTTGGGAAGCTTCTTGTAAATGAAAAGTAGCAGATGTTGTGGAGGGCTGCAATTTGTTGCTATTAATAAGAATAAATGCCTAATAGGAAGCCAGTTTGCTCTGGGAACTCGGACAGCCAAGGAGCGAGTGCCGACGCCGGAATCATCAACATATGTTGGTCCTCATTAGCAAACGGCAGTAGCTGGGAAGCTGGGCAAGGAGCTCTCAGCGTGCTTTCTGCAGAGCGTCGAGAAATCACCCCATCCTCAGGCTTCCCAGTGTGGGCTGCGCTAAAATGGCACGTGATCGTTATTAGCCAGACCCCTTGCCAAGCGGGAGAGCGATCCCCTTCCCTGATGCACAGATGGAAAAGCCATAGCCCAGAGGGGCTGAGCAGCTTGCCCAAGGTCACGCAGCAGGGCGGTGGCAAAGGTGGAAATTGAAATGAAGTTGGGGGCTGGAGCCTGCCCTCGGGCCTGCCAGACACCACTGGCTCCCGGAACATAGTACAGGGGATTGAGAAACCTCTGGTCCCTCTGCTGAACACAGGTCCTGTGTTGAAAACTTCACAGCATTGCAGGCTACTTACTATACTGCCAGGAAGGTGTGGCTGAGTTCAGGGGCTGAGGAGCCCCACCTACGGGCAGATCACCAAGTAGCAGCCCTGAAGAGAGAATGACAATTGGTCTCAGCACAGCCTCCTCCTCCAGGAGGTTTTCTTACTCCTTCAAATGTGGTTAGGGAGAAAAATAGAGTTTGAAATAGTTTTATCTCAGGGACAAGTGAGAAGCAGAGATCTGAGAGAAAAACAGACCTGGGTTTGGATCCTGGATCTGCCACCACTGTGTGACTTGGACAACTTATTTAACTTCATCAAGCCTCTTTTTCCTCATCTAAGTACCCTGATGGGTTGTTTTGAAGAATAATTGGGATGACACATATGAATGTATTAGTGTTATGCTAATGGCAACTCTGTTGTTCCAGCCTCTGCCTCCGATAAAATGCCCCTGTGATGGGTGGTGCGAAGTCATCTCTCTTCACTCCACTATACCTAGTACTCAGCTCATGCGCAGTAAATGAGAAAAGTGAATGAATGCTTGCATGCACGCATAAATAAATAAGTGAATGAATGAATGTGGTTCCTATTACACTTGTACGTGTTCCAAGAATCCCCTGGAGATCATTTATTTGGCAACCTTGGCTCTACTCTAAAACCTATCATTTCTGGATTATTGCCACAGATTAATCTCTTAGTGTAAAGGTTAAATCCTCTCCTTTCTCTGAGCTCTCATGCTCACATTCACACACAGGCTCAGGAGGCCCGACTTCCTGACTTCCAGGGCTGCGGGGTTGCAATGTGTGAGATTCTCTAGCTAGGCAGATCCTATGCATTTGACAGAGGAGACTGCAGCCAGAGCAACCCCTCCAACATGGAGGCCCAAAGGAATGGGGGATGAGAGGAGTGTTCTGGCATTCACACAGTTAACAAGCTGAGAGGGACCTTGGAAACATTCTAGCTGCCAATCCTCTTATTTTTCAGATGAAGCTCAGTTGCTGCAGGGATTTGTCCAAGGCTACATGGCTACCAACACTCCTCATTTGATACCCAGTCCCTAGATACTGACTCCTGGCCAAAATGCTCATTCTTGACCCCATCTTAAGGTCAGGGCTGAAGCAGGGGCAGAGCCTCAGGGCCCCACATCCTGGAGAAAAATGAAAGTTTCCCTCCCCATCCCCAAGCCCAGCAGGTGGGAAGGGGCTGTTGTCCTGGGGATCAAAGTGCTGCTCCTGTTCCAGCCTTTTTTTTTTTTTTTTTGACTCTGTGTACATTGGGTATTTTATTAGAAACTTTCATGTTACTGCTACGTAAACACTGCTTCAAAATAATACATAAGTTAAAAACTTGTCAAGCAAGTTCTTCATCAGCTGTACTCCTAGAATTAAACACACATCACACACATACAAGTCACCAACCCCCACAAAATGTTTAATTTAACTGACCTTAAAATTTGGAGAAAAGTATCGGTTGGCTTATCTTTTAGCAAATGACACAGACAAAGACTATGGCCCCTTCTGAACTGGGACCGGGAACCTACTGTTGTGTGTTTCCCAAGCACAGCCTGCTCAATGGGAGCCTTTGTTTCTGCAGCCAAGAAGAAGGCGGGGAGGGGCTGGCACGGTGACACCTAACTCCTGGCCCAGGCAGCGGAGCCAAGCTAGTCCCCAGGCATATGCTGAGGCTCCCTAGCTGGCTGGCACTGGCTCCTTGTGGGAAGTGGCAGGGCAGGCTGGGCAGGCACTCCCTTCTCCATCTAGCACCTGACCCTTCTCTCTGACTTCCTTCTAGCAAGGGCTCTGCTGACCAGCGTTCCCAGCAATGCTCTGGCTGTTCAAACCACAAAAAAACAGTGTGTGTAAATGATACATTTTGTGAATGAGTGCACAGCAGCCCAAGGGGGTGTGCCCAGATGTGCATGTCTCAGCACAGGAGTAGCATTTGCACACACCTATGGGGGGCAGAAGTGTTCTGGACCACAGGAGACTGTGTGCAAATAAACACATCTTTCCTCGCAGGCAACCAAGGCTGGGTATGAGGCTTCTCTGGCTAGGAAACAAACATCTTTTTTCAAAAAGGGATTTGACTCTGGGAAAAGTTATGGTGCTCAAATGATTGGAAACTGATATTCCTGAAGGAGAACCTTCTAGGTTTATCAACATAGGGCCCCACTCTCAGAAGACCAGGTGCTGCTGGCTTAGAAAGGAGGCAGAGACGACAGATGACCCAAGGAATTCTAAATCATCTTCGTTTCACCCTATCTCCTGTCTCAAGGTACCCACCTAACTCTACTGAACTTATATGAGCTTCCATTGCAGGATCAGGGCCAAGCCTGCTGCTGGGGAAAGACAAAGAGGGCCCTCTGGTGTCTGGGTCATCCTGGACACAGGCAAAATGTATCTTCTTCAGTAAGAGATACAGCTTTGAGGGCATCTTCCAGTAATTCTTCAAATATGAAAGGACAATTGTTAAAATGACAGCATTCTAAAAGTTTTTTTTTTTTTTTTTTTTTTTTTTTTTTGAGATGGAGTCTCACTCTGTTGCCCAGGCTGGAGTGCAGTGGTGTGATTGTGGCTCACTGCAGCCTCTGCCTCCTGGGTTCAAGCGATTCTCCTGCCTCAGCCTACTGAGTAGCTGGGACTACAGGTGCACGCCACCACACCCAGCTAATTTTTGTATTTTTAATAGAGACAGGGTTTCACCAGGATGGTCTCAATCTTCTGACCTCGTGATCCACCTGCCTCAGCCTCCCAAAGTGCTGGGATTATAGGCGTGAGTCACCATGCCTGGCCTCTAAAAGGGTTTTATGCCTTATGCACTGTCGGTGAGTGTTTAGATTAGCACAACCATTTTGAGGAGTAATTTGGCAGTTATTACTAAAACCTAAAATGACCCAGAAAGTCTTCCTCTTGGAATCTTTCCTGCAGAAATACCAGCACCTAGACACCGGTGGTTGGCTGTGGATATTCACTGTGGCTTTGTATGTAGTAATGTCTGTTTGGAAACAACCTAAATATCCATCCACAGGGGGCTGGCTAAAAAAATCGTGGCACATCTACACTCTAAGATAATAGTCTGTATGTACTAAGATGGATGAATGTCTATGATTCATATTTGAGTTAAAAAAACAAATTTTATAAAAAGGGTATATTAAGACTCAATGTTTGTTTTCAAAAGACAACTGTGCAGCTGTGTATACATATATATGCAAACCTCGTGCAAAGAATAACTTCTAGAGAGAGAGTTACATATTTGCTAACAGTGGTTAACTTTGGAGAGTTTGAATTTTTCACAGACAGGGTATTATTGACTTGGGAAATTAAAATAATATTTTAAAGATGCTTTAACCTTTAGTCTTTTAAACTAAATTAACTGTGCAGCTCAAAATTTATTTTAGGGTGACAGCTTGAATTTTTCTTTTTTCTTTTTTTTTTTTTTTTTTTTTGAGATAGAGTCTCACTCTGTCACCCAGGCTGGAGTGCAGTGGCGCGATCTCAGCTCACTGCAACTTCTGCCTCCTAAGTTCAAGCAATTATCCCACCTCAGCCTCCTGAGTAGCTGAGACTACAGACACACACCACCATGCCAAGCTAATTTCTTTTTTGTACTTCTTTTTTGTAGAGATAGGAGTTCACCATGTTGGCCAAGCTGATCTTGAACTCCTGACCTCAAGGGATCTGACTGTCTTGACCTTCCACAGTGCTGGGATTACAGTCATGAGCCACCATGCCCAGCCCAACTTTTCTTTATACCCACAAGATTTCTAATATTCTGGAACTATGGAAAGGGCTCTTGTCTGCTTGGTCTCTCCCTCTTGGTTCACCTTCTGACCAGTAGCACCCTAGAAGTGAGCCCTGGGCCATGGGGGAGTTTTCTCCTTATAAAATTAACTATCCCATATTGGGTGGGAAAGTCATTGTTTGGCAATGCCTTATTCAGTGATGTCACCTGTCCGCCCAGAAGCTTCCTGCAGAAAACCCACACCAATTCCACCCAACATGGAGAAGACTCCATCTCTCCACAGAAATTACTGGGCAAGGACCAGGGCACCTCTGCCTACAGCCCCCATATGTGCAGACGCTATCACGCACTATGTGTGCATCAGTTTAGTTTCCATGTGGAGGAGTCATGGTGTGCTGGGACATCACTGGGCTGGGGGTCCTAGGACCTGGGCTGTAATCCTAGACCCGTTCCTTACTTCTGCAAGCCCTTAGCAATTGTCTTCATCTGTCTAGCTTTCAGTGTTCAACATAAATTGATCTCTATTGTCCTTTCAAGCCAGAAGATTCCATCATAACTAACTATCTTAAGGCTGGAAAAATCTCCAGGAGTGTCACTCCAGGATCTCCCTCAATTTTATTCTCATCTTGGTTACTTCATCTATCTGTATGATAGGGACCCTCAGCTCTGCCCTTTCCCTAGCTCTTGTGATCTCAAAAAAGTACAGTGATATCAATCTGAAATATACTTTGAATTCTAAGAAAGGAAATTGTCGCAACTTCTAATGATGAATTATGAAACCACTAGAGTTTACTGTGGCCATTTCTATCTATCATTAACATAAACAATTGTGAGGGTGAGTAAAGGGTTGTGTGCACATCCTTTCTGAGAGAATGGAGAGAGCACAGGCTTCTGAAGTCCTAGATTCAACTCCTGGCTCAGCCACTTATCAAAAATGTGTCTTTGAGCCTCGGTTTCCTCCTATGCATAAAGGGAGCAGTATTAGGTGACGATTAAATCCTGTTGTCAGTGCTCAGCAACGTCCCTTCTTGCCTTTCTCTGTGTGGGACTGGGAGGACAGTCAGGGGACCCAGCGGCGCTGTGCCAGCCTTCATGCTTTCTAGGCTGCAGACGTAATGCAGAGCTTCCCGCTTCCATCTGCCAGGAGCTGACCCCACCGGACTGTAGTAGTAGGCCAGTTGCTTTCCATTAGGAAGTTCGTTTTCAAGGGGTGAGTGGTGGTGGTGGTACGGATAATGCATCCATTTCACATTTTGCGCATCTGGGGAGTCTGATCTATATCCGACTAAGGCTCAGAATAGATTCCCCATTCCAAAATGAGAAATGGCTATTAGAGCTATATTTAGACTAGGGGTTCAGTGAGCTCAGAAATAATTGCTGGCCCTGGGGTGGAGATGGGGTAGGAGGAGGCTAATTCCAGGCTAATTTGGGCCCATTCTCAGGGGGGGTGGCCTGGGGGAAGGCCGGGAGTCTCAGCCACCCTATTTCTGTCCATTCAGGCCTCTGCTACAGCAACAGACAACCCCCAATACCAAAATGCCATTGCCTATGACAGACAAGCTCAGTAGATGGAGAACCTGGGAGAAGGATCTAAAAGTGTAGCAGCCCACAGGGAGGGGCAGCAGATAGGTGGAGGCTTTTAATAACTGAATGTTAGTCAGGAGTCTGTGGGTCACAGGGGACCTGGGACCTGCTGCTGCTGGGACCTGGGCTGTGCAGTCTGAGAGCTGATGCTTAGATCTTAACTCTGCCACTTAAGAGCTTGGTCAGGCGCACTCAACATTCTCAAGCCTCTGAAAGCTATGCAGATTAAATGACATAATACATGTAAAACACTCAACACAGTCCTAGACCATCCAAACCTAACACCCAGCATCTGTCCTTATAGGCACGACCACCATGGCCAACTCATCTTTTGGGTTTGCTTTTCCTGGGACAGACAACATTCACGTTAATGCAAAGTTCAATTTTAAAATTCAACTTTAAAGGTTTCCAGATGTGTCCCTGTGATTGCTGAATACTTCAGCCCTCAGTTACCATATATGTAAGTGCTGGAAAAGGAGTCAGAACTGAAGAGAACTTGTGATGGGATCTCACAGTCTTATTCCTAACCTGACCACTGACTCCACTGGGTGATGCCCTGTGATCCCCAGGCCTAAAGAACCCCTCCCTATCAATAGGGCTTTGGCCACACAGCACAGCCCCAGAACTTTCCAACCAGTTCCCTGTCTCTTTCTCTCCTCTCTTCAGCTATTCTGAGAGCTTTTGCTCTGCTCTTGAATTGCATAGGAAGGAAAAGAGGAAAACCCCAGCAAGTAAGTTTTATTGCCCCAGCACCTGGAAAAGTTAAGAAAAGACAGGGAACACTTCCAACTATCTGATGAAATGAGGTCAAGGTTATCTGTGTTCTTTATTTAATCAGGGTCTCCCCTGACCTCTGTGAACAAGCATAACCAAAAGCGTGCCCTGGGTCTGGGATAGGAAATCATGCTGGCTCCTAGCCAAGTACAAGAGGCCGTGCTGTGTGCCGGCATGTTGGGACATGAGTTGGCACGGCACGTCTGGAAGGCCAGGGTCAGGCAGTGAGGCCCAGCATGGTGGTATTTGGCACAGAATCCAGCAGCCCCTGCTGTGACAGGGACATGAGGATGCAGCCTCCAGACACAATTAAACATGGGGCATTTGCTGAGTTTGCAAACAAACCTGCAGGATACAGGGCTGAGGCAGCAGCAAGAAAACGGATGTGACAATTCAGGGCAGGTAGCATGCCATACGTGGAATTCATTTTCGAATGCTTTTCTCCTCCATTAAGCCTGCTTCGGATGTTGCTGGGAATATAGCTTAACCTGGACCAGGGTCTGGGGCAGAGTGGGGCTGGTTTGGGTTGTGTGCCTCCCCAGGCAAGTTCACCATGCCACCGTTTGCTGAGTTGTGGGCCACCCCTCAGGGATGCTCACAGTTTAAGGGGAGAATCAAGGCACTTACAAGGTGCTAAGGAGGAGGGAAAGGCAGGAATTTGGGGTCTAGGTTAATTGGCTCCAAACTTCACTGAGCAACAGAATCAACAGTAGATTCTGTTTTGCTGGATTTAAGATGCTGGTGCCTGGGCCAAGCTCTGAGCAGCAAAATCAAAATTCCCAGGAGCTGGGCATCTGTATTTTCTCAAGGCCCTGTACTCCTCCACTCATTCCCCAACCCATGACCCTGTTAATGGGCTGGGTTTGGGACAACTGGCCTTGACCATAGGGAGCAGAGGAGTTAGTGATTTGAGGATTATGCATTTTGCCCTGGAATCTGAGTGATACGGCAGGTGGAAGGCTATGGGGGCACAGGGACAGGGTGGGGGTGAGCATAGAGATAACACTGGACAGCTGTACATGGCTTCCCCATTCATAAGCAATTTCACAGCCATGGTTGCCTATGACCACATTCTGGTGAGGTAGCCAGCTCAGGGAGGACAGCCTCCAGTTTACAGATGAAGACACAGGTTGGGAGGGGTTAAGCGACTTGCTCAAGGTCACGCAGCCTGTGAATGGCAGTGCCAGGTCCCTAACACAAGGTGTCTGTGACCAACGGCTGCTCTATGACATGGCGCAGCCTCCTTTCTCCACTCCAGTCCCCTCTCTTGCAGGGGCCAGGTGGCTGTAACTCTCTCGTGATGAGCTGCAGCTGCCTAATTGGTTGCAGAGGCAAGTTGTCCCAAACATCATGGACAATGATGAAGGCAGAGTTGGCTTGGAGAATTTCCATTCAAATATATCTTATAATCACTCTTTGGCCAACATGTTTCCCTCACAAGGTCTGTCTCCTTCTACATGACACACATCTCCAAATAAGGCTCTCTATCATCTGGGGCCTGGCAAGATTCTAGACAATCGCTCAGTGTGGTGGTGCAATGTCACCCTGGCCAAACCCAGCAGGGGCTGGTATGTCTGACTTCATGAGACTTTACCAATTATGGAATTGTTTCACTGGATCCAGGGGCTGCAGACTTCAGGGCTGGCCATATCCTGAGGCAACTGCTGCCTGGAGCTTGGTAGGGAATCTACATCCTGTCTTGGGGCCAAGGGTATGGTCTGGGGACACAGAGCAGCAGGAGCCCACAGGTGGGCCAATTCTTTAGGACAACCTGACCTTCACAGGGCTCCCAGGCTGCTAGAACTGAGTGGGCCATTAGTTCTGACACAGATGCTCAGTTGTGGCCCTGTAGATTTGAAGGGAAGGCCGTGGGCTGGTTTACTAGGCCATGTTTTCCGAGGCGTCTTTCCAGCTATGCTGAAGAATCAGTCTGACCTTGCAGAATGTCTGTAGATGGAGGAATTGGAAGGGTCCCTCTCAGCTTTCTGTGCCATTCACCCTGGTCCAGCCAAGGGAGAATCCAGCAAAATCATTGACATGCAAAGGCATCTTTGGCTAGCATGGGCCTTAATAAAGCCAGCTCTCTGAGATGGAGGGTGTAGCTGGAAAAGGGTCATTGAAGGCAGAAAAGTTGGACAGAAAGCTCCACCCCGTAGGGCCCATCTAATCTCTGCAAGACTCCTGGCCTGGAAGGCCACCCTGGTCTGCCCTCATGTCGGGTCACTGAGACTCAGCAAAGCCTGGAGAGGGTCTCCCCACCCCTGGTGCTTCTCTGGCCAATGCTTCTTCAAGGAGTGAAGGGAATCTGAAAACAGTGCAGACCAAATAGCTGCTGTGTCGACGAAAGGCGGCCGGGGGCTGAGCAAAGGGTGGCATTGGTGACACCACAGGGTATGAAAGGTTAGCTTTGCATGCCTCAGCTCCCTATTAGATTTTCCCTTTTCTTCTTCCTGCTTTCATTCTTTATCAGAAATTGCCTAGTGGGCTCTCTCTCACTCATACTTCAGCACGAATGGGCTGGCGTCAGGCCGTTGCTGGCAGTGGCTGCTGCAGGCTTGTTTTTGGGAGCAGAGTCAAGGAGCAGAAGTGAAAGTCCTGTGTTCTCAATGACTCCAGGAGCAGGAGACCCTGCCTGACCATAGCCCCTGCCTTTGGGGCTGGCCTTTTCTCTTTTCTCACCACTCTCCTCCTTCCTGTCCCCTGTGATCAGTGACCCTGTGACACTCATGTGCACAATTCTGTAGGAGCTATGCTTAGACCTTTTGTGATGCTTGGAGAAACCACCCACACCCATCCAGACCCCAGATCCAGGAAAACACCTGGGAAGAAGACAAAAATAACTATGAAAGCGTAGGTTGGCTGCACTAACCTAATTCTAGGACCAAAGAATCCCAGAGTTGGGTAAAAACTTAGTTGCCTAATCCAAACTTTTATTGGATATAACCACTCAATGCAGATATTTATGCTATGTGTTTGCCAGTTACATCCAATTTGAAGAAAAATAATAAGAATAACATCATTAAATATAATCAGACATGACTTATGAAAGGGTTTGATGCAACATTAAACTGTGTTTACTGGTACTGTTGCCCTAATTTATTGCTTGTGTGCCACGGTAATCTAATCATAATTACAAAAACAAATAGCTAGGAGCATTCTTTACATCTCTTGGTGACTTAGCTTCTAAAGAGGTCCCTCCTCCATCCCTAGCAGACAGTATTGAGCCACTTCAGGGTTTAGAGTTCTTAGGATACCCTAAATGAATAGCACAGAAAGCTTGGATGGACCCTCCATCTACAGAGAGTCTGCAGGCTCAGACTTATTTCTCAGTACAGCTGGGAATATCACTCAGAGATCATGGCTTAGAAAACCAGCCCATCTAGCTGGGTGTGGTGGCACGCACCTGTAATCCCAGCTACTTGGGAGGCTGAGGCAGGATAATCACTTGAACCCAGGAGACAGAGGTTGCAGTGAGCCAAGATGGTGTCACTGCACTCCAGCCTGGGCAACAAGAGCAAAACTCCAACTCAAAAAAAAAAAAAAAAAAAAAAAAAAAAAAAAAAAAAGAAAAAAGGAAAAAAGAAAAGCAAAAGAAAACCAGCCCATGGTATTCCCTTCAAACCTCCAGGGCTCGGTACCTGTGGGATAAGGTGTGCATTCCCAAGGCCCTCCAGCCAGACTGGACTCACTGAAGCCTTTGTGCATCTTGGTTCTTCTATAGTGAGGGGCGGTCCATCCACTACCCACCAAATGAGACCTGCACACAGATGTTTATAGCAATGTTATTCATAATTGCCAACACTTGGAAGCGAACAAGGTGCCCTTCAGTAGGCGATGGATAAATAAATGGTGTGGTACATCCAGACAATGGAATATTATTCAGTTCTAAGAAGGAATGAGCTATCAAGCCATGAGGAGATATGGAGGAACCTAAAATGCATATTATTAAATGAAAGAAGCCAATCTGAAAAGCCTACATTGTGTGATTCCAACTATATGACCTGGAAAAGGCAAAAACTATGGAGACACTAGAAAGACCTGTGGTTCAATGAGATATAATCTCATACCTGTCAGAAAGGCTATTATTAAAAAGACAAAAAATAACAGATGGAGAGGTTGTGGAGGAAAAAGGACACTGATGCACTATCGGTGGGAGTGTAAATTAGTTCAGCCCCTGTGGAAACCAGTTTGGAGAGTTCTCAAAGAACTTAAAACAGAACTGCCATTCAACCTAGCAATCCCATTACTAGGTATCAACCCAAAGAAAAATAAATTGTTCTACCAAAAAGACCTGCACTCGTATGTTTATCGAAGTACTGCTCACAATAGCAAAGACATGGAGTCAACCTGGATGCCCATCAATGGAAGACTGGATAAAGAAAATGTGGTATATAGATACCGTGGAGTACTATGTACTCATAATAAAGAATGAGATCATGCTTTTTACAGCCACGTGGATGCAACTGGAGGCCGTTATCCTAAGCAAATTAATGCAGGAACAGAGAATGAAATACTGTATGTTCCCACTAATAGGTGAGAACTAAACAGTGAGTACACATGGGAACATAAAGATAAAGACGGGAACAACAGACGCCAGGGAGTACTAGAGTGGGGAGGATGAAAGGGGGCTGAGGGTTGAAAAACTGTCTATCTGGTACTATGCTCACTACCTGGGTGGTGGGATCATTTGTACACCAAACTTCAGCGACACGCGATTTACCCATGCAACAAACTTGCACATACATGTGTTGAACCTAAAATAAAAATTAAAAAAAAAAAAAGGATCTGTGGTTTTCAGGGGTTGGACGGGGTTGTGGGAGTGGAGAGGGATGAATGGGCAGAGCACAGAGAATTTTTAGGGCAGTGAAACTCCTCTGTATGATATCATAATGGTGGATACCTGTCATTACACATTTGTCCAAACCCATAGGATGTACAACCCCAGAGTGAGCCCTACCAAAGACTGTGGACTCTGGATGATAATGATATGTCAATGTAGGTTCATTGATTGTAACAAAGGGACCACTCTGGTTGGGAATGTTGATAGTGGTGGACAGTGGGAGGAGGCAGGGGGTTTATAGGACCTCTTTCTGCTCAAATTTGCTGTGAACCTAAAACTGCTCTAAAAAATAGTCTATTCAAAAATAGTAAGTTAGAAAACAGGCAGTATACTACTGTTTTATCATTCCTTTAATGAATACACCTACATTCAAATGTCCTTCCTTGCTCTCACACGGCCAAATCTGACATGCCCAGGGGACATGGAAGAAGGGGAAGGAGCAGAACTGCCACCAGTACTGGGGCTGCTGCAAAGGCTGAGGGACCCAATGTGGAGAGCCAAGGTTGGGAAGGATGCAGAGTCCTGCGGCTGCGATGCCTGCAGTGGGCTGGAACAGAAAAAGGCTACTCAGTAAAATTTGGCAACGGACACGAACTCACTTTCTCTCTCCTAGCTGTGCTTTTCCTGCAGGGACTGAACAAGGGCAGTGTGTGCACATGTGGGAGTGCCAGAAGCACCAGCGCAATCCAGATGTGCCCAGGCCCATCTGTGCGTGAAAATGCAGACACACCACACTATTTATCAATTAGTGTCTGCTGCTGCCAGTGTCACCAGTTCTCTGCCTGATGAATGATGCTAGGCTGGACAAGCCACACCCCAAGGTATTTCCACTGTCTGCAGCAAAGCCCACCAGGGGCTGTCAATAAACATCCCCAGCATAGCCCCCAGGCACTGAATGATGGGAGTGGGTCAGATGGGCACAGCCCTTCAGGACCCGGGCAGCTGCCGGCCAGCCTCGAGCAGTCCACTAAAAGAAACAGTTCCAGATGGTGCCTCCGAGCACATCCTCTGGGTAGCAGCCACTCTGCCCTAGTGCACAAGACATGGCTAGATTTCAGCCCCTACTCAGCCCCTTGGTGAGGAGTCCTTGTGCAGTGACCAACCTACACAACAGTATACTGTGGCTCTGTGAGCACCTACACACACAGTCCCAGGGAAATGAGTGTATCTCAGAGATCCAGGAGACCCAAAACCAATCTCAGCTCTGCCTTACTTCACCAGCAGAGGTTGACCAAATAGATCAACCTCTCAGGGCTGCCGTTTTCTCAGCTGTAAAATGAGAGGCTCCTTCCTGCTCTAACAATCCAAGATATATGGGAAATTGAGAGTACATTTCCCTTCCTTTCCCCGGGTTGCCCCCCTTTCCCTTCTTGAACTTGACCCAGCCCTTCCAGACCAGGCTAAAACTGAAAATCAATTTTAATTATAAAAATCCGTTTACTGTATCAATAAATCATTCTGGCTCGGCTTGGTGGTGGGGAGAAGGTTACACCTGGAACCAAGCTCATAAGTCACTCTCTCCCTCTGCCTTGCCGCTCGGGGGCTGCCACCCCTCTGCTCCCTGCTCCAATATTCATCTCCGTCATTAGGCTGTGGATTATTAATGATGTCCTGGGCTGATGGATCGGAGCCCAGATGCTCTGAAACACATTGTGCTGGTTGTAACTTGATTTTCAGTGGACCCCTTGACAGCAAACCTTGATGGGCTTTTTCCCCTTTCCATGGAGGGGGTAAAGAGGGGAGTAGGACTGTCCTTCAAGGTGGTCCCATGGCTGCAGGTAGGAAAGAGTTGGTGGCACAGACAAATGGGGTGAGCCTGCCTCTCCCAGCCCACTTACTAGGAGACAGCACAGTGTTATGTACATGTCAGGTTCCCATGGCAATGAGACTTTTAAATTAATTAACTGATCAATTAATATTGTTGTTAGGCTTATTCCTTGCGTGCACTAAGGAGAGAGGCACCATCTGCTTTGGATGGCATTTCGGGGGAAGGGGGAGCTCCTCTGCTGGCTTAAGCTCAGTGGGGAGGCTGGGGAGGAAGGCAGAGATGCTGGGTCTAAGGGGTCAAAACATCAGCGGACTGCCAGTCCCTAGAGACCACTTGTCGTTCATGACTCCCTAAGGTCAGTGGTTCAAGTTCACACAACTCTGCGTAACACCACAACCCAAGGTTTGGATGGAGCTGGGGGCGGGAAGCCACAAATAGTGGGTGGCTCAGTGGAACCAATTCCTCTTACTAGGGGGGTTGAAGTCTCACTTCCTTTATGGCATGTGACCCCTCGTAAGCTTCCAGTGCTTTATGTTGTCTGGGCCCCTGAGCCTTACATCCAGGCAGCCTGCACAGGACCACTGAGGAAAGCACAAGTCCATATGAGAGAGGGAGGCTGAGCTTCTCCCCTGGGTATCCACAGCTTTCCTGTTCTCCCTCACATCCATCTAGTTGGCAGAGATGCAAAATGGGAACTTCTGTGGAAAGGAACCTGGCATGGCTGGCCCACCACCAGTGGGGTGGGGACTGCAGGACTGGCCATGCCAAATGTGTTCTGGCCATGCCATCCACACTCACCACCACCCTGCACAGGCTTACCAAGAGGCAGGCATCTGCAGCACTTCGACCCTGCAAGCCAGCAGCCCCGTGGCACCCCATCAGAGCAGGCTGGGGCAGCAGCCTACTGTTTACTAGAGACATGCCTGGGCTGAGTTATGAGTGCCTCCGAGCCTCAGCTTCTTTACGGTAAAATAGGGGTAAGAAACCCTACCTGGGTTGTTCTGAGAGCTTGTCACACTCTAGTTCTGGTTTGGAAGCTTTACCCATAGTTAGAAGACAGAGCGGAGCTGACACTTACAACCTAGCAAATTGTCCACTGCATGCATTGATTTTGTGGGAGAGAAAACTAAAAGTAACACTCCAGATGAGATTTTAGGATTGTTTATGGAGCACTGGACTCAAAATCAAAAGACCTGGATTTGAGAGCTGACTGCCACATATCGGCTGGGTGATTTTTGAGAAGTCATTTAACCTTTCTCATCTGTCACATGAGATAATGGTGCCAACTTCAAGGAGTTGCTGGGTAGGTTCAATGAGAGATTGTGTGGAAAATCGCTTGGGAAATAGCAAGTACTAAACAGATCCATGGCATCATTTCATTTGCTACCACTGTACCGTTAGCAAAGATAATTTAGAGTTCGCCTGTATCAAGCTTTCTAGGGTGCATAAATGATAGTAACTATTAACTTCTTGATTCAGTTCTTTCACTGCCTTCCATTAAGGCACCAGAAGAGAAATCATTTTTCCTTTTTTGTTCATCTGCTCGTCATTATTTCAGATATCCCGCTGCACTCAGATACAAGACTGAAGAAGCAAGAACGTTATAAAAAAGAAAGAATGAAAAGAAAGAAGAAAAGCAACTAAGCCCAGAGATGGATCCCAAAACTGAAGAATTGGTTTAATTAAATTGAAAGCTCTGGTGCTTGTGGTAATTGCTATGAAGGAATCCATATCCCATCAGAACCCTCTCCCCTGGAGTTTGCTCCCTCTACTTTCTCTGCAGCAGGTACTAAAATTGCTTTTATCTTTAGGGAGATGCAGCCCACAGGGCCCAGAAATTATTGTGGGGTCAACTGTCTGGAGTGGGGCTTAGGGAGTAGTAGCAAATAATTCGGTCCAAACCTGGCTTTGACCTTGAATTTCCCCAACTTAGACCTCACTCTTTTTTTTTCTGCAAATGAGGCCTCATATGCCCTGGTTTGCAGAGACACTTAAAAGTAGGCAGTGCTTGCTTTTGTGGCCCCTCTGCTACTTCTGCTATACACAGGGCGAGCTGGGTTTATAACACCACCTAAACCACAGGCCACGCTGGGCTCCTCATGCCCTGAGCTACCTCATCTACTCTTTGGGCATCATTTGGCTCTGGGAAATACTGTCGGTCCTCCCCGCTTTTTTTTTTTTTTTTTTCTTTTTCTTTTTGTAGACAGAGTCTCACTGTGTTGCTCAGCCTGGAGTGCAATGGCGCCATCTCGGCTCACTGCAACCGCCGCCTCCTGGGCTCAAGTGATCCTCCTGCCTCAGCCTCCCAAGTAGCTGGGATTACAGGCGCCTGCCACCTCACCCAGCTAATTCTTGTATTTTTAGTAGAGATGGGGTTTCACCATGTTGGCCAGGCTGGTCTCAGATTCCTGACCTCAAGTGATCTGCCTTGGCTTCCCAAAGGGCTGGGATTACAGGCATGAGCCACTGCACCCAGCCCTGTCTGTCCCTTTTAATGCTAATAGAGAAACTTGATCCCAGAAGTAGATAAAATCAGCTTTTAAACAACGACAAATGCAACAAGCAATGGCAGGCCACAGGAAGCAATTAGGAATAGTGAGCGGGAAGAGCCCTGAAGAGACCTGGGTTTGAGTCCCAACCACACCATATACCAGGTTCATAACTTTGAGAAACTCTGGGTGTTGAGTTTGAATTGTGCTTTGGGGTCAGCTGGGTCCTGCCTGATTGTCCAGGTTTCAAAACCATTCTAAGCATCTAGATCAAAACAGGTTGTTTCCATACTTTCAAAAACACTATTTTGTTTACCAATTATCAAGCATTTGTTAAGTGTCTATCCCAAGCTAAGTACTGTGCTATATTGGTCAGGTCAGGCAACGCAGCACCTTAAAAGTTGAAGAGAAGCCTTTGGAACCATTATTCATTCATTCAATTGAATATGGTCAATTGGCATCATGAATCTAACAATTAGGAATTGGGTAGCAATATGAAGGGTGTGTATGGGAAGGATCAGGTGGCAGGAGAACAGCAAGAAGACAGGATTGGGGTCATTTTCAGTCCTGGGCAAAGAATTGAGCATGCAGACAAGATCAGTGGGGTCCTTCCTAGGTATTTATGAATCCCTGAATCTCAAACTGAATACCTTGTGTAGCAGAAGCGAGCGTACACAGACCCTAGCAGATACACATGTGAATCTGGGTAGTCCCTGAAGAACAGGACAGGGCTCAGCTGCAGGTACCGTGCACTATGACCCTGCCAGCCACACACATGGGCACTAACATTCTGAGCAGTCATCTAGAAGCCAGCAGCCAGTGCAGGATGGGGGTCCCAAAGGGCTTGGGGAATCCACAAACCACATGGTCACACCCTTAATGCCGAAGAGCAGGGGAAATGGAGGTGCACACAGGTCCTAACTATAACATGAAAAGGGATGGGTGGGAATAAGAAAAAGTCATTAGAAAAGAGGAGCTCTAAAATGGCTCAGAATCAAGAAGAAGTTGACTCAGTATCAATGTGTGGCTCAGCAGACATCAAATCCCATGATAAAGCCTTGTTTCCCTATGTTCACTGGGCTGGAACCCAAACTGAATCCAGCTCTAGGGAAAAAGAGAAGGTTTGGGGTAAGAGTGTGTGTATATGTGTGGTGTATGTGTCTGTGTTTGGGTGTGGGTGTGGGGGGGAGGGTAAGGAGCTGAATTTTAAAAATCCATCACAATCAATTATCACAAGTATGTCCATTTTTCCAGCCTGCTAGCCAGAGTCAAAGACTGTGTGCATTTGAAATCTCCAACCTTTTAAAACATTACTGTGAAGTTGAAAGTTCCTGGTGTCTTTTGATTAAACATCGTGCTAGGTAATGACTGTTTTACTTCTTATTCTTTTTTGCCCCCTTCAAATTACTGATTGTTGTCTGACATTAAGGCCCCATTTGCTCTTAGGAAATTAACAAGCCTACGAAACTCTTAATGAATTGAAACTCATCAAATGTTTGGAAACTATGGCAGTCTTAAGATTCTTTTCCTTTTAATCTATCTCTCTGTGAAATGTCTCATTTTTTCCACATATTCACTTGGATTCAGACAGCTGCACTTTAGGAATTAGGTTTTGAGTCTTGCTTATCTGAAGTAGCAGGGAGTCACCTGCCCACAGAGGTGCAAGGGCTTGAGAACTTGGGTGGTTTCTCCAACCAGCAACGTGCTTACTGTCTTTCTGCATAAGCATCGACCTGGCTGCACCAAGTGATTTCTACTTTCCATCCAAGGGTGCCTTAGAGCTTTAATACATTTGAAAAGACATTTCTAGGGTACAGTCTGGTCATCAAACAGAACTACTTCCATTTTGGAATAAAGTGACTGGGCTTCAAAGGGATTAATCTTGTGTATGGGCCATGCCACCTGCTAGGGAGTTGTGAGCTAATGGTGGGCATCCTTGAATCCCATCTTATCTGGATAGTTTCTCCTTTTCTAATGCCATCATCATCTAGCAGCAGACCATATACAGAGGTTCCAGTTGAGACCTTCAGCTTTGTGAAGGGCGGGAATTCCTGAAACTGTCGCAAGGCTTGGGGTCTGAGGAATACATAACCACCCAAGTAAGGAGCATCCAGGAGCAAATTCCACACTATCTCTTGCCTCAGAAGTCAGGAAAAATAATCAGGTAACTAGGAAACCCTGAGGAAATTTCAGTCATCAGTTCACCTTGGGAAGTGGAGTTGTTATGTGAGTGTTTATGTTCAGGTGTGTCAGTAGGAGGAGCCTGATGAGGATGAAGAATAATGAGCATAGCCCAAGGGGAACACTTTCCTCTCTAGTCAACAACCATTTCCAATCCTTGGACAACCAACCACACAGTCGCAAAGCCAGGTGTCCTTGGACACATGTGAATGGGGAGAGGGGTGTGCCCAGCTCACAGAGCCCTCAGCCCTAGAGCAGTTCTGACCTTGACTTAGTATATCTTCCAGCTAATCATGAGTCTAGACACACATGCCCCAAATAGTCTTGGTAGAGGCTTCCCAGGGTGATCCACTGCTGTTAAGCTACATGGTGGAGCTGGGAACCACATGGCAATCCTTGGAAACATCATGCCATCATCTCATGGTATTTAGATTCTCAGCTCAAAACTTAGAGCTCTGCCATTGGCTTCTTATATGATATGGAATCTCAGCTCTTCAATCCTCAGAATGCAGGAAATGGTTTCTTACATGTATTCGGAAAACAAGCATACTATGTAGAACAAATAACACCTCAAACCAAATGGAGGCTGTTGCGAGTCCTCACCATAATAAAGCAAAGGAAAGAACCCGTGGGGTTTCTGCCCATGTCTGAGAGCTGAATTCTGGCTTCCTTGCTCCTGCTTACTTCTTAGCAGCAGGACCTTGGCCATCAAGAGTTAACTCCATCTGACTCTAATGCACGCACTGCCACCCAGAACAATAAGCCAGGCAATGGAGAATCCTGCCAGGACCAGTATTGATTGGCTTGCTTGATTAGTTGGTTAATTGAATATCACTGCTTTCTAATATAATTAAAACAAGATAAATACTGGGGCTTTGTCCCGTAAGCAAGTGCCATTAGTGATCATGGTACACACCGTGATTAAAAATGCAATCGACTGGGAGGGTTATTTATGAACTTGCCAGCCTCTAGTGCCACTCCATGGTTTGCAGGGCCTTGAGATACAACGTGGCTGGCATAGAGCTCCCTAACCTGTCATGACTGTGCTGGTCTCTTAAGAAAGGAACTTATTTCACAGGGGAATGCATGCAGGTAAAACTATTTTATGCTTGCCCCTAGCTCCCTTGCTTTAAAGTATCAGACAGTGAAACTACAGCACCATGGAAATACCATGCATGACAGTTTCCTCCTTTGCCTCACTTTCCTCATTCCCAAATATAAGACTGGCTTTCTGCCCACTCTGTGCAATTCTTTATTTTACCCTCATCCAGTTTCACCATGAGTTTGAAATTTTGTTTGGATCACTGGTCTGCTCATGAGACACTTATGAAAAATTACCTGAAGCAAGGCTAGTTGGAGTGTGGCTGGCGGGAGGGTCATGGGTCTTATTTACATAGGAGCAGAGGGGATCACCCCACAGGCTGCTAAGAGAGAGAGCTAAATGCTTCATGTGAACAGCGTAGGTGCCTATGGACTAATCTACTCCCACATGACATCTCAGACTGCTGGTGCCTCCAGGAGGAGGAAGGCTGCCAGGCTTCCTGGATGACAGATCTCAGCCCCCTTTTCTTGGATAGCATCTGTTGCTTCCTCAGTTGACCAAGGAATGTTTGTGGCATGTCAACTGCTGGCCTTCCTGGTGAATGTGTGGTGTGGGGAAGGAGTATCATGTCACCTTTTCCTGAGTCCCACTTATTGATGTTTCAGCTGTCCCTGTTTTGAGCAAGGGGACACGGTAGCACTTCATTTAGGGCTGGTGAAAGTCTCAGTTGGCAAGGCACTTGGAATACCTCCAAAAGTGGGGGCTATGTAAAAACAAAGTATTATTATTCTATTAGCTTGTGGTCTTAATATTTGGAATGTGTCCACATGACACTGGACACATGCGTCCTCCCCCACCTCTGGCTCTCCACATTGGGTCCCTCAACCTTTGCAGCTGCCCCAGTACTTGTGGCAGCTCTGCTCCTTCCCCTTCTTCCGTGTCCGTGGGACATGTCAGATTTGGGTGTATGAGAGCAAGGAAGGCCATTTGAATGTAGGTGTATTCATTAAGGGAATGATAAAATAATAGTACACTGCCTGTTTTCTAGCTTACTATTTTTGAATAGACTATTTTTTAGAGCAGTTTTAGGTTCACAGCAAATTTGAGCAGAAAGAGGTCCTATAGACCCCCTGCCTCCCCCGCCCCCACCATCTGCCCTCCCATGACGACAGCCTTCTCCACAGCTCCACCAGACCGGTGAGCAAACATTACAGACCAGATGAGAGTGAAAGGATGCTGCTCATGATGCCTAGAGTGGCATGGGACACCACATCAGCTCTCTTCAGAACTGGGTAGTGTTTTGATGACAGGTTAGGCATGTCTGAAAGAGCCAGCAGGATCTGAAGGTGCAGATGCAATCCTACTGTAGAAATAACAAAAAGCTGACCCACTGGTGGGACTCTGACACATTAATTTTTTTTCTGCCAAAAAAAGATCTTTTTTTTTTTCTGCCAACTGTTGCCCTTCCAAAAACATATCCCTCTGCAGGTTTTATTTTATTTTTGTCTTTTTCTGGGAATGTGGCTTCATTTTGTTGTCCTTTTCCCTGAGTGGCTGCCAGGTTTGGATGAACAGGAACACGCTGCTGGGATGTCTGATATTGCTATTGCTAGAGAGAAGAGAAAGGAATGAGGCAAATAGGGAGTCCTGCAGAGGGGAGAGGGAGCTGTCCCTAGTACATTATGGGAAGTCAGTGCTGAGGCCCCTACTTTTAATGGGAAATCACAAAGAAACGTGCTTGAGGGATTGACAGGAATAATAAAAAACACCAGCATGCTCAGAATCCATTCGGTTCACCCTCAGGTTTCTAAGAACTAAACTCATCGTCCTAAATGCTTACTTGGAGAGAAACCACTATACGTAAAGAGACATGTATATATGAAGAAACAAGGACATAGCCCTACCTACAGTTTTATTTTTATTTTGCCATAAAATAAATGCTTATTAATTTCCATACCACGTATGGAGAGAGCTGCCACATGTGAATTTCTTTTAGCAATAATTGCCGTGCCTGGGACTCCTTAAGTTATATATACCGCGGGAATAGTTTCCAAATAAGAACCCAGAGAGAGGGAGAGATTCACAGACAATAGCTTAAAAAGTCTAGAAATTATAGACCGATTGAGGTCAGCAAGAAACAAATTATTCAATATATCCCCTGAGGGCTAGAGCCAGACTTTCCCCTATGATTCCAAAATTACTTCGCAGTTTCATTAGGGTGAAAGGCAGTGCAGTCTCATGAGTTCAGAAAGTAAAGGTTGTTCCTTAAAATTTAGATAGACTTGACAACCACTTAGGATGGCATTTTGGCATTCTGTCCCTGCTCATCAAAGAAGTTGCTCAAATTTGTGGGATAGAGGAATGAGAGCAAGAAGTATTTTAATTGCAATACCTTGTGTTGTATATATGTAATACCTCTATGAAAATTCAGGAAATCAGTACTGCTAATAAACCTGATGTACAGGCAGAATCATTTACAATGCGGAGGAGCTGTCCTCAAGTTCTGGTGCTGAAATACAGAACCAAAGAATTTTATCATTTAAAGTGCCTACACAATATGAATGAATGTTTTCTCCTGGCTCGAGTAGAGTTGCTGCTCAACCATCTATGACCAATATAAAGCTAAAAGAGTACTTGTTCCATCAATAGAGAATTATAGAAAAATGTTTTTTGAAACTTTTCAATGCAGTGGAGATGAGTAGTACTCACTTACATCTGGTTCTTATTTTTTTCTGAGACACATAGAAATGGAGCTTCCCTACCCCCTTGCAGTTATGTGAGGCCATATGACTATCTAGTGGAATGTAAGTGAAAGTGAAATGTATAACTGCTGCACCAAAAGACTGAAGTCACTGTGTGACCATTCAGCTCTTTTCCCCCCACAGCAACAATAATATTGACCACGTTTGAGACAGAAGAGCCACAAGAGGGAATTAGCCTAAATTCCTAAGCGCCCACCTGGAAAGGATCCTCCTTGGAAGATCTGTCAGATCCATAGTAAACTTTGAATGAAAGAGAAATAAAATGTTATGTGTTAAAGTTCCTGAATTTTTGAAGCTTATCCTATTCTATCCTATCTCATCTTAATATACTAAGTTATTCATCTGGATGTCTAAAAACCATGACCATCACAATAAAACCTTACACTGCTATCAAAGTAATCAAATAAATAGATAGGGAAACAAGGAACTTTAGTCACTTAGGAAAAAAAAAAAAAAAAGAAACATACCTGACAATGTCCCCTCCCTCCACCCCAGTGGTTACTGGTACCTAGCTTTATTTGGGAAAGCAACAAAGGAAATATTTCCAGAGGCTGAGGCACCTCTTTGGTATAGAAGTCCATTTCTGCACTGCCTTTTAAAATGGTCAAATAATCCATGTTGAATTTCTGATAATCAGAGTTCTATGTATAAAGAAGCCAAGGTCAACACCACTGCCATGAAATGATGGATGTAACTATCAAGCAGAGGTCAAAGAGGATCAGAATTCAACAGAGACCATGGGATGTGGTCAACAGGAGGTCACAGGCTACCTTTTTAAAAGAGTAGCTTCATTGGAAAAACCAGATTACAGAGGGTTGGGGAAAGAGTTAGAGGTGAAAAAATGAAAGTAGAAACTCTAAACTACAGGCTCAAATTACGTGGTGGTAAAAGGAAAGAAAGAAAACTGTAGTTTAAAAGAGAAAAATAAAACTTGAGTTTGAAGGTAGAGGTGAAAAAACAGATGATAGGAAGAAATGCAAGATTTTGAAAATTTGGACAGAAAGTCCCATGTATGATTGAAGGAAGGAGGGATCAGAGCACAGGGGGAAGACACTTGTTACCAGGAGGAGAAACACATGAGGGTTTAGGTAGGTTTTTCTTCTGCATTTCTCACTTGAGTCAGTGCATCAACATACAACTAACTTCTAATGGCCAAGAACTCCAGGAATCATCGCAAACATGTTTTATGTCCTTCAGTCTTCCCTGCATTCTGTTATCATCAGTGCTATTTAACCTCCTCAATATCTCTTAACCTATACCTTTGTCTGCATTTCTACAGCCTTAAATCAGGACATTAATTTTGATGGAGCTATTCAAATCATAGCTTTACAAGTACATTACAAACTTCTCAGTTTCTCATCTGTAAAATGGAAACAAAAACAACTAATTTTTTTAAGCACTGCTGTGAAGATTAAATTAAATAAGCCCCTGGCAGTGGATCACAAAAACTTCTTGCTTGGTATCCCTAGCCCTGGATTTCCTAGTTTTTATTTATTCACTATTTTGTCACCAGAATGATCTGTTTGATCTGTTTGACAATCAAGTCTTGCATAGTTTCATTCCTGCCTAAATCAAGTCAGTTGGTCTCTTTCATTTATAGAGTAAAATCCAGGGGTTCTTTTAGTATGATACTAGGATACAGTATGATACAATTGTTGCCCAACTCTTCAGTCTTCACCAATCTCTCATCTTAACTTATGTCCCAGCAACATTACACTTCTTATAGCTTCCCTTAAGACACAGTAATGTTTCAAAGTTTCCTATGACTTTGTAATGCTGTTCCTTCTGCTGAAATGTCCATTTTCTCTCTGGTTTTCTCAGCAAAATCCTATTCATCCTTGAAACCCAGCTCATATTTGGCCTCCTTAAGAACGTTCTTCATCGCTCGTTCTCCATGTTACCTCTCCATAATGTATTCACTTCGGTTGTCACACTTAACTCATTATATTGTCATTTATGTCTTTGCATGTCAGCTTTCAATAATCATGAATGCTTTGAAGGGCAGGCTGTGTTTTATTTAACTCTGTAACTCTCTTTCCTAAAGCCATATCTACTACCTGGTAGGTATTCATCAAATGTTTGACAAATGAATAATTGAACAAATGCATTTGCCTGTATGGAGCAATCATAAAACGGTCATGAAGATGATCCCTACATAGCCCTCATCTTCATGGAGCAGATGTCATCCACTCTGAGTGATGTCTGTGTTTCTGGAATTGTTGAAAGTGGAAGCATTGGAACCTAATGTTGGGGGAAAATATAATACACTAAGCTCACACTGGAAACTCTTTGTTTGGAACTGAAACCCTTTAATTCATGCCTCATTGGTTTTCAACACACACACACACACACGCACACACACACACACGCACGCACACGCACACACCTCCCATCACTTTGTCTCCAGAATCATATTATAGGCTATCTCAACCTTGAGAATTGCACCCAGCTTTGCTGACTGACCTCAACTATGTACTGCTCAACTTTTCTTCTGACCTTGATTCTAGAATATAAGGGAAGCTATATTGATGAACAGCAAGATCCTCACTTAGTTATCTGCTGGGGTAGTATTATGCTGCATGGTAATTCCGCTTAGAGGCAAAGAGGAGAGGGGAGGTAGATCAGGGAAGCTGATGGCCATAGTGTTGACTGAGAACCTAGGACTCCCTACTTGAGTTTCCTCTCCATAGCCACAACTTGCTATGAGACTTCAGCTTGTTTCCCCCCATTTATAAAATGGAGAGAACTCTGTAACACCAGCTCTCATCTATCTACAAAAATAAAAAATGGAAAGAGACAGCCTCCAGCTTTTAAAGTACTGAAGGGGCGTTAAGCAGCAACTAAAGTCCAGAAGTCTCACTTGAGGAAATGAGAACTTATGCTCATGTAAAAACCTGGGTGAGAGTGTTTATAGGAGCTTTATTTATAATTTGAACTGGAAACAGCTCAAATGTCATTCAGTTGGTGAATGGGTACACTGAGGTTCACCCATGCCATAGAATACTATTCAGCAGTAAAAAAAAAAGGGGGCAACAACATGGATAAAGGTTAAAAGCACCGTGTTGAGTGAAAGAAGCCAATACAAAAGAGTATGTATTGTATAATTCCATTTCTAGGAAATTCTAGAAAAGGCAAAAATATGGTGACAGAATACAGGTCAGTGATTTCCAGGTGCTGGAGACAGGGAGAGAAGACTGACAGCAAAGGGTCATAAAAGAATTGTGGAGAGTGATGGCAATGTTTATATCATAAGTGTAGTGGTAATTACGCTAATATGTATATATATATATATATGTATATATTTCTATTTTAAGACCTATTGATTTTGAAATAATTTTGGACTTACAAAAAAGTTACCCAAATAGTAGAAAGAGCTTCTATATCCCCTTCCCCCAGCTTTTCCTAATGTTAAGAGCATATATAACCATGTCCTATGCTCAAAACCAGGACATTAACACTGGTACAATACCACGACCTAAGCTCTAGGCCTTATTCTGATTTCGCCAGTTCTTCTATTTAATTTCTAATTCTTTTCCAGGGTCCCCCATTCCATTTACTTGTTATAACTCCTTTGTAACCTCATCATCTCTCATTTCTACCAAGTCCTCAATCCTTCATTGTCTTTATGACTTTGACACTTTTGATGAGTACTAGTTGGTAATTTTGTAGAATGTCTGTCAATTTGGGATTGTCTGAGGTTTTCACATGATTAGAATGAGTTATATATTTTTGGCACGAATACCACAGAAATGATATTGTGCCCTTCTCAGTGCATCCTTTTTTTTTTTTTTTTTTTTTTTAAGAGACAGGGTCTCACTATGTCACCCAGGCTGGTCTTGAACTCCTGGCCTCAACTAATCCTCCTACTTTAGCCTCCCAAATTGTTGGGATTACAGGTGAGAGCTATAGCACCCAGCCTCAGTGCATCATATCAAATTGTCATGATGTTGTCAAGTCTTGTTACTGATGATATTAACTTTGATCATTTGGTTAAGATGGTTTCTGCTAGGTTTCTACACTATAAAGTTATTATTTTCCCTTTGTAGTTAATAAATATTCAGGGTCAATACTTTGAGACTATGCAAATATCCAGTTTCTCCTCAAACTGTTGCCCACAATTTTGTATCCAGTAGTGACTCTTCTCTATAATTATTATTGTAACATAATTAAAGATTTTTCCTCTTTTCTTCCACATTTAAAAATCTTGATTTTGTCTTCTAATTGTTTAAAATCTTTTTATTTTGAAGCAGTTATAGAACCACAGGAAGTTGTAAAGATAGTAAAGAGATGTTCCATGTACCCTATACCCAGCTTCCCCCAATGGTTATATTTTACAAAATCATAGTGTACTATCAAATCAAGAAATTGACATTTCTTTAAAATGCGGGTATAGTTCTATGTCATTTTATTACATGTCTAGTTTCATGAAACCACCACCACAATCAACATCCAGAACTATTTCATCACGACCATAAAACCAGACACTTAAAATTGGTGATCAGAGGCACATTATACCTCAGTAAAGCTGGCAAAAGACTGAAACCAAAAACCACCCAAACATTGCCAGGATCATGTTACACTAAGCACTCTATAACTATTAGCTCTCATACTGTTGCTGTTTTATCACAGAGAAATGCCAGTCCCAGAAAGAAACAAAGGGGCAAGGGACCTCTCCTTTTGCATGCCTCCCTGATTGCTGCTATTGTGGATGGATTCGATGGAAATGAGTCGCCAGCACCTGGGTCTAGCACTCCTCTAGCTCTACTGGAGTGATTCCAGGGTTGTCACCCCCATGCATGTGACATGTGACTCTCATGCACATCAGCATGGGCTTTCTTTTGCTCCCATTTTCCCTCTCTGCAGTGACTATATTTTGTTATTTGCATATACCAAGTGCATCTTGCTTCCGAGTCTTTTCCATTGCTGTTCCCTCTGTCTAGAGTGTTCTCCTTGAAGACATCTGGTGGCCAGCTCTCATTTCATTTATGCAGAAAGAGCTTCCTGGGCCACCTAGTGTGAACTGGCCCCTCCCTGCAACCCTTAGTCCCAGTTTCTCTCTATCATGTGACTGTGTTATTCCATTATAGCACTTATTGCTGGAAGAAGCTGTCTTGGTTATTTATTCTCTGCTGTGTTTATTGTCTATCCCTGGTCCCCTCCAGAATGTAAGCTACATAAATGCATGAGCATAGCCTGTTTGGTCCACTGCTGCCTCTCCACTCTGTCAAAGGAATATGAGTGGGGACTTTCTAAAATTGTTCACACCCCCAGAAGAGTTTTTCTACCACCTTCCTTCTCATTCTCTCTCCTCTTTTCTTCTCTTTCAGCTCTCTGTCTCCTCCTGCTTCCAACACACACCCATTGAGATGGAAAATAAAGTATAGCATATCATTAGTGGAATCACAAGCAAACCCAGAGACTTCCTCCTACTCCCACCCTTTTCTGCAATGACCCCCCCTTTCCCACCCTTTCCCTTGGCGCCCTGCCTGTTGTTGATGGGTGCCTGCAGGAGGAGTGCCCAGAAAGCAGGGCTCTCCCTGAGTCGTCCCTAAGCAGCTTATTCATGAACTGCATGTAAGTTAATAGAAAAGGTTTCCCCAGAAATCTGCAGGTTTCTTGCCGTTCCCACTCTTCCCCTTTGCCCTGTTACAATCTGGTTAGCCCTGTTATTATTATTTCTGTGGAATGGCATATATCCGTGCCATTAACTCTACATATTTCTAGGGGAAAAAGGATGGAGAGGAAGAAAAGACTGATTATTTATCAAAGAAAAGACATTTTTTCCTCTCTCTAGACAGCCAGGTAGATTTTCTGAACTCATATCTGCCATGGAAATGGGGCTGCTGCTTCTGAAATGAGTCCTCTGTGTTGGGGGTGGGCTCTGTTTTTACGGCCAGTGGGTAATAGCATTTTCTGATTTATGAATTGGCATCTGGGGGAGGTGCTGAGCCCCTAGATGGATTCATCGTGGGGAGAACAGCCATATAAATACTCCTGTCACATAAAATTATTGTTCTCATTTTGATTTTTAAAGAATTTTTTCTTTTGCAAGATGGTGGGATTGAGAAGATATTAGTGAGGAAGCAGGAGAGGAAGGAGTCACTTGGCCCCTTTTTCTTAGAAGGCAAACATTTTTGTCTGGACATTCTCCAGAAACACGGGGTTGCTTAGAAGTCAATTACTAGAATGGTTTACTTATTCAGGGAATACTTGGCACTGTGGCTTAAGTGGGGGAAGCTGGATCTCAGGAGTTTGACCCAGGCTCCAATTGGGAATTTTTTTTAACTGGTGAAGAAAGGGTCATTTCATGTAAGTTCCTCCCACCTTCCCTAAATCAGTGTGAAGATGCATTTAAATGCACCAGATGCTTATGGGTAGCTGCACAGTACCAACCACCATGCAGGTCCTGTGAGGGCTGCAAGCCAATTATAAGCCCTGGTGTCTGCCCTGCAGGAGAGTGCAGTCTGGAGGATGAGTGTGAGGATGACTCAGTATAGGACACAGGCTTTGAATCACGCACAGGATTCCCCTGGGGAGATGAGTCCTACGGTGTCCTGAACAGATGGCAGGAGGAAAGCAGAGGCTCAGGAGGGAGGACACACACCATGTGGCTGCCTAGAAAATGAGAAACTGTTGGCGGTTTATGCTTTGTGTTTCAGACACTTCTCTCCAATAAACCTGTAAACTTTCTGAGGACGAGGACCTTGCCATAGACTTGTTTGGTTCTTACCCCTTTTCTTCCCTGACCTTGAGGCTTAACACCTAGCAGGGCAGGAGAAACCACACTGTTTTCTAAGAAAGGCCAGATAGCATATATATTTTAGACTTTGCAGAGGCCATATGGTCTCTGTCTCAACTATGCAACTCTGCTGTTGTGGCCAAAGCAACCGTAGACCACACATGTAAATGAATGGGTGTGACCAAGTTCCAATACAACTTTATTTCCAAAACCAGGTGGTTGATCAGATTGGGAATGTCGCTTGCCAGCCTCTCTACTGGGTGAACAATAAGTGCCTGCTGAATTGAGTTAAAATGATGTCAATTAATAATAAGTGTACCTCACTTTTTAAAAATGTCAAATATGACCTGACAAAGTATGCAAATGCAGAACATGTGAAAAGAGTTATTTTCTATGCAGAAAGTTCCTGTGGCCAAATAACATACAATCTGTTCTATGAACACATGTCAAGAAATGGTCCCTTACATACAACCTGAATCTCAGAATTTTCTCCAGTGTGCAAGATATGGCACAGACACTATCTTTTTGCACGGCGCCAGGCTTCAGAGGGCAGTAAAAGGGAAAGAATCTCCCTTCTCATTTCATAGGCCTGAGGAGGAGCTGTGCCAGAGTCTGAGACTGGGAGGCAGACTCTTCTGGATGGGGGCAGCCCAGGCTGTTGGGCTGTCTCTAACCAGTATGTCTAACTATGGGAGGCTTCTGTTCATTTCTTTATTTCTTTGTTTTCAAGGCAGAATAAACTCCAAATTCCAAGGGTCAACTAAGCGCCTACCACCAGCCCATGCATGGCCACAAAAAGCCTTCGTGTCATCAGTCAATGCCAACTAGTTAATAATGACCAGCCTCTTCACTAATGGCCCGAGGCAGGGGTTCTCAGGGCAGCGAAGGCCCTGGGACAGAGACTTGCCAGCGGCTGCATGGGGAGAATGGTTTGCAAGAAGCATATCTGCTGGCCACTATCAAGGGCATATCCACCCATGCTCAGCTCTTTAGAAAGATAGTAATTAGTTTTTTCCCCTTCGGTGCACACAGTGAATGCAGCAGAATCTGGTATTTGGAGAACCATTGGAGTCTGTCCCTCTCATCTTGATTTGCCTGAGGTTTATGTCTATAACTAAGAAATATCAAGATTGCAAGGCAGTTCAGGGGATGTGTTTAGCTCCCAAGGAGAGAAAAGAAACTTTCACACGTCAGGGCTTCAGGCAAGGAGAGGCCACTGCAAAGGGAGGTTGATCGTGACTCGGCTGGCTCTGTACCACATTGTGTCTCTTGCAAACTGCAGGTGGTGATAACAATGACTGAATAGTAAGCTCCCAGAGGGTATAGAGCTTGTCTTGTGCTCTCTGGATGTTCCAGCATGAAGACATATGCACAAAGTTACAGGGAAAAGATTTCTAGACCTACAGAGTCCATTGTGGTCATCTGGAAAGTGCTTCCTGACTGGTGAGTGGTGCACACTGTGATGGGCCAAGGTGTGCCATTGGGGCAGCTGGAAGATACCTTGTTCCCTCTGGTCATTAGAGGACTTCCATCACTTGGGCTAGACACACAAATACATTCATTTTCCATGTGTGCCTTAACATAGTGACAGGTTGGAAAGCATTGATCTGCTCTACACATGAGAAAATTAAGGCTGGGCATGGTGGCTCACACACTTTGGGATGCCAAGGTGGAAGGATCACTTGAGTTCAGGAGTTTGAGACCAGCCTGGGCAACATAGTGAGACCCTATTTCTACCAAAAATTTAAAACAAAAAATAGCCAGGCATGGTGGTATGCACCTGTAGTTCTCAGCTACTTGGCAGGCTGAGGTGGGAGGGTTGCTTGAGCCCGGTGGGGTTAAGGCTGCAGTGGGCCATGATCATACCATCGCACTCAGTCTGGGAGACAGAGTGAGACTCTGTCTCAGCGAAGAAAAAAAAGAGAGAAAATTGAGACTTGGAAGTCAAGGTCTCACAAGTCAAGAACTTGAATCCAGTTAGCTTTACTCTATGTTTAATACTTCACCTGCTACTCCACTGCCACCCACAGTAAACTGTCAACAAATAACTGTAGAAGGCAAGTTGTTGAGATAGAGAAATCACTTTAAAACTAGTGGACGGAGAGATGATGACATTAGCATGACTTGAGATGGGAGCCGGACGCCCAAAGCTGAAGTCAACATATTGCCAGTTTACACAAGGCATTCTTCCCTAGGTTAGTGACTTTCATTTTGACCATGACTCATGGCAAGAGATATGTTTTACATTGCAACTCAGGGCATACATACATGCCCATATATAGTTTCACAAATAGTAGTTATCCTTACTATGTTTGATGGCCACTATTCTATTCGACTTTATTCTATTCCATTAAAAACAAATTCTGGTCATGACCCTTTAAATTGATTTCATGACCCACTAAATTGATTTCTCGACCCACTAATGTGTCATGACCAGCAGTTTGAAAAACACTGGCTTGACCCTTTTCCAGCTCCCCCTCCCTCCTCAGAGGCTGGGAGAATGGAAGGTAAATGTGGAGAAAAAGAATGAGACAAGAGATCGAGAGATTGAGATAAAAATAAGGAAGAAGGTGGGAGAAACACAAAAAATAGTGGAAGGGATAAAGGAAAGAATGGAAATTAAATGAGAAGAAGGGAGAAATGAATGAAAAATGGGAGACATAATGAGAAAAGGCAAACCCTACACTGACAGATTCATATCCGTGAAAACTGCTCTCAAGCTCCATAGTCATTCTGGCCATATTTATACAAGAATCTTCCCTGCCAGCATTAATGGCCATAGCCTTGATAATGCTGTCTGCCTGTCTGGGGATTTCTTATCTGTCAGCACCATCTCAAATTCCTATAGTGACTCTCAGAGAGAATCTTCCATCTGTTCTTCAGGAAAAGAACAGAAAAGACTAGAAGGCATTGGGTAAATTACCAAGGAATAGAAAGTGACCACACCCACTTTACCCACTCCTTTGCACCGTGGGTTCTATAGACTTTGAGCTGAGTCTACACAACAAACTCTTGGTACAAAGGAAATTGTTTTAGAAGGTAACAGAAAAGTGAAATTCAGAGATTGAGGTAAAGTTAATTTATAAAGAAGCTGCAAGTTTACATACTCCAATAGCCAGAGGTCTCTAACTGATTTTGACTGCACACTTCATAGTAAAAAGTTCTTTGAGCATGCACCTACAATGCACATATATTTATTTATAAAAAATTTATTAATAAATAATATATATGTTCTGCTCATTAGCATCATAGCACTATCAAACCTTTAGAAAATTAGGAAATGAAGTGAGATAAAGATAAAATAGCATCTTGTATTTGATTTTACAAATGAGTGATACAAAACATTTTACTATCACCAAGAAAATTATTATAATGGTAAGAGTGATGTGCTAGAATTGGTTTTATTATTGTTTAATACATTTGTTTAGCACTTAGTGATACAAGGCTCTAAGGTCTAAGGTTCAATTTATTTCCATACTTTGTTTTAATGGCTGTCATAACTGAAAAGGACACCTCACATAGACGCAGAGATGCAAAAAAGTGCATTGTTGGCTGTGCTGAATAAATCAAGATTTTTTTTTTCAGTCTCATGCACCAATTATGTGAAGACTGTTGTTGAAATTCAGCTAGTAGATTTCCATCTTCTCTGATGTCAATCAGCTCTTGGAACTAATCGGAGGGTGCTGAATTTTTATATTTTTTAACAAAGGGGTCAAAATTCTCTGAAACTCTTCATTTGGAAGATTTTTAAGCAGGTAGAAGATTCTGTTTCCAAGTTTTAAAAGTTTTAAGATATGAATTTTTAAAGTGTCACATTTACTCATTATTGGCAACAAAATCACATAATGATGAAAATATTTCCAAACATCTTTTCTCTCCCCAAATGATCTCCTCATGCCATAAATCCTTCTGAAAGTACTTACTTTCTTACCCATTGTGAATGTATTACTTTTATATTGGAGGGAAAGATTAAGTGTTTATTTTTTCAAAGTTACCAGCAAAGTGGCATACTCTGACAGCTGCTTGTCAGAACTGAAAAGGTCAGCAAATGTGGAACATTTTGGTTCTTTTAAAAGAAAAATGATTAATTATGTTTCCATAAGCAGCAGACCTCTGTGTTGTACAAAAAATTTCCGTGGTCACTTGTACATCATTGCAAAGTATTATAAAGATTTTATTTAAAGGATTGTTTTTATAACATTGATAATATCTGTCACACATAAATTGCAAATTTGTTGTAGTATGTTGAAACTGACTCAGCCAGTGAGGATGCCAGTGTCAAGCCCTCCAAGATGTTGGGTTCCCAGCATCTCTGTGCCTCTCTAATGCATGAATGACTGATGCATAGACCAAGGGAGGCAGACACTAGCTAGTATCAACACTATATTAAACACAAGTAAAACCAGATTTCTTGTTTTAAATAAATTTTTTTTATTATTATACTTTAAGTTTTAGGGTACATGTGCACAATGTGCAGGTTAGTTACATATGTATACATGTGACATGCTGGTGTGCTGCACCCACTAACTCGTCATCTAGCATTAGGTATATCTCCCAATATAGGCCAGGTGCAATGGCTCACGCCTGCAATCCCAGCACTTTGGGAGACCAAGGCAGGTGGATCGCTTGAGCTCACGAGTTTGAGACCAGCCTGGGCAACATGGAGAAACCCCATCTCTACAAAAAATACAAAAATTAATTGGGCATGGTGATGCCCTGAGACTACCCTGCATGCCCTGATGCACACCTGCAGTCTCAGCTACTTGGGTGGCTGAGGTGGAAGGATGGCTTGAACCTGGGAGGCAGAAGTTGCAGTGAGCCACGATTGCACCACTGCACTCCAGGCTTATAGCCTGGGTGATAGAGCCAGACCTTGTCTCAGAAAAAAAAAAAAAAAAAAAAAAAAAAAAAAAAAAAAAAAAAAAAAAAAAAAGAAGCAGTAGTTCTAATAGTTTCTCCCCTTTCTTCATCGGAGAGTGTTCCTTCTTAGCAGCCCTTGGCATCAAAATGCATAACACTAAAGAGGCAAAAGGGAGCTCAGTGTTTTAGAGTTTGGTCTCTGGTATTCTGGAGCAAAACAGTAAATAAGTAGCCTCCCCTAGATTATTGTGAAGTTGGGGATATTGGGTCATCAGCATTCAACTTTATTTTATTTATTTATTTTTTGAGATAGGGTTTTGCTCTGTTACCTAGGCTGGAGTGCAGTGGCACCATCACAGCTCACTGCAGCCTCGATCTCCTGGGCTCAAGTGATCCTCCCACCTCAGCCCCCCCCAAGTAACTGGGACCTACAGGCGCTCACCACCATACCCAGCTAATTTTTGTAGAGACAGGATTTCACCACGTTGCCCAGGCTGGCCTTGAACTCTTGGGTTCAAGCAATTCACTGGCCTCGGCCTCCGAGAATGCTAGGATTACAGGCATGAGCCACCGTGCCCAGCTAGCATCCAACTTTAATTGTGGAAGACAGAGTAATAAATATTTGACAATAAACAATGGCTCCTAAATTAAGAACATCTGAGAAGATGCAAAGTGATACATGAATTCCTGTTGAGAACTATGTAACTGGCAGCAGTAGGAGGCAGACTTTTAATAATAGTAATAAAATGTGTGCCTTTTGGAAAAGAACAGTGAATTAGAGACTGAGAGCATGGACTAAGCTCAGAGGTGAGGAAAGCTTCGCAGACCTAGGATAGAGAGATACGATCCTGGGCATTTGTGTGAGCATGAGCAAGCCAAACATCAGTTAGTCTCAAAGGCAACAGCTGCCCGGACTTCAAGGGGTAACCCTGAGAATCTGATTGATGAAGAGAACACTCCTTTCCCCAAATCGCAAGAAGAACTCAGCCTGTGCTCATGACAGAACAGCACACACAAAAAAAGAGAAACTTGGGTCAGGCCTACAGCCAGAGAGACTAGCCAAGGAAAAGGTAGAGGAAACCAGGAGAGCTGGGAAAAGATAGTTAAGTCTTTCCCAGTGAAGGTTCCACAATGCACCAATCACTCTAGGTGCTCCTGGTAACATGAGTTCTGTGGCCAAATGACTTTGAGAGATACTACTTCCTACATTTGTCATCTCACTCATAGCTCAGAGATTCATAATACCCATTAGTATATTAAATGCACTATCAAATGCTATAGTCAAGATATCCACTTAACTCAAGGGCTGGATAGAGTGGCTCATGCCTGTAATCCCAGTGCTGTGGGAGGCCAAGGCAGGAGGATCACTTAAGCCCAGGAGGAGCCCAGCGTGTACAACACAGCAAGACCTCATCTCTACACAAAATTTTTAAAAATTTAGCTTAGAGAGAAAGGGCACCTGTAGCCCCAGCGACTCCAGAGGCTGAGGTGGGAGGATCATCTGAGCTTAGGACTTCAAGGTTACAGTGAGCTATGATGGCACCAGTGCACTCCAGCCTGGGTGGCAGAGTGAGACCCTATCTCTAAAAATCTTAATCTCTACATATCTATACATCTGCTCAACTCAGATTTGCTCAAACATATTTGACTAAAGAAAGCTTTTGTTTTAAAAAAAAGTCCTGCAGAATTTTTGTTCTAAGAAATAAAGTTTGGGAAATACTGGACTAACTAACTGATGCTTAAATCTGTACCAAGGCAAGGACCAGCAAGAGGTCTCCTACACGTGTCATGCTTCATGTGAATATCATTTGTCTCTTGAGACCCCCACACTTTAATGAGAGTGAACATTTATTTCCCAGCCTGTGGATTAAAAGGGGTTTTGAGGGAATAGAACTTTCTCCAGAGGGCCTTCCTCTCCTGCTGAAGGTGATCTCAGGTGTGAGTAGTGGCCCTAGCCAAAGGCCACGTCTCAGGGAAGGGGGTTGGGCACCTCTGTCCACTAGAACACCCAAGGGGCCTTGGAACCTGTGGACTCAGACTATGAGGCCAGAGCCAACCAGGAGTGGGGCCGATGGAGGCCTCCTGGTCTGCTCTCGGTCACTCTTGGCACCAAAAACACCTAATACGCTCCAGAGGATACATGAGTGAGTTTATGAATGATGGAAGAAAAATATTACAGGTGGATTTCTTTCTTTTCTTTTCTGAAACCTCCCCCTTCCAGGTTCAAGCAATTCTCCTGCCTCAGCCTCCCAAGCAGCTGGGACTACAGGCATACACCACCACGCCTGGCTAATTTTTGAATTTTTAGTAGAGATGGAGTTTCACCATGTTGGCCAGGCTAGTCTCAAACTCCTGACCTCAGATGATCTGCCCACCTCAGCCTCCCAAAGTGCTGGGATTATAGGTGTGAGCCACCACACCTGGCATAGGTGGATTTTTTTTCAATAAAACATAGACATTCTTATAACAATCACCAGCATACTGAAAATCATAGAGATGAAAGCTAAGCCTCATTGAGTTGTCATTATGTGCCAGGCAATGAGCTAAGAATTTTATGTGCACTTTCTTATTTATTCATTATAACCACCCAGCCAATGGGCACTAGGATATTCCCATTTTGTCGATGAAGAAACGGAAATACGCAGAGATTAAATAACTTGTCCAAAGTCAAGTGGCAGAGCCAGAATCCGGAAGCAGAGCTGTGATTCTAGCCCTGAACCACCTTCAAGCCACCCAGCTTGCAACTGGATAGCCTTCTGCACCAGCTGGAATCCTTTTGGAGAAGGATATATTCTCTACCTGTTCCTCCACCTCTTCATTGTTTTTCTGGACTTTGTCTAAATAAGTATTCAGATAATCTCCCCTTAGCCATTGTGCATCCCTTCAAAACCATCGCATACGTCTCTGAGTCAGTTTCAAATTGATGTCTCCATTGTCTGCTTGTAATATCTGAAATGCACTTGAAAGACTCATATGAGATATGTAAATAAATGCCATTTGTAATTTACCCTTTTATACCTATATTGCATTTAGTAAAGTCACATGACATCATTAATGCTAACTAGTCATCGTGAACAAGGGCATAAATTAATGTGCATCAATTTACTTTTGAAAACGTCCCATTGATATTCAAACGGAGTGTAAAATGTACTTAAGTATCAACATTTCTGGTCTGTTTTCCACAGAACTCAAGAGCAAGTCAATCAGTGCTCATGGAATTTAACTATTTCCATTAGGATACCATCCCTAGGGGACAGGGGAGTGGGTTGGAACAGTGTGAGTCAACTTCTACCAACACCTGGCCTGTTGAGAGGGGTGAGGTGGTCAAGGCCCACCCACCACCCCCACCCACAAATGAGGATCAGTGGTAGTCTTAAGAAAGAGCCCAAAGACTCCAGCCTCCAGACCAGAGTCCTTGTAATGACCTCACTCAAAAGCGTAAGGAGAATGTGCCCTTCAAACTGACATCTTTTTCTTCCCTGATCCCTAACTCCATGAGAAAGTTGGGTTTCTGGAGCAATTCCCACAGCAGGACCACACTCTTTTCAACACCCTTCAAGCTGGAGTTTGCTCTCACTTTACCACTGCAGAGCTTCCAGAACAAGGCCTTCCCTCGGCCCTTCTCTGATTGTGTACAGGGACTGGCTCTGTGTGGGGCATGCAGTGGGCGCTTACTAAACAGACATGGTGGGACAGGAGCTGGAAGCTAGCAGAGAAGCAGCCCTGGCCCTGTCTGTCCACCCTGTGGAGTCTCCTCATGTGCTGCTAAGTGGATGATTATAGGTGGTTGTCTTTAAAAATGGCACTTAGAGTGCCCCGAAAGTAACAGGACACCGGCGCTAAGTTAGGAGAAGGCGCAATAATTGTCAGGACAATTGCCAGAGACAGATGCTTAATGGAGTTCAGGATTAGAGACCTGCCAGCGCTTTCCTTAACTACTGGCCCTTGGGTTTCCTCAGCTTTTCTCCTGCTCCACATCCTCCCTCACCCACCCCTGCTCTACCTCCACATCATAGCTCTTCTTCTCTATTCTGGGGCAGAGAGAAGGAAAATGAGCCAGTTTTCCCTCTGCTCTAGAAGTCCTGGAAGATGAGGGACCAAAAGTTTCTTCAGCTACCCAATCTGTGATAACTTCATATATCCAATGAGGTTGGACTCAAATGGATTCAGACTCCTTCCCTGGAGTGGAAGCAGAGTTACAGAGAAAAATCCAGAGACAACATAGCTCTCTCTGATTAGGGTGGGAGACCACAGCCTCCTGGGCCCTCCATCCCCTGGAAGGCAGTGCTCCTTACTATGAAGGGAGTCTCTGCCTGAGTACTTTCTAGAGGCTTTGAGATGATAGATAGGGGAAGCACAGAATCCTGGGTAGCTGGTGCCTGGAGCTCAACTGGCCTTTAGCCACCAAGCAGTGGTTTGTCCAGGCTTCCCTGCCCCTAACAACGTTTTTGTTTGTTTGTTTTGGACATAGAGTCTCACTCTGTCACCTAAGCCGGGGTGAAGTGGCATGATCTCGGCTCACTGCAACCTCTGCCGCCTGGGTTCAAGTGATGCTCATGCCTCAGCCTTCCAGGTAGCTGAGACTATAGGCACGCACAATAAGGCCTGGCTAACTTTTTGTATTTTTAGTAAAGATGGGGTTTCACCGTGTTGTCCAGGCTGTTCTCGAACTCCTGAGCTCAGGCAATCTGCCCGCCTTGGTCTCCCAAAGTGCTAGGATTAACAATACATTTTCTAATTGTAATAAGAATAATGATAATGATGACAGCAACCACAACTTACTAAAAGCCTACTACGTGCTAGGCACTTTACATATATTAACTTCAATCCTAAAAGTGCTGAAAGAGAGTTATCATCACTTTAATTTTCTACATAAAAAACCAAAGCATGAACTGCTTGAGTGAGTTGCTCCAGGTGGCACAGCTGGTGAGTACTAAGGACGGGTATGAAAAGCCAAGTCCGTGATCTGTTCATGACCCCCCCCGGAGCCTCCATCCTGCACATGCTTATACTTTCTGGTCACCCCCATGGTCTGTCTGAGAGATGCCAGGCCACTGTGGTGATCATACTCAGATGTCAGAGACTTTTGCCTACACCAGTGACCATGTAGAAACACGTCAGTCAGAAAAAAACAGTGGGGGTGGTGGGCTGCTACCCTGCCTACTCCCTCTGTGAGGTGAGGCTGGTGCCACCCAGGGCTCCATGTACCCCGGGATGCCCTAGAGGTTGCAAAGGGGCACTTGTCCCACCTTGTGTCAGGCTACAACAAAGGAGAAGTAAACCAAGGGACCTCCTTCATGGGGCCGAGGCTGGTTCTGAGTTCTGATCACATCTGCACTGCTCCACCACCCCATCCCCAGAGACTCCTTCTGCCTTCTATGGCTGGTTCTGACACCCAAGAGTGGGGCGTACCACTTTTTACTGGAAAGTCAAGATGATGGATAGTATCTCTTGCTCTCACAGAGGGCTCCCCATTCCTCGTTGGAGGAGGGGGCTGGGAAAGGCATTGCAGAAGGAGCTGAGCCCTATATTCAAGCTCAGCTCCTCCCCCAAACTGCTGGTGACTCTGGATGACCTGCTCCCTCCTCTGTGCTTCAGTTTCCACACTGATCACAAAGTGCAGTAGGAGCGTGTTGCGCCAGATAAGCCAGTAGCGTTTTCCAGGCCTAAGGTTTTAGGGTACAGTGGACAATTCAGCACCTACTGACTGTAGGAAACTAGGGAGGGAAGTCACTTCCCCTCTGGTTCCTCCAGTTCTGCCGTGGTAAAATGCAGACATCCTGCCTTGATTGAGAATGAAGTGGGAAGTGGGAATATCTCAGTAATGACATTCTGGAACCTTCAGAATCTGTTCCAGACAAATGGGAAGGCTCCCACCTGAGTGAAATTGGGTGAAACATTGAGACAGCTTTTCTGTTTTTGTGAATGTCTGAGGTGGCTCCATTTCCTGTCACTCATTCCTCAGCCCTGTGCTTCAAGTTTGCTCTCCCAGGAGCTATCAGACATAGGCCAGCCTGGGTGCCAGGAGCAAACATCCACGTGGGCTTGTCACCGTGTCAGCCATCCAAACACTAACTGGAGTGTACAGCTCGGCCCCCACAGGGGCAGAGAGGATGGCAGAGAGACGGTTGCATCACCATCCAGTGCACCTTACATGAGACATGCCCACAGACACAGTGCTGAGGGCAGGACTCATTTTCACAGGAGCCCAGCACCTTTGGCTGCAGACAGTATCTCCACAACAGCCTCTTCTATCAAATCAATGTCTATAGACCTCCAAGACTGTCAGACTTCACATCACCTTCCTCAGAACATCCTGGGAGGCAGGGTGGAGACAGGGACAGACACTGAGGTGCAAAGAAATGGTAATGACTCCTTCATCACACAGGGGGTCCCTGGTGGAGGCAACATCCACTTAGGGGTCCCAAGCCTCAAGCGATGCTGCCTTCTTAGACCATGATACTACCTCCCCGTTGAACTATAGCTCCTTCTGAAGCTCTCAGCATGGTAAAAAACAATCACGATGCCTCCTCTCACCTCTTCCCTCCAGAGAGGCTGGCTTCACTATCTTTCAATTTCACAACCCCAAACAAAGAACTTGCAAATAAATAGAAGAAGGAAAGGGACAGGACAACATGGACAGGCCTCCCCTTCTCCTCTTGTATGCCCATCTGACCACTCTCTTTTAAAATGCAACCCTTTCACCCTCACAAGGATCCTGACTCCACTTAATCCACTTGATTTCCTTTTTCTGGAGTGTTTATCACCTGCTAACCTAGTCTCTGATTTATTTCTTAGGTTGGTTCCTTCTTTGCTGCTTCCTTTTGCTAAAAGCATAGGGATATGTCACTGTTTCTTCATGGTTGTATTCCCAATGCCTTGACTGGTGCTTGGCACATAGTAGGAGGGAGCTTAGGGAATGCATCTTTTAAAAAAATTTATTTTTATTTATTTTTTTTTTAGAGAAGTCATCTCCCTCTGTTGCCCAGGCTGGAGTACAGTGGCATGACCACGGCTCATTGCAGCCTCAACCTCCTAGATTCAAATAATCCCTCTGCCTCAGCCTCCTGAGTAGCTGGGACTACAGGTGCACACCACCACACCTGGATAATTTTTAAATTTTTTGTAGAGATGGGATTTTGCCATATTGCCCAGGCTGGTCTCAAACTCCTGCCCTCAACCAATTCTTCTACCTTGGCCTCTCAAAGTGCTGGGATTATAGGTATGAGCCACAGTGCCCAGCTAATTAATTTTTTTTTTTTTTAGAGATAGGGTCTCTCTATGTTGCCCAGGTTGATCTCTGTTTCCTAAACGAATGAATGAATCAGGCCTGAGTAATATGCTATAAAGCAAGGTGGCCCTCGCCACTTCACTACTGGTTTACGCTGGAAGGAGCCAGGCAAGGCTGCTATCCTGGGCAATGCCTATGGGCAGGGAACTCACCTCCAGGCCCACCTCCTCAGGCCCCACAGGCGTCCGCATCCTGCTTTATAGCAAGGACTTGAGCACCGGCAGCTCAGAAGGACAGGCTGCAGGAGTCCCCCAGCACCTGGAAGCAGACCCACTGTGAACAGGAGTCAGTAAAACAAAGGACACCATAAAAGATGGCTTTGGTCCAAACATCGCTGAAACAGATCCCCAAAGCAGAAATGTGTGTTTGAGGCTTCTGGCTTCCAGGAAGGAAAGGGCTGGTGTGTGGAGAGGCAGATACATTGAAATTCACTGAGAAATCTGCCACTTCCTCTGGGTCTATCAAAGAAGATACTCGCCTTGTCTGGGGGACAGCTGCTTCTCCCCTGGTAGGGGTCACTCCAGGGCACCCAAGAACAAGGATGGTCCCAGCTCTGCCACCTCATCTTCTCATTTATCTGCCTCACTGACATTTCCCCTCACCTCCTTCCCATTGGCTTGGCAGGTTTTTATCACACTGGTTTCAGTGTGTATAGACATTCCCTTGGGGTTACTGGAATTTTAGTAAATACACACCACACTCATATACATGCATACACATACAAAGCAAGAAGGAGGCTAACAGAGACACACAGACAGGGATAGACACAGGGGAAGGGGTGGGTGTGCATGTGCACACACAGCTGAGAGATATCCAGAATCATGCAGAAGAAAGAAAAGAGACAGAGAGAAACGTAACACGGCTCTGAAAGAGACAGTTAAATCATGACAAAATGACACTGACACTTAACAGTGCACACTCGTACACTCCAAGCAGAAGTGTACCCGGAACATGGCATTTGCTGCAAGAGCTCACAGAGGGACCCACACGTCCATGATAAGAGAAACCATATCCAGGCTACAGAACTACGTAATTTGCAAATAATCTAATAGCTAACGTTTGCTGAATGTTCTTTCTGAGCTAAGCTCTTTTACATGGAATATCTCATTGAATCCTCACTCACTCCAGGAGATCAATACTGTTTACTAAATCCCCATTTCACAGGTGCACACGGAGGCTGGGGTGATCTGAGCTGGCCTCTGTCTTCAGCTGTCTCACTCACCACTTTCCCCCTTCTCCCCTCCTGGCAGCCCGTCCGGTGTCCTCAAAAACACATGTCACATGCCGTCTCTGGCCTCTGTGCTTGCTGTTCCCTCCACCTGGACCACTTCTCCCCAGACGGTCCTCTCGCACCACTTCACTCTCTTCTGCTTTTTGCTCAAAAGTTCCCTCCTTGGAGAATTTCCCTTGCAACCATCTTTAAAAGAGCACTCCCCTCCACTCTTCTGGCCATCACCTTATTTCTCCTGAGTCGGTTTAATTTTTCACTCTGTTCACTATTACCTGATCTAAGCCATTCACTCATTCTCTCATTCGCTGTCTCTCTGCCCAGAATGTAAGGCCTATAAGGATAAGGACTTTGCTTGTATTGTTCCCCATGGAATTCCTGGTATCCTAGAAGAATGCTTGGCTCAGAGCAGGTGCTCAGTAAACATTTGTTGAATATTGAATGAATAAGGTGCTGAGGGAATGGGTGACAGAGCCAGAAAATATGTAGCATTTGTGTGCAGATATGCACATGTGTACACACACACACACTCCATTCTCTACCTCCATTAGTCATATAATCCTTACCCTGCATGTCGAGAGCTGGCCATCCATTCATCCTCTCTACCATGCATTCATCCTACCACATGCCAAGAGCTGGCCTATTTCAGCATATGGAATGAGGAACACTGGAACCCAAGGAGAGTTTATTTATTTATTTATTTTTTGAGTCAGAGTCTCACTAGTCACATAGGCTGGAGTGCAGTGGCATGATCTAAGTTCACTGCAACCTCCGCCTCCCAGGTTGAAGCGATTCTCCTGCCTCAGCCTCCCGAGTGGTTGGGATTACAGGTGCATGCCACCAGGCTCAGCTAATGTTTTGTCTTTTTAGTAGAGATGGGTTTCTCCATGTTGGCCAGGCTGGTCTCGAACTCCTGACCTCAGGTGACCTGCCCTCCTCAGCCTCCCAAAATGCTGGGATTGCAGGCGTGAGCCCCCACACTCAGCCCCCAGGAAAGTTTCAAACAGCAGTGGGGAGTCAAAGTTAGTTGATCTCTCTGGATACTTCTTTAACTATGGATTCATTAACTGTTTCACGACTACTAAAATATGACGCAAAATATTTCCCCTGACTGTCAAATGCCTCTTTCCTGCACTCTGTGTCCCCCAGTGTGGTATCAGGTAAATCAGAGGGAGGCTGGAGGTGGCAGAGAGCAGCATCTCCATCCACAAAGAAACTAGGGACAAGAAGGGATGAAAGAGTGTTTAGAAGAGAGAGCAGCCCCTGCCCACCAAATGGTAAAGAGGAACATTCCTCAGGGGCAGAGGTAACACCCTAGATAGAGCTTGCCGGGTTGCTGACGAATCAAAGTTATCTGGTTCTTAATAAAACTCAGAATCCTGCCATCTCTATTTAAGTCTTCAGGCGTCATCTCCAGGCAGGAGGTCCCAGTCTCACCAAAATCAGAGTGCTCTCAAAGAAGGGCTGCTCTTCATCACAAACAGATGAAGTCCAAAGCTCATTCACTCATATTAACTCTATAAGAATATACCTGGCCCTTTCTCTGGGTGAGGTCTTCCTCTACCTGCTAGACACAAGAGAGACAAGGTCCCTGCCCTCCAGGAACTTATATGCTAATTCATAGGGATGGGAAATAAACAGGTAATTTTCATACTGTGGTGGGCAGCAGAAGGGAGTAAACAAAAAGACTTAATAGGAAGAAGTCAAGATTCCAGGGTGAGGGATATTTATGTAGGGTGGCCAGCGGAGGCCTCTCTGAGGACACGATATTTGAGCAAAAACCACAGGCATGAGGAGGGACCAGCCACAGGAAAAGCCAGAGAGTTTTCACAGCAGAGGAAACAGTAAGCGTGCAAGTTCTGCAGCAGGAAGGAGCTGGGCTCAGGGACAGAACAAAGGCCTGTTTGCTGGTACACGGAGAGCCAGGGTCCAGGGTCACAAAATGAGCTTGCAGAGGTGGAGATGAGTCACAGGATGGGGCCAAGGGACCATGCCAGGAGCTTGGGCCTTATGCCAAGAATGATGAGATGCCCCTGATGGTAGGAGGGGTCCATGAACACCCATTCTGTTAACTTGGAAAGTGCTCACAAGCCTCCCGATTCAGTTGCTCATCTCTTCGCCTGTTGTATTAGCTTGTTTTCATGCTGCTGAAAAAAACATACCTGAGACTGGGTAATTTACAAAGAAAAAGAGGTTTAATGGACTCAGAGTTTCATGTGGCTGGGGAGGCCTCACAATCACATCTTACATGGCGGCAGGGAAGACAGAATGAGAGCCAAGCAAATATAAAACCACCGGATCTTGTGAGACTTATTCACTACATGAGAACAGCATGGGGGAAACCACCCCCAGGATTCAATTATCTTTCACCAGGTCCCTTCCACAACACATGGGAATTATGGGAGCTACAATGCAAGATGAGATTTAGGTGGGGACACAGCCAAACCATATCACCTGTCATTGTATTGAACACAACACCAGGACAAAAAGGTTGTTTAGGCCACTGCCCTGCTGCAGATACCAAACAGATCAGAGAAGAGAGAGGCTGGTATGTAAGAATGGACAGCATAAAGCACACATTTTCTACCACCAGTTTTTTTACACAGTGATCCCTGTTAGAAAATGTGTCCTTCAATCCCATATAAGCCTCCTGGATTATCATCCAGATTGCCACTCTCACATATGTTTAGGATGCCCTTCCACTAAGATCTGGGAATACAGGTGCTAGTATGTTTCATGTTAGATTTTAGTCTTCAGTTATAGGAGCAACCAGAGCACCAAAATTGAAACCACAGCTCTCTTGAGCCCAGATCCATTTAGTCACCCATTCCACAAATGTGATTTGAGTGTTTATTAGGTGTCAGTGCTGTTCTAGGGGTAACACACAAGTAAACTAAAGAGACTAAAAAACAAAAAATCATATTCTTATGGAGTTTACATTTTAAATGAGGAAGACATATAATACAGAACAATTATTAAGAATCATATAGCAAATAAGAAGAGACTAAGTGCTATGGATAAAAATAGAGCCAGGAGAGGAGATTGGGAGTTTATGAGTCTGAGTGGAAGGCAATCTAGAGTTTTACCTGTGGTACTCAGGGGACGCAGATACCTGGATAGAATTCCAGGCAAAGGGGAACAACCAGGACAAAGATCCTGAAGCAGGAGCCTGCCATATTGCAGGAGCATCACAGAGGACATTTCTGTGTCCAGAGCACTCTCTCCCGCCCTGGCCCTGCAGACTAGGGGAGCAGGGAGAGCGGGGAGAGCGGCAGGTGATGAGCTTGGACATCTCATGAGGACAGAGCATATAAGGCCCTGTGGGTCTTCATAGGCACTTTGGTCATTGAAAGGATTTAAACGGAGGAATGACACTATCTAACTCAAACTTTTGAAGATTAACTGCTGCATGGAGAAAAGACTGGAAAGACAAAGGTGGAAACAGAGAGAGTAGTTGGAGGGCTATTGCAAATATTCAGGCAAGAGACCATGGGGGTTCAATCCAGGTGGGTAACAATGAAGTGGTGGGAAATAGCCATATTCTGGAAACATTTTGTAGAGTCCGTAGAATTATGGGAGCTACAACTCAAGATGAGATTTGGGTGGGACACAGCAAAACCATATCAAGGTGTTTATGTTAAAATGAGGCTGATAGAGAGAGGCCCTAATCCAATTTGACTGGTGCTCTTAGAAGAAGAGGCGAGTAGGACACATAGAGAAACACCAGGGCTGTGCACACAGAGGAAAGGCTATGTGAGGACACAGTGAGAAGGTGGCCATCTGCAAGCCAGGGAGAGAGGCCTCAGAAAAAACCAGCCCTGCTGACACTGTGATCCTGGACTTCCAACATCCAAAGCTATGAGAAAACAAATTTCTGTTGTTTAAGCTCCCCAGTCTGTGCTATTTTGTTATGGCAGCCCTAGCCAATGAATATAAGTGGTAGATTACTGACATGCAGGAAGTGCTTCCCTTATCTGACTTAAGTTTGAACTTTGTAATAAACTGAAGCAATAGGTTATTTGTGTTGGTACCTCTCTTTTCCAATTCTGGTTCAATGAGGGCACTGGGGACTCATTCATTAAAAAATTAAGAGGGGCCTATTAGGTGAAGTTTAGGCTGGCAAGGCATCGGATGCTCTCAAGCTGCTGGCAGCAAGAGAGACAAGGAAGTCATAATCACAGCCTGGTCTGACAAGAGCTACTATAGACATGTCTAACTGCAGGCCAGGAATAGTCCAATGAAGAATGTGACAGCCGAGCTAAGTTTTGAAGGACAAGGAAAAATTAGTCACATAAGAAAGGAAAGTGCTTTCCAGGCTGCACTGACATCATGGCTAAGCTATGCCCTTAGCCTGCAGACACAGTGTGCAACGTGTTCTGACCCATCATGGCTGAGGGAGACCCACCACCTGAAGGAGGCTGGAATTAGTCTTGATACCCTGGGTCTGGAAAATACCCAGGTATATTTATCAAGCTGCTTTGCCCTGAGCTCTATTCCGCATGCCCAACCTGTCAAGCAGGCCTGGGTTCCTGATGCGCTCTCCCCCGGGACTGGATTTTTGCTCCCTGCCTCCCTTGGCCTCACCTGGGCTGCTGTGCTCCAACCCAGATGGACCATCTAGAATCTCAATACCAGCCCCTGCCTGACTCTAAGCACGGCCAGTGTCTGGAAACTCCTGTCACAGAGTCATAAAAAACAAGAGTCTCTCCATTTAACAAGCACTTACTCTGTGCCAGCCATGGTTCTAAGCTTATTATATGCCTATCTCATTCAATTCTTGGAAAAAAACTATCTGATATTATTGTCACCAACATAGGACAGTAAAGAATGCTGAATCTTAAGGTTAGGAACTTACCAGAGACTACATTTAGTAAATGAGATTTAAGATTCCCACTCAGACATTTCAATGGCAACACCTGTGGACTTAATCATTGCACTGTTCTACAAATCTCCACCAAGAATCCACAAGCCCAGTGGAGACCAGTGTCGGCCCAGGTGTTAGGCCTTTGAGATGGTCATTTGGGTGGCAGGCCAGTCTCCACATCTGTGTGGAGCAGCCCTGGAATGGATGAACACCCTGGCTCTATTCATTCCTGCCTTCCTTTCCAATGTGCCCATAATATGGAGTTCTCAGGATGCCTCATTGCCAAGCCTGAATGGACAGTGACCACATTACCCATCCAAGGGGAAACAGCTGAGGACAAAGAGGTGAACAAGGATTCAGATGGGCACCTCCAGGGAAGGAGTAATGCTCAGAATGCTGACTCAGTTCTCAAAGGGGGCTGATAACTCATATTACCAGCTTATACTTTGTTTTTTTGTTTTTAATTTCTCTTTTTTTTTTTTTAGAGACAAAGTCTTGCTATGTTGCCCAGGCTGGCCTTGAACTCCTGGCCTTTCGGTAATCCTCCTGCCTTGGCCTCCCGAGCAGCTGGGATTATAGGTGCAAGACCCTGCACCTGGCTCCGTTTATATTTTCCGTCTTTGAAAGTCCTCTTATGTTTTAAGTCCCAGGTTCAGAAATGCTGGCTTTCAGATCAGGCAAGAAATCTTGAATATTCAATGCCTTGTGAAGATCTTCTCCAGATGATTCATGCCACCAAGGAAAGCTGCTTCCCCTCAGCTCCTAGGGCCTCAGAGGTGGGCTTGGAGTGGGGAGTGTGGAAGCTGTTATAAAAGCAAGGAATGCAGACAAATGGGAAGCCTCGTGCCCAGCTGCAGGCTCCATCTCGGTAGTCTCCCCTCCCAGGAAAAAATACTCCATTTTCCACCCTACCTTGGGAATGAGACCATTCCCAAGCCATGGCAGCCTCATCCAGGGCACAGTGGGTCCCAGTATGGCTGAAGTCGGGAGAACGGGGAGTCTGACAACAGGAGAAGATGTCATCGAGCTCTTGGGGAGGGCAGAGCTCCTGTGACTGTTAAGGCATAATGCACAAGCCCCGTGGGTGGCATAATGTGGAATTCATCTCCCCCACAATGCCAAGAGGGTCCAGGCAGAACAATCCAGACTCTGTCAGCAGGGTCCTCCAGAGAGTTCAGGCCACGCTGACGAGGATGAAAAAGAGGGGAGATCTGCCCCTCATGGCCGCTGCTGCCACTCAGAGCTAACGCATACATATTCATGGGATAGAGGGGCAGCTCCCGAGAATGACCCATCCTCCACAGAGGCCACAGGGCAGAGGTACAGCAGTGCTGCACCTCACTTGGGGTGGGCTGTGTGTTGTGGGGTGGAGGACTCCAGGAAATACCCTTAAATACATGGATGTCCAAGGTGAAACCCCTTCCTTTGCCTGCTGCAGACATATGACTCCTGGCCTGAGCTCAGGGACTCCAGAAAAACTCACTTCGTTCTCAGCTCAGTTTGAGAACCAAGCCCAGGTTTTCTACTTCCTACTCAGCATCAGCAAACCTGCACCATATCTGTTCTTCTCGGGTGGGCTCCATGGCATTTGCTGGAGTTTCCACAAAGAGTTGTATGTACACACAAAAGTTCAGGCCGTGCCCTACCCCATCACATCTCATCACACAGACTGTTTTCTGAGTCCTGACCATGGTGTTCCCTTAACTACACTCTTTTGGCAATAAATTCTTGATCCCACAGGCTTCTGGGGGCCAGGAAGGTGACTTTGGTATGAGGTAGCATTTTGTATAGGGAAATCTGGACCCACAATTTGGGCATCTGTACGACGTTCCTTCAGAAGAAAGCAAATGTTGGCCCCGAACATATATGCATGATTTTGAAATTAGTGGATTTGTTTTAGACTCTCCAATATTTTGATATTTTAAATGTTTCTTTCCTGTTTCAGAACACCAAGCCTCAGTCCCCAGGCAGCATAACTGAAAAGTATAACTGAAAAGATACATACTACGCCAAATAAATCAAATCACCTCTCTGCAGCTGGCCTCCTAAGGTTTGTACTGAGCCACAGGCTAGTATTTAACTGCAAGACAAATGTCTAGCGGAGCCCGAAGAGCCTTACCTGCCTCTCTGACATGATGTAGAGTTGCTCGTGGTCCTTGGAGAAGGCCATATCCCGGAGGACTGGGCCGGGGTCCACCACCTGCACCGTCTCATACTGGAGGGCGTTGCCCCTGGGTCCATCCACCCGGATCTGTGGAGAAGAAGAGGAGAGCCAAAGTGAGTTCAGATCCTGCACTGCCCACAGCCAAACTTCAGCCAAAGACCCTGTCAACAGCCAAGGGAGAGGGCATGAGTTCTGTCTCCACAGTGCTCACAGGCTAAAGCCAAGGAGTGGAGTGACATAAGCTCACCAAGGGCCTCAGGATGGGAGTGGCAGAGAGGGAAGTGGGGGACCAAGCTGGGCTTCACCAAGAATCCAGTCTTAATCTCCCTGGTTCCCTATGCCTCAGGCTCAAGCATTTGATGCCTTTCTTGCTGGTCTTTGGAGAAAAAGATGAGGCTCTGAGGCTTGGAGGAACAACATGTAATTGAAACTGCCTCAGATCAGAGCGTCACCCTGCATTGGAAAGGCAATATTATTTGCTGCATTTGTTAGCAGAAAAACATGTCAGTGTAAGGATGGGAACTGCTACCTGGATGTCATTGCTGTTCCTTGAAGGTGAACCAGGCAGGGGGCCAACCCCAAAGGTTTCACACTAAGGGTCTCTTTTTTTGCCATTGAAATAGTGGCTTATACTTATACCATTAGGTCCTGAAACCTTCTAGAGGTTTTGTTCACGTCCCCAGCAAAAGGGATGTGGGAATTACAGGAAAATGTGCTTCAGGCATGAGTCATCCACAACCTTCTGCAAACACTCAGCTGAATAGATCATCCCCGGCCATCCATAAGTCCTTCCTAGAAATGCTGGGACAGCATAGAGACAATGGAAAGAAGACTTCTGCCCACATGCCCCATGAATGAGAACTAACCTAGAAAAGACATGAGCTTTCCAACCCTACATGATGCTCATCTGGCCTCTGGATGTTGGCCAAGGTCTCTGGAAACATCCTGTGTTTGAGTGCATAGATCCAACATGACCGCTGCGCAGTCAGTGCTAAAAACACCACTCCCATAAATCAGGAACAAATATTACTGAGAGTGTGGCTAGGCAAGAACTAGGGGATCACCACACTTCCCTACCACATGCACAACTGTAAGCTACACATAACGTAATTTTAGAGATTTCAACAATAAAACTAAAGAAAAAAATTATATTCCAAATATTCCCATTAGGCACTCTTATTTTTAATTTTTAATGTATAATTTTTAACCTCTCACAAGATCAAGGAGAATAAAAGAGTCATTCTGAGGAACTAAATTACAGAAAGAACACCATGTTAATGACAACTGACCACACCAGGTCCCCCAGAAGGCTCCCACCTTTCATTTCTCTTGAGTCCATGAACTCTGATATCAGGTTATTTTGTGGTTTATTTGCTTGATTTTGGGTTTGTTCTGGACTCTGATTTTTAAAATTTCCTTTTAAGCATTATTTTCAAGCTTCATGGACATCAGGTACTGGGAGATGGTTTTGCACATAATTCCTTATTGATATAATCCTCTCAATCCTGTGGGTTTAATGTTCATTCATCACGGCTCATGTGTCCCTCCAGCATCCATTCCACCTTCTCCCACCTTTTGGGTGGGATTGAACCCACTCCTTGCTTCCCAGGTTGTCCGTGATGAGCATAAACAAACCAGCTTGATCTTACTCTCTGCCACAGTGATTAAGAGAAAATAGGCTCAAGCCAATCAACGTGAATCAGAGCAAAGCAGGGACTCATGGTAGAAAGAAGAGGCCATCTTTCTTCACTCTCAAAGGGGTAGAATGAACTTGCGGCTCAAAGATCTGTGGGCAGCCCTCTCCTAACAAGGAAGGGAACTGGAACCAGGGCAGGTCAAACACAGAGATGGGAAAATATTGGTCTTTGGTGACATCGCTGAGCCACTGAATCAAAGTAACCCCAAAGCCTGCCTGACATTGGGACTTCCTAGTTACTGCAGATATTTTCTTTAGGTTAAAGTAATACAAAGGTTTTTTGCAACATCAAAAGTCCTAGTGGATGCACTGATAATAGACAAGAAAAATGATACCCAGGTACATTAAACAAGTGGCCTGTGGGATAAAATCTGGGGACAGAATTAGAATTCAGTTTGACTCTGGAAGTCCATGCTTTTCCTACCACCAGTTACATGAGAGTCCTTGCTCCCAGAGGGTTTCCTGTATGTCTCCCGGTGGTGGCCACCTAAAGGCAGGGAGCTGAGGTCAGGGTCTGTCTCTAGTCTGTACAATTCCTGAGACTTTCTCTAGTCATTCTTGATTTTGGTGCTCAAACACTTGAACCTGACAAATATTTATTTTAAAAATGAATAAATTAATGAATGTAGTTCAGATTCCTCTTTGATGGTTTCCCATTAAGCCCATGAAAACAACAGTTAAAGGATTTAAGGAGTCGTGGTTAGTGTCAAAAATGGAAATGCCTCTGATTCCCAGAGCCTTCCTTCTTCTGTGCCCACCCCAAGCCACCAGATGTCCATGCTGGCCAGGTCCTTTCCTAATCTAGATGAAACAGGAGTTCATGCAAAACCAATTGGGATTACCACCCAAGTCTGACCGTGCAATGATGGCCTTGGCCCCTGGCCCAGCCAAGCTTCATCCCCAGCTGGGAGGTGCCCCTGGAGCAGGAGCAGAGAGTGATACTGAATGCCCTGGCTGGTCTCCAGCCCCCTCAGGCCACCGTCGGCCAGAGCAGGGTCCCCAGGGGAGTGCTGGCGGAACTAAGCTCCATCCAGTGCCCCTTGGCCTGATCCCCAAATGAAATTACATTCAGTGCCTGAGCAGTCTCCTTTATCTTTCGACTCCAACTTCACTGCTCCTTAGGATGAGGGGTTTGCTGGGTGTGGCTGGACATCAAAGGAAGCCAGTTGACTTGGGGGATGGACAGAGGGGTGGATGAGGAAGCACCAACTGGACAAGGTTCCATAGGCCTGGCCTTCTGCAAGGAGGCTGGATGCAGATTAGTCCCCACCCTCTGCACTCTGCCAGCGAGAAATATGTAACTGGAAAGGCTCCTTCTCTCTTTTCCCACCCCACCCTCCAACAAATTTTCAGAAAACCAAAGAAAAGCATTATTTATTCATCTGTTGAAAAAATTCACACAAGACATGGATAAAGGAGTTTATGGTGGAATTTACTGAATGTTTGATGAGCAATACAAAAATTTAGGTAGAATGGACCAGCTGCCGGCTCTTGGACCCTTAACATAGACAAATAGAACAAGAGCTGTTATTTATTGAGTGGCCACTATGGGTCTGGGACAATGATAGGCATTTTATATATATTTATTTTCTTATTTAAATCTCAGAACTCAGTAAAGTAAGCATTAATATTGTCCCCCTTTATAGGTGTGGCACAAAAAAGGTTAAATAACTTGGTTAAGGTCACACATCTGGCGGATGGCACAGGCTGCACCCTTACCAGGGTCTGATTGTTTCCAGTGGTCATGCTTCTATGAGTTCACACTCTACACCAAAGGCTCACACTGAATCCGGCACTATTGTTTATGTAAACCTGCATTCCTTCAAGACGTCAAAGGAGTTGATTTTAAACAAGCATCACCCCAGGGGTGCTGGAGGAGCCATGTCTTTATCTACTGCAGTTCTGGGAGAGAAACGTGCATATGAATGAAGATGCTGTTGTAAATTTTCTAAATAATGATCCCTTATATTTTTGCTTTATACCTTGCAAAGCATTCTTAAATAACACTGTCTCAGCTGATGGTTGTAAAATTTTTATGATGTTGATTGCCAGAATAATCATTCTCATCTTCCTGATGAAGCAGCCAAGATGGAGGCTGTTCTGTGCCTTGCCCCAAGTTCAATGATAAACCAATGGCATATAAGACTAGAACCCAGGTCTCCTGATTCCTAGCTCAGTGCTTGTCTCTTAGCTATTTAGATTTTCCAGAAGCCTTTGACAAGGTTCCACATGAAAAGTTATTTAAAAATAATGAGTCTCCATGGGACTTCGGGCAGTTTGGCCATGGAGAGAGAGAATTGACTAAGAGACAGGAAAAGACAGATTTCTGCATGGAGAAGTAACTAGTGTTACGACTAGTCTCATTTAATATTTTTTATAAATGGTCTGGAGGAGGGAGCAGGAAAATGTGCAAATGATTCTAAACTCTTTGGGACAGCAAGAAGGCCAATAACAAAGGTGAACTACAAAAAAAAATGGTCCACCCTCTGCAGGGGCTGACAGTTGCCACGTGGCAAATAGCCCTGGGACCATGAGTCTCCCAAGGAAGAGGTCATGCCTGCTGTACTCAGTGCAATCCCCAATACATGGTTGGTGCTTAGTAAGTAATTACTGAATAAATGTAAAACAACCACAGTCTCTAATATCTGAGCTGCTAGTTATAATCGAGGTAAGAGTCAGGATCGAGGAAGGGATCAGAGCCACCATTTACTACTCCCAATACTCGGGCAGCCAAAAAGGCCCACAAAATGTTAGGCAGCATTTAAGTAAGATTTCATAGAAAAACAGACAAGCAGAAGCCATCATCTTGGTCAAGTTCACCTGAACATACGAGATCACATTCAGTTCACCGCTCATAAGGTAGGAACACAATCCAGATGCCTGCAACTCAAGAACAGCCTAGGAAAGACAGCCCATGCCAGAAAGAAATAGTTGAGATGAAAGAAGACACACTGACCAGTGGCCATGGTTCAGTCACCAATACAGAGGCCACCCCAACACTTGTAACATGACAACTTGAACAAATTAGATTTCTTTTTTGTTTGTTTGTTTGTTTTTGTTTTCAGACAGATTCTTGCTCTTGTTGCCCAGGCTGGAGTGCAATGGCACGATCTCAGCTCACTGTAACCTCTGCCTCCTGGGTTCAAGCGATTCTCCTGCCTCAGCCTCCTGAGTAGCTGGGATTACAGTCACCTACCACCACGCCCAGCTAATTTTTGTATTGTTAGTAGAGACGGGGTTTCACCATATTTGCCAGGCTGGTCTCAAACTCGACCTCGTGATCTGCCCGCCTCGGCCTCCCAAAGTGCTGGGATTACAGGCGTGAGCCACCAGGCCCAGCCTAGATTTCTTATTTTTACATAGTATAGATACTTGTGGATCACCTAAACAATGAGAAAGGATGAAAACAGAAGTTGATTTTTTTTTTTTTTTTTTTGGTAGAAAATGTAAAGAAATTGGCCGGGTGCTGTTGCTTAAGCCTGTAATCCCAACACTTTGGGAAGCCGAGGTGGGCGGATCACGAGGTCAAGAGATCAAGACTATCCTGGCCAATATGGTGAAACCCTGTCTCTACTAAAAACACAAAAATTAGCTGGGCGTGGCGGTGGGCGCCTGTAGTCCCAGCTACTCGGGATGCTAAGGCAGGAGAATAGCTTAAACCTGGGAGGCGGAGGTTGCAGTCAGCCAAGATGGTGCTACTGCACTCCAGCCTGGGCGACAGAGCAAGACTCCGTCTCAAAAAAGAAAATGTAAAGAAACCAATCACAGGTCACGAAGGTACTTTGGTTGTTTGGAAGATGTTAATCTCTGAGGATGACACCAAGGAGGAAACCACATCCCAATCCTGTGTGTCCCTTGACGGAGCGACACATCCCACACCCACCATGTGTCTGTTGAATGCCCACTGTTCCAGAGCCTCTCCTAGAGAGAAGAGGTGGTAAGTGCCAGCCCCGCCTTCCAGGAGGCCTGTCTCCTGGAGGGCTCAGATTTCACACAAATAATGCCAGGTGGCAAATGCTATGGCAGAGGAGTGTTCTAAGGCCTCTCTTTGTTCTTCTCAGGAGATCTAGCCAACTGGAGTTTAACCAGGGATGATCAGCCCAGCTCCAGGCGAGGCTAGTGGGCAGGGAGCATCATGACCAAGAGCTACCAATATGGCATGCCAGTGATGAGAGCTTGACTAATACAACACATAGCAGGTAACGTCAGATTTACTCAAAGCCACCTTAGGGGACAAAATCTTTTAGATCAGTAGGAAGGCTGATCTGAAGTAGCAAAATTAGCAGGACTAATAGATTTCATAAAGACGTAACATACTGAGAGAAGGGTTAGAGTAAAACTTGGAAAAAGGGCGTCTGAGGGGAAGAATTTGATCATCTTCCTGCAGCATCATCTTGAGGAGAGAGAGAGACTAGAGAAGATCAGAGAGCCACTGTGTCCTCTGTAGTAGGGAGGGGTGCCCCTGCAGGCCTCACCTCAGCCCCCGTAGATAGTTCCAGAACAGCACTGGACAATGGAAGATAGTACAAGCCACAAATGTGGGTCACATACGTTATTTAAAATTTTCTAGTAGTGGCCAAATTTTACAAAACAAGTAAAATTAATTTTCATAATATGTTTAATCTGACCCAATATACCCCAAATATGACATTAGCATGTCTACAAGTATAAAAATTTTATTGAGATATTTTACATTCTTTTCCTCATACTAACTAAACCTTTGCCACCTGAGGTGCATGTTAAACTTACAGCACAGCTCAGTTTGGAGCAGCCACGTTTCAGGTGCTCACTATGTGGCCAGAGGCTACCATATTGGACAGCACAATTCTAGACTATTCTCTTTCCTGTGTATTGATTCTGCATTCACCAAGTGACCTTGCTAATAATTTGGTTTGGTGACTATCCCCCGGAGGCATGCTCCATTGAGATTTTGCAACCACCCCCAACCCCAACCGGCCCTCCCTCCCCCCTGTCCTCTGCTGCAACCCCTTTGTGTCTCCCAGGGACCTTCAAGCTACAGCACAGTGCAGTGTGCCCCATTGCCCTTACTTTTTGGGCATTCTTGGGCTGTATGATCCAGCCAGCTGTATGGTCCCCATCAAGTCAGAATGCTGCTGCATGGGCCTCATTCTAATCCAGGCTCATTTGATGCACCCATGCCTTCTCTTCCCACACTCTGGGCAAACCTCCTGCGCAGCAGGACCCCTGGTACCCCTGCTCGTGGGAGGGGACCAACCAGTCAGCCAGAATCGTTGCTGTGGGAGGGGATTCTTGGAGACTCTTACCTGCACCAAGTAATACTGCCTTGGGAGAGAGTGGTGATAAGTGGGACACCTAGACGGTGGTGGGCATCTGGGGCTGGGGGCAGCAACTGACTAACAATTGCATAGATGCATTTCAATATTAACGACTGGTGAGGCCACATGAGCACTTAAGGACTGAGCATCATCTTGCCTGTGCCACACAGAAACCTCCACTACAGTGTTCAGTGTGCACTGCACTACTCCACACTACATGCAGCTTACCAAGAACACACACACACACACACACACACACACACACACACACACACACACTCTACTCTGGGTATCCAGGCATCTGCATCCCCAGCCACTCAGTCCCTGGCCCGGGATCTTCCAAGGCAGCCAGCCCCTTTCCTCCAGCCCTGCTGGCCCCCTGCCGATCCACCAGTGGGCACCGCCACCTATCTCCATCCCTGGCACGGTGAGTCTCCGCACTGCCAGACAGACTGCTATTGAAACATCAGCAGCGTGGCCTCCGCAAAGGTCAGCCATCCGGGGAGCTCCTGGCAGCTGCTTGTTTGTTTATTGGAACATTATCTGGGCCGGGCTGTTTATTTACATCCATTGAAGGATTGAACAATAAATATAGTCTCCCAGTAGCAGGCAGATGCTTGCACTAGAGCATTCTGGCTGCCGTCTTGCTTGGACTAATCTCCCTAATGAGCAAACAGTGCTATTCATCTCTAAAGATGCAGGCCACCTCTGCACTCTCCCTTTCCTCTCTCCCTTCACATCCTCCCCAAACTTCCTAATGGAGGTCTACACCTTCGAGATTTGGGAGCTGGGCCCAGGTATAAGAATGCAAGGGTGGGCTCTTATCCAACAGGCAGGGAAATAGAGCTGGAACTGTAGATGGAGAGGGGAACAGAGCAAACCTGGAGGCATATGTCCCAGGGCAAATCTGAATTCCCCACCTAGACCCTCAAACCTCAAACACAGAGGCACGTGGCAAACCAGCTGGTGGTCAGGACAGAAGGAGGTCAGGCCTTGCTCACAGGGCCAGAGGTGGAGGGGCTTGTGCGGAGGCGCCCCATATTCCAGCCATGCCAGAGCCAGAGTTAGGCCTTGAAGTGCCCAGAATTGGAAGGAGATCCCTTGCAACAAAATGCAAACCAGTCAGTTTGCAAAAGGGAGACTTCATTGGGGCAGGCAGGGATAGGTGAGGAGCCGAAGGAGGGAAGTAAGGGGGCCAGGTTTGGCTCCTCTCAGAAGCCTTGAGCACATGACTTCAGCTCTCCTAGCTGTCCTGAGTCTCTCTCCTGGCTCTGACCTGGCTCTCAAGGAGGCAGCAACAAAGATCCTTGGCAAGCAATGAGTGACCAGCCGTATCTCTGGCACACAACAGCAGTATGATCTCTCTCAGGAGGGAGCAAACTGTGAGCCATTTGGATCATAGATATGCAGCCTACTCAGTTGGACCCACAGGTTCTAAATGATGTAGCCCTCATCACTGTCACTTGGCACCTGAAAGGAAGAATTAGCACACCAAAGAGTGCCAGAATCAGGCACAGGGTAAGTACTCGTTGAATGAATGAATGAATGGCCTGAGAAGCTGATTCTGGGTCTGAGTTGCCACAGCTGGAACCAGGAGACACAAATGCACACTCACAGACATGTGTGCACACACATGTATACACATGTGCACTCTCTGGCTCTGAAGATGGGGCCACATCTCAGCTCAAACACAATCTCTAGAATTTTCCCTTTCTCATTCTGCAGAAAGGGAGAGAGGACAGGTGATACAACCGTGTCTGGGGCAAAGAAGAGCTGGGAAGGGTGCAGCAGGTTGGCAGCAAGACAGATGCGAATACGGGCATGAGGTCTGAGTAACTTGGCAACTGGCTCGTTGTGGGTTAAACGTCTTCAGAAAGGGGACCTTCCTTGTGGAAGAGCTGCCTAGTTTGCAGGCTGGTAGACTGGAGGATTTCTCAGTTCCCATCAGACTCTGATGGGCTGCAAGTCCATCTCCCCACCAGAGGAGCTCCCTCACACCCCAGGCCCTCACTGCCAATATCCCTACAACCCCACACCAAGGGCATCTGAGAATAAGACTGCACTCATAGAAGCACCTCACATCTTCCCCAGGGCTTTTGTTTTTTAAAAGTATTCCCTCCTGCCTCTCCCCTGGATTTCCAATCCCCTCTCCCCATTCTGCTTTTGCTTTTTTTCACAGCGCTTGTCCCCTTCTGACATACTGTGTCCTGCGTTCATTTATGATGGTTATTGTTTACACCCTTGCTAGATCATACACACCACGGGAGCAGAAATCTTTATCAAGGGATATATCTCAGACCCTTGAACTGTGCCACAGAGTAGGTGCTCAATAAACATTTGTTGAATAAATGAATGAATGAAAACACTCAAAGTAATCATCTTCGTGTTTCTTCATCCTCATGGTGTAGATCTCCCCTATTTTACAGTGAGGGAACCAGTTAGGGGCTTTCCCTCACTGTAACTGGGAGATGTTACAGCAAAAGTGAAATGGAAACTGCCCAGCCAGGCCCGCGTGGCCGGTAGGTGCCCTGTTTCGCCAGCAGGGTGGACTGTTTGATGCCACATCCGTGCCTTCCTGCCTTTAGTCTCAGGGCTTGGAAGGTGGGCGTAAACCCTGCTTCTGTGTTCATGCTGCTTAAGCTGCCCCAGAATAGCTCCATGAGGTACTTTGTTTTGATTTCCTGATTCCAGCCAGGAGAAAGGGGATGCAAAGGGAACTGCAAGAGTGTAAACAATAATTAATTAGACAGGCAGTGTGTGTGCACAAATCGTGTGCCGTGTTACCAAACACTGCCAGGACAATCGGTCCCTTTGGGTCTCCCATTACACACATTCTCAGAGCCAAATAATGATTTCTATGCTGCCATTAGGAACTTCTTGCCCTGCGATGTCCAAACCAAAAAGAAACCAGTGATAATGGCCTCCAAACCTTCCCCACCTGCTTGAGTGGTGACACAAAGAACAAGCTACAACTCCAGAAGAGAAAGATGCTGAAGAAATAAGAAGGGAAGTCAATAGGGCTGATATAAAGAACATACCAGGAAAAGGTTCAAACCAGCAAATTTCACATGTGGAATATTTTGAAACAGCTTCACTGAGTGCACCATTCCCAGAGACTCACCAGAGAGCACTGTGTGCTAAAGTTACAGGTTTGAAACCTTGGTAGGTCAGCCACCCCGTGACCCCAGAGCCACAACTTCTTTGGATAGCCTGCATCCTAAAATCTTGGTTGGCCATTTCCCATGTGCCTCTGGTTAGAAAGGAGCCTGGGCCACTCCCACTCCTAGGAAAACAAGTTCCCATGAATAGGTGGTTAATTCACCACCTGCCATGCGCCACACACCATGCCATGCACTTTACACGCATCAGCTCCTTCTGACACCTGGCAGATGGACCATGCTCATCCATGCTGCAAAAGACCAGAATCCTGAGCTGGGGTGCACTGGCAGCGCAGGATTTTTGAAGTCCAGGGGCAAACAGCGTGACTCCCAACTCTGACACTTAGGAACTGTGCAGCCTCAGACAATCTACTAAACTTTCCTATCACTTTCCTCATATGAAAAACAGAAATAATAACAATACCTCATTGTTATCATTATTGTGCAAGTATGATAATGTCCCAAGCATGGATAATACTTGGCAGAGTGAGGGGGTTTTGATAAATACTAGCAATGATTAATGTGCAATGATTACTATTCAAATGAATGGATCTCTATGATTTTCATCCAAGCCCACTGAGAGCACAACCCTGATATAAAGAGGTTAGAAGGTTTCTATATGTGCCGTAGATAAAGAGGCTAGAAGATGTGGCCTGCAGATTGGACTCCCAACATCTGACAAGTTCACCTAAGGGCAGGAGAGGGAGAAGAGGACCCACAGCTTAGCTCTGGGCTGTCTGAAGACAATAGAGGGCAGGGAACCAGGACTAAAGAGTCTGTGCTCTTTAGCATGAATTGTACAGAACAAAATGGACCCAGAGAACTTCCCGTGGCTGCCCTGAAGCTACAGGAATTGTCTAGGAAACCCTGAGTCTGCTTTAACTCAGGAGAGACTCAGAAAGCCAACGACTTTATGGAGGAAGAACAAAGCAGTTTCATGCCCATGGTCTGACCAAGCTGCAGGAGGGGAAGTGGAGAACCACAGCCTGGCCTCGCTGAGAGATGCGGCATCTCTGAGGACCCAGGGAGGATGGAGGGCAGAGGTGGGGCTGGCAGGATGCTGGGGAGATGCAGAGCCAGTCTTCAAAAGCAGAGTCAGTGGCTCTGCATGGTGTCAGGCACAGAGACGCAGGCCAGAACCAGGACCGTCAGCTCCTCATCCACACGCCTCTATTGCCTCATCCTACAGCTTGGACAAGCCATGTTCATCTCTGCCCCCACACATGGGGAGGCTACCTCCTCTCCTCTCTGCCCACACAACTGTTGCAGTGACAAAGGGGTTAATGCCTGCGAGACAATGAGGACTGGGAACAGGTGTGCAAGGATGCTGGGGCTGGCACAGTCCATGTTCCTCTCCTGCTGGAAATCTGGCCTCCTCTGGAGTGGGATCCAGCAGGTGCTTCATGCTGTTACACCAGAACCAGGAGAAAACTCCTGTCTAGCTGGAGGCCCAAAGAAAACAGAAGTAGAGAGAAACCCGGGAATCCAGGGACTCCTGTGTGAGCTGCTACCACACCTTCAGGAGTCGTCCAGGTACTAACTCAGAGGAAGGATGCTGCTAGCACAGAGCTCGGCACAGGGCAGAGACTCAATAAATCAACTGCACTAGCAAAGGGGGACTTCATTGCAGCCTCAGAAGCAGCTTCACCTCCCTCTCCCTTCACATCCCAGATTTACCAGTAGGCACCGCCACCCTAGAGTGGCTCCCTTATAAGCTATAGGGTGTGACAGCCATGAGTGTGTCAACATCTTGAGGGCAGGTCAGTGGTGTAGAGCTTAAGCCTGGGGCTGTGCAGGCAACCAAGCTCGACTGCTGATTCTGTCTATTATAGATGTCGTAACCTCAGGCAGGACTTTTCAGACTTGCTTAGCATCCTCAGCTGAAACACAGGTCTCAGAATTTGGAGCTCAGAGCTGCCGTGAGGATCTCATCAGGTGAATTGTGAAATGCTCTCAGTTCAGCACCTGATACATGCAATATACATACGTGCCTGTGAGCTGTGGCTAGTTAATACGTAGCCGTGCCTGGTTAGCCAATGTGAAGATGAAGAGGAGATAATGTGATGCTGATGATGGTGTAGCAGAGCACAGCTTCCCCTAGCAAGGCTCCCTGGCAGCTCTGGGAACACCAGTTGCTTAATAGATGTGTAGTAAATTGACAAATGAACACATGAGTCCCATTAACATTGGAAAAAGATCAGAAGGGTCCCAGCATCCTCAGAGACTATCTTCCAAGCTTACATTTCTTTGATGTTCTGTCCTTACAGGACCACCAAACCTCTTTCTAGCACTAAGGGCACCCGCAGCAGCCAGCCCTATATGGCTCCCATCATCATCCTGTCTGCAGGAAGCCCCGTGGGTCTGTTGCTCAGCCCCCAGGCACTGTTCTGCAATTTCCTTGACAAATAAATAACCCAGGGAGTGTCAGACAAGTGCGTATTACCTCAACATCTGCTCTCCCTACTGGGCTCTGCCCTAGGTTCTTCCCCTGCAGCCTCATCAAGCTACTGGGGCACCAGCACTTTCAAGGGGCACTGAGGCTGCCATCCAAGGACAGCTGTGTGTGTGTGAGAGAGGCTAAGAACAGCCCATGTTCACCTATGACAAGGGGCAGAGGTGCAACTTCCCAGAAGGTGGAGGATGCAACTTCAACAAGGCTGGGGTGCCTTTCTCCATTCACTCCTCATCCCCTTGGGAAGCACGCTGGTCAGAGTGGTGCTGCCTGACTTCTGGCAGAAATGATGGAGTTTCATTTTGCAATGTCAGTGCATTTGCAAAGCCCTAGAACAGGAGGGGATTCCAGATTTGCTCAGTTGGGATCTATACCAGGATTTCAAAGTAGCCCCAGTTCCTGGGCTATCTAGGATAATTGTGTGTGTGTGTGTGTGTGTGTGTGTGTGTGTGTGTGCGCGTGTGGCCTAAAGGAGGGTCAGAAGGAAGTGAGGGATGCATGTGACGTTACCCAAGATCCGGCTCATGGAAAACTGAGAATCTCAGAACTCTCCCCAGAGTCTCCCGGTATGATTCGGTGCCTCCTGTGGGCTCCAGCGGCACTTCCTGCACACCTTGCTTGTGTCACTTATATGCATTGCTACATGGGGTCATGAGCGCTCACTGTCTTCCCCACTCCCTAGGAGCTTCTTGAGTGCAGGGGCTACATGTTATTCATCTTACCCAAGCTCACTAGCCAGTAAGTGGAGCACCACACTGAAGTTTACATTTTCTGGCTTCAAACCTGTACTCAGCAACAATTCTTCTAAAAGTAGGCACTGTAATGTTCAGTGTCACCAGCAAAAACAATTACTAGAGCTTCTTTGAAGAGTGGGCCTCACTCAGGGCTATCTCATAGATCACCACCCCTTATTGAATCCTTCCCCTCCCCGTCCCACACATCTCTCCAGCACAGACACTGCCCACATCTTACTTTTTAAAAACAGCAGCTACTCTGGGAAAGAAATACTTGGAACTATCACAAATGAGGACCCAGAAATTCATGAGTCCTGGGGTGAGGCATGTGAATAGTTTACAGTCAGAAAATCTGTTCCCAAAGAGACTGTGGGGACAGCCTTCCCTGGGCTTAGAATGCTGGAGCTGAGAAGGGCATCCCTGTCTGGGGATGACATCACCAGACAGAGCTGGAATGCACAGATGCAGAAAGCTGGGGGCCCTGGGGCCAGGAGAGAGCTTGGCTGGAAGATCACAAAGGGGCTTTTGACCACCCTCATCCCAGGAAAAACCACAGAGACCCAGCTTTAAGCCACCCCCGCCCTCAGTTGAGGGGCCTAAAGACATCCTCCTCCAATCAGACGGGTGACCTTTGATCCCAGTGAGGGAGGCACCAGAGCCAAAGTGCCTTGAAGGAAAATAATAATAATAATAATAATAATAAGTGCCTGTATGGGTTACTCCTTCTGCCAGAAGCCTGTGGAGTTAGTTGCAGAGAAATCCATTTTAAAATAAGATATTGGAAAACCATTCTCTCCGTCACTGGCCACAGTTATTACAATTATTTATGTGGCATCATCAAGGCCCATGTGTTTCACAGCAATTAAACTATTGATCTCCCAGCTCTGAGGCACTGAGCAAAAACCTACAGCCACTGGTTCTGGTGCTCTGGGAGTTGCCTCTCCCCATGTTTCAGATGTGAAAACTGAGCCCGGTGGGGAAGTCACCAAGAACAAGAGAGTCAGGGGATGGCACATTAATATTAATGATCAATATGTTAATATAATATGCTAATGGTATATTGACATATCAATAATAATATATCCATTTATCCATTTGGCCAGCACTTACTCTGTCAAAGTGTTAGTTTTTAGGTTTGCCCAAGAAATTAATAATGCAGTGATTGAAAGCATGGGTTCCAGAGGCCATTAACAAGGGCTTCTACGCAGCTCTGCCAGGACCTAGCTACATGACCTTTGGGAAATGAGTCAATTTCTCTAACCCCTGGTTTCCTCATCTGGAAGATGCAGATAATAACAGTACCTACCACAATCAGTTGACGTGAAGATTTAATGAGTTAGTAGATGAAAAGCATTTAGCACACTGCCCAGCACATAATCACAGCTAAACTACAGTTAGCACTTATTTACATGAGGGGTCCATGGCTACTCACTGACCCATGACACACCTCTGGCAACTCATGTTGCACAGCTACGTCATTGGCAAAGGAGAGAGGGAAGGCTTACCCTCCTGTGAGTCGCTGCACTGAGATTTGAGGGGCACTGCATTCTTTTTTGATGGTCTTGAGGCAGGAGCTGCACCTGGACCTCTGTTTGCAGCTGCCCCCTGGATGCACATGGGGGTGGTCCTGAGCTCCAACCTCCCTCTCTGCCTACCTCACTATACCTATGTCCCCATCACTTTTCCTCAAGCCTAGAGTCAATATTAAGCTAGTAATGGTTACACAAAGTCTTATTTATGAAATGCATTTAAAGTAATATTATTTAATGTGTTTCAAGGACATGTTAAGGGATAAAATGTATTGGATGGTGGGAGTCTGAGACTGGTTTTGAAATAATTCTCCTTCCTGAACTTTTTTGCTACAGGAAGTTGCATGTGCCTGGAACATACACTCTTATATTGCATGGTGTGGACAGGGAGAGACTAAAAGTAGGGTGACAGTAAAGGACTATGATTCTTATCTTGGTCTAGCCAAAAGGCAGTTGGAATAGAGGGTAAGGACAGAGGGAGAAGGAGATGGGGCTTGAAGAATGAAGGACAAACTCTGGATTGTCACACCTGGGTGGCCAAGGGAATGGTGGGCCCAAGGAGCAAGTTGAAGGGAATGCCGTGTGGGTGGAAAGAAGAAGTGCGGGTCTGAGATCTGCTGAATGTCACTGGTGGGAGTGTGGCCGATTGACTGTCTCATTGTTTTGGACATTCAGGACTGAATGTCTGCTGGATGTCTGACTGAATGACTTTCTGCTTAGGCAGAAAGTCATTGCTTAGGACAATTGAGTCACTGTCATTTTAGAGGTGGATTGTGATATCATGATATCAAATCATTTCCCGGAGCCAGAATTTAGACGACCACCATGGCAGGCTGGCCCTCCTACCCTGTCTCTAAGGGTCACATCAGACACATTCCATAGATTACAGAATACAGATTGGAAAAGTGCCGGGGAAAGGGAAGAACACAAATCACTATTTCCTACTTCCCTTCACGTTGCCCCCAGACACTACAGAGGGCTCACTAAGTTGAGGAATAGAATGTTCTCCCACTTCTCATCCCAGAAGCTGAAATAGGCTCCATGCATGACCCAACATAAACTTGCAAATGAATAGGCAGTCACTTTGAGGAGCACAGGAAAGACACACCGATTTAATTACCTTCTCTGCACCATCACCAGGGTCCTTCAATTTTAGTATCTGAGGAACTTTTCTTTGGATTAAACAGTTTCACAGAACCAAACAAAAGTCTCATTTTGCACCAAAATTTTCACAATTTTTGCTTAGGGCTGGTTCAGGAACTTCTTTCCAAAGTCTATGTCAAATTAAAAATCCAGAAATACCTACCATTATTTAAAAAATAGTAGGGTTTATTTCCCACACTGACCTAAGACTTAAAACAAAACGAAGCCCTCTAAGGGTTGAGTGTGTGGTGTGGCCCCTTCTCCCCACAGACCTTCCCCTTGGGTCAGAGCGTTTAGTCGGCCTCATGCCAATGCCCATGACCGGGGGTGCTGGTTCCCTTCTGCTTCTTGGGGCCTTCCATGGTTCACCCCCATCAGAGTCTGGAAAGGGAGGCCACGGGAAGTAGGGAAGGGAGGAAGAGGAAGGAAAGGGTGGGAGAGCTGAGGGTTGGAGAATATCAAGAAAAACTGAGATTTTACAGGTTGTTACTCTGGGGTTCCAAAAGAGGTCCTCACGGAGGTTCCACATCACCAGACCCTGGGTCCTGTATCAGAACTGTCCTGGGTCTGCACGCTGGAGTTCACTAACTGGACTTCCAGCCACTTTACTTCCCATCCTCAACGTAGACCAGGAAAAGTCATGATGGAAAGACTTCTTTGTTCCTCCTCAGCCCAGCAGGGCTCTGATCATGCCAGCTTGTTGTGTTGCAAGACACGAAAAGAAGCCAGCAACAAAATTGTCTTGCGTCACTTAACTTCCTCTCAGATTTCTAAGCAGGTAATTATTTCCTCTCCTCCAATGGACTGCAAGCATTTTGGAGGGTTTTTATCAGAGACACTCCATAAATAAAAGTGTCAGGTTATTAAGGATAATCTTATCCACTCTCCTGAGCAAGTTATCCAGTGGAATATTGTGCTCTTCCTCTGTGGCACTTTCTTCCTTGACTTTTCCATTTGGCACCTAAGTGAGCCAGGGGAGGATGTGTGAGCAAGGGAGACATTTCTGCTACTGGGGCCTGGGAAACAGGACCAGAGGGGCTTTCACTCCGGTCTGTTCTGTGTGACCTCTGGGAGGCTTGTTTTCTCTAGTTCATTCCATTGCTGAACATGAGTTGAGCATGTACTGTGTAAAATCCCACCCAGAAATGCACACATTTCAAATAAGATTTGGCTGGTTTCTACCCTCAAAGACTTCTTGTCCAAAACAAGATTCACAGCACAATTTAAAAAGCAGTTTCACATTGACTTTCTAAATTTAATTCACACCACACATAGTAAGGACACAATAAACTTTATTGAATTAATAAATGAACCATGATTCCAGTGAGGGAAGGAGGATGATTATTTGTACTCATGTTGTATCTATGAACAAACTAAGACTCAGATGGGCTACATGATGCTCAAAGTTAGATTATAGCTAACAAGTGCTGGATCTCATTTTCGATCAGATATTCTGGTTAAAACCCAATACACCTTGGCCCACATCTCACGCCCCTCCCGAGTGAAGCACATTCAAATGATTGACTTCTGTTCTGGTGGCCATGGAGAGGAAGCAGTGGTCAATTCTGAGGAGTGTGCTTCCCAGAAGAGTGGCAATGTGAGCTGATTGTTAGGAGGAATATGATTCAAATAGCAGGAGCCATGAGGAAGAATATGTCCTAGGCAGGCTGGCATGAGCAAAGGCAGAGATGGAGGAAAGTGCCACGTGTGTGCAGTGTAGGGTAGTCAGCTGTGGTCAGGGCATATGACTTTTGGGGGCATGGTGGGAGGGAAGCCCAGAGTGGTAGGTTGGATGCAGGTGCAAAAGACCCTTGAATGTCTTTCAAAGTGCTGGGCTTTAACCTGTACACAGAGGGGAAGTGTTGTATGTTTCCAGGATGGGGGAACTGATATGATCTGACTTTCATAAACTGGAGATAATAAGCAAAGCATATCCTACTTTTTCAACTTGGAAAAACTGCTATGCCCTTGAAGAGGGGCACTGTCATTCCTTTAACAAAGTGAACGCCCACTTATTGCCTCAAATGACTAAACTAAAAAATGCGACTCTATCACCATAAGCCTCCCTATGTTGTGTTGGGAGGTGGATTTTATTGAATCGTCCACATTCTCCCAGTTCTCTTCTAGTCAACTTTTTGGGTTTAGGTTAAGGGAACAATACATTTCTTTGCAGCAAGCTCTCTAACCAGAGTTTGGGAAAACCTTGATGTTCTTAACATAAACTCAATCAACTGACTTAAACGCATGGAAAATGGTGGACTTAGGAGGAACATTTCATTTTAGCACTTTACGGATCAAGTCACTATGGGATAGAGACCCTAAACTCTCACAAACTTCCAGGCTAAGATTTTAAAACATAGATTTAACCCTAGCCTATAAAGTACTTAATCAATAATAGCTTGGTGCCTCAAATTTTGAAAAGGATTTTTATGTACATCATTTCAGTGTGTCCTCCCAGCAGTATTGTGAGCTGGGTTTGGGAAGTGTCCTTAGGCCATAGCTCCCCAGCAGATGAAGAACTAAAGCCTGGATGGGAAATGACTCTCCAAATTCATGACACCACTGTAGCTTCATTAGGTCTCTTAACTTCTGAACCTGTTGTTCTTACCATGCTATCTTGGCACCCACTTCTTTTTAAATAAGGGACTGGGGTCTCACAAGAAAAGTACACAATTTAGTCCCCCACCCTCCAGTTTCATCAATGCAGAGTGAGATGAGTAAAACAGGGTGCTATAAGACTGCCTGTTGCTTGAGCCTAGCTGTGTTGTGCTGGGGTTGGGTTGGATTGGATTGAGTTGTATTGTGCTGCATTGGGTTAGGTTGGGCTGTGTTGTGTTGTATTGGATTGGATTAGGTTGGGTTTTGTTAAATTGGGTTGTGTGTGTTGTGTTGTGTTAGACTGGATTTATTGGATTAGGTTGGGTTGAATTGGATTGGATTGTGTTGTGTTGAATTAGATTTAGTTGGGTTGTGCTGGATTAGATTGAGTTGTGTTGTGTTGAATTGAATTGGGCTGGGTTCAGTTAAGTTTGTGTTGGATTAAATGTAATTGGATTGGGTTGTGTTGGGTTGTGTGTGCTGTGCTATATCATGTTAGATTGGACTGGGTTGGGTTGGGTTGGGTTGGATTGGATTGGATTGAATTGGGTTGAGTTAGGTTGTGCTGAATTGGATTGAGTTGGGTTGGGTTGGGTTGGACTGGATTGGGTTGGGTTGTGTTGGGTTGTATTGGATTGAGTTGGGTTGGATTGGGTTGGGTTGGGTTGAATTTGATTGGATTGGGTTGTGTTGGATTGTATTGAATTGGATTGAGTTGAGTTGGATTGGGTTGAATTTGATTGGATTGGGTTGTGTTGTGTTCAGTTGGATTGAATTGGATTGGGTTGCATTGGATGGGGTTGGATTGGGTTGTGTTATGTTGAATTGGAATAAATTGGTTGACTTGAGTTGGACTGAACTGGGTTGGATTTACTGGTCTGGGATTCACTAGCATAGGATCCAAAGTCTTCCCTGATTACTTTTATTCTGTGGCATTCAGTGACCATTTGCCTATCCTTGCAAAGCTACCATGAGTTTACCATGACCAGGTTGTGTGCAACAAGAGCAAAATGGAGCAGCACAAGCAAAAGTCAGCACAGCATTGTGGAACACCAGTTGTAGGGAGCCTCTCAGCCTGCTCCCTCCCTCAGCTGGCTCAGGTTACACCTGGCCAGGCAATTTCAGAAATGGGTAGGGAAGAAATCCAAGAGCAGGGAGTGGAGAACAAGAGCCAGGCAGAGCAAGGGTCGGGGCCAGGCAGGCACAGTTTGCAGGCCAGAGAACATTCTCTGAGAGCGCAAGAATCTGTGCCTCCTGGGAAAGGCTGTAATCCATTTTCCCTGAAGACCCGAGTAACCCGGTCAAAGAAACTCAATCCCAAGTGGTTTTGACATAAGGTCATGAACCGAGACAAGGCAATCTCAGCAGTTCATCCCACACAACAAGCAGGCCTGCAGGCAGGGGGACTGGAGCGGAGAGGGCAGGGGTAGCATCTCAGGGCCCTGGTTGCAGGGGGAGGGAGTTGGAGCCCTTCCTAGCCAGACAGGTGATTCATGTGGACACTCTCACCCTTCTGAGCACCAGAGATCACACCAGGGTCTGACCCTCTGGCAGCCCCATCTGCTCACTAAAGGGGAAACTGAGGCAGAAAAGAGCGCAATACTGCCCAGAACCCAGAGTGTCGAGGAAAGGAGGTGATATCAGTATGTGCTCACTTGCTTTGGACACTTGAGAGCGCTAAGCTGGGGGAGGGTCAGCTTCTCCAGCCTCCTGGCTTCCTCCCTCCCTGCTTTCCCTCTCCTTCCCCAGGGCTGGGAGCCAAGGGATGCCTCAGCTGCAGGACTCTCCCTCCCCACCCCCTGCAGAATGAGCGTTTCCACAACTTGCACATCTTTACCTCCTGTGTTTACCGGAAAACAGGAAGGAAGGAGGGAAGAGGAAGTCTTTTCAGAGCCTCTGGTGATCATCACGCACTTTGCTTTTTTTTTTTTTTTTTTTTTTTAATTCTTCTCCCCCACTCCAATCTCATCTGTCCCCTGAAGGGAGAAATCGAACCCATCTGTAGTTGTTACACAGGCAAAATCACAGATGCTGCTGTGGTCTAGCCAGGGTCGGAGGGGCTCTGTTCTGTGGTGTATATGTAGGTATGTGTGTGCGCGGGTCTCTGCCTGTGTGTTTCTGAAGCTGGTCTTTAACAAGTGTGGACTCTCTGTTGAATTCTGCATTTTCTCCTGCAGCCAGCAGGTGGCAGTGCTGCGACAGTCGGGTGACTCCAGTCCTGTGACGCCTGGCCCCGCAGCGCTTGTCAGGACTGGTCCAACCGTGGAAGGGAAGGCATGTCCACACGCACCCCAAGGTGGCCCACATAGAGGTCCTGGGCAAGGCGATATGGAGGAGAGCCATCCAAAGGCCCTTCTGAAACCTCCTCTCCTCTCTTCCATTCTTCTCTATTTCCCCTAATCTAATCTAGAAAGGGGGAAACCTACTAACGTTTCCTAAGCACATGCAGCATGGTTTTCAGACTTAGCATAAAACCCCTGCAGAGCTTGTGAAAATGCAGCTTCCCAGGCCCTGTCCACTGAGACTCTCACGCAGCATGGCTGAGGTGGAGCCCAGGAACGTGCATTTTGAGTAAGTGCTACTGGTGATTCCCATGCAGTCCCCAGGGAACTCCAAATTGAGAAATAGAAAACTAGCATATTCCAGGTGCTGTGATGAGGGCTTCATCCTAGATCTGTTCTCAGGGTTCCTTGTAAATTATAATTCTCTCCACCTGTTTCCTACTCTAGGTCTGTTCTCAGGGTTCCTTGTAAATTATAATTCTCTCCACCTGTTTCCTACTCTAGATCTGTTCTCAGGGTTCCTTGTAATTTATAATTCTCTCCACCTGTTTCCTACTCTCCAAACACATTGCCGCTGCACTCCTCTACCATGAAGTTTTGGCTCTGCATTCTTAACGGACAATTTTGCTGTTTCCTTATGCTAATTTCCTGGTGCTCTGAGATCACCGGACTTCCTGCTCCAGAAGCAGGTTTTCTCACACTGCCTCCCTGTCATCCTAACCTTTCTTTTATTCCGTGTAAGTTCCTGAAATGCACAGTGCCTTACCCTGCCTTCCCAGCCATGGGGCTTTGCTGGAGCCGTGCACGGCAGTACCATGCTTCCCCACCTCTCCTATGCTCTCCACTTGCTTCCTTCCCAGTCAAAGGGCTCTGCTGGAGTTCTGCAGGGCAGTGCCATGCTTCCCCACCTCTCCCATGTTCTCCACCCCTGCCTTCTCAGACACCTGAGTTGGACTGCCCTGGTGAACATCTCCACAGTCAAGCAACCTGGAGCTGCACCTACAGACATGTGCAGAGGACAGGCATCTCCCTTGAAAGTCAGCATGACACAAGACCTACCCACAGTGGTCATACTGGGCGCTTTTAAGATGGCAACACAAACAAACTCTGAAAACCCAGTGTATTCATTTGCCGGGGGTGCCATAACAGGTGACCACAAACTGGGTGTCATAAAACAACAGAAATGTATTCTGTCACAGCTCTGGAGATTAGAAGTCTGGAATCAAGGGGCCGGTAGGGCTGAATCCTTCATTGCCTCTTCCCACCTCCAGTGACTGCTGGCAGTGCTTGCTGTTCCTTGGCTTGTGGCAGCATCACTCCAATCTCTGCCTTTGTCTTCACATGGCCCGGGTCTCTCTGTCTAAATTTCCCATTCTTTTCTCTCATGAAGTCACCAGTCACTGGATTAAAGCCCATCCTTCATCCTAACTTGATTAGATCTCCAAAGACCCTATTTACAAAAAGGTCACATGCACAAGTATCAGAAGTTGGGACTTCAGCTTTCCCTTTGGGGAGATACAGTTCAACCTGCAACACCCCACGAACCAAAGATTCTGCTTTCACTTCTTACCTCCTGCCTGGAGAGAGGAGAGCAGAGTCTCCGTGCTTCTCCAAGCACTGAATGACCTTTCCCATGAATAAAGCTTTTGCTCTTGGTGGATGCCATATTGGAAGAGGTTAAAGCAAGTCAGCTTTGGGCTTCCCTGAGTGCAGTGGTTCTCAGAGTTTGGGCTCCTGACCAGCAGCATCCGGGAACTTGTTAGAAATGCCAAATCTCTAGCCTTGCGCAGACCTACAGAATCAGAAACTCCAGGGCTGAAGCCAGCAATCTGTATTTAATAAGTTCTACAGGTGGTCTGGATGCATCCTAAATTTTGAGAATGACTGCTCCCGCGGCAGGGCTCACAAGGGCATCCCCAGCAAGTTCCAGCCACTGACTATGTCGTTTGTTGCCCCAAATCTCCCTGTTTTTCTGCCCTCCGGTTCCTGGCAATCCCTTGCCAGCTGCCCTTCCTTGACGGCTGTCAGATGCCTGGCACATCACCTGGCTCCACACTCACCGGCCAGCTTCCCAGCACTGTTTTTCTCCGGCTGCCTCTCCTCACCTGGCTCTCCGTCCGCCACCCCCTCGCGCTTACTTGCATGCCCTCACTTCCCTCTGACTCTTTCTCCTGACAAAGAGAAGAGCTTGGCAGGGGTTGGTTAAGTTAACTCTGATCACACAGAAAACAAACTGTTATTTTTCTGTCTGCCAAGCTGCTGAAGGCAAGGATGTCAAGCCCAGGATGTGTGTGAATGTAAGATCTACAGTTACCCTAGCGTGTCTGTGTTCTAGGCAAGCTTTTTTTTTTTTTTTAAATCGTGGTCCAGTTCCCAGGGAGATACCAGTGACAACCTCTTGGATGCTCATTGCGCTGGCTGTGACAGTCTCTGTACACATTCCCTGACCCAGGGAATGAGCAACTCCCATAAACAGCAGACGGTGGGTCACCTCTGACATCTGCTGTCCACATTTCTGATCCCCTGGAAGGCCTTGTTCAAAGCAACACTGGGCTGAAATGTTGGTGCACCATGTGTGTTTGCCGTGTCGGTGCACATAAGCAGACAGACCTGCAGGAGGCAGACAGCCAGGCAGGAGGGAGCCCCGGGGGACACGTGGACACATGTTAGAGTCTGGTGAACATTCAAGACAAGGTTTTAAAGATGTGTCTGTGGTTGAGGGTGGGGAGGGGCAAAAAGGAGGCCCTTTGGAGAGGGCCAAGGTGCATATATTGGGGAGCCTGTATGCGGGTGGCCACCCTCCCAGGAGAGTTTCAAGTTTCTGGGGAGGAGGGAAGCCTGGGTGGGGCGGAGGGGGCATAGGAAGTCCTAAACTCCACCCCCAGAAGAAGGTAGAAATTAGCAGAGTATCTGGGCAAGCTACAACCCAGTTTCCGTGCCTTTTTTGTCCCAATCACCAAATTGGGCACAATTATAGTAGAATAGCAGTGAGAAAAAAACAAACAGTAAAAATAAACATGGTAAGTGAAAAGGTTGGAAAAGGAATGTGCCAGAGAAATCTGGAAATCTTTGCATGCAGGCACTCGGGTCTGAGACACACTTTCCATTGGGTCTGGAAACCAGGTAGACCAAGGCTAGAGTTCAATTTCCCTAAAAGGGCTTTTTTTTTTTTTTTTTTAACAGAGTCTCACTCTGTCACTCAGGCTGGAGTGCAATGGTGCAAACTCGGCTCACTGCAGTCTCTGCTCTTGGGTTCAAGCGATTCTTGTGCCTCTGCCTCCCAAGTAGCTGAGATTACAGGCATGTGCCACCATGTCTGGCTAATTTTTTGTATTTTTGGTAGAGACAGGGTTTCACCATGCTAGCCAGGCTGGTCTTGAACTCCTGGCCTCAAGTGATCCACCCGCCTCGGCCTCCCAAAGTGCTGGGATTACAGGCGTGAGCCACCGTGCCTGGCCAGAAGGGTTGCCTTTTTCATTTCTGTCTCCTAGATGTCACATCAGGTTTTAAGAGGCTGTGGCTCCATTCTTTATCCCACACAGCAAGAAGGTAGCATGGCTAAACATCCTGGTGCAATTTCAACCTCTCAGGACCATTCTCTAGTTTCAAACCCCAAAAAGCACCTGGCCACATAGGTGAGTTGCTCCGTCACTATCACTCATTTAGTTGGAGACACTCATCTCCTCTTAAGCACCTCCCGTGCTGTATGTATTTTTAAACTATTGTGACTTATTTTGCTTTGGAAATTTAGGAGATCATTGGGTCACTCTTTGAAACAACCAGAGATGCTCAGGAAGAAAGGGATGTCACAAAACCAGGTTTGGATACCACTGTTCTGGGGTTCGGCTTCCTGTGACTTAAGAGATCTGTTCAGATTTTAAACAGGACAGCTGATCCACTATCTCACTGGGTCCCCTCTAGGCAATATAAGCCAGAGAGGCCTTAACATCAGAAATACAAGGGTTGGGGAGGGGTGGTGCACATTTGTATCAGTGTATTCTCCTTTAGCACAGATGAAATACACTGGGTGACATAATGGAAATTCACAGAGGGAAAAGATCCGTTGGGGGAGAGACTCATAACTCAGGTGACCACTGAACTGTGATCCCCACGAGTTCACCTTGTCCAGCCTGTCTTCCCTTTTGCCCTCTCCCCACCACCAGGCCTTAAATCACCTGTACATGTGCATTGCTGGGTGCCAGCAGATGATTCATGAAACTCAACAGACAGATGCCCTGGTGGGCACAGGAAACCGAAGGATTGAGAGACATGGGTGTGTTGAAGTGCTAGCAGTAACAGCCATGAGGCTACACAGTCCATTAGGTTTTCATTTTACAAAGTAGAGTGTACTTGCATCATCTCATCTAATCCTTCGAGTGATCTGAGGAGTTAGGCATTATTACCTCCAAAGCCTAAGAGAAAGTGGTAAAAGCAAAGCCTTCAACAACAAAACCCCAACCCAGGAGGCCTGACCTGGGTCCACCTAAAATCTCTCAGGACAATTCTAGGCACTCTCCCTCCAAAATAGGTCTGCTAGATCTTCCTCCTGCTCCACGGCTCTGCTGTGCAAGGTGTCACCATGCCAGGGAGTCTTCTGACACGACTCTCCCAGGCCATGGGTGAATGTTCCACTTCCAGGCCACTATAATGTCGACTGTCCTTAGACTATAGCCATGCTTCTGGGTTCTGCAAAACAATCTGAACCCAAGATTGAGAAACCTGTGATATAATATACAGATCTGTCATGTGGAGGAGACTTGCAGGTTTGATTTTTCTCACTGTTTAAATATCTGGGTGGCTGCAGGAAAGATACACCACCCTCTGTGCCTCAGCTTCCTCGTCTGGAAGTGAGGGCCTCATATCTCTGTGGTTTCTCCAAGCAGAAATGATGCAATTCTACATGAGGTGCAAACTAATTTGGCTACAAATCATCACAAAATAGGCCTAAGGATGGAGATGGTCCTGGACCATACCGAGCTAGGCAGGGATCATCAGAGACAGGCGAACAATGGGTAAGGAGGGCCCTGGAGCAATTTATCCTATTTACAAAAATTAGGCTCTATCTAAAAACTTAGCAGAGAACTGCAGACAAGGATGTTGACCAGTGAACCCAAAACCGGATGCCAAGATCCTTCCAAGAAAGTGAAGGGAATGAATGAGAAGGGAAGAGGAAGAGAAAGCAGACAGGAGTGAAGGGAGAATGGGAGAGGAAAAAAGAGAAAAATTTAAAAGATCTGCCGGTTTGACACTCACATGAAAATGTCCCAGCAGATTTGCATTTCCTAGTAATAAATATTTTGTGTTTACTTATTGTGACAGAGTTTGCATGTCATGTAATCACTGTTTCAGTTCATTTTCCCCCCAATGATAGATTGTGATAAGTTGGTTGTTAATAATGCTACAATTTACCTAACAAATTTTGAGCTTGTAATACAGCTTCATTAATATGTTTAATTTATCGTTACAGTTCCTTCAGGTTAATGGTTTGAGAGTATGTTGGAGTTTAATCTGAATGGCTATTATAAAGTGCTTGTTTCTCGTTAAAATGTAAAACTGAGATACCCAAGATTTATTTGGGATAAACCAGCCAGAATAAATCTCCCTCTTCTTTGCATTGGGAAGGGAATGAGGGTCGGCTATTAAAAAGGCTAAGCATTGGAGAGCCCCTTCAGGTAAGTTTAAAGTAATTTTGCAGATTAAACATCCTTTCCCTAGGGTGAATGGGAGCGATGCCTGAGGCCAGAGTTTAGCCTAGAAGGATTCTCTGGATGCTGCAGAAAGGTAGGGACATCAGAAATGGGGTGATAACTGAATTTCGACAAAATACAGTATAAGCATTGCAGGTGACTGGAAAGGTATCTGAGTGTTGGGTGATGGGTTATAGAAAGCAGAATCCACAAAGATTAAAATCAAGAACACAAGCCCCCTGAAAAGCACAAAACAGAGGAGAGCAGCCTCCTCTTCTCCAGATGGAATTTTGGCAGCATCCTCTGGCTGACAAACTTTCACAACACTCCTGTAACGCATCAGACACCTGCCCCCACCTGCCTTCACCTCCGGGCTCCTCATACTGGTTTATTCTTCTGGGTAACTTTTAGCTTAGTTCAGAAAAAGAAAGAAACCCTCATTCTGTGGCTCAAATTTTACCACCCAACTGTTCAAGTGGCTTCTAGGGTGCCTAACAGTTTCTCTGGACCTGGGGTGTGAACGAGGTTGCCTCAGAGCATTGAAGAAGCTTCTGGATACGGGGCCATCTACATTTAGTGAGTTTGTTGATAGCTGAAAAGCAAGAGTAGAATTCTTGCCATTTGAATAATCAGGGCCCCTCTGGACAAGTCTCTAGCACCCAAGGGCATCTCAGAAAAACAGTTGTTATGGGTTGAACTGTGTCCCCTGAATAGATATGCTGAGATCCTAAGCCCCAGTACCTGTGAATGTGACTTTACTTGGAAATAGAATATTTGCAGAAATAATCAAGATAAGAGGAATTGATTAGGGTGGAGTCTACACCATATTACTGGTGTCCTTAAAAGAAGAGGAAAATGCCATGTGGCCGATGGAGGCAGACACTGGAGCAATGAAGCTGCCAGGCAAGGATGGCTGGCCACTACCAGCACAAAGGAGAGGCAAGGAAGGGTTCTACACAGAGCCTCAAGGAGTGTGGCCCTGCTGACACCTTAATTTCAGACTTCTAGCCTCCAGGACTGTGAGAGAATAAACTCCTAATGCCCCAGGCCACCCAGTTTACAGTGTTTTATTACAGCAGCCCTAGGAAACTGACACACGTAAGCCCAGTGGGTCACTCTTGGCACTACAGGGAGACGTGTAAAGGCAAGGGTGGGCATGGATCTTACAGCAGGCAGCGGATTCCAACACAGCTGAAAGCCAGGACACAGTAGCCCTTCCTACCCACTGTCCAGACCTTGTATGATCCTTAATCCTACGTGTCAACCTGACTGGGCTGCAGGGTGCCCAGACAGCTGGCTAAACTTTATTCTGAGTGCACCTGTGAAGGTCTTTCAGATGAAATGCATGTTTGAGTGGTTGGAGTAGTGCATCAGACTGCCTTCCCAGTGAGGGGGGGTCTCTACCAATCTACTGAGGGCCCGAATAGAACAAAAAGGTGGAGGAAGGGAGAATTCCCTGTCTCTGCCTGCCTGTCTTCCAGTAGGGACATTGGTCTTCTTCTGCCTTTGAACTTGGACTCAGGCTGGAACTCACACCATTGACCTCCCTGGCTCCTCACCTTGCCAACTCCAGATGAGGGAACTTCCCAGCCTCCATAGTCCTATGAGACAATTCTTTACAACAAACCTCTTTATGTATGTAAATAAATGAACACACACATACACACCATCCTACTGTTCCTGGGTTTTGGTAGAATCCATGTGGAATCAGATGCTCTGATGCCCTCGAATGGTGGCCCTTGGTGCTCCCGTGGCCTGCATGGTCTGGCCCCCTCTCTGTCCTACTCTTGCCCCTGCTCATTTCCCGTCCTTCCCCTTGCCTTCCCACTGTGCCTCCTCTGCCAGCCCCTGCATCAGGGCTGCTCTGCCCGCTTGGATGCTCTCTCGGAGAACCTCACAAGGCTGGCCCTCGCTTCCCGCGGCCTTGCACCCCCATGGCATCTTGGAGAGGCTTCCCTGACTCCGAGTGCTGATGGTTCCCATTCCTCTAACACATCTCTGTGCCCTCACCCAGTGTTATCTTTTTTTATATAACACAACCTGAAGTTATAGCTGTTTATTTAGTGTGTGTTTCCCCCATAGAAACTAGAAACTCCCTAAAGGCAGGAATCATGTCTGTTTCACTCCCCACAGTGTCTGTGCCCAGTGCCTGGCTCAGAGCTGGTACTCAGTAAGTGTTGTGGCAGGAAGGGAATGGGGAAAGGAAGAGGGAGGGAGGGAGGGAAGAAAGGGAGAGAGGGAAGAAGGAAAGGAGAAACAGTGAGAAAGGAAGGAAGCGAAGGAGGGAGGGAAGGAAGAAAAAGAGGGAAGAGAGGAAGGAAGAAAAGAGGGAGGGAGAGAAGAAAGGAGGGAGGGAGAGAAGAAAGGAGGGAGGGTAGGAAGAAAGGAGGGAGAAAGAAATGTGGAAGGAAAAGGAGAGAGTGAGAGATGGGAAAGGAAAGAGGGAGAAAAGGAAGGCAAAAAAAAAAGAAAAAAGAAAGGGAGGGAGGGAAGGTGGGCAGCTTTGCAACCCCAGGCTCTAAGTGCACCATTCAAAGATGGTCCCTTGGGTCTGCTCATGCCTGGAGCATCCCATAATTTGACATTTCCAGGGGTAGGTTGCAATCTAAGGGTCAGAAGTACTGAGAAATAAGTTAGTCATGAAAATTAAGATTAAATATATAGATTTTTTAAGATAAACTTTTACTTGAAGGTTCAGGGAAGGTCATAATTGCTTATTATAAAATCATATAACATATGGAGTCTCCCATTCTCACCCCTACCCACAAACCTTCTGAAGTGGCAGGTTCTTCCAGAATAAGATCCATATATAACTTGTCTGCCTGGAAAGCTAGGTCCTCTCTGACTGAATTTCATTTGTCACCCTTATAACACCAAGGTCGGACACCCATGCAAAATATGCATCAAGGTTCTGCTATGCCCTGGGTTCTCGGACACAGAGGTGAACACTGTGTGAGGAAGGTCACATCTGGATCCCGCATGATTTATTCATCAAAGTATACCAAATTGAAATCCTCTCATAAAATTATTCATATGTGAGTTAACAAATCTCTAAAACAGAGCAGAGCACACGGTCCATTGTGCCCTGTGTATGAAGAAGGGACACAAAGCCAGTCTCAGCAGCAGAGAGATTTTCAGCAAGTCCTCCCTCCACCAGCCTCCTCCCCCATCACTGGATGAGGAGAAGGTTCCAGTCCTTCCCACTGGTCCCTGAGAACAGGGAGAGCCGCCCTGTGTGGGGACACAGGTGAGCTCCTCTGCATATCTAGAAGGAAACCAGCGGCAGGGTGCAAAGAGAACTTCCAGTCCCCATGGAAAGGGTGGCCGGATGGACAGAGCGCTGCCTTTGAACTCTCTTCCTCGTTCCGCTCTGGCAGCCCATTTTCCTTTAGGCGTCTGACCCTGCTAATGGGGACTGAGTTTCCACGTTAAGTGAAGGGGTCACTGGGTCGGGCGGGCGCTGGCTTCTCTTCCTCCTGACAGATCCATAATTAGAAGGAGACAGAGCATTCAAAGAGGAGTGTTGGCTCCAGGCACATCCTCGTCAGCCTGTCAAGCAGAAGCCTGTTCTCCATGAGCTATTTTGAGCCACCTTCTCAGCTGCATTTCTGATCTTCTCGGCCTGTGTCACCCTCCCCCACCCCATGGTCTTCCTCCCACCATGTCTCTGCTGTGACATCACTGAGGCACATGGGCTTGGCGGAGGGCTGGACAAAAAGGGCATTCTGTGCAAGATGCCTGGGGCTAATAGGAGCGGGGGGGCCTCCTGCCCCTGCCCCACACCTCCACCACCTCTGTTCCAGTGGAATCAGATGTAAGAATCAGAGGGCCTGGGCTGTTGACTCTGGGAGCAATTATGACCAGGGCCATGAGGTTCAACAGATTCCTCGCCTTGGAGAAATAAAGGGTAATCACTCCTTAGAGAGGACGTCATGGTGGCGAAACTGGAATGCAGAGCAGGAGAGCATGGGCTTGGTCTCTGCCCAGGAGCTGCCCTGTAGGATTTCCAGGCCCGGGCAAACCAGGTGGGATCATAAGGACCTATGCACACTCCAGGAGTCCCCAGTGCTCTACTGATCACTCCCTCTGCACCGCAGGTGCTCTACAAGCATGATTTCCTGTCCTGCTCATGGCAACTCTGAGAGGGAGAGACCATTGCATATGAGGAGGGGGTGTCTTCTCAAGACTCAGCCACCAAGGATGTCCCATCTGGCCTCAGGTTCACAAGGTCTGGGTTCCTGGGGAAGCTGGGTTTGCTTGATCTGAGGCTGTGGTTCTCAAAGCGTGGTTCTGGCACATCGACATCACTTTTTCAAAATCCAGATTCTCGGACTCCCTCCAGACCTACTGGATCAGACCCTCTAAGGGTGGAGCTCAACCGTCTGTGCTTCAAGGAGCACTGCAGGTGATGTGGATGCACCCCTAAGTTTGGGAACTGCTGCCCAAAGGACACCTTTTTGTCGGCCCATAACATAAATCTCTAGGACAAGTCCAAATGCCCCCACTCCATGCCTTCCTGTAGGTGGAATCTGTCTCTTGAATCCAGCTCCAGCCTTACCCTTTTAGCACTCACCCCAGGCTGTTCTGGGGTCTCCCCATCATTTTTGGGAATGCTCGCCCTCTCCCTGTCTCTGGTTCTTGGAATGAATTTTTATATCTTTATGTGTGTGTTTCCCTCATTTTACAAGAAGAGAGTGAGTGCCTCCTGTTTGTGCCCCCCAGGACTCTGCCCAAGGGTGCTCAGCCCTGTGCCTGCCAGGGCCCCAGGGGTCCAGTGGTTGTCACACACTGCCTGTGCAGAAACCAGGGAGAATTGATTAAGCACCAGCCTTAATTGTGGCTGCACTGCCTGAGAGCTGGCAGCCAATTCCAGCTGCTTTTCCTCATCTGCATCATGGGCCTCCAGCTCCTTTGGATTTTTTTAAATTATCAAAATAATAACTCACAAGTCCTTTGCACCAGCCATTCTGAAGGGATAGAAGAACAAAGAGGAAACAAACGGGTTGACTCCTTGTCTCTGGGGGCCCTCAGGAAATCTGGTGATACTGATGATTCGTGGGGCCCCAAAAAGAAATGAAGGCTCCCAGGTTCTTGTCCTGCTGCCACTGAATCTTTATCTGGTGACCTAGGCCTGGTCATTCTGAGTCCCATGATGAAGATCTTCTGGTTACATAATAGGGAGGATTCTACATTAGGCAACAGGTATTTTTTGAGCTTAGAGAAGCCAGGTGCTGTCCTGAGCACCACGTACCCTGTCTAAGAGACCTTAACTCTTTAGAAGCGTGCTCTCCGTTGTGTGTTGAGAGCTGGCTGAAATCCAGAAAGTGCCACGGACATGCAGGAGGCAAGGGGAGGAGCACAGGGCAGATTTCCCTGGGCTGATTTTTAGGGAATGAGTGGGCATTGTGAAGACGGAAGAGAGAGGGAACAGACTAGTATAAGGCACAGCCAGTGCAGAGCCACCGAGGTGGGAAGGACCTGGATTGTTTGGGGGCAGTGAGGTGCTCAATTTGGCTGGAGCTGAGTAGGGACATGGTGGGAAGAAGGTGAAGCTGGAGGGAGAGTCCCTCGCAGTGCTGGCCACCTTACATCAGGAGACCTCTGGGACACCAGCAGTGACCTAATCAATTGCTCACAGTGGCAGAGTAACCATCAGAATCAGGATTTCAAGCCTTTCCAGTAATCACTGAGTAAAATATAACCCGCTCACCAGTGAGTGATCCAGAAGGGACAGAAACAGAGAAAGGGCGGAAAAGGTCCTCAAGCCTTAAAAATAAAACTTGTCTTCTGTCCTGTAGGAGTCCTGAGTACTTCTTTACCGCACACTTTAAAATGTGAAAATGTAAAGAAGTTGGCTAAGCCAGGGCATTGCACTGGGGATCCTGCCCAGGCCCCAACTGTGTCTGCATCTGGCTGTAGGAGGGGAGTGGCCCAAATGGGAACTCTTAGGGAAATGACATGGCTGGTCAATGGCTGAGTGTCCCAGCTGTGCTATGGGTCTGATCTTGAATCTACTGGAATCACAAGGATGGACATGTCCAAGGTCACAGACAGCACCACTGACCCTGGCAGCCACCTGGTGAATGTGACCCTGTGCACCATGTATCCCTACTTATCACAAAAGCAACATCTGTCATAAGGGGTTACAGGTGCTGCTTACAAACATAATAAATATGTTTTTCTAAATAAAGAAGGCTGACCAAGGGCAGGAACAAAGCAAAGTTACTCCTTTTACTATAACCTCCCTGGTCACCTTTGACTTCCAAGCCTGCCAGTCATTTTTCAAGGTTCAAGGCTCCATTCGTGTCAAGACAGAGTAGAGAGTGAGGGTGGGATGGGACAGTGGGGAGGGGCCGCTCAACCCTGGCAGTAGCAACAACTCCTTGGCCATGTTAATGAGCAGCTTTGTTCTGCATCACCTAGCTGTATAATAACAGCAGGAATTAATACAACCACAAATTAATAGCACAGAAGAGCAATCAGGAGGCAGAGATACATTCCTAATGGGCTCAGCTGAGAGCAGGAGGAAGATGGATATGGGAGCATCTCCCTGCCTTGGCCCCTGAACCTTGCCAGCTGGGGCTGGCAGAGGGGCTGAAACACCGCTGCACACAGCCTCACCTTTGCCAAGGACAGAGGGTTTGGCTCTGCCAAGGGTAATCAGGGCCTGCAGCCTGTGCTGCAACCTCCACCTGCTCTTCCCAGTCAGAGCCACTGGCCCAGGAAGGAGCAAGACACACAGCTCTGCTGCTCAGGGACCTGGGGCATCAGGTCTGAGTCTTGCCCATGTCACTCCCCAGGGAAGGTGACAGCATCTCTCTCAATTGCTTTCCTCCAGATCCTGTGGTTATAGGGAGTGGTCAGGAGCAATTTTCTATTAGGTCCAAGTGAACAGCTCACTCAGCCATTGCATGTAATAATAACCTCAAAGTGCACAGTATTTTTCTTATAATAATTATAATGGTGGCTATTGCTCTCGGGCTTTCCTTCCAGGCCACCTCTCCAGGGGTCCCAAAGCACCAGCCCTCTGTCTCACCTGTCCCAAGCACTATGGTTGAAAGAGGTGATAGGCAGAACCAGTGTGCCCTGTGAGGTACAGGGCGGGTTCTATAGGATGGGGATTCTTGGTCCCATCCTCCCCATCCTACAGCCACTGCTGTGGCTAGAGACATTAATGCATCTGTGAGAAAGTGGAAGGGGCCCTTGAGTGTTGAGATCTGGGTCCTAGACCCTGCTCAGATAAGGCATCTGGACAACCTTGGACAAGGCACTGAACTTTCATGGACAATGTGTATATCATCTATGTAAAATGCAAGCTCTGAATACACGACTTCTAAACTCCCTTCAAACACTCACATTTCATTAACAATAAAGTCATTGTTCACTAAGAGAACATTCTGAAGCCATCTGGAATTCTGCCTCTTTCCTCTGCCTTCTTGTACCTGTGAAGGGAGTGGAAGGAACCCATGGTGCCCACGTCGAGTGTGGAAAGAAGCCTGAGATGTTTAGGCCACGGAATGGACATCATTTCAGTTGAAACTTTGGGCAATGCACTACCAGGGTCACAGCCTTTTCCTATAGTGTTTCTGGGACCTGTCCGCTCTGAAATCAGTGTGCTTCTTCTCCCCCACTGTCCTTTTGTGACTACTGGTCTTCATGGCTATGTTTGGAAGCAAGAACATCTCTATCAGGTCTTGTTTAACTTGAGCCTTGTCCCGGCTGGCTGAGATGGTGCGAGCTAGGGAAGCCAGTGGGAAGGGCGGGAATCATCTATGGGAAGTTGGCCAAAATCTTACTAAGGAACTGGGATTCCTAAATCCCTCACTGGGAGAATTTATTCCAGTATTATTCCATGGGCTGGGCGTGGTGGCTCATGCCTATAATCTCAGCATTTTGGGAGGCCAAGGCGGGAGGACTGCTTGAGGCCAGCAGTTCAAGACCAGCCTGGGCAACATAGTGAGACCCCATTTCTAAAAAAAAAAAAATACAAAACTAAACTTAGCTGGGTGTGGTGGGCGAGGGCCTGTAGTCCCAGCTACTCAGGAGGCTGCAGTAGAAGGATCATTTGAGCCCAGGAGTTGGAGGCTGCAGTGAGCTGTGATCATGCCACTGTACTCCAACATGGGTGACAGAGTAAGCCCCTGTCTCAAAAAAAGAAAAAAAAAAAAAAGGACAGGACATCCATGTTTATAGACAACAGAAGTAAAAGTTCCACTTATCTATGACATGAATTCTGATATTTTCCCTTCTTTCTCACTCTCTCTCTTACTCTTTCTTGCTCTCTCTCACTCACTCACTCTAAAATAAAATGCTGTTTACAACCCACTAAACTGCTTTCATGACACATTAATGGGTCTCACCCTGCAATTTAAAAGTCACTGGGTGAGATGCACTCCAAAGGACATTCCTGGTTTCTGATGCTGTGGTCGGAAACTAGGATAGCAGCTCTCTGACTCCCTGACTCCTCCCCATCAACTTGTTGCCCTGCAGCGGCCATCCCTGTGTGTGGCTAGTGGGGAATTTGTGGGAAGGGGTCTCCACAACTGGGGCTTGTTGAGGGACTCCCACCCAATGACAATTTGGCACAGGTATGCAGAGTAATAATGGGCTCTCCCAGCTCCCCTCCATGCTGCACCTACTCCCAGCTCTGAGCTGGAGCTCCCGTGCATCTTCAGCCAGGAAGAGGAAGAGGGAGGTGGGGAGGTGGGAAGGTAGCAACAAGCACCAGGCAACCATGAGTAATCTAGGCCAGTGCCAGTGCCAGGGGAGGTGTGATGGGAGGCACCTGGGCCTCCTCCCCTGACTCCTGCTGCTGCTGACAGCCCCACTGGGAGCTGCAATGGTGCTCTTAATTGTGCCTGCTCCTCAGCTGCTGGAGGGACACGGCCACTGTGGGGTGCAATCCAGGAGGTGTCTGGGTTTGGAGGGGTGCTTCTACCAGAGGGCAGGGCTGCCAAAAGATGAGAGGCAAGGCTTGGGGCACCCCAAGAGACAGTCCTGAGAAAGAGACATCATTCCCCTTCAGTGAGGAAAATCAGCTCCGGGCCCCACTTCCCAAGGGTCCTGTGGGGATAAGACACTTCCAAAGCTTTGTCATAGGCCTTGTCTTATAAACACTGCCAGCAACGCTTTTGAGCGGGAGGGACTCATTCCAACCACCAGCCCTGCTGATTTTTTCTCTCTCTTCTTTCTACACAGGAAAACTTACCTTCCTCTCCGGGGTCCTGGAAGACCTACTTCTCCATGTTTATAAGGTCCTTTGAACAAAGCAGCATTTTGTACACATATTTAGCTGCTGTTGTTATGCTTATTAAATGTGTTTAATAATTGTGATGATTTTATAACATCTGTAACTTCTTTGTTTTACATTATATGTAATCTCCTTAATGGAACTCTGTAGCCCAGTGTAAAACACGGAAGCTGTAGGGAGGGGGAAATAGTCATATTTTTGCACAGAGAAGTCTCATGATTATATTCAAACAGAGGTGTCTCCTGGTGCTTTATAAGATTTCAGATTTCTTTTCTTTTCTTTCTTTCTTTCTTTTTTTTTTTTTTTTTTTTTTTGAGATAGGGTCTCACTTTGTTTCCTAGGCTGGAGTGCAGTGGCCCAGTCGCAGCTCACTGCAGCCTCAACCTCCCAGGCTCAGATGATCCTCCTGCCATAGCCTCCCAAGTAGCTGGGACCACAGGCATGCACCACCACACCCAGCTAATTTTTTTATTTTTTGTAGAGACGGTGTCTCACTATGTTGCCCAGGCTGGTCTCAAACTCCTGGCCCCAAGAGACCTTCCCTCCTCATCCTCCCAAAGTGCTGGAATTACAGGTGCCCAGCTTACAGGTGCCCAGCTGAGACATTTTTCTTACTCTAGAGAGAGACACTGCAGATTCTGTGGTGATTGCAAACAATGAGGAAGTCACAATTCAGGGCCTGCAAATGATATCTGGGCCAGAATCAGGACGGAACTTCATGGGTTAAACAACAAGGGGGAATGGCGGCCCCTAAAGCCCTTCTCCCATTCATGTGGATAATAGTTGTACTAGACATGAAACGCTCTTCCTTATATTTCTACCAACCTGCCCTCAGGCACCACACCACCTAGTGCCCAGAACATCGGCATTGAATGGCGCCATAACAAAAGACTCTCCCCAGGGTCTAATCATAAGATGATCAAACACTTTCATTCAAAATGCAGGACTGTAAGTTGCTTTTGCTGTTCTTTCAATTACCCAGAATGTCAGCATATCTACATTGACAGGTTAATATTTGGATGATGACTCTAAGCTCTGTGAAAATCCTGACTGCTTTCAAATAATTTTTTAAAAATTTATATTTGGCATAACTGTATTGTGAAGTCAAACTTGATACTCCTTAATCTTTTGACTATTTATCACCCTTGTACAAAATATATTGTTTGTGTTTCACCAAAATCTATTGTTTAGTGACTCCCAAGACTTTATTCTCTAAGCACAGTCTTCATAGCTGAGCAGTTTTGTACAGCAACCTTCACAGGGCTCGTGAGCCATATCAGAAATTAGGATTCTAGGGAGGATGAACAATATGAACATTTTGATTCTGGAGGGAGGACACTAAATAAACAGCATCTCTTTTCTGTAATAAGGGGCATGATTTAATGACTGCTAAAATCTATTCTATAATGCTATGACTCAGAAGCCTCTGTTCTCTGCCAGAGGTTGTTTGTTCCCAAGTCCTACCTCCTCTTCCCACTGCCCCAAATCACTAGAGTTCATTCTCCTTCAATGAGTTAGCCTTGTTTGCTAATTTTCAAGTATTTTCATTCTGGGGCTCCCTGGGCCAAAATAGAACACCCCCACCCCCGGCACCGGCCTTTTTAGCTTTAAAGCTCAAGGTCATCCTATATTAAATTGATGCGTTCTGACATTATCCATGAAATGACGAGTTTCTACTCAGGAAACAAAGACATCATTGTTTGTTCTTATTCAAACCATCAACGAATATGAGTTCATGGCATCTCCATGCTCCTAGAGCTCTTCGAAGACAGGAAAAGGCAAGGAGACTTCCAGAAAACACATTACCAAAGATGAGAGACTGGCTCAATGAAGAACTAAAGCTAACCCATGCACCTGGATCTGCAGGTCTGTCCTCTGTGTTGCCACCTTGTCTCAAGACCTTTTTCCCATTCTAGGAGGGAAGTGGGGGCCTGCTGGTGGTCTCCCCCAACCAGCATGTGCCATTTGGCAAGACCACCAGAGTTGCTGGGCTACTGTCTGCTGAGAATGAAGGAACCATCAGTAGAGAGATGAACAGCCTCCCAGTCTGGGAAAGAAGTTGCCAGAACTTAGAGGAATGATAGCAGAGCTGACATATTCTCTGTCATCTGCTTGCCCTACCATGGATGGCAAGATTCAAGGCCCCAGCTGAGAAGAATAACAAGGAAAGCCATGTTCTTATGGAAATAGCTTCTGCTCTCTAAGTATTCTAGTCCACACCAACTCTGTTTCTGGAGTTAAGATTTAATTAGCTTCATTAGTAGTATAAATAAGAATGTTAATGGCTCTGCTTCATTCACAGTGACTGATGGCTTAACTCCCATTGAGCTAATGGGTTTTAGTCACATCCCGAATCAAGGTGCTGAGCATCTGATCCAGGCAACACACATCTTTGTCCTGGTTTTTCCAGAGTAGTCTTTCCAAAGTTTTCACATTGTATATCCTGATATGGGGGTTCAGAAATTATGGGTACTATTATGTGCATCCATAACCTCTTCCTACTTGGTACTTAGCCTGATCTCAAAACCCCACCTGCTTTGCCTTTCTCTCTCCTCTAGAGATATTCCAGAACAGAAGAGTTTTCCTAGGCAACAAAAGAGATGGGGAAGGAGCACTTATTGAGCATCTACTATGTGCTAGGTGCTTGGTTCCAGAACCTCAGAGGGTGGCCACCACCACCCCCCACTCTATACACAAAGAAGCTAAGGTCAGAGACAAGGGAGCGAATCACTAGCAAAGCTGGGATTTGAACACAGAACATTCAGGCTGCAAAGCTCTCTTCACCAAAACATCTTGCTTTTCAGCAAAAACACTTGAGCAACTGGTTGCTTTCTCATTGTTCTGTGAATGTTCCTCTGATGCCCTTGACCAAAATACACACTCCATGAGGGTAGCAGCCAAGCCTCTGCTGACTAATTAACTCCTATAGTTAAAAGCCAATTCAAACAGCCACTCTGCTTCTGCGTGGACTTTGTTTCCTACCACTTCTAGCTTCCTGCTCTGTTCACTCCCATCACACCCAGGAAATCTGGAACTTGGAGCCAACAAAAGCTGCCTCTCTCAATCCACTTTGCTGTTGTAATAACAAACCATAAAATTAACTAAATTTCACCGCGGTGTAATGTGCTGCATAAAAGCGGTGGCAATGTGTCCGCAGGGCAAAGGAACATTCCACTGAAATCAGTTTCTCTTTATTGCATTGCCAACATTCAATAATTTCTCCCCCATAAAGGCAGGGAGAATGGCATGAGCCAAAATAGAATGGACACTTGCAAACGTGCTGTAGATACCTGTGCATGTGTGCAGCTATGTGCAAATAAAAACTGGCAAGTCACATGCACATGCATGTTCATACACACTTCCCATGTCCACACATGTCCCCTGGCTGTGGAAGCACATCAAATTGTGCACATGAATACTCAGATGCATGCACAGAAATACATGGCTAAAACAGCGCACATATACCTGTGTTGTGCACATTCATACTTGTTCAACACAGGTGTGCAAATGGGAAGTCATATGGAGAAGGTTGTGCTTTATTGTCTTTCGTATAAATGCCACCAGTAAAGCCCTCCTGGAATTCCGCAGTCAACTACACCCTAGTTGCAGCACATTAAGCCCATTTCTAAGAAACAACGTTTACAAACTAGATGTTAAATGCTGGAACATTCTCTTCCTATTGCTGAGAAAAGACAGCCAAGGTAGCTTCAGTAGTTTTGGCAGGCTTGGCTTTGTCCAAAATGACACAACCAGACCATGTTCAAAAAAAGAGCAGGGCATAATGAGCTTAAGGGAGTATGAGGCTCTCCTTGTAACATATTTCCAGGCTGGGTAAAATGTGCCTTGCTCACTCAAGGGTCTTTTCTTGAACTTTTGGAGAAAACAGAAAGCCACTCCCAGTAGCTGGGTGAGTCACAGACTAATGGGATTTGCCTTTGCCCAGCCCAGTTATGGAAGAACAAGGAAGTTCTGCTGACTGTCTGCTCTAAGTTTTTCCTGGGGCAAATTTAGGTTCATCTTCTCTTGTGGTGGGGAAGGCAGTTGCTGTCACACTCTCATATCTACACTGTAGAGCGCTGTTATATACTCACTCTCAACTTGGGCAAGGTCCTCTCTGAAATTCACTATGACTTTCATCCTCTATGAAACTCATATTCTCAGATGCATACTGTGCTGAGGGTATGCTCTTAAAATTTCCAATTTCTGAAAGGACCGCAGGATGGAAGGCTATTTTGTGTCTTGTAAAAAGCACTGGATCAGGAATCAGGAGAACTGGGTCCACACTAGTTCTGCCACCGGCACAGGAGCCGTGAACAGACTCAAATTCCTCTCGGCCTCTAAATGCGTAGATGAAACTTTAGTGTGTCAGTGAGCTCCCCCAAACTTATGACTCCAAAATGTTTTAAAATCCACTGATGAAAGGCAAATGCCAATCTTGCTTTTATGAAAAACAGCACACAAAAAAGAATACCTCTGACGTTGTCAAAGCCAGCCAACTATTAAGTCTAGATGTAATATGATGTCAGTAAAAATGAGTTGTTCCACACTTTCAGGACAAATTGTCTCAAAAATGCTGCCAGTGCAGTAATTACTCAGATATTTACACAGTGATTAACATTTTCACCCTTCAAATCATATGAGGATGTTCTATAGACAGCCAGATATCTTCTAATCTAGCCTGGAATGTCTTGTAGAAGAGTCACAATGCTCAACATTCAATAAATAATTACTTAGTGACCACATTATAAATATCAGGAGGTGGATGGTGGTCTGTGGGGATGCAGCACTGAATAAAAGACAGGACCTGCCCTCAAATAATAACTGTGGGAACTGACAACCCCAACCACCCACTTCCCTCGTCAGGTACCCATCCTCTGGACAGGAAAATGGTTCTTGTCTTCTCCAGGAAGACAAATTTCTGGGCTGCAGCAGTATCCTAAAGTTATGGAGGAAGTATGGCTCAACTCACTGCTGGCGAGATGACACAGACCACCTAGCACTGTTTTCCATGACAATTCCTTTCAGGAAACTGTGATGACTGAAGAGGAGGAATGGAAGCCCATGGACCCATCCAAGATGAGATGCAGCTTCTTCCAGAATGGCAAGGAGTCTGAGAAAGAGAAGGTCCCCACAAGGTCTCTTCTGGCTCAAGTGATTATTCCGCTAGTAAATTACAGGGTAAATGGCATTCTTGCCATTTCACAGACCACACAAACTGAGACTCCGCAAAACATAATGATTAACATCTGCAATCACAGAACCTTTGAGCCAGGCTAAATGTTAGAGATTTTTCTACCTACCTCTCATTTTGTAAGTAACAACACCTATGCCAGAGATGTGACTTGGCCTATACTGCCTCATCCCCCATCTAATGTTTCTTACCACACCAGGCCAGTAAAGACTACATGAAAGTTTATCTCTGGAAATAAATCTTGCAACTTAAATTTAACACCAGTTCTCAGTCACATATTCTACAGAGCAGTTTTCCAAATTTTATCACATGAAAAGATTTGTTTTAATAAAATCATTGAACTAGAGATTCCTTCCATTTCTCCTTGCCAAGATATTTACTGTGTACCTACCATATGCAAGGCATCAATAAAAAAGGGAAAAGAGTGTTCCATTTTGTGAAAAGTAGCAATTATGAATGCATTTTCTCCTATGTAAATACATGAATAAACCTTAATATAACCTCTCTCCCCCTGTTCTCTCCTTGCCCCACCCTGGATACAATAATTGTAAATGTTTAGGCCTGAATTTTCCATCTTTTTAGGTTAGGATGGAATATTCAGGGGCCCCCACACTTAGTTTAGGTGCCGAGTGACCTAGCATGCCTGTATTCAGGACTTATTATGATTAGATTATAGAATATTTGATTTTAACTGGAAGTTTCTTTATAAAAAGGCCTCTAAGGGTTCTTATGTAAAAGGACCTAGCACAGAAGCTGAACCTAATAATGAAGATATTTTTAACCAAAGACACTGTAATCTACACACACAGCATATAAAACAATATAGATCCAGACTGAAAATACTCACTCAGCATCCCTGCCTAGCTAGCCATAGCAGGGAAATGGGTATATTGTAGAATTATGGGCCCAACAGATCTCATTATTTTTTACATTCTCTAGGTCTCATTCACAATCTTTGCTTTTGACCAGTCCCTGAGGGAGTCTGTGGCAGTTGAGACAGAGACTCAGTGGATTGGACTCCACGTACATCCTTAGTGCCCTGGTTGGAATTAAAGGGTTGAGGGTCTAAGGAAAATTGTACCAAACACTCCTCCCATCCCTCTTCACTGTATTGCTTATTAAAGTTTAAGACTGGATAAAAAATCAACTTCATGGACTGGTCTGAAGGAAAACAAGATACAGAGGATGTGTGAAAAGAGCAGAGGGCACTGTTGCTAGGCAACCAAGCCTGGTCCACCAAGGAGGGGCAAGGCTTCCAAGGCACCTGGATGTAAATGACCTCAGATACTTCTAAGCATCAGTTGGTGGAATCTCCAGATCCTCTGTCACCTTCTACCTTCCTGTCCCTGTCCCCACTGAAGAGTGAGCTGTGAATTTAGTGTACACCAAGGACAGCTTTATTCAATGGAGAGAAGCAGAAAAGAGGGGCATAATGGAGAAGGGGAGGACACAAAAGAGATGGGAAAGAGCACAAGAGAATTGGGAAATTGGAAACAATAAAGAACCTCTCTCTGCAGCATTATCCATCCTGCAAGTCCAGTTTTCTGCCTAGGTTGTTTCTCATGCCCAGGCTAGAGTGCAGTGATGTGATCTCAGCTCACTGCAACCTCTGCCTCCTAGGTTCAAGAGATTCTTGTGCCTCAGTCTCCTGAGTAGCTGGGATTACAGACATGTGCCACCACGCCTGGCTAATTTTTGTATTTTTATTAGAGACGGGGTTTCACCATGTTGGCCAGGCTGGTCTTGAACTCAACATCCTCAGGTGATCTGCCTGCCTCAGCCTCCCAAAGTGCTATGATTACAGGCATGAGTCACCACACTTGGCCTCTTCCTAGGTTCTTAACTCATCCTGCAGAACCCATAGCAGCTATGCACAGACAGAACCAGTCTTGGAGGAAGCTGTAGAACATTTCGAGGGGCATGAGGTTTAGAACTGACCCCTATCCAGGCCCTACCCCTGAATGACTGCTAAGAGTTGGGGAGACTCATAACCTCCATCAGAACTGAATTCTATCTGAGGATAATTGGGCATTTACTTACTAACACTGAACAAGTTACTAGAATGGCACAGAAACAATAGCAACATGAAGGGTTTTCTCCAACCCTTGGGTTTTGCAGCCTTTAACACACCATATTTTATCTAATCTAAGGCACCAATTGTACAGCACACTATAATTTTATGTACTACTAAGAAAGAAAAAAAGGCCGGCAATTAACTATGACAATACATTGATTGTAAGAAGCATTCAATTTCAGAGATGTTAGATTGTGAGGGAAAAATGTGTCTTAGAATTGCTAATATATAGTAAAATCTCAATCCCTTACAATGGCATTAAAGCCCTTCCCAGAATGGCCCCAACCAATGTTTCCAGCCCCATATCCTGCCTTCCTGCATGGACCAGAGCTTCAGCCTGATTCTCCTTGGTCAGCACACTCACACCTTCTAATTCTGGGCCTGGGCTGATGTGGTCTCTCTTGCCTGGGAGGTAGCTATTTGGCCCCAGCCCCCCTAGCCTGCCTGGGCTGGTCCTCACATTCCATTTCTTCCTCATCATGGCCCTTACCCTGTCCCTTTACAGCACAGTTCTGAGTATTTTAGGGTTGAGTTCTTTCTCTAGATTATAAATTCCCTGAGGAAGATAAAACAATAGTTAACATGTGTTGAGTATTTACTGAATGACAGTTACATAAGTGTAAACCACATAGATTTCATATGCAAGAGGGTGCTATTATCTAATGAGAAAAATAAGATATAGACAGCAACTTTACCAAATTCATACAGGCTAGTGACTTAGTCAAAATGGGATTCCAACATGCTTTTGGGTGACACCACTGCCCCATTTTTAACCATTTAAAATGATCTTAATGGTCTAAGCACTGGCATCAAGGGAGGCAGGGGGTGACATTAACCAAGCAATCCATCATGGATTTTCCTCTGGCATCAATCTGGCTTCAAGGAGACCACCTAAGCCAGCTCTGTCTCTTACTATTCTTCCTTCCCACAACATCAGAAAAAGCATTTCCTGCTGTTAGGGAATTTATGATTATAAATAAAAATAAAGCCTGTAAGACATTACTAAAAAGTAAAGAAAAAGGCAACTAGATAAAAAAAATAAAGTTGGATAAAGGTATGAATAACAATGCTGATAATAACAAGAGAATTCACTAACCATAGTAATATGCTTAGTCCAATAAAGGTTCTGTGAATATAATGAGTTACAAACAGATTCATCTTGGCTATAAAATAAGAAGCTTCTGTGATTGTTATTGTTGTTATTATAAATTAAGCTGGGCTTAAAATATCACGCTGTAGACAAGGGTGTGTTTTAATAAACCTGAAAGCACAACCCCAAGCAAGAATTCTGCCTCTTGTTTCTCTATCTCAAAGATGTTTCTAGGCACAGGTGAGAGGCCAGCAATCCTCTGACCACTGCAAGCTGGCTTAAGGAGAAGGGAGCTGACTAAGACTCCCTGGGCCACTATATGTTTTCCCTCAGAAGATATTTACACGAGGCCAGGCATGGTGGCTCACGCCTATAATCCCAGCACTTAGGGAGGCTGAGGTGGGTAGATCACCTGAGGTCAGGAGTTCGAGACCAACCTGGCCAACATGGCGAAATCCCATCTCTACTAAAACTACAAAAATTAGCCAGGCATGGTGCTGGGCACCTGTAATCCCAGCTACTCAGGTGGCTGAGGAGGGAGAATCGTTTGAATCCGGGAGGTGGAGGTTGCAGTGAGCCAAGATTGCACCACTGTACTCCAGTCTGGGCAACAGAGTGAGACTCTGCCTCAAAAAAAAAAAAAAAGAAAAAAAAAATTAAAAAAGAAGATATTTACACAAGGGATGGGGGATACTGGCATCTGGCAGAAGTCCCTTTCCAAGATCAAACCCTAGGAAAAAGTAAGAAGTGTCTAAAGTTCTAGTACTGAAGATCAATTCAACAGTTAAGATTTTTTTTTTTTAAGGTTAGGAAAACCCACTACAAAAGGAAGAAGGAAGCTACTTTGAAATAATACAAATTAGACTGGGTGAGATCCTTCCATGGAAAATCTTCTTTTAACAATTTTAAATTGCAGTAAAATATTCCTAACATAAAATTGACCATCTTAATCATTTTTAAATGTGTGGCCGAGCAGTGTTAAGAACATTCACATTGTTGTGCAACCATCACCACCATCCATTCATCCATGGAACTCATTTCATCTTGCAAAACTGAAACTCTACACTCATTAAATAACTGCTCCCCTTTCCCCTCCCACAAGGTCCTGGCAATCACCATTCTAGTTTCTGTCTGGAAAGTCTTTTTCCAATGGAGCATTTCATAATCAGTGTTGCACTGTTCTTTCAGGAGGCCTTCTGAAATTTGTGTCCTTTGAAAAGAGAAGAACCATCCTTCCAGAGCCCCCTGGCTTAAAGTCACAAGTGGGAAACTGAGGCTCAGAAGAGAGTAAGATTTGGCTTCCCTTAGAACACTCAATGTGGCTGGGCACAGTGCCTCACGCCTGTAAATCCAGCACTTTGAGAGGCCAAGGCGGGCAGATCACTTGAGGTCAGGAGTTTGAGACCAGCCTGGCCAACATGGTGAAATCCCATCTCTACAGAATACAAAACTTAGCTGGGCATGGTGGTGCACACCTATAATCCCAGCTACTTGGGAGGCTGAGGCATGAGAATTGCTTGAACCCGGAAGGTGGAGGTTTCAGTGAGCTGAGATCATGTTACTTCACTCCAGCCTAGGTGACAGAGTGAGGCTGTCTCAAAAAAAATAAGTAAATAATTAAGTGCACAAGCAGGTACTACCTCTCTGAGAGCAAACACTTAGTTTAGAGCAAACACTTAGTTTAGACACATCATTGCCACCCCACACTCACCACGCCTGCCCATAATGCCCCTAGTACCCAATGGCCAACTTGAATTACTGTGTCTTATCAGGATGACACCAGTGCAGTTGTTTCCTGCATGTAGAACAGGTTAAATGCCTTCTGGAAAGCACCAGTCCTTTCATTAATGAGCTCACCTTGACTGTCCACAGCACAGAAGGGGTGCCATGACAGCCCTATGTCAAGACATGGATTTTTTTTTTCTTTCCCTTAGCCCTTGGGGTGGCAGTCGCCTGCCACTGTGTGCAACCTCAATGTGCCCCACAGATATTATCATTTTCTACATGTGCTACGATATGATTAAGGACTACTGAAATTTGGATTTTCTTTTTTCACAAGACAAAAAAACAGAAAAACTTTGAGCTCCCCAGAGGCAAGGGAGGGACCAGTGCAATGGAGGGCTACCTTAGGGTCTTTACCCCTGCAGAGCAGGTGTGGGGTCTCGTGGAGCAACTGCATGTGCCTTGCCTACTTCCTGCACCCAGAAATAGTCACTACCAGCCCCTGTCCAATGAGGGCCAGCATCCACATCCCTCCCCTTTCCCTCTGGCAGTCCTCCTTTAAACCTCCTGGAGGTTTAGCTTCCTCCTTCCTCTTCTCTTCTTTAAGTTGTTCCATTATCTACATGCAGGGTTTGATGCAGATTTCCAATAGCTGTTAATCAAAACATCTTCTATTTCTACCTTTGTCCTCGAAGTGTTGTCATGTCACTTCTGTACTACAATTTAATTAAGTGTCAAGCAAGAGATCAGTTGAGAAGGTCTTGCCTCTCAGTGGAACTAGGGAATAATAACATCTGCAAGGCTTGCAGGCATCCTGTGTCTAAACCCAAAGCAACACATATCATAGCAGGAAGGACCTTTCCCCACCCCAGTAAGAGGAATGAGGGTTGCTGTGGACTAGCAGTGCCCTTGAGAGCATCTTAGCTCAGTTTTCTCACCAGAAAGTGGTAAATAATACATATTTTCCCCAACAGCCTAGGTGCCAGCATTGGTAGATGTCGGTGAAATGAATGAATGCATACATACATTTTAGATCATAGATCTTTAGTTCTTTGGGGGATGGATGTAGGTGTGAAAGTAGGAAATCCATTGATAAGCAGAGTGTTAAATAATAAAATACAGGCAAAAATTCTAGACTCTTAACACATTACGGCTGGTTACTTTGGCAAACATTAGAACCGCCAAAGCACACACAACTGCACAAAGTTGGTTGGCAAACTTTTCTGTTAAATCGACACTCCAAAGATCGTCATTAATCTCAGTAAGTTATTAACTCCAAGAAATCATCTGAACAATGGTGAACTATAATAATCTGTACATACCATATGTGCATTAAGCATTAACACTTCATTCTTGCCTATTTCCTAATGTCAAGAAAGCTCAAATGTACCCAGCACATTGATCTCTCCTGCAGAAAAACATGTTACATCTCATCCACAATTACAACAACTACCTAGCTTGCTATGTTATTGTCATCCCAACTACTGGGAAAGGAAATGTTATAATCCATGGTTCTAACACACATGAGGTCAGGTCATTCGGTTGCTCTGGGAACTCTATAGAGTTGTGCTCCCTAAATCTTCTGGGCTGTGCCAGCCAACACTAGTTGGGAACTCCCCTCCAATAACCAGACTACATTATGCTCCTGGCAGGGCCCCAGGGGCTCCAGTGTCTCACCCCAAGAGTAACTCTTCTGGCACTGGCAGAACAGTCCCAGCCTCACGAAAGAGCCCAGCTGGACCATAAATTGTACAGACAAAGATAAAGACACACATTTTCTCTTGGCTCAAAGGACCGCAGCATGGCACATTACCCACCCCTCTCCCAGGCCAGCACAGCCGTTCACATGACTCCCCCTTCTCCTCTACTGTTTCTCCTCTCCCACTCTATCCTGTTCTCCTCTTTCCCCATCTGCTGCGTGAGCTACAAGGCTCCTATCAGCCCTGGTCACCAGAGCAGCATATCATCCCAGAGCTGGTACAGCAGGCTGTTTGTTGGGATGAACTTCAAATGACCTTCTCTCTGGGTCTTTCTCAGCACTGACTTAACCTTGTTCCCGCAGACAGCTGTGGGCTAAAGACAAGTATACCCTGGTCCAGATACCACTGCTTGCTATCTGTGTGACTTTGGGCACTTGTTTGATGTCTCCGAGCCTCATAAAATAATGCTAACTTCATGGGATGGTTGCAAGGACTAAATGAGATATGTCATAGCTTTAATGAAACTTAGCATGCCTTACGAGTACAAAGGCTCTTCACATCTTTGGTCCACTATCAGGAAGGCAGTTAGATGTTTTAACTCAGTGTTTTAACAAAACAAAATAAAAACAAAGTTCAAAAATATTAAGTGACCTACTCAAGTCAGTAATGGAGGAAGCAAAAATAAAACCCAGGTTTAGCAGGTTCCTTATCCACTGCTAATTACACTCTTCTCTCTATAAAGCAAATGCTATGGCAGAATTTTTGTGCTAGCCCTGCCTTCCAAACATGCTGGAAAGGCCACAGAGCAGCAGGAAACCTACATTGTTTTCCCTACTAGATTTAAACCTGTTTAATTTGTTGGATTCCACAAAAGAACACACCATCCTTCATTTATACTTTATACTTCAGTTTTCCCCATCTGCCCACTGTAGCAGGAGGAGGTCTTCTCCTAGTGAAAATGGTTAGAATTATGTAAGGTACAATGTAAACTCTTTTGAGATACTTAGAGATGAGTTCTGGAGAATTTACACATACACACACACTTTACTAGACATTTGGATGAGTCCAGGCTCCTAGAGAAAGTATATTTGCAGAAGTTCAGGTAGATATTATTGATGAGCTGTCTATTCAGAGCCTTGAATGAAAAGGTGAGGTATTTTTGATGTTGATATCAATAGGCAGTGAGATTTGATCAGTAGTGAGAGGATGACATTAAATGAAGGGTCAGAGAAATAAAGAAAACTGCATCCCTTTGCTAAGCTTGGCAAAGATGATAAAATATAAATAACATGGATGTTCCTCTGATTCCATTTTTTTTCTTCTTTCTCTGATTGCCACTTGAGATAATTAGCTAATACAATAAGGCAAATAGAAAAACTGCCTGGATTTTTGCTAGCCCATTTCCCTCTCCCCAGTGGAATAACTTGGATTAAATAGCATCAAAGCACTCTCAGCTGAATCCCTTCCCCCCAAAAAAGGAGACACAGAGGGCAAAGCCAGACCTTTCTTCCTTTTCTAGCCCAGAAAGGTTGCTGGGAAGAGCTCAAGGGCCCATATGAGGCGGGAAGCAGCAATGCGTCTCCATGACAACCACCCAGGCCAAGGCCACTTTCATCACCTGAAAACTAAGCAAGACACGAAAGGAGGGTGCATCTGTAGGAAGTTTGGATTCCCACAAGGGCGAGCCTGTTCAAAAGCCGGCATGTGTTGCAGCTGATGTGGGATGGGTAAAAGGGAACAAAAGGATCGGGAACCAACCAAGAAACTGACCAAATCAACGCCAGCTCAATGAAGAGGTATTGGAGAATAGTATTGGCTGCCCAAAAAGCCGTCCAAAATCGTTTGGTAGGAAATGGCAGCTGGGTCACAAAAGGAGAGGCAGTCTGAGGGTCTAGTGTTGAGTAGGTCACAGAGGGGGACAAGCAGTTGTGTGCTCCGAGAAGAGTCTGCAAGCCACCTTGGAGGTCTGGGGAGGGAAGGCAGGTGCCCATGATCACGGAGATAGTGGTAGAGCCCAGATCTACGCCTATGCTTTCTAACTCAGTCCAGGGCTATCTTTATATCTTCCACTGGCTTCACTTTCTCCTTCTCCCCTTTTATACAGTGTTTCCTGCAGCAGTTGCTCTTTCGGGCACTTTCATGCTACCAGCGTGTTCATTGTAACCAGATTTTCCCTGCAGAGAGGCATGGGCACTATGGTTTGAGCACCTTTCCAGGGATGGCTCTCCTGGGACAGCTGTGGGAGAAAGGATGAAAGGAAAGGAGGAAAACATTCCATTTGCCTCCCAGTTGCTCCTTAGGCTGGTGCTGGAGAAGTGATAAATGGGGCAGGAGGTGTCAGATATCAACCTGGCCTTCCTTCTCCCTACCCGCCCATTACTCAATTGGAAAGATTAGGGTAATGAATGAAGCTGAACTGCCTGGGTTAAACCTCTGGCCCTTCTGCTCACTCACTGAATAACCTTGCCCAAATCCCTTAACTTCTTTGCCTCCTAATCTTCTATACAGAGATCATAACAATCTTTTCCAATCTTCTATACAGAGATCATAACAATACCTACCTCCTAGGGTTTGCCTTAGAAAGAGGAACCCACAGACCTAAGACCTAAGATGTCACTAGCATTTCTCCTGTATGCTTGAGGGAAGTCCAGCCCAAGGACACAACCGACAAATCCAACAGTTTGTGAGTGAATGCATGAAGGAAGGTTAGTCCGTCCTCACTCCAAACCTGTTCTCTTCAGACCCAGTGTTTCCTAACCTTTCCACATCATGACACAGAAAGATCACCGTATTTGTACAACAGGCTGAGGTCAATGGAGAGGTTGTTCCCAGCTGCAAGCACATGGCCCTGAGGCTCTGGCTGCCCCACATCCCTCCTAGCATCTCCCAGGGCTGTAGGGATCAATATTTAGGTTCCTGGTAATCAATAGGAAGCAAAGTAAGCATAGCCCGAAATTAGGGTGGGGGCAACCCCAGTCCCTGGGGCCAGGGGACATCTGGACACTAATTGGTTTAGAAGTATTTGGGCTAAACCCTGGAGTGCAGAGAATCACTCTGGTTAGCTCAGGCCAATGGGAGCCCACCTCAGGTCCTAGGGGTAGAGGCAATTCTTATTATGCTTCCTGTTACTATGCTATGGGAGAAAGGTGGAAAAAATTTTTTTTGAGGAAACTACCACCATCCCCACTGCACACTGAATGGACAGAGGCAGAACTCCTAATGGGGGCAGCGTCCCAAGTCTGAGGCGCCCCTCCGTGTTCCCCTTTATACGCCTCCCCACCATGTGTACTTCTGTTTGCTCCTCTGTAAGACACTGGTAGCCATCCAACGCCGAAAGATGGGTCAAGGACCATAATGGTCTCAGTGAGCAATTGAAGTAAAGGACCACATGTTTGAGCTTTTCTTGAAAGATTTTTTTTAAATAAATAAAAGGGTTATTGAGCTCTTTTTTCCCCTCCCTTTCTTTTAACAGCACCTTTCAACCCAGGAGCTGCCAAAGAAGTTATAAGCCGTGCTATGTATAGAAGCCACGTCACTCCCTACTGAAATAGAGAAGAGCAGCATCTCCCCCACAGCATTGAGGGAAAGAAGAGGGAGCAACTGGGTCCAGCCAAAACAGGGTGTGGGGGTAGGGGGCTGGTGGGGTCGGAGGAGTGGCTGCAACCCTGCCTGGTGTGTGCAGGGAGCCAACACAGGGAGGGCTACCAAGGGGGGCCACTGCCAGGAATTGCAGCATTTTTGTGCTGGACAGAGCTGCCTCAGGGCATCTCATTCCCACTCCTAGATGTAATTGATCATATTTGGAAAGGCCCTCAGGGACAGGAAACTTGATAAATTCCCATTCCAATGTTTCACGACCCTGACAGTAAAGGAGCTCATCCTAATAATGAAGCTACAGGCTGCTTCCCACAGTTTAAATGCATTTCCCCTTCTGATGTCCTTCGTGGAGATCAGGAACAGCTGGTCACTCTCCTCCCCATGATAACCCCTCTTATATTGAGGATGGGTATCCTGTTGCTTTTCACCCCTTGCTGCTTCTTATTAATAAAAAAAAATAAAACTCCAATTTCTGTATCTTGCCATCAAATGCCCTTTTCCTTTGTCCCAACTCAACCCATCATCACCGTCCTTTTTTTTAAGTATATTTTTTCTTCTGACCTTGTTGCAAAATTGATGGCTCAGGAGTAAATATCATTCCCATTGTACCATCCCAAAAATGGAGGCATACACATTAGGACCAGGTGAAGGGAAGGAAATGAATGTGTGCTGCAGCCCTCCCCTTTGTAAGCTGTTCCCCACATTCTCTGAGTGAATCTTCAAAATCCCAACCTCCTGTTCACAAATCCAGAAGTTAAGATTCAGATAAGTAAGGGGTTCAAGATGATCTGGTTAATCATCACCACAGCTGAGGTTTAAATTCTGTTCACAAGTTAATTGTTTATTAACTTGCAGACCAGTTCAGATCAAGAATACATTAACTCAGGGCCAGGTGCGGTGGCTCACACCTGTAATCCCAGCACTTTGGGATGCTGAGGCAGGCAGATCACTTGAGGTCAGGAGTTTGAGACCAGCCTGGCCAACATGGTGAAACCCTCATCTCTACTAAAAAATACAAAAGTTAGCTGAGCATGGTGGTGCGCACCTGTAGTCCCAGCTACTTGGGAGGCTGAGGCATGAGAATTGCTTGAACCAGAGGTGGAGACTGCATTGAGCCAAGATTGTGCCACTGCACTCCAGCCTGGGCAACAGACTGGGAGTCTGTCTCAAAAAATAAAAATAAAAAATAAAAAAATAAAAGAATACATTAACTCCATTCAGAGAAATGCAAATCATAGCGTCAATGAGCAGGAGATGCCATTTCCCACCCGCTGGGATGGCTAGAGTAAAGGATAGAAAATGACAAGTGTTGGTGAGGGTGTGCAGCAATTGGAACCCTCACACATTGCTGGTGGGAATGGAAGTGAGGTGGCTGCTTTGGAAAACAGCCTGGCACCTTCTCAAGTGGTGAAATAGATTTACTATATGATCCCAAAATTCCACTCCTTGAAATATATGCAAGACAAATGAAAACATATATCCAGACAAAAATGTATACACAAATGTTCATAGCAGCATTATTCAGAATAGCCAAAAAAGGAAACAATGCAAAAGTCCATCAGATAAAGAATGGGTGAATAAAATGTGGTATATCCATACAATGGAATATTAGTGGCAAGGAAAAGGAATGAAGTACTGATCCATGCTACAATGTGGCTAAACCTTGAAAGCATTATGCTGAGTAAGAAAGAAGCCAGACACAAAAGGCTACATATAAGATTCCTTTTATACACAATGTCCAGAATAGACAAATGTACAGAGAAAGATAGATTAGTGGCTACCTAGGGCTGGGGGCCATGTGGAGCTGGAGAGGGTGATGGCTAAGGGATTTGAGCTGTCTTTTTGCAGCAATAAGAATGTTCTAAAATTGATTGTGGTGATGGTTGTGCAACTCTGTAATTATAGTAAAAGCTACTGAATTGCAAAAGCCATTGACTTGTACTCTTTAAATAGGTGAATTATACCAAATGTGAATATATCTCATTAAAGCTGTTTTTTAAGAGTACTTTAAATTCAAAAACTCTGCTTTTTAAATGTTTGAGAATCCTTTGTCCTTATAAAGAATTGATTCAAAGTTCCATAAAGCGGATTCAGTTTCCAGATTGTGTTGATAAGACTTGCCCATGGCTGGCCACCCCGTCATCTCTAGCAGAGGGTGTGTGAGAATGGCCGTTGGCTCCAGCTTCCTGGGAGGGGAGACCCAAGGCCCAGGAAGAAAGCGATGAGTCCTTTCTCATCCAAAGGTGCATGCCCAAGATACCTGCTTTGAGGTACTTCCCATCCACCTTCTCCATTACAATGGAAGGCAACAAAGCCAACAGGAAGCACCTTGTCCATGTGCACCATGAGTCAAGTCACATGTAGGACCCAGCCAAGGACCTAGAGTCCCTGCCACATCCCAGAACCACACTTAGGTAGCAGGTACCAGGCCTCTGAGCTGGAAGCAATGTGGGGGAAGATGCGCCCACCTCCTGCTCACTCCTGCCTCTCTTGGTCATTCCACAGAGTTCCAGAGAAAGAGATAAAGGAGACAAAGAAAGAAAAGAAGAAAAGAGCATGCAGAGACCAGTTGGAAAATAAAAGGGGGCCAATTCCCTCTTATTAAGCCTGTTATTAGGCTGCGAATCAAATTAAACCACAGGGCTTTCCACTTACAGAGTGCTATTTTAAGGCTTATTAGACTATATTAGGATTGGCATACATTTCCACTGACATAATATCGGCCTTTAATTGGATTTAAGGGCGAGGAGGCTGCATTCAGCTGGAATAGGGTCCCTGCAAGGAGAAACTTGCTATTCTCCTCACAGCTTCCCCACTTCCCCTGCTGGCTGCCATCCCAGGGGCTGGGCAGACCCTGTAACCCTTTCAGATCCAAAACACAGCTTTTTTCCTCCTCCTCCTCCTCTGATAAGTGCCCAGAGGCCGAAGCAGGCCCCCCTCTCGCCTACGTGTGCCCATCCCTGACTGGCCAGCTTCCGGTACTCGGTGGCTGTAGGAGGTGCAGAGCTGTGCGTGCCTGCCGAGGCTGGGCAGCAGACTTCAGACTGTGAGTAGAGCCCCAGGGAGGGAGGCCAGCCTCCCCCTCCTGCTTCCAAGCTGCCGTGGGCGAGATTGGCAGTGGGAGGTGCAGGAGTTTTTCATGGGACAGTGATGAAAAGGGGGACTTGGGGTTGGAAGCAGAGTTTACCTTGACCTTTGAATCTCCTCCCATCCCCTGCCTGGTCAATCCTTGAAAGACCCTCAGGGGCACGTGGTAGAACCTGAATACAGGAGGGATATGGGAAAAAGTTCACACACTATGGGGAAGCGAACACTCTCCGGGCTGGTGGCAGTTTCCAGACACTTGTGACCAACTTCTCAAAGCTGCAGCATCCTCCTACGTAAAATAGGAACACGCTTTCCTTCCACTCGGGATTGCTTTGAGAATTAATTGAGATAATACAGCTAAAGTGGTGAGTAGGAGGCTTAATAACGTTTAGTGCCTTCTCCCCTTTGCTGTACAAATTTCAGATCTTTCTACCAAAAGGCATCATAAAAGTAACAGACCTCACCAGTCAAGTACGTTGCAAAATAATCTTGGGAGGGGAAATATCTTGGTACAGAGACAAGTATGTATGAAATATCACTTCCCAAAATATTGCTCAAACATGAAAAAAAAATCCCAAATTCCTTAACATTTTCCACTAATATATGTGAACGTCGCCTGCTCCCACTTGCCAAGATGTTTCTTGGCTATACTTTGATGTCTTCAATTTCCACGCTTGTTTTTAGCTCTTCTGCCAGAGCCATGTGCTTGTTTATTTTTACTACATTTTTATGACGTTTCTGCTATTGCAATAAGTTTTGCATTATTAGTTTTATCAAATAACAGAATGTCTGGTTGGCTGGCTGAGATTTATTGGCCCAGTTTTTATGGCTCCATCCCAGAACACTTTTTGTGATTACTTTCTAAGTTGTTCTTAGATCCATTCTTAAATATGTGCTTATTCCTTTATTAAATCACATCTGAGGACTAATTGTTATGGTATAAACTTAGCATCAGTGCAATGCCAATTGCTATAATCTTACCATTATTACTTAATCACAGGTTTGTGTACTCGGTTCTATGCAACATATATATATATATATGTTGGAAAAGTTGCTTGGAAAGCTGAAATTTACAAACTGCATTTCTTCCTATATTCACTAGGAAGTTTCTCCTCCTAATACATATTATCTCACCTTGAAATATCTGTTTGGCAAGTTCTGTTTATTTGGGATGTTGACTTTCCTGAAGCTCGAGGAAAACCTTATTACAAAACAAAACAAAAAAACACAAGCATGATTTATTTCATCCCTGCATTAGCTTCCTCTGCTGTTCTTATTTGACCCAATAAGTCTATGAATGACTTGGTTCTATGGTTGAGAGGCAGAGAAAGGATGAATTTCCTCCATTTATTATGGGGAGAACTTGAGGTGGGGGGCAAGCAGTATCTTGCTCAGCCCTGCAATGAGGTGTCAGTTGTCCTGTTTTCTGCAAGGAAGGTCCTCATAGCCTGGCAATAATGAAGTCTGTTGTGCTTCTTGAAAGCTTTGCAACCCCTGAAAGTCTGAATTCTTTTCAAGTCAGATCTGTTTTCCTCATGGAGCCTGAGCCCAGGGTTTTCTTCTCCCGTCCAACCCCCAACACATGTCCTCATTGCTCACTGACCCCCAGAGAGTTCCACATCAGTAAGAGTGGGACCTCCTGGAATGTTCCCCCAAGGGGACATCAAAGGAGCAACTGTCCTGGCGGGTTTGGATTAATGGCATCTGAATCATTACAGCCAGAAATGTGTATGCCTGTAAGCCTGGGGCACCAACAGTGTGTGCGTGTGTGTGTGTGTGTGTGAGTGCACTGCACACTGAGCCTGTGCATATTAAGGGGTTTAAATCAGGAATGAGCGCAAATCCACAAACATGTATCCCTGTGAACTCACGGTACTCACAATTTAGCCAGGAGGAGTTTTTATTTGAAACCCACTGGGGTCTAAAATCTTTTTAGGGCTCAGTTTTCTGGAGTTGAAGTGTTTTACATTCCCACTTCTGCTCCTATTCTACTACAGTTCTTCTTTCCCCATCAGGGAATAGACTATTCTGATGGCAGAGGGTGGTAGGCAGGAGCCTTTCATAAAAATAACTTTTGATCATAATGCATCATCATTATCATCAGCGCTATTTAGCTCTAACGCAGGTAGGTCACTGGAGTAGGGGCAGGCTTCTTGGTGAATGGCTCTTGGATGTGCTTTTTTGTCCACATGTGTGTGTCCTAATGTACCCCTGCTCTGCAGATGGCTCTAATTAATCAGGACAGTGAAAGCTCTTGGAGAGGGATTCTTTTTCTTCAAAAAGGAAGATGCTCTAGCTCCTCCCTCCACTTAGCAACCAGCACGTACAGATGTGGCAAAGGCAGAGAAATAGAGAAGTGGTAGGAAGTTTCACAAGGGCCCTTTGGGAGGCAACTTGCTGACAGCCACAGGAAAATGTGGAGAAGGTGCCTGAGCCCCTTTTCAGCATGAGCATAAATGAGTCTAGTGGTTGTGGAACACAATTCGTAAAAGATGACACAAATGCCTGCTTTCTTCTACTGGTCTTATTTTAGGGGTGTTCAGGATCCAAGTACTCCTTCCTTAGGTGAAACTCTCCACGATGGGAGGTCTTGGTTTCAGGCAGGACCAAGAGCCCCCACTTTGGAAGTTCAAAGAGCCAGATGCCCCCTCTTCCTGCCTCTAGTGGTCAGGGCCCTGGGCTGGTTCATGAAGCCTTGCTCCCAAGCCTTTGGATCTCCAGCAGGTAATGCACTGGTAAGGAAGGCTGCTTAGACACTTTTCAGGATGTCAGTGGTGAGTTACCGCAGGGATGACGCTTCCTGCTAAGAGATGGCTATCACCCTTCCAGCTTCCCGTGTCCCAATTCCTGAACTTCGTCCAAGTCTGTTCCTCCAGCTAGCCATCAATTCTGGGAGGGCTTGATATCCTTCTTCATAAATTCCCTTTTTGATTTAAAATAACCTGAGTCAGTCTCTGTTAGTTGCAAGTGAAACATCCTAACTGATAAATCCCCCAGGACAGCTGACGTCAGATTTCATTAGCTGAAAGGGGTGAGCCCCACTGGCTGTGAGCAAAAAGTGCACCCCACTTTCATCACAAGTCTGGACAAATGAGACTGTTGGGTGCTCGGCAGACTCTCCCATTCAGCCGATTAATATTTCCCTGGTACTAACCATGTGCCTGGCACTGCCCTAGGAATGAGAGATGCAGCCACAAATAGGAGAAAATCCCTTTTCTCATGTAGTTTGTATCCTAGTGTGGGATGAGACAAGCAATTACAAATAGGCATATAAATCCCTCTGCCTATGCCTAGGAAGAGAGGGAGGAGGGGTAGAGGGCAAGGGGGAAGGGGGAAAAATCAAGAGGCTTTGGGGAGGGAGAGAGAAGGAGAAAAATGGAGATCATATGATGCCAACAGAGAAAAGTGTTTCCAGAAGGAGGGAGTATTCATTTTGTAAAGTGTACGAGGAGGTAGGAAGGTACCATTTTGTTAAATGATAGAGGGTAGATTTCTATAGTAGGACAAGGCTGAGAAATGACCCCAACATATCAGTGGGCAGCTGATGCAGGTTTAAGGGGAAGAGCGAGGAGGGGGTTTAGGATAGGAGAGCAAGAGGGGAGATATTTAATGCTCCTTTTGAACGTGCATTAATGGACTTGGGATATCCAGTTTCGAAGAACTGCTTTAGAAAGGGAAACCACTTTACTCATACAAGGTGAAGACATCTTAAGCCAGATCTTCCTAGAAGCTCTACCTGGCAGATCGGTGAGAAGCTGGGGTTCTATTTTTTTCCCAACTGGGCCCTCCAGTGGGTCTGTTTTTCTATCCAGGTGCTCAAATGGGAAAGCCTGAAGCTCAGATACAGCTGTTTGTGTAAATGGCAAAGTTGGGTTTATAGCAATTTAATCAGCAGCATTAATAATGTCACCTAAGCTTAATGATACCAATTATAACCACAGTAAACATTGCTGAGCCGTTTATAAACAGTGATGTTCAAGATGAACTTCCTGCATTTGGTCAATGCTGTTGTTAAAAAACAAGACTAGAAGGTTCATGTTTTGAAGATTCCCATATTCTCACTCCTGTGCTGAAAAAACAGCGCCACATAAGGGCAAACCCCTGCAAGGATGTCATCCTCTTCCTCTCTTCACTACCTGCTTTGGTCATTTCCCAAGGCCAGATCTGCATCCACCGCTGTTGTCCACCAAAACAGAGTAAGGCTACGGCAGGAGTATTATGGACCTAACCATGCCAGAACAAGGACACAGTTGGATAATTATTCTAGCCCAGGCAATATTGGTTCCCTCTATTAAGCAAGTTCTGAGAAGTCCAGGGGAAAACAAAAGGGATTGTTAAAGGTCAGATAGAGCCCATCAAAATTCTAATCAAAACAGAAGTTGGAGGCAGGACTTCGTAAGAGCTATTCCTCTCCATGGGTGGCTCTCATATGAGAAATGGAAGCTAGCCTTCCTTTTCTGAGGAAGGAACATGTATTAGAGAGTCAAAAGTACTCCCTGAGGGATTCTAATTAGAGGATGAGGAAGACAGAGGGGCCTGGGGAAGGATTCCTAAGGAAGGTTGTGAAACCACCTGTTTCCAAAGGGCTTCAACGTTAAAGGCAACATCTCTGCCTATGAGAGGTGTGGTGTCCAAATGGAGAGATGGGTGTTGGCTAAGGAATGTCGACCAGCCAGAGTCTCTTCCAGACCCAAAAGCCTGGAAAAAATGTACATGTGGCTAGAGACACCATCTTCATCTAAAAACAGCAGAACTTTCCAACCTTTTTCATGGCAGCCACAGGAAATGATAATCTTTGCAGGGCACATGGAGTAAACAGAGGGGAGGCTGGAGAGCCAGCCTGCTCAGCTGAGAGCGTGGAACACTGAGTGCCAAGCTCTGTGCCCTGCATTTCACATGCCCTCCCTCTTTCCTTTGCATCCTTCTTGCCTTCCTAATCCGCCTCAGCAAAGGGCTTCTTGCACGGTTTTCTCGTCATCAGGAGTGCATGTCTCAAGGAAAACTGCTCTTGTCCACATTCTCAGCCAAATGAGAGTATCAATTCATTTGTTCATTGTAAATAGAGTAGTGCAATAGTTTGGTCCTGAATCCGTGTTCAGTTTGGAATCTTAAGAGACCAAGATGCCAAAATACCTGCATGGCAGCGTGTTGTCTTTCCCCTGGTTGCCATGAAGATAGGATCCGCTGGAGCCTCTGACATCCCATCTCAAGCATGTGAGGGGCTCAGAACTTTTCCTAAGAGGAATTAAGGTCTGTCCTCATTCAATTTGTAGAAAGCCACTCAGCCTTCTCTTTGCTGCCAACACAAACCTTCTTTTCAGTCTAACCTCCCTGAAGATAGCAGACTCTTCAGGGGATTTTACTGCAGTGTTTGGAAATTGCATTGTGTTTTTATAGATTTGTGCGTACACCTGGTGGTCTTAGAACTCCACAGGCAACTCTAGTAAATAAATACCAGCTCTGGGCCGAGCCCAAGTTAAAGTGAAGGATTTTGTTAGGCCAAAGTCAGCGAAAGGAATTACAGAGAAATCCATGCCAGAAAGCAGGAGATTGTTAGACACAGAGCACTCCATTCAGGGGAAAGGACAACAATATATTTTTTTCCCAGCCAGTGTGTCTCAATGGAGATGAGGATTTGTGAACAAGATTCAAATTCCACTGCCACCACTAACTTGCTTTTTAGAATCCAAAATGAAGTCTTCCTGTGACTGCGTCTATGTGGCATCAACTATTTGGAAGGGAATTGAGACGTTTATTTAATTATCCAGATATTTTGAAATATACAAATCCTTTTTGTTCCCCACTTCCAATTCAGATGTTTGTCATCTGTAGCAAGCATGTGTGACTCAGGTTTCTCATCTGAAACCGGGGTTGGGTGGAGGTTCAAGTTCACTTGTCTACAAGGGATGCCCTTTCTACTAACAAGTGAGCCTGAAGCAATATACCCACAGTCTTTTGGGGGAGAGCAAAGTTTTAAGAAAAGATATTGCCTGCCAGTGTAGCTAGAGAGCAGTAGCTCTCAAATGGCCTAGTAATTTGGAGGAGAGGGTTGGTGGAGAAGAAAACGGAAGGAGGATATGACTGTGTTTTATTAGATTACTTGGAAGTAATTAGCCATATAGAATCTTTGGGTATGGCCGTTTAGAGGTTCCAGGCCATTATTTACTCACAGTTAATTCCTTAATGCATGTGTTCATTCAACAAATATTAAGTTGATGCCTACTCTATGACAGTGACTTGGGTAGGTGCTAGGAATAAAGGGATAAAAACAAGCTTTTTAAAACAACTTCTACAAGTGAGTATATAATTACATCTATGTCAAGTTCTGTGAAGAAAAGATGAATGCAGTTATGAGCGAGTATCACTGGGCACAATCTCATAGGCAGGGCTAGGGTGGGCTTGCTCAGGACAGAGCAGGGTGATTGAGACTTGAAGGTTGAAGACAGGCAGGGCCAGACAAGGCAAGGACTGGGAAGGTCAGGGTCTTGCAGGCTACATAAGGGGCACTTGATTTTATCATGGATGCAAGGAGAATCCACTGAAGGGCTTAAAATCATTTAGAAGAAAAAGCACCAGAATCAGACCACCTGGGCTCTAGACCCAGACCAATGGCTTGACTAGTGAGGTGGCCCTGAGAAAGCCATTCGACCTTCCTGTCTCAGTTTTCTCCTCTGCAAATGGGTACTACAAAGAGACTCAAAGTTAGACCTGGAAGGCACCTGAGAGTTTTGTTTTGTTTTTTTATGTTCAGCCCCCTCCTATTTCAGAAGGAAAAAGTCAAGGCTGCTTTTTTTTTTTTTTTTTTTTTTTTATTCCTGAGACAGAGTCTTGCTTTGTCACGCAGGCTGGAGTACAGTGGCTCAATCTCAGCTCACTGCAACCCGTACCTTCAGAGTCAAGCAGTTCTCCTGCCTCAGCCTCCTAAGGAGCTGGAACCACAGGTGCATACCACCATGCCGGATTTTTGTATTTTTAGTAGAGACGGAGTTTCACCATGTTGGCCAGGCAGGTCTCTAACTCCTGACCTCAAGTGATCTGCCTGCCACGGTCTCCCAAAGTGCTGGGATTACAGGCATGAGCTACCGTGCCTGGCTGTCAAGGCTCCTAATACCTGTTCTGTTCACTTCATTTGACTGTGGCAGTAATCAAAAGAAATAATACATGTAAACATATTTTGTAAAATAAAGAAAAATGTATACCTAAGGTCTTAAATTATTATTTCTGATCTCTCCCACCCTGGCCACAAAGACTCACACATCTCAATGTTCCTAAGTATTAAGACAAGAGAGATAAAAATAGAGATTTGCCTGCATGTGTCTACGTGTGTATGTCTGTGTCTTTGTATCTAAGTTTTTACTTCATTATCTATATCTAGAGAGAAAAAAGAAAAAAGATATTTGAGAGACTGGATGTAGTTCTAGGGCATTATTTACAGGGAGCGGGGAAGTCCTGAAAAATACCTTATCCCCTTGGGAGCAGTGACCTAATCAAGATGGCATAATTGCCTGTCTTATCTAAATGAAAGCATCATTTGAGAAACAGTAATGGGCCTCAGTGTGGTTTCAATTGCTATATAGTTCTCAATTGCTATTGAGTTCTCATTTGCCATGGAGTTCAGCGGCTGAAGGGTAATTATAATGTTTAACAAATATATTCCCTTTAGGGACCTGATGTTAAAGACACAACATCCCTTTTCTTATCCTACCAGATTACACAGCTCCCGGGACCATTGCTATGTACCTTAAAAGCATGGGCACTTTCTCTCCCTAAGCTTACCTTTCTGCCAGGCAGTCACTAAGAAACACGGTCTCAGAGGGTGGGAGAGACCAAGAAGTCAGGACCTCCAGGTGGGCCTGTCCCTCATCCACATGAAGCTGCCATGAGAGTTCTTGTTGTCCCTCAGGCCTTGCTAATGAACCCCAAGACAGCTTAGGAGAATATGCTCTGTCAATTATTCATCCCCGCCAGGTCCCAGGCATCATCTTTGCCTATCCCATTGCACGAAGACAGGAGATTATAAGGATCAGAGCAAAGGTGGTGCTCACTAAAAATACAGATCAGATACTCAGTTTCTCTTTAGGACTATGGGGTTACCAAAAAATAAGGGTCCCGTTCTATCCTTTCCTTAGCAAGCATATAGCATACTCATGACAGGTCTTGCAGTGACATCTGAGCTGAATGATGTTTCGACAACAACAAAAAGATAAAAATGGACCAATTTGGAAGAAGAGGCCCCAAACCCCCCATAGAGTTGTTGCAGGTGGCCAGTGCCTCTGTCCACCTCGGAGCTCAGAAGATGGCACAGAGGCCTGCGTGCTTGTAGAGAGAGAGACAGTGGGTGCTGCCCTCTGCATTGGGCTGGCTTTAGCATGCCCAGTCCTGCACAGCACCCTGGATAGCCCCTGTCTTGTTCTTCTTCCACCTCAAGTCTACCGAGTGCATTCTGCTTGGAGATGGGGGCCACATCTGCTGAATGCACATTTTATCCCTGGTGGTGGCTTTGTTCTTAACCTGGCATAGGAGCTCACTAAATGTTTGCAGAATGCATGGTAAATGGAGCAAAGAGATGAGTAAAATTGATTGTATTACTTCCAGCTGCCTGACAGTCTGCTTGAAGATACTGGCCTTAACATGGATCGTCCTCCATGCCATCCACTTCCCCAAGGACTCAGCTGTAATGAGCGCTAGGGGGTGGGTTGCTGCTCTGCTCCAGATGTGAACTCATGGGGTACTTTCCAGGGAAAACTAGGAAGAGGTAGGAGAGAGAGAAGTGTCGCAGGTTGGCAGATGACAATCATGAGGGCTGTCCACTGTGCCAGCCCAGTGACAGAAACCAGCCTCTTCAAAGGCCCCTGCAGGCCCACGATGCCTTGTGTGTGCACTCACTGCTTGGAGAACAGAGCCAACACGTGTTGTGCTGTAGGTACCTCGTGGGCTACAGAAAATGATGCGTTGATTGATTTGCTTATTGGGCCTTTTATTTATTGTGCCCAGAGTGATGGGTGAATTTAGTAAAGGAAGGAGGAAAGGGACAATCAAGTTTGAGAATGGTCTGTCAGCTGCAGAGAGGCTGCACCACAACCAGTTATTAGCTTAGAAAATAAGATTTCTCCCCAATCCTCACTTTCTCTTTTGCTAAGAGAATATTTTTTCCAACCTACATTAATATAAGAAAAATAAAAAATGTGGAGAGTGGGGCAGAAGGAGGAAAGGTTAGAGCAGGAACAGGGAGTGAGGCCAGAAATTTGTTTAACAGAATCATTTCTGTGCCTCCTTGAACACTTTGATTAAAGCCAGGGGACTAAATCAAAGCCACTGAAAGGAAGAATAAAAAGATGTCTGAAAACAATTTTGTTTGCTGGAATTTTCCCTCCTGTGTTCTATTATGGTGGGGGTGTGGCTGTGTGTGTGTGTGTGCACGCGTGCGTGAAAAAAAGTTCTATTTTGTCCTCCTTTGATCTTTCAAAGAAAAGAACATTTAAAAAAGGAAAAGAAGAAGAGAAATTGATATCAATATTGTTCCTTTTCTTTCCTTCACTTCCATCAATAACTCAACTGGATCTAAAGTGAGGTATGAATACCAATTAAGCCCAGGCAATCCACAAATGAAAACCTGCAGCATGTAATAAGAGAGGGTTTCCAAGGCCACTACAGCCACCAGGGGTTCTCTTAATCATAGGTCCTCTCCCCTCCCCTGGGCCCACTTAAGTCATAAGACCATTTAGAGGACTTTATACATCATCAAGTAAGGCCAAGATGGGAAGAGCAAGATGGAGAGGCCTCCAGTTCATACTTCCGTCTTCAATGGGTTTGCTGTAGAGCCACCTGCAGGGAGGGATCCTATTGATGTGGTAGAGCTGCTACAATCTCAGAGAAGTGGCTTGAGATAGCAATATTCAAATAAGACAAGACCATAAGCACTCATTTCTGGGTTGGGAATTGGTGTAACTAGCCCCCTTGCTCTCCAAAGAGGAACACACGCTTTCTATGCATCTTCAAAACTTCACATAAAATAGTGATAAATCAGGGGCACCCAGACTAAGAAACTGATGCAAATGCTAGAAGTGCAGAGATGGGAGTAAGCTGCAACTTGCACGCTAACTCTGACTGACTGATAGTGACTTCCTATAGTGCTGTGTTAAGAATGACTATGGGGTTGAATTTTCACTTAGTCAGAAAGTATAGTGACCCGTTAACTGATGTCTGCCATAAGGGTTAGAAGAAAGTCCTGGTATCACATGCTATGTGTATGCCAACCTGGTACACTTAAAAGAACACTTGACTTGAAGTCAAAAGACTATAAACCATGACTTTGGGAAAGACACATAGCTTTTCTGAGTCACAGGCCCTATCATTAAAAATAATAATAACAACAGGAAAACTAATGTACATATATGAATTTTGTAATTTGTGAAATATGCATGCATGCTACCTCTTTTATTGTAGTAAAGTATACATAGCATAAAACTTGCCATTTTAGCTATTTTTAAGTGTAAAGTTCAGTGTCATTAAGTACATTCACACTGCTATGTAACTATTACCACCATCTATCTTCAAAACTATTTTATTTATTTATTTTTGAAACGGAGTCTCACTCTGTCGCCCAGGCTGGAGTGCAATGGTGTGATCTTGGCTCACTGAAACCTCTGCCTCCCATGTTCAAGTGATTCTCTTACCTCAGCCTCCCAAGTAGCTGGGACTACAGGCATGCGCCACCATGCCTGGCTAATTTTTGTGTTTTTAGTAGAGATGGGATTTCATCATGTTGGCCAGGCTGGTCTCGAACTCCTGACCTCAAGTGATCCACCCATCTCGGCCTCCCAAAGTGTTGTGATTACAGGCATGAGCCACCGCACCCAGTCCCCAGAACTATTTTATCTTCCCAAACTGCAACTCTGAATCCATTAAACAACAACTCCCCATTCTTCCCTTCCCCTAGCCTCTGGCTACCATCATTATGCTTCCTATCTCTAGGAGTTTGACAACTCTAGGAACCTCATATGAGTGGAATCACACAGTATTTGTCCTTCTGTATCTGACTTATTTCACTTAGCATATGTCTTCAAGGTTCATCCATGTTGTAGCACGTATCGGCATTTCCTTTCTTTTTAAGACTGAATATTATTCCATTATATTATATGGATAGACCACATTTATTTATCCATTCATCTGTTGATGGACATTTGGGTTGCTTCCATCTTTTGGCTTTTGCGAGTAATTCTACTATGAATATGGTTGTACATCTGTTTGAGCTCCTGCTTTCAATTCTTTTGGGCATTACCCAGAAGTGTAACCGCTGGATCATATAGTAATTCTATGTTTAATTTTTTGAGGAACCATCATACTGCCACCATCTGTTCTTACATTTCAATTAGTAATGCCTGTTTGAAAAACTTTATAGAGAAGTTGAAGGGTCACAAAGAGATAAAGGTTGAAGAAATTCAAGTTGAAGTCATCCAGGTATGGCCTGGGCCTGGCCAGGGGCACATGGCAAATTGCCCTCACCTCCTGCTGCCCAGGCTGTGGCTGGCAGGCTGTCTTGCTCAGCAGAGCACCAGGGTGGAGGAGCAATAGCTTGAATCCATCCCCTTTGCCACTCGTCTGGTGTGGTCCCTGGGCCAGGACCAGTGCTCTAGTGGGGAAGAACATTCTCACTCATCAGCAGCAATGTTTACCTGGGCAGGGCGATGGCTCAGATGCCACCCTCCAGAATGCAGACCCCTTCGTGGGAAAGGCGGGGCTGGGTATGGGGAGGGAACAATGGGGAGGAATGGGCAGACATGGTGGGAGGAAGCCATTCACATTTTGGTTATGACATACTGGTGTCTAGACTTTGTCATATGGAGCAAATGACAGGATATTTGGATAGAAACTCAGCTTTCAAATAATGCGCTAACAAGAAAGAAACGCATTGCCTTTCTTTGTTCCCCAAAGCTCTGGCAGCTGGCGAGATCAGAGCTAGCCTGCCAGAGCACAAAGCTTTAGACTCCTTGTCCTCTCTGCACTGGGGCAGTGGTTTCATGTCAGCTCACAGACATTAAGAGGTTGCGCTGCCTGGATGCAGCCCAGCCCAGGGCATTGTTGACATCTGAGAGTGGCAGCCAGCTCGACAGGCTCTTCCTTTCTCCATAAAGTCATTGAGAAGTCACTGGACTTAAAAGGGCCCACAGAGGGTCATTTAGCCCCCTTTCTGCCTGGACTGGACATTAGCAAAACCATCCAAAACTATCAGGAATTTTCCTTATCACCAAACATACCCATTCCGTGGTCTTGCTCAGGGGATGTGGAGAATGACGGTTCCTTTTTCTCACTATGTTCGTAGTTTCATCCTGTGGTTGAGCTAAGTGGGCTCTAGGATGGGAAAAACCCAGTTTGACTCCTAGGGCTGATACTTCTAGTGTGTGAATTTAGGAAAATTATTACAATAACTACATCGCTTAATCCTCATATTCTTCATCTGTTAACTGGAGAAAACAGGAATGCATGCCTTATCTCAGTTAATAATATCAGGAGCCTGGCACCTAAAAGCACAATGTAAGCTCTCAGGGTTATTGTCCCATGCCAATGGAGATGTCCCCCTCCCTGGGGAAGACTGCACCAAACTCTCCCTGACAGACGTCCATCCTCGTGAATGCCCTTCCTACCAGGGCTCCTGAGAGCTGGATTTGGGCATTTCTGGGATAGCAATGGCTTCTCACCAAATTTGAAGGTTTAGGAAACAAACTTAAGGGCTCATCTCATTGAAGTCTATGTCTGGTTCATTTAACTGCTCCTTCAATAAGCTGAGAGAGCTCAGCAGTGAGTCCATAAAAAGCACTAGTGAATAATGGTCCCTTGAGTACACTGCAGAAGGTGTCCCTTCAGGGGTTTCCATGCCCTGCTCCCCCGGTCTTTCCTACGGCCCGCGTGTGTGTGTGTGTGTGTGTGTGTGTGTGTGTGCGTGCGCGCGCATGCATGGGGCAAGAGTGTGATGGTGAGTGGGGTTAGGCTGAAAGTCAGAAAACTGGATTCTATGCTCACCTCTGTCTTCAGCAAGACCCTCCCCCTTTGGGGGCTCAGTTTCCTCATCTCTAAAATAAAAGTTGTACAGTTTCATTTCTGGAATGACTTGTGGTTCAATGGATCCATCATTCCGGAACTGTGGCTGATGAATAGGAAAACCGGAAAAGAAAAGGAAGGCATTTTTACATGAGGCAGAGGGGAGAAGTGAAGTGCAAATCCAGGGCTCCTGATACCCAGGGCACACAAGAGGAGATTCAGAGAGAGAAGACAGGCATCAGCAAGTAAATCTTTCCTCTGCCAAGTGCTCTTAGATAGAAACCCAGATCCCTGAGGAAATTATTGAAACTCAATTCCTTTGAGAACGTTAAAAAGTGAGCTAGCAAAGCACATTGTGAAGAGGAAATCTGGGTGTCCTGCCCCCTCTGCTTTCATGTCGCTAACCACAGGAGATGGGGCTCCTTCACCTTCACAGTCCCTGGGGTGCCTTCCTATCTTTCAGGGAGCTTGGGGACTCCTCCAGAGAAACAGTAAGATGAGTTACAAGCCGTGAACCTGTCTCAGTAGGACTGTCTAGTTACAGGGAGCTCCATATTAAGAGAAATTGGAAGAAACCTGTAATCCAATCATGAAGCCGGGGATGGTGGTGAGTTACCTCCTGAAACACACACAGTACATTCAGAGCTCCAAAAACATTGTGCAGGAGCCAGAGGTGAGAGCCTCAGTTCTTTCCTCACTTCCAGGACCAAGAGGGTCTGTCTTTAGGGTAATAGACCCTGTGCTTTCTGAGTCTTGATTTTCCTACCATTAAAAAAAGAGAGAGGCTAGGCATGGTGGCTCCCACCTATAATCCCAACGCTTTGGGAGGCTGAGGCAGGCGGATCACAAGGTCAGGAGTTTGAGACCAGCCTGGCCAACATGGTGAAACCCCATCTCTACTAAAAATACAAAAATTAGCTGAGTGTGGTGGCGGGTGCCTGTAACCCCAGCTACTCAGGAGGCTGAGGCAGGGGAATTGCTTGAACTCAGGATGCGGAGGCTGCAGTGAGCCGAGATTGTGTGACTGCACTCCAGCCTGGGCAACAGAGCAAGATTCTGTCTCAATTAAAAAAAAAAGAGAGAGAGAATTAAATAAGAAGTATTTCTTTCTCTTGGCTACCTCAAAGTAGGGGCTTTTGGGAAATCAAAAGTAACTATTTGGGAAGAAGAGGAATGACTGATGTTGCAGAAAAGACATTCCAGCAAAGGGCCATTTAAATTTTCCTTGGAAATATTAGTTGAAAGAATAATTGACATCTGCTGTTGGAATATGATGATGAGAGCTTTAATCTTTTTTAATTATTTAAAAAAACTTTTTTGAGACAGTGCCTTGCTCTGTTGTCCAGGCTGGAGTGCAGTAGTGCAATCATAGCTCATTGCAGCTTCAAACTCTTGGGATTAAGTGATCCTCCCACCTCAGCCTCCTGAGTAGCTGGAACCACAGACACTTGCCACCATCCCTAGCTAATTTTTTTGTTGTTGTTATTTTTGTAGAGACAGGTTCTCGCTATGTTGTCCAGGCTAGTCTCAAACTCCTGTGGCTTAAGTGATCCTCCAGCCTCAGTCTCCCAAAGTGCTTGGATTACAGGCATGAGCCACTGTACCTAGCTGGTGAGAGCTTCAAATAAGCTAAGAAAGAGATATCTAAGATTACCTGGAAATGAAACTCTTGCTAAACATGGGCTCTACATGTGGATATAGAGCAAGTGCAAGTTGCAAATCATTAACTACATTGGCTATGTTCAAGGAATAGAAGTGAAAATGCTCAGCTGAGTAGCCCTGGGCTGGGCTGTGGTGGCCACACAGATCCCTTGCCTAGATCCAGAGCCTGCTAAGGATGGTGGCCTAGCAGCTCTGTCATGGACTATGACCAAAGAAGTATTTCCAAAGGATCACCATACACTGAACTCTTCAGGCATGACAGCAAGTGGGCAGCGTACCACCCTCAAAAAGGATACACACTCGGGAGTGAGGTGGCAGGGAAGGAGGGAGATACAGAAGGAACTGCCATGGAGCCTGGAAGAAGAAAGGGGGGGTGAAGGTATTGGGAAGAAAGGATGAAGGATGCAGGTGAGGGGTGGGGTGGGGAGCGGGGGATGAACGCAACACACAGGAAGACCAAGAAACCCGGAAGAATCACGAGTACAGAATAAAACCAATAATAAGTCCCCCTCTCATGCAGGGGACATCATTAGAGATGCCACGGTCCAGAGGAAGGACACATCGGCTGATACAGCTGACCACAGGTTGGAGCAGTGCATCTCTGGGGAACATCCATGAAGACCAACAGAGAATGAGAAGGACAGAGCAGCAAAGGGCACCTGCAGGGATGGAACAGCCACCAGGAGCCAGATGCTTTAACTGAACTGACTTGAGTTGAACCCTCACAACAGACCCGCCATGCAGGTACTTATTAGATAAGAGAGCCGAGGACCAGGAAGGCCAAATAGCTGGCCCAGGTTCCCCCAGGTGCCAGCGGTAGGACTGCAATTCTGCTCGTCGAAGCCCTCTCTCTTCCAACTGTGACACTTTTCTCTTAATGCTCCAGGCCTGACGGAGGGCAGAGATCACAGGGGGTGTAGAAAGGAGCTTTTTGTGATGACATAGAAAATACCCACGCACCATGGGGGCAGTTGGCAAGAGAGGAGAATGTCTTGGAAATGGGCTGGACAGCAGGGTGTTGATTGGGGCCAATGTCAATGCTGGGCGTGATCAAAGGAGGGGCAGTGTCGCCTCCATAAGAAGGGAGAACGAAGGGCATTTAGAGGGAGTGGAACAGCAGCTTATTTGAGTATTCTATTCTGCTTAGTGTTTTTCCTTTAGGTTAACTATTTGATCAACTACTAAGGTATGAGAGAAAAGAAAAGCAACAAGGAGACATGGGGGAAGAGAGCTGGATGGGGAGGGACGCGGCTGCACCCACACAGATCCTGGCTCCCTGTCGCTCTCCTTCCTGCCAGCAGCTCCTGGGCCTGCCAGGCATCCAGGGAAGCAGCTGTCTGAGCCTAAGCCCAGCTGGCAGGAACCCCCACTGACCTGGGGACCAGAGGAGGAGGTGGGCTGTGGTCTCTCCTGTCACCCTCTGTCTGCCCAGGCTGACACCTGGAGTGTCTAGAGTGGGGCCCTCAGCTGCCTGCGCTGCGGCTCACAGCACCTGATGGACACACAGGTGTGGCGCGTCCTGCTGGGCTCAAAGACACCTGCTCTGGGCACCATGCCCGTCCCCATCAACAGTTGTAGATGAGGCTGGAGCTGAGAAGAACTGACAAGCAGACGTCTGCTGAGGAGCTGGGCCCCGCCCTGAAGGAAGACAGCCCAGCCCTCCCAAAGCACATGGTTGCCAGGTGAAATTTGCAGTCACCAGCCGCCAGCCATGTGGTGACATTGGATTTCAGGCAATGACCTTGGGAACCCACATTGCATCTGCAGCAGGTGTCTGCATTCACCTCACATAGCACTCTGAAAATGTTTGCCGCTGTCAGCACCACCTGAAGGGGCTTCCCCTGCAGTCCTCTTTTCCATCCACCCTCCCCTAATTCAGACCATGCCATTTCTCTATCCTGCCGCACACCTCCACATTTGAGTTTTCCTGCTTGGATCTGCCTGGCCTGATGTGTCTGGCTGCTCAGAGCCCAGAGCCTCTCCCAGCCCTTTCACAGAAGATGAGAGAATCCCTAACGCCTCTGCCATTTGACCAAGACAGCTCCTTTCAACTTCCTCTTCCCCTCGGGCAAAATCAGCAGCAGAGACAGGACTAAGCTGAGTGGCCTAAGCCCCTCCTTTGATTCTCAGGCCCCCAGAGCCACCCAGGTGCCAGAAACCTGCTAAGACGTATCACCAGACCCCTTGCTGATATCATAAGCATTTTTTCCCCTTCTCAGCAAAACTGACAGGACATGGCTTCCTGGAAAGGAGGTGAGGGGAGGAGTCCCCAAGCCTGGTGAGAACAGAGGGAGTGCTGGTCGATGGCCCCTGTTTCTCCACTGCCACCTCAAGAAGCCTTCCAAGGAGGGCAGACTAATGCTTGCACTGGCTTGGCTAATGGAAGAAGCCAGGGGGGCTGTGTGGAAAGAATGGAAGAGCCCCCAGTGGGCATAACATACACCAAAAAGAGAGGGCACCGACCATCTGTGTTGACAGAGAAGGACATCCCTCAGTAGCCATCACCGAAAAGCAGGCACTTCATGTCTGCCCTGAAACCATCACTATGAACAAAGAGCTCATCAAAGAAAGGGAATTTTTATAGACACCCTATAGAGGAGTGATTTTGATTCCTAATCTGTCCATTACGGCCCCCCGAGAAGTAGGTATAAAAAGATGATATGCGGCCGGGCGCGGTGCCTCCTGCCTGTAATCCCAGCACTTTGGGAGGCTGAGGCGGGCGGATCACAAGGTCAGGAGATTGAGACCATCCTGGTTAACACGGTGAAACCCCTTCTCTACTAAAAATACAAAAAATTAGCCGGGTGTGGTGCCAGGTGCCTGCAGTCCCAGCTACTCGGGAGGCTGAGGCAGGAGCATGGCATGAACCTGGGAGGCAGAGATTGCAGTGAGCCAAGATCGCACCACTGCACTCCAGCCTGAGCGACAGAGTGAGACTCTGACTCAAAAAAAAAAAAAAAAAAGGTATGCAGTGTGGTCCCTGACAGCAGGTTTGAGCTCCCTTGCAAGGAGAACTCCAGCATTTAATGCAGAAGAGGCAAGAGTCAACTTGGGTGTTCTTCCTTCCCAGTCTTAGCTCTGAGTGTAGAAAATCCAGGTACATTCCTCCCGAAATGCTGTTCTGGTGAGTGGATGCAGAGAGGCTGCCCACCACTGTGTTATCACAGATGCCACCCTGGCATGAGATGCAAGGGAAGTAGAGGCAGCCATCTGGGGATGGGATTACTGGGAAGCCCACAGGCCTCACAAGCCAGAGGCACCATGGTTTCTTGACTTGGACGTGGCCTCTCAAATGCTGGAGGATGTCCAGCCCACAGCCTTTGGTGATGCTCTCCTGGCCTTATTTAGAATTCTTAATGCTGGCAAACAACTTTTATAAAATTATCCATTTGTATTTGGATGCATACATAAAAATATCCTTTATCTGTATTTGGTTAATAAAACTAGTCTTGCTCTGCCTGTATTTAGCGGTGCCAGCTATCCTGGACTCTGTTTGTGTGCCTGTGTATGTGTGTGTGTGTTTCATTGTTTCTATTCCAATCATATCACTAATAAATGTCTATGTATAACAAACTCATGCAGAGGAGCAGTGAGCAGATTATTATCCTGCATTCTATTGACTCCTTATCACCCCTTTCCCTGCCCTGCTCAAGCCCCTAGATATTGATGGGTGTGACTGAGCTAGGCCATCCTCTGCTGTTAGGCAAAACTGTGTTCCTGTGTGGGCATACCACGTCCCAGGAGTCGACGACTCACTTTTGCCCTGAGGGTCCCCAGTGAGGATGCACGTATGCCTATGGCAGGCAGGGAGAGCTGATGCCTGGTTGGCATGAGCACCTGAATTAGTGTTGGCCACATATGGATGGCCATGCTGGTGGGCAGAGGCAGAGGTCAGGGGGCACAAGAAGAGTGGAAAGGAGATCCCAGAGAAGAAGCACATGGAGTGGGAAAGGCACGCTTCCAGGTTAGGGCTGGTCTGCAGACACACATGCCCCGTGGTTGGGCTGGGGAGACGGGTTGGGGTGGAGAGGGAAATGGGGGTGGGGAGTAACACGTGCAAAGGTGGAAATCATGAACCAGGTTTTAAGTCCTTTGGCTCCGTGTTATGTATACAGAAGGCACAGAGAAAAGAATATGGGAAGTTAAGACTGGGCTGTTTGGGTGGGCAAGGAAGGAGCTTACCAAAAACTGTCCCAGGAGACCCTCTGAGATGGCCCAAGACCCTCAAAGAAAGTGGCCCACCATCCTCAGCTACCTCTTCTCTAACTTTCGGTATCTTACAGCTATTCCTGTATCTCCCTAATCTCAAATCACTTCTTGTGAGAGTTTCCTGCCAATGATGTCAGTACCGCTTAGATGTAGGAGCATATTTCTGGACACAGTTCCCTGAATAAAGACTTGGGATAGAAAATTAATCCTCCCCCTAGGAGTTCATAAAACTGGGGCACCGAGGGGACTGATGGCTAAAACCAAAGTTGCAGTGAGCCTGGAAGGGAAGCAGCCACTTGGGAGGGAGCCTTAAACTCGAGTGGGGACGGAGACAGTGGCCAAAGATGTTCACAGCCGTCCTTGAAAGGGATGAATTAAAGAGAAGGCATCAAGGACAGTAACTCCTTTATCAAAGCCCATGGCTGGGCCTCTCTGATCAGCCCCTGCCTCCTGACACACAAACACACACACATACACACACTCACACACACAGTCTAGACCACACCTAGCCACTGAAGAGTGCTTTAATCCATGAAAACACACTGAGAAATAACTCTGGGGAAACTTGATTGGGAAGGTAAGCCTGATGTGAAAAACTGCAATCATGCATCCAAAGCCAAAAAGACATGATCTTTTGATTATCTGTGCCACTACTCTGATTAATGATTGTTGGCCATCGCCTCTAGATTGACACCTGCATTATTTTTGTCCCAGCCTGGCTTATCTCCTATCAGTCAACGCATCACCCACACTCCCACCAGCTGTACTCAAGGTGGTCAGGCACATGAGAATGCTTTGGGAAAGATTTACATCACGTGACCTGTCATGTGGCACTACATTAGGGCTGCAGGACCAGCTATTGAGCAAAGGTATCACCCCTTCCAGCAATGAGCTTCAATTTTCCAATCCAAAAGAAGCAGAAACAAATGGCTAAAACCAAGTCAGAGATGATAACCTTGAGTGGCTCTGCTGTTTTGATGTTTACATTTTCCCAGAATAAACTGTATACCATTCAGTATCACCACACAGATCACACACGTGGCGTGGCCTGGGCCCTGTTTACTCAAGCAGTTTCTTCTTCATTGAAGGAGTCCCTCCTGTTCCTTTAGGATTTGTGGATGACAGTCCTCTGAAGGAGGTCAGGTAGATCTATGCAGATCCTTCCTCCCAGTGGCATCAGCTCAGCTACTGCACCACAGCCTTCAGGCAGGAGTGGAAGCCCCCACACCAAGCAACGTGTCCTCTCTATCTTCATTACCTCCAAGGTCTGATGTTACTCACCCTCTCCCACACCTCACACACTGGAAACCAGCATGATGCATTAGAGAGATGAAGCCTTTTAGAATCAAACAAAATAGAACAAAGGTTCAATTCTCCAGCACCTAGTAGTGTCTGACATAAAATAGGTACTGCATAAACATCAATACAAGATATTCTGGCTCTGTCACTCACCAACAGTATAATTTTGTGCAACATCTGGAAGCCTCAACTTTCTCACCTATAAATAAGGAAAGTTGAGAGGCTTAAAGAAGATAATCTTTGTCCGTGGGTTCAGCAGAGGGCCTGGCGTGGAGAGCATGGAAGTGCCTTGAAAATTGGCATTTCTCCAGCATTTATTAACAAAACCATAAAATAATTTAATGCTATGCCAACTATATAATGCCAAACATTTATTACTTACTATGTGCCAGGCACTTTTCTGAGGGCTTACCATCCATTATCCCTTTTAATCTTCAAAATACTATGTCGTTGGTAAATATCATTATTCCCATTTTGCACGGGCACTAATTCCAAGCTTTGAGATGGCCAGGGCATGATGTGGTCAGGCAGTAGAAGTAATGATAAAACCAGTAGAGCAGGCAAGACAAGCCCTGGCTGCCCATGAGTCTCTAGCTGAACTTCATTGCTAAGTTCACCTTTAGCCCCAGCAACCAGGGATGCCAAGTACACCTTTCCCCAGAGGACTCAGTCTTGCAATGTTCTCTCCAAGGTCTGGAGAAGTCAAGAGGAAGGGAAGGAAAGGAAGAGGCTTCCAGGTCTTAGTGCCTCATGCCCTAAGATTCTATGATTGGTGCCAGGCCTCCGTAGCTCTGGATGTGCATAGGTTAGTGAAACCAGCAGAGTGGCAGCTGGAAAGGTTCGATTTTGTGTGTCTGGCCATCAGCTCCTCCTGGACTAAGGGCTGTAGATGTACACATTTTTCTGGCTTGTCTTATTTTCCACTGGAAATCCAGATCCCATCAATGCTCTAAAGCTGGGGAGTCTACTGAAGTTACTATGTTCAAACTTTAAAACAAATACACTTGAAACCCCTGGGCCTTCACTGTGAGGAAACAGCTCTTGGATGGTTTGGCTACTAATTTTTGGCTTTTTAGCAGTGGCTTTAAATAATGAGGTGCCCATGGAAATGCAGGGGTGGAGGAGGAGCAATACAGTGACAACAAAAGAGAGAAATCTGGGAAAATGGGAAACTTTCATGGGAGATAAGAAATCTTACCGCCCTTATTAGGTTTTCTGTTCTATCAGGGAGGTCTCCTGGCTTTAATAAAATCTCATTTTCCCTTTAAACTCTCCCATGTGGTAGGGCCTTGTATTTAATAGGGATATATAAGAGAGGATTCCAACCTGAGGCTCAGGTGGCCGGGGGCTCCCCACACTCCAGTCCAGCAGCTGGGATTGATTGCAGAGCTGCCAGTCCAGCAACACACAAGTTGCTGCACATCAGAGAGTAATCATGAGCCATTTGATGCTGACCTGCACGAAGTGAAGATGGCAGCTTGGCTCCCGTTCATTCCCATTTGGACAGAGAAGCTCATCCTGGTCTTTATTAAAAGTGGACCAAAGGAGTAAGTGATGAGTCACAATATGTGATTGATTAGGGGCATCTGCATTTGAAAGCCTCCGTGGCCTTCATCCATGCCTAACTCCTTAAGGTTCCCATTAGCACTGGGAGATTGTGTTCATTAGGAGCCGCTGATGTTGATAAATTCATCTTTCCTGTCACATGCAATTCTATCCAGGGTCTGGCTCTCAGTTCTGAGGGGCTGATCCACCTTGCCTTAATACCACACGACAGGCTCCTTCACAAAACAAGCAGGGTGTCAAAGGCTAGCTGTTGGGAGATGCCAGGCCTACACCAGCAAAGGCTGGAGGGAAGGAAAGGGTGAGCAGCTGGTAATTAGAAGCTACTGGTGGGTATCAGAACGCATCCATCAGATGTCTGCAGAGAGGAACACACCCAGAGTATCTGTGGGTCCCAGGAGCTGGTGTAGGTTCTGGGCTATTCTTTCACGATTGCCAAAGAGTCACCACTTGTTGAACCCTCGAATGCTAACAACAGTTTCTAGCTCTACCAAACTCCTGTTTTGCCAGCTTTGCCCCCAAGAAAACAGAAAAGTCATGACTAGCAAAATGAATCAGTGTGAGGCACTTGCACCAACAGAGAGCATATAATTTTTATCTAGCAATTTCACTATCAACTCCAACAAATTCACTCTTAAAGCCAGAAAAGCATTCCAGCTTTCTGCAGGGAAAATGTATGTGAGGGGTAAGCCACCCAGAGTCAGTTACAACTACCCTGTCTGCTGTGGGACAAGCTCTCTGTGTGTTCTTTTCAAGGTGTCAGAGAGGTCTGATGGACAATGTGCACAAGTCTGTGTGTGAGAAGACCAAGAAAGGCGAGGCTGTCCCCGCCCTCTGCATTCTCATCCTGGATAACCCAAGCTCATGTTAGTAAGGCCTCTGAGGCTGATGTCCCCATTTCATCTATGTGCCTTTTTCCAAGACAGACACTTTAGCTGGGATTTTGAGTCCTACTAGTAGAGGCTTGGGCAAGGCCAGAGTAGGAAAGAAACCTGGTGGGGCAGAGACTGATCGGGCTTTCCAGGCCCACATGGCCAGTGCTTACACATCTTCCATGTCATCTTGGTCCTTCCCCTTAACTCCATCCCGCCCCCCCCCACGCCCCAGCCCTCAAAACAATTTGGGACAACATCATTAAATTCACACAAACTTCTTCCTTAGGATCCAGAAACCCGGTTGTCCCCCAAGAGGTAGAAAAGGCTCAAGAATAATGCCACATGGACTTGGCTCCCCAGCCCCAGTTCCACTCATCAAAAGCAAATACCATGTGCATGTTCTGTGTGTGGCACTGGAGACCCAAAGACAAACTGTTGATGTTCCTGCCCTAAAGGGTCTCATGCAGCACTCAGTAAGAAAGACAGGCAGTTGATTAAATAACCACAGCACAGTGTGATCCATGCCAACATGGACATGCTAGAGGACCCAGTAGCAGTCCAGGAAAGGGAGTGATTCTGTCTACTTGGGGAAGAGGAGGACAGGAAGGACAGATCAAAAAAGGCTTACTGAAACAGGTGACATCTGATCTGAGAAAGAGCTCCTAGAGCAGTCAAAATGGTGGGGAAGACACTGTAGGCAGAGCTACATGTGTTCAGTCAGCAGGGTGGGAAACAGCATGGCATGTGGGGGAACAAAGCACAAGTGGGGACTGCCAGCATGAAGAACTAAGTGAGGGAGAGCTTATGTGGAATTTAGAAAGGAAAAAGGCAAATAGGAGCCAAGGAGAGCAAGAAGCAATATTTCCTTCCACTCCAGCCAGTCCCTTATGTGAACAGAAAAGAGCAGACAGTAGAGTTTGAGTCCCAACGCCACTGGCATGACCTTAGACCAATGCCTTCACTTCAAGGGTCTCAGCTTCCCCATCTGCAAATTTGGAACAGCCCCACCTGTAGCATCTGCCCCATGGTGTTGTTGTGAGAATCAAATTTTGATAAGGTTCTTGAAGTGTTGCTACTCTGAAGACTGTGGAGAGCTTTGGCGATGTGAAAAGGTCTCATCAATCATCACCAGGGATCCCAGCATTGGCCGAGGGACTGTACCAACTTTGCCGAAAGTCCTTGGAGTTCACATGCTAAGGGGAAAGCCTCTATTGCTCCGCAAGGCAAAGGACCCCCAGCCGAGGATACAGGGAAGGGAAGAAGAAATCCATGTCTCTGCTGCTGCTCCATGGAGGAGCAGGATGCTGGGGTTCCTGTGCCCACTGCATCCCAATTAAGTATCTGTTTCTCCTCATTTACACTTGGCTCAGCTCTCCAAATACCTTCCTTTAAAGGATTGTTTTTTAAAGGCCCTTCAAACTCAGCAACTATAAACACTGATGTTAGGCAAGGCACTTTCAGCAAGAAGCAACCATAAGGAAATAAAATTGCTGCTGTTAAATCTCCACTCCCAGGAAGCGATTTGCTCAGCAATAACCATTTCTCAGGAGCCCTGATCAATCACTGTTTGGGCAGGAGAGAAGGCCTTCCCAGGCCTCCTGATTTCTCCACCCTGCAGTGGAGGCAGCGCCCACCACCTTTAATTTTATCCAGCAGGCCCTGATGGTGGCTTTGGCCTGGATTTGGAACCAGAAGAAATTGTCCCTGTGACTGTCCTAGAACGGACACGGGGCAGCCATCACTCCTGCCTGGCCCCACCTGCACCCAGTCCTCCTTGATCCTCTCTGTCTTCCCAGGTCAACCTTCGGTGCCAGGCAGGGTTAATCCTCTCTCTGCTTTTAGCAGGAGGAGCCAAATCCCACCTATGGCAATGTTTGCTTCTGGAGAAACTTATCTTCCTGCATTGCTCTCTCTTCATCAAACATGAATGCCAGCAAAAACTCCTTTCCCAGGCTCACGAAATGTGTAAAAACAAAGTACAGAAAAAGAAATCCTACACTAGATTCCCCAGATGTTTTCTATGAGGCAATTGGATCTCTCTTTCTCTCTGCTAGAAAAGGCTATTTAGGAAAAGCCAGAGAATACGAGATGCTTATGTTATGAAATATCAGCCCAGCAGCCTTGTTTACTGGGACCCAGTTGGAAAAAACCCAGATTCCCAAGTAAATAACTTCTCTCCTTTTCCTAGCAAAAATTGCTTTAAATGATTTCAATCCTAAAGATAATTTTTTCCAAGCCAAGTGACCTTTGCCTCCTTTTTATAGCCTCCCCTAGAATGGCCTGTACAGAATGTGTTTCCCTGATAAGCCCAGAGCTTTTCCAGACACAGTCTTCTACAAACTCAAATGAAAAAGAAAAAAAAAAAAAAAAGAAAACAAAACAAAACAAAAGGGAGAGCTGGAAGGATCAACTCCTCTGTTCCCCTGTGCAGGTAGGAAAACTGAGGTGCAAGATGTGACATCCTCTCCCATCTCTGTGGCACCCACACATCTGATTGGGCAGCACAGAAGATGGGGTACCACAGCCTCCCCTTCTACAACATCCCTCATGGGTCCACAGGAGCCCCTCTCCCCACCTTGCTGCTTGGAGAGACCATTTGATTTCCTTGTGCCCCTCAGTGGCCACCAGCACCAACTCAGTAGATAGGTTCTGCTGCCTACTTGCAAATCCCTTTGCTCTCCAGAAGATATCTGTGAGCAGGAAGGTATGGCCAGGGGTAACGAGTGAAATGCAGAGACCTGGGGCTGAGGAGAGAAAAGAGCCAGGATGGATGGCAGGGGAGAGTGCTGTTTCTCACAGCACAGCCTGGCACAAAAGAAAAGAACAGAAACACACACCCACGTTCTACTGGAGGCCGCGAGCTGAAACTGTGGTATGGGAGAGGCAATGGATAGGGCTTTCAGGAGCAATCCTCCAACTTCTGCTGACATAGCACTGTTCCCCCAAATATTGGAAGTGAGGGTAGGAAGAGCACCCTAGAAGTTCCATCACCCACCCCACCCAACCATCACACTCTCCTGGTGAAACCATCTATGCTATTCCCCAATTATCTTGTTTCTGTGAGAAACACATATGTTATTCTCAAGAGTCATGACGGTACCTGGAAGGGAGCACTAGCTGTGGCAGCTTGGTGTTTCATGCTGCAGAGGTGATTGTTGCTCTGTGGGCCAGAGGTCTAGTGTTCTCAAGTCGTGGAAATAGTGATTCTTCCCGTTGAAAACTTAACACGTGCTTTAGAGAAAAGAGTAGGAGTATTTAACTCAGAGCTCCAGCTTCTCACCACCCCTGGCACATGGCTGGCACATGGTATGTCCTGGGTGATTATTTCTTGAGTCATTGGTTGATGCCAAAGTTCTCTACTAGGCAACAATCCCTAGAGATTAGAAAGGCCTAAAGCAGGCTGTGTCCTGGGTTGTCACCTCTCCCCTAGCATGTCATAGTTCTGAGGATTGTGCCCATCCCTGAGGTGTTCTTATGAGCTCCTTATTCCCTAAAAACTACCAGACATTCCAAGAAGTTTCATGGATAGCAGGCATGGCAGATGATTAACTTCCTCCTGTCATTTCACCTAGGTCTGTGATCTCTCCTGCGCAAAATGAGGTTCAAAGAAAGAGAATGAGAATGATAATGATTATTGAAAAGTCCCTCCCACCTCTGATATTCTTTGAGCTGCTAAGATTTGAAATTTCACTCAATGGTATCAGGAGGTTCTGCTAGTTGAGATTTAGTCTACTTCAAACCAGTGACAGCCAAGACAATTCTGAAATGGGCACTGGATCTTTTTTTTTTTTTTTTTTTTGAAATGGAGTCTCACTCTTTGTTGCCCAGGCTGGAGTGCAATGGCGCGATCTTGGCTCACTACAACCTCCGCCTCCCAGGCTCAAGCATTCTCCTGCCTCAGCCTCCTGAGTAGCTGGGATTATAGGTGCACACTACCACACCCAGCTAATTTTTATATTTTTTATGGAGATGGGGTTTCACCATGTTGGCCAAACTGGTCTCGAACTCCTGACTTCAGATGATCCGTCCACCTCAGCCTCCCAAAGTGCTGGGATTACAGGCATGAGCAACCGTGCTCGGCCAGATCTTTTATTTATAACAGATGCCATAACATTTCATACAAAATTCCCCATGATTGGAGATATTCAAGTGGAGGCAGGACAAGTGGCTGGGTTGTTGTGTGTGGGCAAGGGTGGCTGTGTACTATGGGAATGGGTACATTAGCATCCAAAGGGTGATTACACCAGGCAGTGTCTCATGTCCCTCCTCATGTGGGAGCCTACCACGCAAGGGAGAACCAGGACTAGGTTGATATGACCTGGCTTTTACAAAACCCCTGGAGGAGGGAAAGAAATGGAGGCAGCATGTCAAAGCCTTGTCTGAGAAGCATTCCTTTCTCCAAAGCATCTGAGGCTCTGCCTTACAGATCCCCATGGACCTTGCATTCCTCCATGGAAGCCTTTGTTCTCTGTATTGTGATCTATTTACAAATACCTTCCTCCTCAGACTGTGGGCTACTTAAGAACAGGGCTGTGCTTCTACTCTTTGATTATAATGTACTCTGAGCAACCAGCATAGTGGCAAGAGCATCATCAACATCAGTCAAATGTTGAAGGAAAGAGTAAAAGAATGAAGAAATAATCTTGTTCAAGGTTGCAAACCACCAGGGAAGAGCCAATCTTAAAACCCAGGATTCCCGAATCTCACACTATAGCTCTTCACAGTCACTCTGCAAATTTCAAAAACAATGAAAGATAACATCCAAACTATTACCCTTTTTGGTGTACACACTGTCTCCAGATTTCAAGGCTTTTGCAGTAGGGACCAGTTATTTAATTATGGTCTGGCCTTTACTAGTCAAAGGTATGTTCTTGGGCTTCATATGTTCTTGGACTTGCCACCACCGTCACCCCTCACTGCCCCTGTACCTCATAATATAACAGTGGCTTAATATAACAGAGGCAGGGCTCACCACATTTTATATCAGTGTTGGCTTATTTATGGCTTGAGAATTGCTTGAGATGCTGAAACTGGCCCCATATGGGATTCCAGGAGTAGCAGCAGCCCCTCCCCTTGGGGCTTCCGGGAACTACAGATAACTTTTTTAATGAATCAAAATACCAAAGAACTAACCCTCCCAACAGTTGTTATCCATTGCTCAACTCCCTGTAGAGAGCAGCCTGTGGAATTTGCAGCATTGTGATCGTGTGCAAAGGGCAGCACCAGGCCCTGGTGGTGATAACAAGGAGGCATATTTACCCAACACTTCTCCCCCAGGGAGACTGTTTTTCCTCCACTGCAATACTGTGGCCCTCTTGGCTCACCCTGCCTGGTCCCTGACATGGCTGTGGAAGCAGATGGATGGAATCAGAGAACCCGCCCAGACAGAAGGACCAAGGCACCGAGGGAGAAGATAATATAATGTGGCCCTTCATCTCCTGGTGTGTTCCTAAAGTATGGATGATTGCCATTCTCAAAGAATTTCATGATCCTGATTTAAAGAAACTTGCCAACATTCCAGGAACCCAGAAAACAGACAGCAGTCCTCCACAGAGAGGCAGAAAAAGAGACAGGACGATTTAAAGTATCAGGAGCAGGGCCTCACGGGAGTGAGTTCAGATTGTGCATGGCAAAGTCAAAACAGATGATGCTTTAGAGCAGTAGTTTCCAAACCCTATCACCCAAAGAACTTGCTAAAGCACCGATTGCTGGTCCCCAAAACAGAGCACCTGCCTCAGTAACTCTGGGTCTATGTCTATCAAATTCTCAGGTGATACTGGTCCAAGAGCCACGCCTTAGGGGGAAATGGCATTAATGCCAACTCCAGTAAATTAGGCAGGATACCAGGAAGAACTTCCCACTGCCAAGGTTAAACATGAGAATAAGATCAGGTTACTAAGGACAGTTGTGGAAATCTCCTGAGCTAGAGACTCACGTTTCTGAAACGGATCTGAATCTGTTCTGCTTAGCTACAAGGTAATTTTATCTACCATGGACTATAATCAGTTTCAATACAAGATTATGGAGTATCTCCAGGATTCCAAGCACTCTGCTGGGCACTGTTACTGGCAACAGGTAGCACTTGCAAATTGAGGACTGGTTGGTTTGGTTGTATCCTTGTTATAGATGGGGAAACTGAGGCTCAGAGATTCCTGCAAGGTCTCACAGCTGGCGTGAGGCAGAGACAGGACTCAAACTCACATCTGCAATCTGATCTTGTCCCTTCTAGATATGAGGTAGGGAGCAGAGGTGCATAGAACAATATTTTCCTAAATTGTACACTTGAGACAGTGTCCTACAAGATATAAGATAAAAAAGAAGTGATTCAAAATGTCAAATGGCCAAATAAGTTTGAAGAAAACAAATGCAACTGAAGAATCTGCTAGACTTCTCAGGTATTTTAATATACTTAAGTGTGTAGTGCATCTCTAAGAGGAGGCTATGTAGTATTTCTTAAATTTGACCAGATAATCTTTTATTTAAAAACATCTATTTAAATTTCAAGTGACATTCCAGTTGCAAGGAACACAGTCTGGAAACATCTGGCATGGATATTAATAAGGCAAAGAATTTACACCCCTAGCCCGTGTTCTACTTCACATACACTCACACATTTGGGATGAATGCGGAGTGAATATCAGGTGTGATTCAAATCAGATTGGAAAAGAGGATTTTCCAAGATTCTGCAGCCTTTGCCCAGGGCTGAGGCTTTAATGGAGAGCGCCAGGAGCCCCGAGCAGGGTCCAGACAAAGCCAGGTGCCACAGGGCTTGGTGGGCATCCCCTGCAGCCCACAATCCCTCCAGGGCAGGAGCCAGAGGCGTCTGGTCGTCATCTGTGCACCCCCGCAGGCTTCCTGATGTGAGAGACGATTCCCACCAGAACTGTTAGTCATTCCAGTTTCTCTCAATCAATTATTCACACTCCTGTTTGCTTGCTTTGAGAGAGAGGAGGGGGGAAAACACAGAAAAAGCCACAGGGCATGATAAAATACAAGGGAGAGGGGAGAAAAGAAAGCTGGGGACTTTTCTGGGCTGAGTATAGGGTAGACCACTAGATGTGCTTTCTAATAGGTCACCTGCATTTGTCCTCTTGGACAAAGCACACAGGCTGAGGAGGTCTCCTTCTTTCCCTGAAGCCCAGAGAAGAGGAAGCAGGAAGAGGGTTAAGAGCACAGCCAATTGCAGGAGTCAGAAAGACGCATTCCAGGCTCCAGCATGAGCCCTTCATGGTTGTTTGCCTTGCCTGCTTGGATAATATTTGACCAGCTGAGGGGTGCAGTGTAGACACAAAAATCACAGCCCCTGCTGCTGCTGCCTTCAGGCTGTCATGCAGCCTACTGAAGTCTCAGTTTCTGCCATGGTAAAATGAGGATGGCTGTTCAAGCTCGCCCGGAGGGATTCAAGTGAGATCCAAATATGAGGTCCCCGTGGCAGGGACCTCAAACCTCCACCAGCCTTTCACCCTAAGCATGCACAGTCAATTTTAGTGAAAGGATCAAGATTTTTAAATTGTCATGTGTAGTATTTTGCAAATGGCTGCTACATCATCAGCTCGTTAATAACAGAGAGTACTGGCACTGGCATGGTCTGCAATAATTGTTATCGCTATCAAAATGATCAGCAATGATACGCTGCCCTTTGTATTCAAAGACAATGCTACTAACACAGTATAACAAGTGCTTATTTTGCATTGCACAATTATATATTGTCTGAGCTACCAATATATTTGAGAGAGTATTTGCAGTATGTGTATGTGAGTGCATATATATGTGTGGGTGTGCATGTGTATATTTATATATACATATATAAACACACACAAGTATATGCATACACAAATGTAGTTATATATTATGTTCATGAACTTTTTTGCGTGTCTATGTCTTAGTGTCTTATCCTTATATAGGAATACAAGTTCTTATGGGCAACGATTTTCCTTTGTACTTCTTCTGTATCATCTTTAGTTCAAAGCAGGGTGCATCCTTTGTAGGAAACCCTTAATACATTCCTGTTGGCAGTCAGGTTTATCCCAGCAGTGGGGAAAGGCTCATATTGATCCCTCCATCCATGCTCCCTCTCTCTGAAGCCCACTCATGGCATGTGTTGTGAGATGGCCAAGCCACCAAGCAAACCATACAGCCCACTTGAAAAAAGACCCCCTCGAGAAAAGACCCCCTCACTGCTGAGTTAATTAGCTGGCTGGCTGCACACACCAGGATTGGACATGGATATTTCAAAGCATCTTCACCCTCAGACTTAAATGCTACCTAAAGCATTCCCTGGGATTCTATTTTTCAAAATTTATTTTTTCCAAAGTAAAAGTAATAAATGCTCATTAAAGAAAATTAAGAAAAAATGTAAATAAATAGAAAACAATAAATAAACCACACCTCATCCCATTTTCCAAGCACAACTACTGTTAGCATTTTGATGGTTCTCTTTCCAGTTTTTATTTTATTCATTGTATCATGCTTTCTAATTGTCTCATGCTTTTTCACTGAATGTTATCACACAAGAATCAGTTACAAGATTGGCCTTTATAAACTAAGTTTTCAATGACTACATAAATATACCAAATCTACCTAACCATTCTCCTATAAATGAGTGTATATATCAATTCCAATTTTTGATAGACTAAATAAATGCTGAAATGTGTATCTTGGTGATTATTACCCTTGAAACAAATTAGAATTGATTCTTTAAAAAATTGTCACCAGTTCAAAGGATTTGACTATTTTCAAGTTTCTTCCTAAATATTTACACATTGTTTTGCAGGAGTGTTGGACCAGTTAGAATTCCCAACAGCCATGCTTCAATGCACACAGAGCCAGTTTCACATGGAACTCCTGGGACGTATTTCTGAACAACTGTTTATAATGCTTTTCAACTCTTTCAAAGTCCTTGCTTTACCCATCCCTATGCAGGTGCACATGGCCTGTTACAAACCTCTGCCTCCAGAATATGGACAGTGAGACACAGAGGGGTTGCCTGCTCTCACTAAATCTCCAGCTTTGGGACTCACTTTCAGTGCAAGCACACAGATGAAGGTTCTCAAGAGCCCTCCTGATTCATTCCCTCCCACAGGCCAGGAACCTGTGGCACACCCTAAAGAGAATTACACTGTTGTGTATCCTCCAGGAACTATACGAGGTTTAGTGTGGTGGTTCTTAGCAACAGAACAAATCTACAGCACTTTCACTTGTTTTCAAGTAACCAGATTAGCACCAGTCGCTAATTTTACATCTTGCCTTCATACACTCTTGACTACACTTTATTTCCCAGTAAGCTAGTAGAAATGATAGGAGCACATGACACCAAGTGTTTCCACTTCCTTCGCCACTCACCTCCTCCTCCCCACCGGCTCTATGGGGGAATTATGGAATTGTGCTGGATAGTGGCCATGCAGGAGACACTGCTCACGCTTTGTTGTAACCATAGTCTTAAGGAAAGGAGACTGGACAACACCAATTAACTTTTTTTGGGTGCTCTCCTGGACCAGATGCCAACAGAGCTTTTGCACATATGATCAGCTCATCAGGCACTGTTGGCTTCCTTTTCTCTTTCCCGCAGAGGCTGGGATGGTTCTGAGCACTGAGTTAATTACATGATGCTGCAGTACGGTGGGCTCCATCCTCTCTGCCCTGTGTATGCACACACACCTTTAAACACAGATAAGCATACACACACACACACACACACACACACACACACACACACACACACACTGGCCAGGCGACTTGGCTGCAGAAGTGGACAGATGAGCATAAGGTTATCCTACCATATATCAGGCCCAAGAGATAACTATATTCCGATGGGAGAATCAGTTAGTTTCACTGACATATACAAGTGATAACACCACAAGAGTCAAACATGCCTACACTCCATTGTCCAAAATTACCCATGGGACGCTTGGGGCAGAGAAAAGAGACCAACTACCTAGCCAAGCTAAGCAGAGACACATTCTCCAAAGTCTTTTTTCCCTAAGGACTTGGGGTGGCAGGACATGAGCTATGATGTATGGCTGGGGTCACAGGGAGGTAGATGTGTCTCATCTGTTTCCATTTTCCAATATCCAAGGCTGACAACACACTAAATAAGCCTACACAGCTCTGAAGTTTTTCTCAGTTTGATGAACAGCTGGAGAACAGGAGTTCCAGAGTCACTGTTGCTCTGTGGGATCGGGGTCCCGTCTGTAGCTCAAGGGTAGGGCAGAGGCTGGTACCAGGCATCTGGAAAAGATGAAACCTTAGCAGACTTAGACCATGGTGCACAAGATATGCCCATAAGCCTCCTTATTCCCCTCCTCCTTTCTGTTTACAGTAAATATGTATTACAGTTCTGAAATACAGTAAATATGTATTACAAAATGTATTAAGAGCCTCAATATCTATGGAGCAGAACTAACAAGGCCACAGTTGAAGTCCAAATCCTGGGTCAACCAAACAACTTTACTTTTGTTCCCTGGCCACGGATGTTACACCCGGCCCCAGGCACCTGACTCAGCAAGCTGTATGATGGCACGTGTCTTAGACAGCAAGGGGAATGATCAGGACAGGATGCCTCACCTATGTCCCTGAAAGAACAACCTCAAAGCCCCATCTTACCAAGTATCACTTTTTATCCAAAGGTGAGCATGCAAGTGCATGCGCGCACACACACGCGTGCGCATGCACACATGGATGCACACACACACACACATTCTCAGTGACAAGTCCTCCTGTGGCCAACCTTGCCCCTCACTAATAATTTGCACAAATTAAAAGATAAAGCAGCTTAGGGTCATTCAATAAATCATAAGCACAAATCAAAATCTATCCACTCAATTAAATCTGAACCTAGCTGGAATCACATCGTTTTTGAACGCTGAAGTGGCTAATTTCCGAAGGATGTAAGAAGATCATTCAACACATGGTTATTCAATATCAGCCCCTTTTCTCTGTGATTTTTAAACTTAATTAGCATTTAGTAAAGATGGCATGATGTTCCATAGAGCAGCGATCTTTGAGGGATTACCTCCAGCTCAGAAGGGGGGAATATAAAACCAATCAGTCCATTGATAGAGGGGCCCCGTGAGCTGCCCAGCATTGAAACAAGCACCAGAGGTGGGAAATGGAAGAAAAAGAATGAGTTTGAAAGGAATCCTGCCAGCCCTGTGTCCCCAGAGTCATCCCCACCAGTCCTGGCCCACAGTGGTCCAAGAACAACAAAGACAGCCTCTGCAGGGAGAACACCGGGCTGTGTTTGCATCTCTGACCACTCCCCCAGCAGTCTGGATCCTGCCAAATGACCGCTGGTCAAACACGGGCGGGCTCCAGCTGGTCTCATTCCTGTTATGACTGCACTTGGGTTCATTAACACCCAGCCCTCCCCTGTGGGCATGCAAGGCAGGAAGCCTTCTCACTGGCTTGTTTTGCAGCCTAGCTTTTTCTTTCTCAGAAGTGGGGCAGGTGGTACTACATTCGAGTAAAATCATGCTTAGTGGGGAAGGGAACAGGCTGCCCAGGCTTGGGGTGGACACCTCTGGGGCCACATGCTCAGAGGCTCTCTGGCTGCCTCTCTCGTTAGTCAGCCTTTCCTGGCATACCCCCGGTACGTTAAACCGTCGTCTGAAATACCCAGCATTCTGCCGTGGAAAGAAAACATTGAGCTCGGAAAACAGGTGGGATGAGGATATTCCAGGGACCTGGCTCGAGAGCCTCAGCAGGGATCATGTTCCCCAGGGTTGTCCCCAAAGACGGGACACTTTTGTGCACAAGCTGCAGAGCATCAGAAAATCTTGGGGACTGCAAAGCACATCACATGTCTTATAGGCCAGAGCTTCTCAAATTGTTTTGAAGGGCCATTCTGTAAAATTTCCCATCTACTGTAGATGGATACTTTTGTCAAATACTAGAAGAACAAATTACTAGAAGAGTGAAACTTGAAGCTGCAAAATACAAATGCATTGAGTATGTGCTGGGATGTTGCATCAATATCAAGTTGCTGTATACATTTCTAAATGCTCACTCTCAATGTCTGTACCTATCTCAGCACAGGCCACTAACAACTCGTTCACAGAGTATATGCTGAATTGCGCTGGTCTAGATCCTTGCCACTCAATGTGTGGTTCAAGGACCAAGATCATCATCATTACCTGTGAACTTGCAAGAAATGCAGAATCTCAGGCTCCACCTCACACCTATTGAATAAGAATCTGCCTTTGCATAAAATTCCCAGGCAATTTGTATGCATGTGAAAGTTTGAGATGTGCTAGAATAGACCAGGCTTCTGAGCTAATAGATTATAAATGTTTTCTTTCCACTCAACCTTCACGATGTCTTTGAGTAAAGGAGATACTCAACGTTGAAGTGCCTTAACTAAGTTGGAGAGCAGAGGGGGATGTAAAAATTGGCAGGGTCTGCAGGCTGAAATGTTTTATGGGAGTTGAGTAACTGGCAAGAATGAAGAAGAAAAGCTGAGAAAACTGAATAGCCCATCTGTCGCCAGGTAACTCTATGGTTCAGAAGCCACCAGAGAATTACGGCACTCACTTGCCAGATCCAAAGGAAGCCCAGGAGAGTGAGCACAAAGGGTGAGAGACATTTATGAATCCAGTATTGGGAAATGGGCATTGCACCAGGATGAAGCAGAGAGCCCAAGGTCAGGGTGCTGGAGGAGACAACTTGATTCTGTAATGGAGATTGTGGGCGGCCCACGCAGAGACAGCAGGATGTTTATTTAGATCTTGTCTACTTAGCTGGTTGACTGGCTGCAAGTTTGATTATCATTCACCAGGTCTCTATGCCCTCAGCCGGAACCATGTTCCTAATCTGCTTGGCCATTAAGGGCTCTCTGAACCCTGCTCTGTCTCCAGCATAGAGCCAGAGAGGCTGGAAGCTCCCCGGGGTCTCTTTCTGCACCTCCCTCCCGCGGCATGTCTCTGCTTCTGTCTGGGACTGCAGGCCAGCTTCAATCAATTCCCACCGACCAGCAGCCCAGATCTTAATTAAAACATTCAACCTGCACACAAGTGAGGAGAGTAGTCACAGCCCCCTCAGTCCAGCTGAAAGGAAATCACAAGGAATATGTACAGATTCATAAGAGACTTCTATCTCAGGGTGCAGGTGGGGTACAGCCAATCCCTGGTTCCCTTTTCGGAGCACTCCCATACACCTGTCCTCCCTATTCCTGTCTCACCTGCACTGTGACTGTCACTTCGATCCGACTTCCATAGGAGTTCTCTCCCCTTCTGCCCCAAATCACTAAAACACAGAGCTGGGGAGACCCTGGAAACTGAGGACCCCCAATGTTAAGTATCTTGCCCAAAGTCACCCAGCCACATTGTGTCCCTGCCTGAGAGTAACAAGAAAATGCATGATTTGTAAGTCAATCATTCATATTAGTCCCAGTCACCAGATATTCCACCACGATGATAATTTTGTACTTATTATTGTATTGTAATAGTCTACCCTAACTAACAATTTTGGTTCAGAAAAAAAAAGGTCTCCTTATTAATGTCTTTTCTGTGTCCTGACCATGTATTTTTAGCAATCCAACTAAGGGGTTCCAGCTGTTAAACTCTTTGAAGGATAAGTACGTATGAAGAGTTTCACCCAATTACTTCTCCCAGGGGTCCTAAGAGGCTTTGGGGCCTTAAGTTGGGACTACATTGGCTTCAAGGGTGGATAAGACAGAAACTGTCTCAACCTTTGGGTTGTAGAATTCAGGGTGGGATGAGCTCAAGCCTGGGGCTCATGCCAGCCCTCCCTTCCAATTCTACAAGATTCTAGGAAGCATTAGCCTTCATTATTCTATTCCTCAAAGCAGGGCTTCTTTCTGGCAAGTCCCATAACATGAGAGGAGCCTGAATCCCACAAGCCATGACTGGCAGCTCAGAGCAGAGGCGTGTCCTTCACACAGCTCTGGCTGGAAGAGACAACATTCTCAAAAGAAAAGGGCCCCACTGATGACCAGTGATGATGAGCTTTTTTTCATATGTTTGTTGGATGCATAAATGTTTTCTTTTGAGAAGTATCTGTTCATATCCTTTGCCCACTTTTTGATTGGGTTGTTTTTTTTCTTGTAAATCTGTGTAAGTTCTTGTAGATTCTGGATACTAGCCCTTTGTCAGATGGATAGATTGCAAATATTTTCTCCCATTCTGTAGGTTCCTGTTCACTCTGATGATAGTTTCCTTTGCTGTGCAGAAGCTCTTTGGTTTAATCAGATCCTATTTGTTGTCTATTTTGGCTTTTGTTGCCATTGCTTTTGGTGTTTTAGTCATGAAGTCTTTGCCCATGCCAATGTCCTGAATGGTATTGCCTAGGTTTTCTTCTAGGGTTTTCATGGTTTTAGGTCTTACATTTAAGTCTTGAATCCATCTTGAGTTAATTTTTGTATAAGGTGTAAGGAAGGGATCTAGTTTCAGCTTTCTGCATATGGCTAGCCAGTTTTCCCAACACCATTTATTAAATGGGGAATCCTTTCCCTATTGCTTGTTTTTGTCAGGTTTGTCAAAGATCAGATGGTTGTAGATGTGTGGAATTGTTTCTGAGGCTTCTGTTCTGTTCCATTGGTCTAGATATCTGTTTTGGTACTGGTACGATGCTGTTTTTGTTACTATAGCCTTGTAGTATAGTTTGAAGTCAGGTAGTGTGATGCCTCCAGCTTTGTTCTTTCTGCTTAGGATTGTCTTGGCTATGTGGGCTCTTTTTTGATTCCATAAGAAATTTGAAGTAGTTTTTTTTCCAATTCTGTGAAGAAAGTCAATGGCAGCCTGATCAGGATAGCATTAAATCTATAACTTACTTTGGGCAGTAAGATACCATCTCACACCAGTTAGATTGGTGATAATTAAAAAGTCAGGACACAACAGATGCCAGAGAGGATGTGGAGAAATAGGAATGCTTTTACACTGTTGGTGGGAGTGTAAATTAGTTCAACCATTGTGAAAGACAGTGTGGAGATTCCTCAAGGTTCTAGAACTAGAAATACCATTTGACCCAGCAATCCCATCACTGGGTATATACCCAAAGTATTATAAATAATTCTACTATAAAGACACATGCATATGTATGTTTACTGTGGCACTGTCCACAATAGCAAAGACTTGGAACTAACCCAAATGCCCATCAATGATAGACTGGACAAAGAAAATGTGGCCCATACATACCATGGAATACTATGCAGCCATAAAAAAGGATGAGTTCCTATCCATTGCAGGGACATGGATGATGCTGGAAACCATCATTCTCAGCAAACTAACACAGGAACAGAAAACCAAACACTGCACGTTCTCACTCCTAAGTGGGAGTTGAACAATGAGAACACATGGACACAGGGAGGGTAACATCACACACTGGGGCCTGTCGGGGGGTCGGGGGCTAGGGAAGGGATAGCGTTAGGGGAAAACCTAATGTAGATGACCGGTTGATGAGTGCAGCAAACCACCATGGCACATGTATACCTATGTAACAAACCTGCACGTTCTGCATATATACCCCAGAACTTAAAGTATAAAAAATAAAAAATAATAACAATAAAAAAGAAAAGGCCCCCACTGAAAACACAGCCATCATTAACTTCTCTGTCTGGCAAAGCAAGCCCCAGGATGTGCCACATCATGGCCCCCGCTTCTTCTCTGCCCCATGAGTCCCAGCCCCCTTCTGCCCACCAACCACTCTCCTTCTTGTTTCCTGAGACACACCCAGCCCCACCCTGCCTTTCAGCAGGCACTTGCACTCCTTGAAAGTCCCAAGGAGCTTGTACTTCCTCACATTGGTTGGGCATGAGCTGGGCTAAGGCCTTTCTGTTCTCCTTTTGTGCTTCTAATGTTGAAAAATGATGTCTGTAATAAGACAGTAAATTCTTTGCTGGTGACTCAAAAGCCGGTAAGCAGAGAAGGCAGTGGATGGGAAGGAACGCAGAGGGCAAACTCTAGTTACTTCTCCCCATACCACAGCATCACAGTCTTAGGGAGTTTCCCTTTTGCCCCATCCCTTTCGAGTAAAGCAAAGGGATGATGGAATCTAGTTTCTGCTTCCCCTCAATGCCAGTTAGCATTAGTGGAAAGGAGAGTCTGTGCCCAGCCAGGAGGACGGAAGGGTACCAGCAGCTGGCAGGAGCAGGTATGTGCACGTGTGTGCATGAGTGTGTGTGGCCATGCTGCAAGGTGGCATCAGGTAGGTGACATGGGAAATGCAATGCCCAGCATCAGTCTCAGGGCAGGAGAACTGGGGCTAGGGGAATCCACTTCCCTTCCCTTACTCGATCTCCCCCATAGTGACTGGCAAAGCATGTTGAAGAAGAAGTAGAAACTCCTTGCATTTGTCTTCTGTTACTGGGGACAGCTTGTGCTGATATGTTCTAATTACTTCTCTGGTTCACCCATGTGAACTAATGGGCAACCTCAAGGGATAGTGCAGGATCCTGGGGCTAGCCAAAGTAAAGCACCCTTACAACCCTTTAGCCTGAGGGAGCAAAGAATGGGGATGTTTATTGGAAGCTGAAAGGAGAATCGTGTAGGGCAGATGACTTTGAGAAGTGATCTTAGGTAAAGGATGCAGCCAACCCCAGGCTACCCAGCAGGGGTGGACAGTGGGTTAGGGGGGCAGTGCTAAAAGTGGGGAACCAGTGTGAATTAATCTCCAACCTCTATCCTTTCCATCCCACCAGTCTCCTGCCGGGGTCCTCACTGTCCTGTTCATCCAGTAGTCAGAGGCCAGGGAGGCCACCGAGGCAGACTCCACAATCTTTGGAGGGCACAAGGCTCTGGAGCATGAATAAAAGATTCCTGGAATGGCTGGGCCCGGTGGCTCACGCTTGTAATCCCAGCACTTTGGGAGGCTGAGGCAGGTGGATCACCTGAGGTCAGGAGTTTAAGACCAGCCTGGCCAACATGGTGAAACCCCATCTCTACTAAAAATATGAAGCATTAGCCAGGCACGGTGGCAGGTACCTGTAATGCAAGCTACTTGGGAGGCTGAGGCAGGAGAATCACTCGACCCTGGGAGGCAGAGGTTGCAGTGAGCTGAGATCACACCATTGCACTCCAGCCTGGGCAACAAGAGTGAAACTTGGTCTCAAAAAAAAAAAAGAAAAGATTCCTGGAAGAAGCACACATTGGTGTGCATGGGAATTACTCATTGATATTTCTGTCCTACTAGAACATAAGTTCCTGGAGGGCAGCATCTATGTGCCAAGGGCATGATGGGCCCTCGATAAATATTTATTACATTAACAAGAGTATATATGAAGAAATGAAGGAATGGAAGGGCATCATGGAGGGAACAAAGCTAACTAACCTTCTTGTAGTCTGTAAATGTGCACCTGCTATCAGGAGGCCCCAGCCTGTCTTTCAGACTCACTCTCTGAAAAGTGCGGACACTGTTTCTCCCAATCTGTCCTCACAATCTTTCCAGGGCTGCCACTCCCTGAGTTTCCCAGGTCTCCTGGGTTCACAGTCATGATACTCCAAGCTGGCAGGAGGCTCACCCCTGGCAGGTGATGCTCCAGGCAGGTAGCCGAGTGCCCCAGAGGCTCTGGCAGTCACTGTCTGGCCTCAGTGCTCTTCTACAGTGAGGTGTGGCGCAGAGCTGAGCATCGCGCATTGCTGTATGCCCTGTTTCACAGTTACTGTGGCAACAGCCAGGCTTCAGCCTCGCCTAGGTTGTCCTGGGGAGGATGGGCCGCTGTTGGAGGCTACAGCAATCCTGTGAGCCACAGCCATCCTGGTCATTGTGCAGGTCCAGGCATCTCAAACCAGGGAGTAGACACAGACACTGGAGTCCTGCTGAGCCCCAGGCTGGCCAGGAGACAAAACAGGCGTGATCATTCACAAAACCCAGGAGCCCTAGGAGATGCCGCCTCCCTGTGTCCATCTGAGCACCCAGGCCCTGCAGCAGAGGACCTCCTCCGGTTGGCACGAAGGCGCTTCACAGCTTCCTCTGCAGCCACGCCTTACCCCATCCCACCCTACCCCATGCCCCAGCCAAATAAAACTATTACAGTTTTATTATACCAATTGTCAGTTTCCTCCTCCGAATTTTCTCATGCTGTTCCTCATCCTTTTCGCTGGAAATGTTCACTTATCCTCCAAGGCCTAGCTCATGCTTACCTTCTCTATCAGCAACATTGACCCCCAACACCCCCCCCCACCACCACCACCACTGACCCCAGCCCCACCCACCCAAGAAGACTCTCCCACTCCCCATTCTAGGCTCCTACAGAGGGTGATAAATCCCACTCCCCTGCCAGACTGTGTCTCTCATCTGATTATCAGCCCAGCACCTAAGGCAGTGAATGGGTACCTTGATCATGGTACCCTCAAGAACCCATGATCCAGAGAGGCTGTATTGGCTTTAACCTGGGTGTCAAACTAAGGAGTCAAGAGCAAACAGCCCCACATATGAACCTGGATTTGGGCATGGCTGATTATCATGGGAGCACCCTTCCTCCCAACAAGCTCATCACTCAAGTCCTACTTTTGTTAGCTAAACATTCATTCATTCATTCATCTGAGAAATATTTAGTAAGCATGACACTACACAACACTGTGCTAAGCACTGAGAATGCAGAGTGCAGCAAGACATAGTCCCGGCTCTCTAGAAACTCCTAGGCTAGGAGGAGAGACAAAAGAGTAAGTAGACATGGCAAGGGAAGTGGAGAGGATGGTGGGAATCCACAGAAGAGGCCCCTGATTCCATGTAAGAGAGAAACTGGACATTTAGAGGCTTGAAGTTCAGCCTGGATGAAACTAGCAGAGCGGGGCGGCACCAGGACACTAAGCCATCTTCAGACCATGGCAGCAGAGCCCAGGCTTGACTCAGAAGCGGGGCTGTGTAACAATCCAGGCTTTTCTGCCAACTTACGACAAGACTTATTAGAGATTCCAGGCACAGTGGTATTGAGACACAGACCACTAATTTGCACCCCACCCTCTTTTTTTTTTTTTTTTTCGTATTAACTGGCATCTCTGCCTGACCTTCCCCAATCCTCTGACAGCCTGGGAGTTTGCCTGGCTAGCAGCCATCCAGATTTCTTTTTTTCTCCAAGCCCTGGCCAAGACCCAGGATACATGGGAGAGGGGGAAGGGAACAGTTTGTGCTCATGCAAAGCTTGCTCTTGCATACAGCCCCTGGGCCGGGATGGAGCCGAGTTTCCTCTGAAGCGGGGCCCAGCCAGTAGAGCTGCCTCTGTCCTACCCCCTCGAGACACCCAAGCCGATTTGGTGCAGATGGCACCAGCAGATGCCAGTCCCTAGGAGGGTCCCTCCTCCCTAGCTAATGAGGGGAGCAGGTGAAGGGACCAGAGAATGTGATCAGGAGTGAGAAGTGAAACAAACACTAGATTAAGAGTTAGGAACCTGGGTTCTAGTCCCAGCTCTGCCACAAATAGGCTATATGACTTTGGGCAAGTCACTTCACCTCTCTGACCCTAGGTGTCCCTGTTGTCTGAGTCTGTGATTCTAGCTGTCAGAAGTGCAAATACTGCTTTAAAAGAAAGGAAAACTGGGTTTTCACTTCTGCTCTGTTGTTAACCTACTGTGTGATGTTGGGTAAATTCCTTCACCTCTCTGGGCTAAGATTAGCCATCTTTTAGAAGTCACATCGCACGCAACATGCAATTAAAACTGAGTTAATGTGAGGCCAGGGCCATGAATGACCCAGGAAGAAATCATGAGAATCTATGAAGAACCTTTCCCCACTTTTTCCCACTGTCCTTGCCCTGGGATTCTAGTCATGAGGAAGCTGCTGGTCCACCCACTGCATGTGCAGTCCTGCTCTGAGCTCCTGCCCTTCCTCCCGCACTAAAAAAATCTCTCTGCTTCGCCAGAATTCTCTGAGGCCATCTGTGGCTCTGATCCACCAGTCAGGTGAGCCGTGGGACCAGCCCTGGGGATTCTCAGCCTTCAGGGATCCTGGGCCTCATCACATGCAGATGTAGTCCTGCCTTTCCGGGGCAGGTGTGGCTGCACACTCCAGCGAAAGTGAAGCTGCATCTCTCTGCAGCCTTACAGCAAATGGGTAGCCACCACAGCTGCTGATAAACAGCTAGGGGAGCCATTGGCCAAATAACCCACTTTTCACACCTGGAAATAATGGGGGAAACACTCAATTAGGCATTCAGGTGTAGGTCTGGACTGGAGTGGAAGTCACAGCCTGCCCTCCAGGCTCCTAGAAATCACTGGTTTGAGGCTGTTGCAGGATGACAGGACCATGGGTTTTATGGGGGCTAGTTGGCATGGCTGAGGACAAGGGGCTGGCTGGTGACCATTCAGGCAGAAAGGAAGATGAGGAGTGGGGACAAGATGAATAAGCACTTTCTTTAGAGTCTGAGGCCCTGTGAGAGGAAGAAATCAATGGAAACCTTGGGAGGGACCCCAGAGAGAGTCCTGCTGAGAGAGGGTGTCGGCCAGATAAATTTGATGATGCAGCACTGAGTGGGGGCACAAAGTCCTATTTGAAGTATTGCAGGCAGGCTGGCACGTGCGTCCCACCTGTGCATCTCATGTCTGGCCATGTGGCCCCTGACATGCTGCTGGGCAGAACCAGGGGGAAGCAGCAGCCAGTTAAACCCTGGCACCCATGCAGGCAGCCTCTGATAGGCAAACAGCCTGGAAGCTGGGAGCCTCAATTAGCCTCTTGGAGAGAGGGGAGAGTATTACTTGATTTTCTTTGCCGCCCAGAAAAAGCAAGAAGTCCAGATGCAAGTGCAATCCATGACCACTTGCTCTAGAAGGAATGACCAGGATCCCCATGGCCGGGAAACAAATGATGAAGCCAGTTAGCAGCCTGATTCCAAATTAGAGTTTCTCCCATTATACCTATGCCTGTACACATGTTCAAGACACAGAAAGCTTTCACTGTTTGGGGGTATTTTGTTTTCTCACAAAATATGGGCAACTGGTATCCCAAGAGCTGCCATAGTTTGGTGAGATATAAATTTCTGGTCCTTTAAGCCTCACTGGAGATAGACAGTGATGTTGCCTGGGGACTTCCTGGGACACACAGCTGAACAAAAGTAGGGGTAAGGCAAATGTACCCTAGAGATGAGGAGCTGTGGTCAAAGTGATCACATCAAGAGAAAGCCTTCAGCCAGCCCCCTGGGATATCCCCACAATGGATGGGCAGAAAGGACTCTGGAGACTCAGTACAGATACTGAAGAGTATGCCATGCTTTGAAAATTGGGGAGTTCATAAAGGGAATGGGGAGAGCTGCAGGTTCCCTAGGTATCTATGGAAGTTTCGGAAAGAGATGAAGAATAGCCAACACATATGTAGCACTCATATAAATTAACTCTAATTTTCACAACAGCACTGTAAGATAAGCACTATTTTTATCCACACTTGATAGATAAGGAAGCTAAGCCACAGAGAGGTTAAGTAGCATGTCCAAGGTCGAACAACTGATTAGTGGCAGGGCTGGACTTGGGTTTTGGGTTTTTTATTTTTTTTGTTTGTTTTTGAGACAGTCAACCCCTATCACCAAGTATGGAGTGCAGTGGCACAATCTCAGTTTGCTACAACCTCCGCCTCCCAGGTTCAAGCAATTCTCATGCCTCAGCCTCCTGAGTAGCTGGGATTACAGGTGTGTGCAACCATGGCCGACTAATTTTTTGTATTTTTGGTAGAGGACGGGGCTTCACCATGAGATGAGGCTGGTTTCAAACTCTTGGCCTCAAGTGATCCACCTGCCTCAGTCTCCCAGTGTGCTGGGATTACAGGTGTGAGCCACCGCGCCTGGCCAGCAGGGCCAGACTTTGAACCTCAGGAGGCTTCTCCCAAAGCCTGTGCACTCTTAACCACGGTGCAGTGCACCCTCTCCAGAGTGAAGCAGGATGCTCGTTTCTTTAGGGAAAGACCCTGCCTTGGTGTGGGAAATAGAGCCTCCAGGGGCGGCCCTGCCCCACACCTGCCTGGGGCCTAGGGAAATCCTGCCCCAAGATCCAGACCCAGACACCTGCCACTCTGACAGCTGGCACAGGGATGGGGGCTGGGGACATCACACCACCCGCATTCTCTGCAGGGATACCCAGCCATCCATTTTAGGCTAAAAGCCTTCTCCGCATCTCAGCCTTCCCCAAAATTTTACAAATACTAGAAGATAAAAGCGCAGGAACCAGCATGAATGAAGTTGGTTTTTAAGAGACAGTGTTTAACATCAAGATCCTTCTGATGTGAGTAATTTGGATTCTGATGCAATTCTGGATTGTTTGTTGAATTATGCATCAGCAGCTTCTGTTGCTGTAAAAAGCACCACCGTCACTCGAGCTAATCTGAAACCTGCAGCAATGAAGACAGTTGGGTTCACAGTTTGGATACTGAGATGCGTCTTTGATGATAGTGAACCAGCAGAAGGAGAGAAACAGACACAAGGGCAAGTGGAGAGCAGGTAGTAGGAAGAATTGGGGGAATGAGGTAGGATTAGGTGCTTTATTTACCACACACTCATGAGAGCCCCATGCTGGGAGAAAGAAAAGACCCAAAGAGGTGAGCAGATATCAGCTTCCCCCAAATCCAGGAAATTCCACAGGATACAGAAAGACAAGAACAGAGAGAACCAGGGATTCATTCTGGCAAAGGATGAAGCAGCTCCTAGACTGTCAAATGCCCACTGTCTCTACCACCTGAAATATGATGCTCTCCTTCAAGCTCTTGACCTATGCTGGGGGCCTTCCTACTGGGCCAAAGGCCATCATGGTCATCATTATTAATTATTTTCTCAGTGTTTTAATATGTATTTCAGGTTGATATCCTTATTTAAAAGCAATAGCTAAGGACAGTATGCCTATTTGACGAAGGGCACAGGGGAGAAAGGTGATATACCTAAAGTCACACAGCTGCTTAGCAACCGGAAGGAAATTGGAATTCCAGTCTCCTGACTGCCAGTCACCTTCTCTTCCATCACCCCAGGCTTTGCCATCTCACTATGGAGGCTCCCAGGATCTCTGACAACCCATCAGACCCACTGCTTAGGCTGGGAATGCCAAGTCCCATGCCTGGAGCAGTAGAAAGCAAAGGCACCAAAGCCCCAAGCTAAGCCACCTAGTCCAAAGCCACGCTGTGCCTCTAGCATGGTGTGTCCCTGAGCAAGTTATGGAACCCTTGGTGTCTCAGTTTCCTTATCTGCCATAGACGCCTGATAATAGTTCTTGCTTCATGGAATGAGATGATCCATTTGAAACCTTTGGATCAATGCTAAGCAGAAAATAAATATAACCTGCCATTTTCATTATTGATATTCTCCTGTGAAACTGTTGTGACTTCAGAGGACTGATCCCAAAGCCTGCCAGGAAGACCCTGCTGAGTGTCCCGCTCTCCTGAATAGCCCATGTCCTCACTATCACAGGTTCTATTCGTGTCGCAACAAGGAACCACACATCCAAGGCAGCCAAGCCAGGAGGGCCCTGGGTGTGCGGGAGTCAGCTCTGTGGAGATGCCGTCCATGCCCGGTCTGACGGGAACCCCAGCTCTGCGTTTCTCCTTTTCATGAAGCCAGTGAGCCAAAACCACCCTCCTGGGCTGGCCCAGTTTAAGAGCCTGGGCTCCAGGGACGCAGGGAGGCCCCTCAGCCCAATTATAAATCAATCTAGCAGCACTCACTGAGGCCATTGCCATAAATGGCTCTAAAAGCTCAGCCTCTTTCGGCCCAATAGGCTCAGGGCTCCAGGATTAATGAGCATCAGCTGCCGGCAGGCTGGTGGGGACAGATGCCGACCTAATGAGCACAGTGGCCCAGCCCTCGCCAGCTCGAGGTGGACAGGGCTGATGAGCAGGTGTCATTGTCATGATGCCCCTTTGCCAAGTGTCACTTTGAAAGGGAGGGCTGTTGTCATCAAGTGGCATCTTATTACCCCACCTCAGGACACCCACAGGAGATTCTAAAGGCTGTCCACAAAGATGGCCTTTGTGGCTGCCACCTCCACTCCTCAGCTGGCCCTGGCACCAGGTTTTTCTCAAGGCCTCTCAACCACAGGGCTGGATAAGGGTTTTAGAATCCTGGGCATCCCCTCCCATCCCATGCCATCTGATTGGTGCTGCATTAAAGTACAGAGGTCCCTGCTAGAATTTCCCTCAGTCACGTCTCTATTACACCCACGGGCTTCAAGTTTGCCTGGAGTATTTACACACAGTTCTGCAGATTCAAATGGATTCAAATGGGCGCAAGGGCTCAGCATCACACTGGTCACCAAAGGGACACAACCCAGTCCCTGCAAGACATATCAGCTTGTATGTCAGTCAAAGACACAGGCCTTAGAGGGACTGATCATAAGCATAAAACATAGCAACAACAAAAATAGTCATGATCACTTCTTCAGCATTTATTTTGTGCCAAGCACTGTTCCACGCTCTTTATATGTGCTGGCTTATTTAGTAAATGTGAATGAAAGACTCTGAATAATAAGAGTCACGTTATATTAAGGCAGTCAATGCAGGTGAAACAAAAAAAGGAAAGATCACTTCGGCTGACTGGAGAAATCAAGAGAGGCTTCATGGGGGAGGCGGGACCACACTGGTCCTAGTGCAGTCTGGGAAGAGTGTTCCAGAAGCAGAAGCAGGCACACCTGGGCAGGGCTACAGTGAGTTTGCTGAAGGTCACACATCTGTGCTTTGGAGGGCAGAGCTGCAGGGCCACAGGTATATTCAATGTAGTGGGTTCTGGCATCTGAAAATGTTGTTAGGATGAAATTTCAAAATCAGGTTTTATTCCTGATGAAAGTAGACTGCTCTTAACTGGGGCTTCACTGCTTCTTTTCCATTTCTGTTTGGAGTGTGATTTTTTTAAGGTAAGATGTACACGCAATGAAATGTGCAGATCTTCAGTGCACACTTTGATGAGTTTTTGACAAATGCCTTCACCTGTGTAACTAACAATCCAATCGAGATCTAGAATACTTTCATGGGCATGAAAGGGGAGGAATGTGACCTTTGTGATCAGATGGTCCCATACCTACATCTTCTGGGCATTTGTAAGTTGGAATAAATCAAAATAATCAACTTCCTCCCTTACCCCACGCCAGTCCACCTCCTACCCCCGGAGAAAAAATAAAATAAAATTCATCCACATCTAAACAGACAAATGCCTACCTAGTCTGTCTGTGTATTTGTTACCTTTGTGCCCCAGAACCAAGCTTCATACCAGGCACAGAGTGAATGATCCATACGTGTTTCTTAAAAAAAGGAATTAACATCCTCAGATTAAGGTCTCCCAGGAAGTAAAGGACTCCACTTTCTCTAAGTTCCCATGTGACACTGACAATTATATTTTCCTGTCCTCTCTGTTGAGATTAGGAAGGAGTCCCTAGGAGGATGCAGAAGAGTATCCTTTTGTCCTGTCTCCTACCTGTCACCCAGACTCTTGTGTTCTCTACAGCCAGTCCATCTTAGGCCTCAAATTCCATATGTTTGACAAAATCAAGCAGGTAGTTCAAGGTGCTCGTCTCTCCTCCCAGCTATTCAGCAGACAAAATCTGTGACATAATGTACCCCAGCCTCAGACACGCTCACCCTTCTTTCCCAGGCCCTGTGTGAATGGGCCAGGCCACTCCTTGATAGTTTTCAGGCAAAACACATGAGAACACTCCCAGGAAAGAGAAGCCTCCAGGGGTACCATCCGTATGCATACCACGCATTTACTTCCTAGCCTCACCAGCGTTTTGGGTGTGGCCACAGCTACTCCCCAAACCTTTCATCTTGCAAGTCCCTAGATGTCCTCCTCGGGAAAGCTCCCTGCGCACAGCTTGTGGGAGACTGCAGGCTCATAAACAGCATAAGCCAGCATTCCAATCAGATTATTTCTCACTTGCAATATTGCACAAAGAGAAAAAAATAATGCTGAACATTCTGTTCGTGGAAGAAAAAATAGCAGGAGAAAACTGTCACATTGTTTGGTCTATTTTCAATTTCATTCCCGAGCCCTGCAAATAGCTATCTGTGCAAGCAGGCCAGAAGAGGACTCCAGCGACCTGACATGCACGATCTCAGATCAGGTCTCTAGGGCCTGTGAAAAAGGGAGAGACCTTTGGCTGGCACATATCTACACATGTGATAAAATTGCACAAGACTAAATACACACTCGCCAATGCAAAAAACTGGTGAAATCTGAATGGATAAGCTTGGTGGGTTGTACCAGTCAATTTTCCATTTGTGATATTGTACTATAGTTATGCAAAATGATGCCACGTGGAGGGGAGAACTGAGTGAAGGGTACAGGAACCCCTCTGTACAATTTATTGCAATTGCATGCAAATTCACGATTATCTCAAAAGGCAAAGTTAAAAAAATGCGCTTCCAGTGTCTGATTTAATGGGACTAGGTTGCAGCCTGAGCATCAGAGTTTTAAAAGCTCCCTAGGTGGTTCTAATGTGAAGCCCAGGCTGAGAACCTTTGCTCATGAAGGTTGGGAAGGTGAGACACACACATGAAATCCAGAAACAATCAGCATGTGATACAGTACCAAAAGCTTCATGAATACTTGTGGAGCAAATCAGTGAACTGCTGAACAGACGCATAAGGTTAGAGGAAGTCCGGTAGGATGAGGGAAGACTTCATGGTGAAGTGGAACTTAATCAGGACGGGGCATAAGTGGAGAATTCAGAGGACGGGAAAGGGCCCTCTAAGCCAATAAAGAAGGGCTCAGAGATTGTGTGGCCATACTGGGGAGGAGGGGAAGAACTGAACTTGGGGACAGCTGAGGAGTGAAGATGGATAAAACTTTTCATAATAAACTGGCTCTATCCCTGTGCTTAGACGAGTGGATCTTTCAAACACCTGAACCAGCTCTAAGTCCCTGCAAATTGCCAAGAGCAATTTTCAGCAAAAAGCCAATTCCCCAGAAGGCACTTGGCATCTCTCAGATAAGCAAAAGAGGGGGAGGCTGGAGAGGCTTCAGAATATAGTATCGATGGGTATAAAAGTAAGCAGTCCTTGTCATGGTTCATGTCACTTTGCCTGACTGCACTTCAGCTGGCCTTAGATTCCCCAGTCGAGAGCCCAGCCAGGTGCTAGAAAATACCAGAAATGACCCGGGAAAGGGTAAAATGGAAATCTCAAGCCTACATACCAAAGCGAATGCACTTGACTCAGCAGGTCCCTAGAGTAATCATGCAACACCTCTTTATTCTTATTTTATACACAAGTCTAATAAGCTTGAGTATCTGTTTCCAAGCCCGTAGCAAATTAAAAAGAACAAATTAAGTGGCAGCAGGAGAGCTGCATCAGACAGGATCAGTGACAACAGTGAGAAGTGACAGGTGCCAGACACCCTGACGGTAGGCGGGGAGACAGAAAGCTATAAAAAGTAACTTGGGGCACTCACCTAACATGAGGAAGCCACCCTAGCGAGGCACAGGGGCTCCATTGTAAAGGTGGAGAAAGAGCTTTAAGATACTCAAGTCCAAGTTCTAAATGCCTTGGAGAACATCTCTTTGCCTTTTCCTGTTATTAATTAGTCCAACATACACACAGGGGAGAGGGGCAGTGTGCTGCTGCAGGCTGCCACTATGGGAGGGGCAGCTGGCTAATCATCTTATTGCAGGAAATACCCCCTGCCAAAAACACAGCTCCCCTCTCAAAGCCTGCTTTCTCACCTTGTAGCACTGGCCACTGCCATCACAGGGTATGCAGAGCAAAGGACAGGCTGCTCCCGAGCCGCTCAGTCCATCGGATCAATCAGGTTTAACAAGGAGGCATCCGAGGATCAGGAGAAACACCTCCTACATTATTACCACAGCACCATCACTTTGCATGAGACAGGTCTGGCTGGGAACGCCACCTCCAGCATGGACAGAAACTGCGTGTCCTTGACCCAGTTGTTTCATTTCTTGTGCTGAGCACGCCCACCCATTGACCCCCAATCCAGAGAGCTAGTGTTGAAGAGCTCATTAACAAAACACAAAACACTCAGCTGACGCACCGCCACCATGCAAATGCGTAATAACTGGATCTCTCTTCCCCCACAGCTAACCTCAAGCATCTCTTCTTGGCCAGCTGCATTGCCTTGGCTCTCTGTGTGGTTCAGAGCCAGAGAGGGCAGGCTGGGCAGCCACTTCCATGCCAACATCCCAGGAGGCAGTGCTTGGAGCAGGAAGATGAGAGAAGATGATCTCTCCCACTACACAGAGCCCAGGTCCCGGCCCCAGACTCAGAGGCCCTGACGCCTGCTATGCCTGGTCCACAAAAGCAGCAGGGAAGGGCATGGATGCTGGCAATGCACTGCCCCCTCAGGAGCCAGCACTCAATCATGTTCTCTCTAAAGAATGCCAGTGTCCCATTTTCATCCAAATGTGAAAGTTGAAAAAGAGAAGTCAGGCAAGGGAGAGAGGCTTTTAAGATTTCCCCTACTCAGGGGAGGAGCTGGCAGCGTGAGCCTAAAACCAGGCAGGCAGGTAACGGGAGGGGGCCCTAATTGCTGCTAAAGATCACGGGGTAACCCTGATGACACCTGAAAGTCTTCCGTGGATCCTCAGGCACAAAACATAAATCATCTCCCTCTCACTTCTTACTGATCGCGTTTGCTTGCTGTGTCAGCTGAATTCCCAAATTGGCCTGGGTTTAAATTGGGACTTTTTTTTCCCTTCCTGGCCTGGCTTTTCCTCCACTCTCTCTCTCCAACCTCCTCCCACCCCATGGGAAGTGATGACAGAGGAATCTGCCTGCGGACTCCAAAATGCAGGTTTGTGGCTTCACTTTGTGGGGTGGGAGGGAAGAGGCAGAGAGCAGGGAAGAGGGCATTTGGGGGCTTACTTCGGGGACAGGACCTGAGGGATCAGGAGGGAGAAAGTGGCCATCTGGACCCACTTGCCGACTTTTGGTGTCCTGTCCTCCTTCCAAGTAAACCCCTTCTCAGTCCCCAGGGCAGCCAGGAGAGTCTGCAACAGACATGCTCCATTCAGTAGGGGCGGGACTCAGGAAGTGCAACAGGGAAGGTCAGAGCCGGATAACGGGTCTGTAGTTGGCCCTGCTGTTCTGGGGAGCAGATATTCACCTGGGCTCTGTGGTGGGCCAGGAGACAAGGCTTTCTTTCTTTCACTTCTTTTGTTTCCACGGGTCCCCAAGCACCTCCATAACACAGGATGGGTCAGAGCCCATTGAGGAATTAACCCAGAGGCCTTGACCCTAAATAGCTCCATGAGAAGGCTGAACCTTACTAACCCTCCAGGAGGCTGATGTGAGGCTACACACAATGCCACCAGCTCTGATGGGCCCGCCCAACACAACTCCAGGAAATGTCCCAAGAAAGCTTTCCAAAGACCCCTTTTCCTAGACTATGGGGGACTCCCCCCAGTGACTTCATCACTCAAACCACAACCAAAACGATATGCAGCCCCCTTAGCCTTTGTGAGGCAGAGGAGAAGGCTGGTGCGCAGCCTCCACCACTGTCACCAACCAGCCCTCACAGGCCCAGAGCCAGGGGGCAGTGGGCAGGTGGCCTCCCACTGGGTGGCAGAACAGGATGGCCACACAACCAACACGGCTTGCTGGTGTCACAGTGTCCCTGTTACATGGACCTGGCAGTGCACCAGGTGACATGGAGGCCACACACTACAGGGTAGTGATTAAGAATGGACTCCCAAGTAAGACTGCTTGATTGGCATCCTAATGAGCAATATGATCATGTTATTTAACTTTCCCATGTTTTGTCCCCTGTTAAAGGGGGTGATAGTAACAGCGCCACCTCATAGGGGTATAGAGATTGAGATAATTCATGTAAAGTTCTTAGAACAGTGCCAAGCTGGTGTAGGTTGTGATTATTATTCTGATGCCTACTACTACTATTATTATCCCTGTGGCCCAGGAGACCAGAAGGTATAGAGGGTGGAAAGACGAAGCTTCAGGGGGAGTACTGCACAGGGTGGGGTACTACTGCCTTCCTGTCACCCCAGTGTTCCCACTGGCTTCCCCAGGGCTGGTCCTCCTTGTTGTGAAGGATCTGAGTCTGACGTTCTACTTTAAAATAACATCAAGGGGATCCATTGTTTCAGCAAAATAATAAGAGAGGGCAGCTGAGGGTATGTGTGTGTGTGTATGTGTGTGTGTGTGTGTGTGCATGTATGCATGTGTGTGTGTGTTGGACACATTCTCTTCTGAGGGATGTATGTTTTCTACTCCATAGCTCTCAGAAGCAGTTTGCTGAAACATGGTACTCCCAGCTTGGCTGAAATCGGGAGGCAGGGCAGTGGAGCCTGGGCCTTGGTGATTAAAAGTCTGGGTTTGAAATGGGCTACCGCAATGCCGAGTTTTGGGTTCCTTGTACACTGATGAGGCAGGACTAGGCTGTGCCTACAGCTGCTCTTACTTAGGAAATCCTAGGAACTGTGATTCCATACCTGCTACATTGGACTCACCACGAGATGCTGAGCCAGCCATCCCCTTTTCTCTCTGATCTCACTCTTCCTTGGTTCAACTTCCCTGGTCTTCAAGAAAAACAGTCAGAGGAGCAGGGGCCACAGGAAATGGAGAGTCCTGGTTACTGCCAGCCTTGGAAAGATGGGTGACAGCTCTCGGTCCTCCCAGGGGAGGAGGTGTCGGCTTAGCAGGCCTCCTCAATCTGGAGCCCAGGCTGCAAAGCCAGGGACGCTGGGCTGAGTGGATGCCCCACAGGTCCCACAGCCCATCACTTGCAGAGCCAGGTGGTATTTCTGGTTTTCACTACACATACCCATGTGGCACAAAACATACATTGTGAGGATGTGCAGAGAGCATCTGGATTCCTTAGACTTCAGGTTCCCCATCCTTTAGGGCAGTTTTAAAAATTGTTTCGCTGGAGGCCTACCCAGGAAATCTTACTCACATTGAAAACCAGGATGAAACCCAGGAAAACAAGTCTTCCCCTTGCTACCTGTAATGCACTCAGATATTTTTCTTTCTTACTCTATTCCATTTAAAAGAAGGTTGGCCACAGCCCACTACATTGACTTAAAGCCATACGATGAGTTTGTGGCCCCCTGGCTTGGAAAGCACCATTTGAGCAGCAGGGCAGTGACAATGACTCAATGTGGCCTCAGTGCAGGCAGAAATCCCATTTTGCAAAGGGACAGACTGCCTGACAAAGTCAGAGTCCAAGTGTCTCCAGGCTTACACTGCAGGGTTAAAAGAACTTTTCAGATCCATGAACCTCTTCACAGAGAAGGATTTCTGCATCCTTCCAATGACTAATTCTCAGCCCAGACAGAAGTTGGCTCATTTGAAAGGGATAGCATGCCCTCCTGCCACACAATGGTCTGAGTATTTTTTCCGTGGCCCATAAATGAAGCTGACATTAGATAAGTCACTCACGCACTTCAAGAACTTCTTCAAAATTGGAGTCAGTTACTCAGCTACTCCAATTGTGGCTTATTTCCTCACTTCTGAGATTTTTAGGAATTGAGTAAACTAGAGCGCGTTCTAACTCACCTGTTGTTCACCTTTAACTCTCCCATCTTTGGATGCTATGGGAAACCCAGGAGCCTCCTGACCACATGAATGAAAAGAATAGGGCTTCTCCTTTGGCCTCCTAGCTTCAGAGCATCTGCTCCCTCCTAGCCAAGTATCACTTACTTAGGCATATCTGATTTTTATCATGTCTCAAATTTATAAAACCAAAAAAAAAGAAAAGAAAAGGTCCAGGGTTTACCTCATCCAGCCTTCTGTTTCACAGGTTAAAAGAGCATGACCCAGGGGCATTTACGACTCACCTGGAACCACACAGGTTGTTAAGAGTGAGGGCTAGAATTTGGGTGACCTGTCTCCCAGGAGCCACGCAACCTCTCTGTGAATGAAGGTAAGAAGGGCCAAGTTCAAATCTCGAATGTCCTTGTGCTTCCCCAACTCTGCATTTGCAGAGAAGGTTGAGTGGGCACCGAGAGAATCAAAATAGAGTAGGTGTTCATTTTGAGGGGAAAACTCAACTTTCTAGGCCTCATTTACCCCTTTTCTAATGATAAGGAAAACAAGCCCAAACGGGATTTCCACTTTCATAAGAACCCTTCATCTCCCAAGTCCTCATCTGCCTTATGGAGTCTGGGATAGAAGGGCATTCTAGTAATAGCTACACTGATGGCCCTGACTGATGCACCTGCAAAGACAGATATTGACGCTCTCATTTATTCTGGTAGTCCTGCCTGACAGACTGCCCTAAAATGAGCAGGAGCTCATTATCTCAGCTGGCCTTCTCCTTAAGCAAGGCGGAAATGGCCCAACCCTTTCTGGGACACCCCACCCCTGGGACTCGGAGGCCCTCTGAACAGCAGGGATGAGATGGACTGATGTGGATCATCATAGTAGCCAAATGAGGCCCTCTGGTGATTTTCACAGAGAGGTGTGTGGCACCCATTTTCTAGTGTGAGAAGTTTCTAGTGTGAGAAGTGTGTTTTTGAGTCCATTGATCCGGCACTCTGGATTTCCTCCAGGGATGTAGATGCATCCTACATGCATGCACACATGCACATGCACACAAACATGCACATACACCAACACACAAATACACACATGCACACACACTTGCACACACACATGTGCACACAAATTGGCTGCTCAGGTCCTGCATCCCAGCATGCCCCCTGGAAACCAACCTACTTTGTTTTATTTTTATTCCTGGGACTACGTCAATACATCTCTCCTGGTGTGGAGGGTGGGCATCAGTTTGAGGGGCTTGTCCTAGTCAGTTGGGCTAAATGGGGCCAATTCTTTTGCTTTCCAGGGTGGATGCAGGGCTTTGTTGAATTGTGAAGAATGTTAAATGAAACTGTTTATTCATATCACAATCTCTGCTATGCCACAGAACATGAACTTAGAACACACAGATTTTATACATCGGAAACAAGAAATGTCTACCACATTAGCAAAGACTTAATAAAATTTCATAGCTTTCTAGTGGGAACATAAATTGGAACAATACTTTTGGAAAACAATTTAGTAACAGATAGCCAATCTTTAATGTGTTCATACCCTCTGGCCTAGAAATACCGCTTCTGGGACTCTAGCCAAAGGAAATAGTCTGAAATACAGGGATTTAAAAAAAAAAAGACCTTTATGCACAATAATTTTCATATCAGCATTATTTATAATTTAAAAATGAGAACTAACTTAAATATAAAACAGTAGGAGAGTGGGTAAGTAAACTACAATGTATTTGCATAATAGAATATTAAGCAGATGTTTAAAATTATATTTATGAAGAGTTTACAAAAAGTGGGGAAGTTAGTTGAGTTACAAGGTTCACTGAATAGGCAGGAAAAAATGAGACATAGAGTATAATCTTATCTATGGAAAATGATTAACATAAAACATCGAAAGGAAATATTAATGATAGCTGCAGGCGGTGGCATTCTGGGGGTGCAGTTTTTACATTTCTTATAGATTTCTAAATGTTTTAAATAAACAAGTATTTTTCAATTCTTTTTTAGCTTTGAACACAAAAACACTTTATTTATTTATTTATTTATTTATTTATTTTTGAGAGAGAGTCTCACTCTGTCACCCAGGCTGGAGTGCAGTGGTGCAATCTTGGCTCACTGCAAACTCTACCACCCGGGTTCAAGTGATTCTTCTGCCTCAGCCTCATGAGTAGCTGGGACTACAGGCACGTGCCACCACATCTGGCTAATTTTTTTCTATTTTTAGTAGAGATGGGGTTTCGCCATGCTGGCCAGGCTGGTCTCGAACTCCTGACCTCAAGTGATCCACCAGCCTCAAACTCCCAAAGTGCTGGGATTACAAGCATGAGCCACTGCACCTGGCTAAAAACACATTATTTATAAAAGGAGGTCCAGTCACATCTCTCCCATTACCTCTGCAGATGACTGCAGAGAAGTGCCCTCTCTGCCTGCCTCCCTCCCGCCCCCCACCCCATGTCATCTTCTCTAAGAGGAATGCGTTGGATCACATGATCTCTAAAACCCACTCTGCTCTCACATTCTGTGTCTTGAAATATCATCCCCCTGTGTTTGAGACTGAGAATGGGATCTCAAAAAGGGGTCCAAGCAGCGAAACTATGCTACAAGTAAAACACTGTAATCATCCTAACAAGACATGGACTTGGATGGTCTTCTAGAAGATGCAGCTGTTCTTTTACAGTCTTCAGAGAAAAATGCTGACTTGATGTCCTTGGGATTGAACATCTGGAGCCAAACATCCAAATTAATGGGGTCGCGGGCAGCTGCCCTGTGAAGCCAGAAATCCAGGTTAGGGAGGTGGGGGCTCAGCTCTGTGCCTCCATCCAGGCCCTAGCTGGAGCTGACCTTCCAGGGTACTGCAGTAGATGGCTTGGTGGCCCACACAGGCACAGCAGGACAGATCCCATGTCCTATAACCCCCTATGGCAGCTCCAGCCCCGAGACGTCTTCCCTTGACCAAACTCCATGGGATTCTTTTTGTCCGTTATGAGCATGGGGCACCTTCTTACAAATCATCTGATGGTCTCATGGTTTCCAGTTCCATTTCCTCAAGGACATTGTCTGTCACCCCTTGAAAGTCTGTCCCTCCTTCGATCATCCCAGAGTGGTTGAGTGGTTCACAGGGGAGGGGAAATGAGAATCCACACATTGAACCAGCTCCCCACCCTGGATGAGGGGGTTAATTGGATTTTTCACTCTTTCAAGGTGGAATTCCATGATTTGATAATTACATGGGACTGTATCTCTCCCCTGGACTTTGGCCATCTTTCCCACCGTTCAGAGAAAATACGACTTGTTTCTAGACCTGATATTCATCCAGCATGCACCAGGATGGATGGAAGATAAAATACTGAAATGTTTCCACACTGGTTGGTAAATTACCGTCACCTGCGGATACCTCCCCTGTAGTCCCAACAGGCTGGCTCGTCCTCCGGGAGATCCCCCAGTGACCTCCCTAAGATGTGTCACCTAAAGGGTTAATGCCTGGCCCGGCAGGGGGCCCCCAGACTCTTCACCCAGCATTAAGTCTTTGTGCCCTTGAAGTTTAAATATTTTGAATCTCACCTCTCCCTGCTCCCTCTTTGGAATTGAGTCCCTTGGGTTGAGAGAAGCTGACTGTAGTTGCCTGGGATAACCACGATGGCTGAAATGTAATAAGGAGGAATTTAGGCTTGGATCCTCACACTCTCCCTCCTGCTTCTAGGGGTGAAAGTTGGGGGATGGCAACAGTTTTGGGCAAACAGGTAGGAAAGGGAAACTGTGCCCACCTCCCCGTGCCCCCCTCCCCCAGCCCATGCTATTCTCAGCATTCACAGTTCCTCTTTACAGACAGGACTGAGACCCTCTGAGCCAGCACTGTAGAATCCCAGAAGCAGCACAGTGCCTTCCATCTGAGCTTCTGAAGTACATTTCACACATAGCACCTTCAGAAGGAACAGGAAGGAGAGACACTTTTCCTGACTTCGCCCATGAGGAGAAGGAAGCACAGAGATGTGAAGCTGCCTTGTCACTCGCACAGCTGAGACAGACCCAAGCCTAGCCTTCCCCCCTCCACAGGGATAACCGTTAGAACTGCCAACTCTGTCCCAACGGGCAGTGAGGAGATCTGACAGGATTACGTCATGTGCTCTGTAACTGGGAGACACATTTATGAGCTGACAACCAGAGAGGCTGGTGTCATAGAGGAAGGAGGGTTACCAAGTGCTGCCTTTTGATAATAAAGGTTTCGTCTGTCTAGGCTGCCTGTCTCCAAGCACTCTGGCCAAAAACAGACATGCAATCACTCCCCTCCCCAAGGCGCTGGTGGGGAAGACTGCTATCGTTTATGCTTTTACTCATCTCCATCAGGAGGTGTGGAAGGTGCCACAAACCTGCCTCGACTCCAGCTAGTTCCCCTTCTGACGGTGCACCCACCCATCTGTCCATTCCCCACAGCAGGCTAGCATCCATTCTAGGTGGAAACTCCACTGGAAGCCCAAACCTCAGACGTGAGCCCCAGGAGATACCAGCCTGTACAGCAAGCCCCAGTCCTCAGTAGCATCTTTTAGAAAAAGTTCTGGTGCTTTGGCCATCATCCCGATTACGTTTGCCCATGACATGATCCGGCTGTCATGGAATAAAGAAACATGAGGGTTTCAATGCAAGGAATGTTTAGAAATAGAGAACGAAAAGAATGTGCTTGATCTCATGTTTTCACTTTAATGTATTCAGAGCTGGCAGAGAAAGGGGGACATTTAACTTCTAATTAATGAGTTGCTCCATGTGTCCAAACAACTCTCCCATCTCTTCCCTCACTGCAGATGAAAGCCCAAGTTCTCTTGGAGCTGGGTGATTCTCTGTGCAGGTTACATTTCCCCAGACTCTGAACGGGTATCTTCCACCAATCAGATTGGGCTCTGGCACCTCGCCACCTGTTCGGGCTTCACCCTGGAATCCCTCATCAGCAGCCACTTCTGATGCGTAATTGACAAGACCATAGCTGATGAAGGGTATGTTACGGGCTTGGCTCTCACCATCAAATCTATTTTCAGTTGAAACTGCTTTGAATTTACTGACACCAAAGAGCCCAGAAGGTAAGAATGGGCTGTCATTGCCATTGTTACGATTGTGGCTGTTTTTGGAAACCTGGGTCTTTTCAACTTATCACAAGGCTTCAGCTAGGCCCTGATTTCAACTTCTGCCACCATCTGAGCACGAGCCTTCTGAGTCCAAATTCCCTGTATATGTTGATATCATCTCAGTAAACATTGAGGAACAAAGGACATGAAGAAATGAGTGTCAGTCCGTGTGAGGGAGAAGAAAAGGCCCAGAAATTCTGGCATCCCCAGTTCAAATTCCACTCTTCACCAACTTCACCTTGCATTTCCACACCACAGACTTCCCAGGAGCTTGGTCTCTCATTCACATCGATATTTATGCTTGGAATGTGAAGGATCCCAAATTCTACGTCCAATCACATGTTCACATCCCTGAATGCTCTGACCACCCCAGACATTTCTGAAATGGCTTAGCTCCTGCCTGCCCCTCCAAACTTGACCAATGCCCTCTGCCTCCCTTCATGAAGGTCTGTCCACAGGGAGCCTTTCTCAGGCCCTCAAAGGTGCCGAGTTTGTTCTCCACTTCACAACCCCCAGGTAGGACTGTGTCCTCGACTTAGAACACTCTTCCCCTCACCTCAGCTCCTCACATTCTTTAGGTCTCAGAGCAAACATTCCAGCCTTCCATTCTGAGTAGACCCCCAAAACTTGATTATCCTCTATTTCAAAACCCTACTTATTTATTTCAAAGCCCTGATAACTGTTTATTATTTTATTTATTTGTTTGGTTTTTGGCATATCTCCCCCTCCAGACCTCAGCTCCATCTGTTGAATGAATGAATGAAGTTGCTAGATGAAATGGTATGCCTACTATGCTCCAAGCATGCTTCCCATGCTGACGATACAACAGTCAAGAAGTCAGGTGCATTGCCCTCATGGAGCCGATCACCTTGCAGACAGCGACCTGCAGGAAACTGAAATCATAGGAGACTTGGGCAAAGACGAAGGGAGCAGGAAAGAGGCAGAAGGAAGGGAACAGCATCTCGTGAGCTGACAACGAAATCCTGTATAAATATCACACAAAAATCTATTAGTGTTACCAGCATAGAGGGCAATTGCTTTTTAATATAATAAGATCTTCCTTGGAGGCGATTATGAGGCAGTGATAAGGATCAGGTGACATGTTGAGGTTTGGCACAGATGGATTAATTTCTGTTTACATCTAGTTGTTGGCAGCATGGGGGAGTTCTTCGTTTTCAGGGAGGAGGTGGGAAAGAGGACCTCTGGGGAAAGCAGCCAAGACACAATTCTTGTAGGTGTTATTCCAGAGAGCTCACTGCTTGCTGTGGATCCCAGAGTGAACTGGAGAGAAAACCAGGGCCTGGAGCACCGGGGAGGGACCTCCATGCAGGACACGCTGGCCAAGCTTTGGAGGGACGACCCCTCTCCTTTCCTCCTAAACCTTGGGGTGCCATGACAGAGGTAAACTATTGCTGATGTGGAGGGATTAGTGACTAGGAAACAAAGATCTGAGGTCTTTAGAAACAAAGTCACTTGATAGATGGGGGGTGGAGAGAGAAGGAAGGAGGAAAATGGAAAAGAAGGCATGCTGTTCTTATACAGTTCATTCCCGACACTGTCTCAAGCATTAACACTCTCATTACTAGATACTATTCTTCCCTGAGTGTTACACAGAGGTAAACTGAGGCCTGGGCAAGTCCAGGACAGACCCAATCGTACTGGAACAGAGTCTGCCTCCGGACTCGCTGCACAGGCACACAGCAAAGCCTGGAAGCAACTCTGAAGATTTCCTCGATGGGGTCTTTCCTTCCTTCCCTGGAGCAGCCCAGGGGTTTGCTTCACTGGCTGGGCCTCCTGTCTCCAGTAACTCCTGGAGTGAACACCAAAGTCCCCCAGCATCAAGACAGGGGCACACAACCAGGACAACTCTGACCCTGGAGCCAGGGGGCTGTTTATTCCACCATGTGGCTGCTTTTTCCAACATGTGACAGATGTCACGATTATTCTGCCACCAAAGAGGCACCCTCTGCCACTCCCCTAAAGCACCAACCCCAACAGACATGGCCTCAACCTAAACCCAACTCAGAGCAAAACACAATGGAAAACACACCTAAGCAATTCAATGGTGCCTTACAAATGGAGTTACTCCACGGTTCTGGTTGCCTGAAACTGCTGGTTTATGTGTGTGGCCCAGGCAAAATATTAGCAATGCCCTCTTTTACTTTTTAAAACTCTTCCAGTTTGGAAAATAAATTCCAGGGTCTTCCTACTTGTGATGTACCTGGAAACCCATATATTATGGAATCTACATAGAGATGATGCTATTTTAGAGTATATACACCCATGACCACTATACACTCCTCACTCCCAACCCCATATCAACCATCCAGTAAACAAAACTCTCAACACCCCATTCACAACATGTAGCCATCAAGCTGTGCTCACAAAAAAAGGTATGCACTCCGCCACCAGTCATACTCTTACACTGCTAGTCACTACACAAGTCTCCCAATCATGGCAGATAGAGCTATCTCTCTTCCACTATTCGGGCCTAGACACGACTACACATATCTCATAATTTGGGGGAGCACTGGGACATATGCACCCACTTGGACATCCATCCAAATCAGCCTTCAGGGATTTTAAATGGAAAAGCCCCGGTTGCTGTAATGGCTACAACCTTGTAAGGACATGAGTCCAAGTTCATTAAGAAGCTGGGTACAGATGAACCCTGTTGCTGTTGTGATTAATAATCATAATAGACAGTCAGCTGGAGGGCTTGCCAGCTGTGCCTTCCAGGTCCTGGTTCTGGGATCCCCTCTCATCCACCAGTGAGTAATGGTTTGGTTTATTGGAAACTCTCTTTTCATTTTTTATGGCTTCAATTAAGCGATGGGGAGAATCCATCATGTAACCTTTTTGCTGCACTGCTAAAGACTTCCGGAGGGGAAAATATTTATCAAACCCCAAACCATCAGAGGAGAGACTGCGGTAAACCTAACAGGAGACTGGGGTGGCAGAGAGGTGACCGAGATGGTAGGGAGGGGAGAAAAAAATATCCACACAGAGGTTTGATGCTTGGACAAGAGCCATACTCTCTGTAAAATATCTGCTTATTTCACAAATATCAGGCTACTCCTCACCTCACATCCCATAACCACAGAAAGTACTCCACTGATTATGAGGGTGGCTAATTAATCAGCCCCCAGTCCCCAGTCATGTGGATTCCTATAGCCCAACAGGTTCAAGGTGGCAAGAAGAACAGAGACACTGGCAAGAGGCGTACGTATCATGAGAGGCATAGGATGTGCTATGAGTTCCATGGAAACATGGCACCCACACGAAAACCTCCCACACACCTCATGGAACCCGCAATCCCTATATTGATAAGAATGCCAAAGGATCCATTTCCTAGTTGTAACTACAAATTCTTTCCAACGCCAAGGACAACAAATCCTCTCCCAAATCAATCCATTGGAATCCACAACCTCCTATCCTTGGCCCTACACAGGCCCCTACCCTTTCCCCGACCTCTACCAGGCAGCCCTGCTGGTAAGCAGAGCCGTCTCTTATTCTGCCCTTCAAAGTATTCACACCCTAATCTTGGCCACTGGCATTAATCTTTCATTTGCTATTTAGACATCTGATTCCTGGGGCAGGATTGAGAGATGTCCCTTGGGAGATCAAGTTGGCCAGAGGGGAGGTCCGAAGGGAGTTGGCGGCCTGCAGAGCAACAAGGGCCTGCCTGGAATTAATGGGGTCATCGCCCTGCTCCCCATCGCCCAAAGGAGGAGGAGCCACAGCCAGAAGACACAGATGTCTGAAGAAATGAGATTGCAGGTCTGTCTGCTTTATAAGACGTGTGTGTGTGCACGGGTATGTTCACATGTATGTGTGTGCGAGACCAGGGATATGGCCTCTCAGCTTGTGTCAGTGTAGCTGCTGTTAGGAGATTTGTATCTGCTCTGGTGCAGGGAACAGAGGTATCAGGAGAGCTGGGCAAACAGATAAGACTCAAATAAAAATGATACACATGTGGGCCCTGGGAGACGGTATTGTCTCCATATGCTAACTAGTAATACTACAGGTTAGATAGTCAGCCTGCAAAACATAACTCTAATAGGAGATAGATGGTGGAAATACACTTCCCTTTCTCCCTCTTTCTCCTCCTCACTCTCAGCTAACCTTTATCAACACAAAGTTCCAGGGACTGTGCCAAGTGTTCTTTATTAATTATTTTCATCAATACAGCAAACCCACAAGGTAGGACTATCAGTACCTGTATTTTACAGGTGAGGAAACTGAGGTCTGGATAGGTTAAGTAAACTGCCCAAGGTTCTGCAGCTAGTAAGTGGTCAAGGAGAATTCCAGCCAAAGAAGTTTCACTACAGATACCAAATTTAACCAATGATTTAGGAAGAAATGAACAGATAAGTTTGATATAGACTAGAGAGCACTGGGGAAAGAATAGATTATAGCTATGCTGTCTGATAACCAGCTACTCGTGGTTCTTTAAAATTAAATTAAATTTAAGTTAGGTAAAATTTAAAATCTAGTTCCTTAGTCATACTAGCCACATTTCAAGTGCTCAGTAGTCCCATGTGGCTGGTGGCCACCAGAATGACTAGTGCAGATATGAATATTGCCATTTTTACTGAAAATTCACTAGGTAACACTGGTTAGAGGATAAGGCTAGATGATGGCAAATAGAAACACTTTTCAGGATAACCAGCTGGAGGAAGGATGGCATTAACATGTGAGTTCTTCCCATCTAGAAAGGACAAGAAAAGGGTGAAGAGCAAAGAGGAGAACCTAGGGCAGCATGACATGGATCAATTGGTTGCTGTTATTAACAAGTGAGACTTCAAGAAATGCCACAGAAGGAAGGGGCCTTGGAGATTAGCATATTCAACCTCTTTTCATACATTACAATAAGGCCAGTGACAACTGGGGAGGCCAATGGCCCAGGTCACATAGCCAGTTATGTCGAAGGCTCTTCCCATCCCACCCAGCCTGTCATTCTGGGTTTTTCCCATCATCCTCATCCTTGATCCCTTCTGAGATGTGCACAGAAAATATCAGAGTACTCAGAGGTGATTTCCAACACGTCTTCACACTATTATGACTCCTGACAGGTAAATCACTAGCTGTATTGCTGCATCTTCCTTTCTTATAATGGCACAGGGCTGTCCAAGAATGAGACATTGAACATTTGTAAAATAGCAGCAATTGAAAAGATAAATGGCAAACCTGGAGTTTGGGAAGCAGCCCAGTAGGACTGTCTTCCTATTCAGTCTCAGTAAATACTTCTTGAATAAACCAATGGATGTTTGGCTGGATGGAAGAGTGGATGGATGACACCTAACAGTTCTTCAACCACTTTATGGACTAGTGCCCCATTCTCCCACCCCCATACTGTTCATCACAAACTCACAGTTGCTTCTCTACAAGCTACTAAAATGGAAAACATCTCAGCATGTGGAAAAATTCAACTGCATTTCAGATTCTAGTTAAAAAAAAAAAGTGACTATATCCTGCCATGCCTATATAAGTCCTGCAACGGAATGTTGCTGAATGCCTTCTTGTCTGCACTAGAAATTCACACTCTCTTAAGCTAAGTGTATGCCCACTCTACAGGGACTCCCGCTTCCCCCTGGCCTCAAAGATCATTACCTACCTCTTTGCGTGAGGCCAATCCATCCTCTTGACAGCTCACTTACCACGGACCAGGGCTGTGGGGGAGCCTCTGACAGCCAGAGATGAAATGGCAGAAAGGGCTCCTTGTCTGGACATTCTTGGGCATCTCCTACCCGCCACATTATTGTCACCATGGCCAAGTGTGATCCCTGTGTCATGAGGCCTGCGCTTAGGATTGGGGCTGCCTCCTCTGCTTCTTCCTAGACCCTTGCTTCGTGGTTGTTCCCTCAAACTACATATTCAGTCACTTAAATGACGCAATTGTTTTGAGACTCAGTGAAAAATCTCAGGATATAGACTTTGTCCAGTAGATAAGGAATGAGGTAATGCTTTAGTTCACAAATTCCTTGAGGGCAGAGATTTTATTTCTGTATCTTTTAAATCTGAATTCCCAGTGTACAGAAAAATGCCTTGCACAAAATAAATAAGCAATACAATAGATTAATGAATGAATGTATATATGTGTGTGAGGGAGAGAGAGAAGGAGAGAGAGAAAAAGACTGAAAAGGAGAGAGAGAGAGAAAGGGGGAGAGGTGGGGGAGGAGGGGAGAGGGAGAGACGGAGGGAGAGAGAAGGAGCAGGAGATCAACAAATGCCCAATCTGTTACTCTGGTTTCTGCCTGGGCTGCTGTTATTTCATCCCAGGAAAGCTGGTTTACTCTTTGGTCCGTGGGTCTCTGTTCTCTTTCTCTCTGGGCCCCCTATCTACCTCCTTAGTTTTGTGGGGAAATTGCTTTCTCTGCAACCACCTGGTCCTCTAAAGACTCTCTTCTTAGGTCACTTTGGTTTATTTGGACAAAACGCTTCTAATTCATTATTCCTCCTGTGGAAGACTTTTTGAGTTTATTTAGAACTAGCATTCTGGGCACTGAGTCTTAATGACCATCCACAGACAAGCACCTAGCCAACCAACCCCAGCTCTTTGCTGAGTCCTTCTAGACTCTTCTGCAGCTCTGGCACAAGCACTGCCCTTCTTGTTGCTGCTGTATGTTTTATCTTATTTTTTAAAAGAATGATTACACCCCTTTTCCAGGCTCTAAAGTGACCTGAACTCAGGAAAGGTTCTCCTCTCCATCCATCAAAGTTCATTCATCCCTCCCCCAAGTTTCTCCATGATTTCTACTCCAGTCCCTCAGACTCCAGTGGCAAATTCACCTCAAATTTTTGGAGTTGTGATTGCTCCTGTTTTCCACCATAATATCAGGATTGAAACTTTCTGCTGAACATAGTTCCTTGGCCTCCCAAAACTTTCCAGATCAAGATGGATCCAGCCCAGCTTAGCTCTCAAGTCCTAGAATCCCCTGCTCAGACAAAGCATATCACATCCTAATGCTCTGTGTGGAGGGATGCCTATTGTTAATGTCTTTGAGAACATGAAGCTTGGCTAAGAACTGGTTCACAAACTCACTGCTTGAAATTCAACAGGCATCCTGGGCACCGCCTGGAGAAAGGAAGAGGAAAGCAGGGAGCTCTGCTCAGATTCCATCTCTAAGACCAAGGCAGAGGCTTTGTAGAAATCAATGGTTTTCCTTCCATTGCAAAGGGGGCAACTGGCAGTGACGAGCAGAAGGGTGGAGCAGGGGGTGTGGGAAGAAGAACAAAGAGTAAGCAGGAGGGGAAGAAGTGAGAGGCAGAGGGTGTAACCATGCTCCCATCCTCTACAGATTCTTCCCCTTCACTTCCTCCAGGCCTGGATTCACTTTCTTTTTTAATGGCTGGGGCCAGTGATTTGTTCCCATCGATCACTATTGATGTTTTTCAATTGTATCCGTGACACTTTTGGCAATATGTTTGTAAACACAGAGCCTTCTGGGATCTCACTTCTTGTCACCACGTACAGGCACCGTCTCCTTGTCACTGAGTATTAGCTGTCAATCAAAGGGTTGGGAAGGGAGCTCTGTGTCCTTGGTCCTGGGACTTGCTTCTTTTTGTCTTTCTGCCTGGAAGTGAACATTCCTCATTCATTCCCAGAGGGAAAATGGAAACCTTCCTCTTTAAGTGGGAGAAAATTGGGCGAGAACAAGGAAAGGTTTCTACCTGGGGCCAGGCATCGTGTCCTGGGCAGAGGAAACCACAGTTCTTCTGGGGAGAAAAATGCAGCAGAGAATCTTGTACCCACCAGTTTAGCTTGGATCTGGGCTGCAGGAGCAGAGAACTGCTCCCTTGACCACAGGTAGCTGAGCAGCCTGCATCCAAATTTCATCCCAGATAACTGGGTGAACAACTAGAAATTTCCTGGGTTCACCTAGACAAGGAGCTTTCCAACTTTTTTGATCAAGACCCATAAGTAAGATAAATAATTCAGCTCATGACTGAGAATACACATACATGCTTAATTGAAATAAAAGTTAAAGGAAATAAGAAAATATTTAAGGAGAAACACAGCCTTACAACAAGTGATACACTCTGATAGTTTCTGTCCATTCTTCTGTTTTTCTTTTTTGAATTCTGGTCATGTTCCATTAAGTTGATTCATGACTGCCTGCTGTGACCCACAGTTTGAAAAAATACTGGACTAGACCAAGGGTCAGCAAACTTTTCTGTAAAGGCCAGATAAGAAATATTCTCAGCTTTGCAGGCCATATGGTCTCTGTCACAACCACTCAACATTTCCGTTGCAGCATGACAGCTGCCACAGACAATACATAAACAAATGAATGTGGCTGTGTTCCAACACAACTTTACTTATGTACAGTAAAATTCAAACTTCATGTCACTTTCATGGGCTATGACATAGCCTTCTTTTTTTTTTAAATCATTAAATACGGAAAAAAAATCCTTAGCTTATGGGCTGTACAAAATCAGAGGTGATCTGGATTTGGCCTGGGAGCCAGAGTTTGTCACCCTCTAGACCACACCACATCAACCAACGCTTGCAGCATGTTGCCAGTCCTTCTCTTCAAGGCTTCTGGCATCTACAAATAGGTGGGAGTGAGGGGATCCCCACCAACCTCTTCCACACCTGCCCACGAGTCAAGGTCAAGTCCACATTGCTCCTGTGCCTCTGTATTAGAGCATGAATTCTAATGTATTTAATTGATGGTCTCTGTTCCCCTGAACTGTGTCCTCCAAGAGGATGCACTTCTTGTATCACACGTTTCTCACTCTGCCTTGAAATGTCTCTTTGCTTGTCTACCCATGGGACTGTGATCCAGTAGATTCCTGAGCTGCTGGTCCAGGGGACAGCAAGAGAGCCTCTGCCCTTTCTAATACTTTTCTTGGCTCATGCATAGAATCTATGGCTGGGCTCATCCTCTGGTGCTCCTTGGTACCTAGCCTCAGGCTCCAGCCTCCACAGCCTCCTCAGCTAACTAAAGCCACAGGGCTCCCACCTGCCCCACAGGTGCCTCTGCACAACAAAAAGTTCTTTGCCTTTAAGCACCTGAATAGGAAGAAGAACACTCAGTTCTTTTCAAATTTACATTTTAACAATTTTTTTAAGTGTAGAGTTAAGTGGTGTTAAGAACATTCCCATTGTTGTGCAACCATCACCACTGATATGGTTTGGCTGTGTCCCCACTCAAATCTCATCTTGAATTCCCATGTTTTGTGGGAGGGACCCAGTGTGAGGTAATTGCATCATGGGGGCAAGTCTTTCCTCTGCTGTTCTCGTGACAGTGAATGAGTCTCACGAGATCTGATGGTTTTAAAAACAGGAGTTTCCCTGCATGCACTCTCTTCTCTTCTCTTGTCTGCCACCATGTGAGATGTGCCTTTCACCTTCCTTCCACCATGATTTTGAGGTCTCCCCAGCCATGTGGAACTGTAAGTCCAATAAACCTCTTTCTTTTGTAAATTGCCCAGTCTCAGGTATGTCTTTATCAGCAGTGTGAAAATGGACTAACACAACTGCCATCCATCTTCAGAACTTTTTCATCTTCCCAAACTAAAACTCTGTCCCTGCTAAACTCTATGATCCTATTCCCCTGTCCCCCAGCTCTTGGCAACTACCATTTTACTTTCTGTCTTTATGAATTTGACTACTCCAGGTACTTTATGTAGGTGGAATCATACAGCATTTGTCCTTTTGTGTCTGGCTTATTTCACTTAAACCTCATGTTTTCGAGGTTCATCTACATTGTAGCATGTGTCAGAATGTCCTTCTTTTTAAAGGCTAAATAAGAGAACACTCACTTTTAAAAGGTGGTTCCCAAATTGCCCTAGAATGTAAGAGGAGTTTTAACATATGACATTGACAACAAACTCTCTTCATCTCTTCCCCAACAATACCAAGGATGGATCTCACTCCATCTTCTTATCATCACTCTGCCCCTAGAAAATTCCCCCGTTCTGCTCACCCTCTCTGTCTTCTCTACTATGGTGTCAGGGCAACCGAGTGGGCTTTATTTATGGCTGACATCCCTGAATTTAAATCTTAGCTGCTTCTTTACTTTATTGCTAAAGTTTTTTTTTTTTACCACAGCTTCAGTTACAAAACAAAAATAACTACCTTCTATATAATGACTGTTGTGAAGAAGAAATAAGATGAAAGATACAAAATATCAAACACAAAACTTACAACTTAGTGCTCAAAATGGTAATTATTATTATTATCCCAATTAATAATGTTTTCCAGGGTCACAGTCTGGTCCTAGTATCCCAAATAAACCCTAGAGATCCCCAAGAGCATCCCAGAACCTCTTTTTTGAGACACCAATTTAGTTACCAAGAGTATCGCAGTGGGAACCCCAGCTTAGAACTGAGATGTCAAATACATCACTGCTTCGCTGCAACCCTGGGCAAGCCAATGTCTTTCTGTATTCTTCACCCTCCTTGGCTGTGAAATAGATCAAATGATGCTTCTAAAATTCTCCCAACAATGAGGTAATGTCTTCAAAGTGCCCTGAGCCTTTCACAGGGAAGTCGTTGTCAAATAGACACCTGTAGTCACAGAAAAACGGTTATACTCTGGGAATGATTTGCTCAGTTGGTTACCGAATGGTCTGAGTCTATGCCTTATGCAAGCCCCACCCTAGGAGCTGGAAAACAAGGGTGAACATGTGAGCCCAGCACCCTCCTTCACCCTGTATGGCTCTGCATGGATGGGATGCAAAGAATCTGACTTCCTGCAGAACAATGGGTGCCTTACCCAGACAGAACTGATCTCTCACCTCAGAGAGCAAGAGGGGAGAAGATGAACATCTATTTGGGATCTACTGGGTCCCTCCAGATTTTCTACAGCCACAACGGCATTTAATTCTTCCCATGTATGTGCACACACAGAGAAGCACGGAAGGATATGCAACTTACCCAAAGTCACACAGCTGGTGCATCATTAAAGCTGAGATCAAAAGTACGGCTGCCGACTTCCAAAATCCATGAATGTGCCACCCTTCCAAGCAGCCATGCTAATAGGGGCCATCGTAATTGTCCAGCAGTAATTCATCCAGAGACAGATTCGTGTTGGCCATATCTAATGGCCTGGCTCTCGGTCCCCTTCTGTCTCCTTTATGACTCAAGCTAATTCACGATGTGCTTAGTCAGATGTCCAGTTGCCAGTTTATTGTCTATTAGGTTTGCAGAGGGAAGGGAAGTAACATTTGCTGAGCACTTTCCAAGGCCCAGGCCCTGTTCCAGGAGCTCCTGGCCATACATAATCTCTCTTAATCCTCATAATATCCCTATAAAGGGGGTATTATTACCCCACTGGGCAGAGGATCATAAAGATTAAGTAACTCTGGATAACCCCAGAAGATGGACAAACGTGCTGGCCTAGCACCTCGGGAAACCTCTGAAAGCGAGATCTGCCAAGCAAAGCCTCCCACAGCCGAGGGAGCCAGGCTTCTCCACCTCATCAGAGGCAGAGAGTCAAGGGAGAGCAGAATGGATGGTGTGGCAGGTTCTGATTAAGAACATTCATCATCCCTGCCCCGCTAGCCCCTTGGGGTGGCATGGAATTCGTTACACGACTCCTGAACCGTGTTCATCCTCTCCAGCCTCCTCCTGTGCGAACACCGTGGAATTAGCCAGGAGGGGTAGCAAAGAAATCAGATCTGCCCTGCGGAGGCTCTGCATTCCCAGCACTGTGCTGGGTACTTTGCATTGCTCATCTTTCACTTTTACATCAATCAGATTTAGTCCATATTTCTATTTTGCACAATTCATGTTATTATTTCATTTAACTTTTCCCAACCTGCCAAAGCTTACGTAGTGAAGGGACGCTCCCAAGTCCACTCAGCTGGGAAGTGGAAAGCTAGGATCTAGGCCCTGTTCTGTCCTCCCTCAGGGCTCCAAACAATCTGTCACACTGCAGCAGAGAGAATGAAGGGGTTTCCCTCTTCCCATTTTGCTGATGGATAAACTGAGTCTGAGAGCAGGAAGTTGCAGAGAGCTGCAGAGATTTGGGGCCAGAATATCAGTCACATGTATGCCCATCCAGCTTTTCTAGAGATGGTCATGAAGCCAAAGAGGGGAAGTGACATCCTTAATAAAAGCTCATTTCAGCAAAAAAGCTGAGGAATCTGTTTAATTGATCATCACTCCTCCCTTCCACAACAGCACAGGGTTTTAAATGGGACTGGGCTCCCTGTCTGGAATTCTACTCCTCCCTGAAATGATCCGATAACAACAGAGCTGATTGTGACTGGTCCTCCCTCCCCTTCTCTCTCCTGCAGAATGTTTTTCTTCATCCCTGTTTTGTGTCTTCGTAATTGCGTTACTCACATAGCAACACATGGGGATGGCCACACTACAGCCACCACCATCGGGGCCACAAGGAGAAAGCAACAGCATTCTAGGAGAACGCACCACTCCCCATCAGGCCCCCTTGAACCAGGCGGGGCTGCATGGAGGTCAATGCCTCTCAGGGCTGCCCTCCCCTCTGGATCAGCTCCCAGAACATGCCCTTTGCCTCTAACCACGAGCAGGGGTCACCTGAGGCCCTTGATTCTAGCCCCACTTTAGCTTTCCCACAGAGAAGGCTGAGACGTTGAAAGGCATGAGCCCACGCCTCCTCCTCGCCAGGGTCTCAGTGACTCCCCAGCCCCAGGAAGAGGAGCAGGGAGCCCCTCACCCAACATCAGGCCCATGTCTTGGAAACGCAGGGGTTGTGGATTCACATGCTGGTGCTGCTGGTCTGCCCCCCGCTCCCTGGCCTGGGTTTTGCTCCATCTCTGAGCAACTTTTGGAAAAGAGGCAGATCTAGGAAATCCATACCAAGTCCCAATATACTCTATGGCTGAAGGGGCTGAGGAGGGAGCTCAGCTGGAGAGCCCTGGCCCAGGCCCACAAGACAGTAGAGGGGGCACTGCTCCTTGTGGACGTCCAACCAGGCTGATGTCGTCTTCATCCTTCTGTAGGGACCAAAATCTTGGTGGAACCCCCACCCTTCCTGGCAAGTCAGGAGGTCAGTAGAACCCCCCAGGCCAGCATTCCTTTCCCAGCCTCATTCCTGCCCAGGGCTCCCTGTGACCTGCCCCTCCCCCATGTGAGGACACTATACACCCTGGATACTGTCCCCTTTCCATTCCATTTGTAATTGTCCCTGGCAGAAACAGCCTCCCTCAAATGGTGAATTCTCACATAAATGTTTGGGGTGATGCATATCCCAGTTACCCAGATCTGATGGTTACACATTACATACATGTACCAAAACATCACATTATATAATCAATAACAATTTTATACATAAATAAATAGGAAAAAAACGAGGTTCTGCTAGCGTGTGGTTTGGCAGCTGTCAAATCTTGTGCTAGAGCCGAGTCCTGACCATGGTGTGCCCTCCACGCATCGTCCAGCTCACCCATCCTCCCAGGAAGGCCACCCCTCTGCTGGGTGTCAGCATCACGGCACCTGGGTGGGTGAGCCGCTCACTGCCCCGCCCTACCCCAGCTGCCCTCTCTAGCCCCACTGTGCCACGTCCCCTTGGCAAGGCCACTGTCTGGAGTCTGGAACACAGAAAACCATTCCTGGACCCTCCGCACTGCCAAGTCTGTAAAAGAGCAGGCGCCTAGCCTCTCTCCTTGGAGGCTCAGGCCATGTCAATCTCTTCTACGTCTCCCTAGTGCCAAGATAATAAGGGGGAAAGTTTTTTTCTCCTCCTTCCAGAGTGCAGACCAATTAGCATTTTTTAAATTACCATTGGAGAAATACACCTAATTAGCCACTTTAAAGGAAAGCTTTAAAAAAAAAAGTCATAAATTTCTAACTGGCCACAGCTTGGAGACACTTTTAAAGCTAATTGTGTGTTTCTGGCACTGACAGGGGAATTGGTGAAAGTAAGAGACCGATTTTATGACCTTGGTGGGAAAGGGGAGGGGAAGGCTGAATGACGTCCTTAGGCCAAGAAAGGGTTAATGTCTGTCTCCCGGAACCCCAGGCCCCTCCTGGCTCCTCCTCCCCTTCCTCACCCTCCCTCATCAGATCCCCACCTCTCCCCACCTTGAGCCCTGCCTTACCCCAGTCAGGGGTACCTGCCTTAGAAGAGGCAGACAGGAAGGCAGACAGGCAGGCAGGCAGACAGGGCCACACACTCAGCCAGAAAATCATACAAGGAGGAAGAAAAGGGCAGAGGACAAAGAGAGAGGAGAAGGACAGGGGAAACAGAGAAGAAAGAAACATTTGAGGAAACTGAGAGAAAGGAACCAAAGCCAAATTCCAGAAGGCTGTTTCTCATTTGTGCTTCCTATTAAACTCTCCATCGAGGTGGGGGCGGGAGCTGGGGGCTCTGGCCTGCTCTTGAACATGGTGCCTCCCTCAGACAGTTCCAGTGGAGGCAGACAGGGGCTTCTGCAGCCCTCGGGCCTCCTGCCCAGGCTCCCTGACCCTGCTCAGTGGCCCCAACTCCCTGTCCCTGAAACTGAGAAAACTCTTCATAAAGTGCAGGCACAGGACTCTGGGGTGCCTCATTTAGGAGGAAGGTGGCACAGGGCAGTTTCTGGTTGCTCCCAGCCTCTGCCACTGCTGTGGATTCATTCCTGCCTCAGAAAAGGGGAAAGAGGGCCTCTCCCAGGGGGAGATCAGTGTACAACTGGAGGAGTGTCAAGAAGTGCGGCCAAGCAAGAGAAGATGCCCAGAGCAACTGCACAGGGCCTCCATCATCCTGCAGAGCCCACCGCCATGGCTCATCAGCCCTTCAATGGCCCCCGGTGATGACCCAGTAGAGCGGCTAAGGTGATGGGGGTGGGGGTCCTCTCCCTCAGGAACACCCCTCCACTGGCTGGGTTGCCGGGCAGGAGTTAGGGTAGGAACAGGACAGTATAGATGTATTGTCTCCACCTCTGTCTGAGGCACACAGTGTGACCAGCGCTGTCATGTCTGCCCAACCCTAGCTCAGTGTCATGCCCACCTGACACTAGGTGTGGCCTCCCTGTTGGTTGAAGGGGCAGCAGCAGGTGTTTGCATTCTATACATGGAAACTTAGAGGCCCAGAAACACTGAGGCAAATTTGCTCTAGTAGCAGATTTAGTACCATCTAAAGTCCTGGGAGGCACATTCTTCATTCACTGAGACCCTCCTTTCTATAGCTTAAGTGAGAGTCTGGAGAAATTACAGACAGTTTCAAAACATATAGTCTTCTGGAAAGCCCAGAACATGCATTCTCAATGGGTACAAGAGTGCTCCCCAGAGGGTGAAAATTAGAGGGCAAAAGAAAAAAAAATCTTAGATATAATGATTTGTGGCCCTCCAAAGGTCAACATTACTCAATAAATTCACATGTCGTCTCATTAAAGAGAATTTAAATTAAATTTAACTTGTCTCTAAGGGGGAAAAGGTGATTTTTAAAAAGCTGAGAAATGCTGACCTAGGGCAGTAGCCCCTAGAGTCCTAGAGTCCCACAGGCCAGAGCTGGATCCACTCACCTGTACCCCCTTGGGACCAAGCTCAGCATATGAAACAAGAAATGGGGCCCAGGAGGGGATTCTTCCCCAGAACTAGTCAGTGACTCCTACTGAAGACACTCACAAACTTTAAAAGTGGTGGGAGACTTGAGCAACCTAGCAGGGCAACTGGGTAAGACACTGCAATGCTGTCTCTTCTGCCAGGGCAGAGGGAAGAGCTTCTGGGAGACAAAAGACCTTGGGGCCTCTTCCTGCTCCTCACCCCAGACCTTAAAGCCTTCAGAGAAATGGCGCACTGGACGTCTGAGCTCCAGGAGGTTGACTGAGGGCAGGATTGGAGTGCAGGGCTGGAAGGATTCATGACCTTAAAAACAGCCAGGGGAGCTGGGGTGCCCCAAGTAGAAGACTAGGGTCTACAGCGCCCCATCAGAGCCCCTCACACTCTTCCTTTTTTCCTCCCCTCTCTGGTTCCAGAGGCTGGGAAAGAGGGAAGAGAAATAACTACACAGCAGAATGGACAGGCCCCCACCCACCCAGTCATAAACTCATGGGTGACAATTGTGGGGGCCCTCACCTCCACCCCTAAAAGAATTGAACCTGGGCTAGCTCCTCTAAGCGAGTAGTACAGCTTTCAGCCTAACAAGTATCCATCTTTACTGGCAGCTTCAGGGGCTGGTGGAAAGAGCTCTGGGGTCAGACCTGCTGGGCTTTGCACACCAGCAAGTCATGGTCTGACTGTCCCTGTGATCTTGGAGAGTCTGGTTCTTGGGAAGGGGCTCTGACTTACCCTATTCTCCTGCCCGATGCCTTCTCTAGAACCCATCATGCACTACGTGCTTCATACATGCTTGCAGAATCCAATGTGATCCTTCCTTTGCAAATGTTTTTGCAAAAGGAAAATGGAAGTGACCATCTCCCCGCCTCAGGGGGTTGTTGGGAATGTTAAAGAGATGGTGCGGACATGCAGGGAGAACGTGTGCATAACAGGCAAGGTGGGCATCCCCTCCACATCCCCTCTCCTCTCCCCTTGCTAGAAAACCCATATGCTTCTGCAAAGCAGGTGAGACGAGGCATGGGGGAGGGGAGGACATCGGCACAGACAGGGAAACCAAGGGACACTGCAGGAAAGCCTCCAGGTGACATGGGAGGCCCCATGTACCCCAAGTGCCCTGCATGAGCTGCCTTCTGCCTGCCCCCACCAGAGAACCCTGCAGTGAAGGGACAAATTCCTAATAGCGGGGACGTCCCAGGAGGGTCCCTTTCCTGGGGCTCTGGCCCAAAGAGCCAGCACCTTTGATGCTTTCCCAAAGATCTCATAGCAGGGACCCCATTCTACCCACTCAGGCTGAAATCAGTGGGAAGTCCCTATGCTCTCCCCATCTGGCTCTCCCTAGCTTTCTGGGGGTGATGGATGGCTCAAGAGTTGCAATTTTTGTTCTGTTAAGAAAGCACAAACAATCCGATGCCAGGAGGCGAGGACCTTGCTCCCTGTTGGCGCCTGGTGCAATCCCCAGGGAGCTCTACCAGTGTCAGCAGAGAAAGGGAAAACAGCTGGGTCTCTAGGGCCCGAGAGCAGGCGGGAGATTTATTATTTTGGGGTGATTAAACCGAAGCTTCCAACACCTCAGTGAGTGTTTCCTTCTTGCTACCCCTGCTACTCAGACACAGGAACCGTATGGGGCAGCCTGGCTCCCGGTGGTCCCCTCTGTCCCGGTCCTTGAGACCACTGCCAAGACACTGCCTCCATCAGACGGCCAAGCTCTGGCCAGCCTCCAGGTCCTCGCCTACCTCCCACTCCATTCCCTGTCTGCAATTGTTTCCAATCAGTTTAGGAAACAGCTCTGAGAACAATTAGAAAAGATAACGAGGAAGAATTACATAATTACAGTTCTCCTAGATCTCAGGCACTTCAGGGGAAAAGAAAAAGGCTGAACTGAGTCCAAACAGGGACCAATGTGAGGAAAAGATGGTACTTCTGGAAAGCTTTCGGGGTGCAAGGGCTTAGACCCTGAAGGAGAGTGGGAAGGACAAAGGCACTCCTATGTCTGCCTGCTGGTCAGCTGGGGGCTGCCTCCAGCTCAGGGCCTCAAAGGACGGCTCAGAAAGTCCTCATGCAATGCAGACCTCTCTGTGGAATAGCCATGTAGACTACAGAACCACGTCCCCCTTCAAGATCATGCAGCCCAAACTTCTCATTGTCAAGATGAGAAAGACCAAGAGAGAAAAGGTCTTGCCCCAAGCCAACAGAACTCAGGACTCCAAGCCCCAGGCCAACACTTTGTCCATGTGCAGGCTCCTTAACTTCTGTCTTTGGTCCCTGGGTTACAATTCACTGGTCCCACCCACTGGACAGCTGGGAAATTCTACCTTCTTGACCAAAATGGATGGGTATAGGAAGAACTTTGCCCTCTAGAGTAAAGATGGGCAAACTTTTCCCAGGAAGGGTCAGATAAATAGTTTAAGTTTTATGGGCCATGCAATCTCTGTAGCAACAACTCAACTTTGCCATCACACCACGAAAGCAGGCACAGACAATATATAAACAGGTAAGCATGGCTGTGTTCTAGCAAAACTGTATTTGCAGACACTGTAACTTGAATTTCATATTATTTTCACATGCCATGATATATTGTTCTTTTGATTTTTTTCAACCATTTCAAAACATAAAAATCATTCTTCACTTGTGAGCTATAAAAACAAGTGGCAAACAAGATCCAGTCCATGGGTTGGAGTTTGCCGACTGTTGCTCTAGGATGTTGCTAGAAGACTTTGTGCTTCTCTGATTATTCCACACCCAGAGTTTAACCATTCCTTGACTCCATAAACCCAGCATGGTATTTAGAACAAGGCTTGATGGTCAGTCTTTTCTAGGTCACATTGCCGTGGTAGGCCAGGCTATTACCAACTATGCAAGCCCTCAGGAAATCATCCTACGAGGTTTACTCAAGACACCTCTGACGTCTGTGAGAACCCAGTCCCCAGGAGCAGAGTGGGCAGCTGGATGACAGCTTTCCCTAGATGGGCAAACAATCCCTCCCCAGAAGAATATGGAAGAGGAATTGCGTCTCAATCTGCCCCTCTCTATGCAGAGGGTATTTGTGGCATATGAGGTAATAAGAGACCAACATCCTGAGTTTCTATGCAGCACAACCTAACTTACCACTGTCTTCTCCTACTGCCTCTCCGTTTAGCAACAGGGAGTACCAAGTATCTTCATTCATTCAAAACCAGCATATTGAGTGAATGCCTATTCTGGCATCATGCCAGAGGAAAATCAGGCACAGGATATCAGACACATACAGACATCAAGTCTCTATGCGGTTAGTACCCTGACAGCAGGGACATTACTCCTCTTCTGCACCCAGCACCCAGCACCGCATGAGGCACACAGGAGAAGCTCAGGAAATGCTGAGTGAATTAGTAAATCAATGTGCAAGATGGAAATGGTTAAGTAGCACAAGGCAGATCAAATCCTATGCAAGCAGAGAGGAGGGAGAATTAGGTCCAGCTGAGGAAGCCAAGAAAGGGCCAATGACAGAGGGGGCAGTTGAGCTAAGCCTGACAAGATGAGTCGGATTAGGGTATGCACAGTTGGGGCACAGAGAAAGAGGAGAGAAAAATTCCAGCCAGAAAGAACAACTAGCAAGGCATGATGGTGTCTATAAGAACATGCATAGCTGAGGTTGCAGTCTTCATGCCTCTTGAGGAGTAATAGCTTGAGTGCTAACAACCCAGAGTTAAGCTGTTTCTAGATTGTTGAGGGCCAAGAAAGTCAGGCAAAAGAGTTTAAACATCTGTAGGTGGTAGGAGGCATTGAATCTTCTGAGCAAAGATGGTTGGGTGGCAATGAGATTAGGAAAGTGAACATGGTGGCAGAGTACATAAGGACTGGATAAGCAAGGAGTCTCTTTAAAGAAACCCTAAACTAGGACAGGAGCAGCAGCCTCGGCCACACCGCTGGGTGAAGCGGAAGAGTGGCTGTGGGCCAGCGGGAGGAGGTGGGACTTGTAAAGTGATTCATGGTTATGAGTGTAGACCCGGGAATCAGATAAACTGGGCTCAAGTCCAACTCCAGCACTTACTCCCTGTAAATGATCAGTCCTTTCTAGAACCCAGTTTCCCTATCTGTAAAACCGAGGCAATAAAATGGAGTCATCATCTCACAGGGTCCATGTGAAGCTGAGATGTGGTTAAACATGTGAAGTGCTTACCCTCGTGCCCTGCATGGAGCAGATTCTCAATAGAAATTTGCTAATCTTGGTCAAATTCTGTCCATTGGCCAGGAGTCCCAGTCAGGCCAGAGAAGCTTGTTTTTGCCAGAGAGGTGGAAGGGTAGTTGACCACAGTCCACAATCACTCCCCACCTCCCCTCTCCCCCTCCCAATCCTGGGTGGTAAGGCACACACCACATCCTCAGGAAGCTGACATACACCCTCCTCGTCACTCCTCAGCCAGCTAGTGAAAACCAACAACCAGAAATGTGCAGTCCCATGTGGGGACCTTTGTCAGGCAAGTCAATGTGCTCAACAGAAAACTCATAGCCCCAACACTGTGAGAGGGAAGGAGGAAGGGAGGGGGAAGACGTGACTCAGAAGTTAAATGCCTTCTTTCTTAGAACACAGGAGTGTCACAGCATTCAAGCCAAGACCTCTGACCTGCAAGACATCTGACCTGCAAGAGGGCTCACTTTTGGGAACCCTCATGCTCACGATTTAGGCCTCTGACCTGCTAGGAACATGATCAGCATCTTGGCAGAGAGAGCACAGGCCCTGCATCCAGGCAGCCATGAGCTCTGGTCTTGGCCTCAGCGCTCCCTGGCCATGTGACTACGTAAATAAGGACATCAGTTAAATAAGGGTACGTGAGATAATGTGTGTTCAGCACAGACCGTAGCCCAGTGCTACAGAGGAATCTGGAATTTGGAGACACGGTTGCTCACACCTGAGACGAGGATAGGACCTCGCCTCTCATAATCAATGCCTGCCTGAGACCTTGGTTTCTGCTTAGGTGGAAGTGGTTTTAACCAGGCTCAGACCCTCCTCATACTGCCTACTGGTGGCCTCTGTCATGAGCTCTCCCCCACACCTTTTTAGATGGCTCCTCTGTCTTCCTTTGCGTGGAGGTTCTGTGTTTCTCCACAATAGTAGTCTCTTCTCTTCCCTGGTCCAATTACAGCCCACCCTCCTCACTCCAAGAAGCTGGGTATCCCATCCCTGCATCTAACGGGGTACCAGAACTGGTGACGGACGACTCACCAGTCACTCGTGGCATTCTCTAAGAAGCCTTTAGTTAGTCCTCTCTGCAACTCCCTTCGAATCCCGTTTATGAGTGACCAGTCTCCCAAAAGCAAGAATGCCAGTCCAAGAAAGCAGGAATGGGGATTTGAGAAAAAGAAGAAAATAAATGTGTTTCTGTGCTCAGGGAAGCTCTCCACACAACACAGCTCAACTTCCTACTCCTGCATTGCCATCTGGTTGCTACTGGCAACCAGGCAATCATATTTTTCTAGTCCCAGATATAATCATCATAATCAATATAGGGTATTTATCCCACTCCTTGGTTCCAAGGAACTCAAAGATTTTCACATCTATTATTCTTCCTTCACTAACGTGAGGGAGAGAAGGGGAGGAGGTCTGCTTGTTGATGGGGTGTGGGGAAGGACTATTTCACAGATGGAAAAACTGAGGGAATGGGTAAGAAGGAGGCTGTGGGAACATCTCTTAAGAAAACAGTATTGCTAAAAGCAGTTTGCATTTGGATAGTGCGTTCACTTTTGAATAAAAGTGAAAAAAATCTCATCTAATTTTTACAACATCCCTCTAAAGTAGGTTCATTTATCGTATAGACAAAGCCCCCAAAAGTAAAGGATCTTTCCAGAAACACACCACTAGAAATGACATTGCCTAAACTCCTAGGCCTTTCGAGTCCCTTTTAGCATTTTTTTCCCGCAGCATCTCTGCAAACAAGTACAGTACATTGTTGGAGCTATCATGTCTCTTGTATGCATTACCACCCCACCATTGTAAGTGTTTCTCATTATACTTACATTGTGCATTACAGTGGCTCTTACACATAGGAGGTTTCTGTCTAGTTCCGGTTGATACACACACCAAATGGGCAACAGGGCCAACAAAAATGACTAGACTAAAGCACTTGACTGCGTTGGAAAACTTAGGAGCCATATTTAATTTCCTAAATTCTATAAATGTTCCTTTACTAGAGTAAAACTTGGGGGGAAAAATCAATAGTTTTGACTCTGAGATCACTCACCGCTTTTGACAACTCTGTGATGTTACCTTTTCCTACAGCCACTGGTTTGATGTCACCTTTTGTCACAGTAACAAAGCAATACCAAAAACATGCTTTGGGGGTCCCTGAAGTGGACAGGAAGCCTTCTACCCTACATACCCAGCAAAGGCTTCAGTGCCACCCTTGCTCATTAGTGCCAAACACAGGTGGCTGGAGGTAAAAAGACACTCAATGAAACACAACTGCAAGAGAAAACATGTGGCCACGGCCACAGCAGAACTGTTCTAAGATAGGGCGTCTTTCTGAGGTTTGTGCTCAGCATTCATTTCCCTTTGGAGACAGTAGAAACACCACTGAAAGGAAGAGAGTAGCTGGCTTGTGCATGAAGCTTCCTCTCTGTTCTCAGAAAAGAGAACCAGCTGGACACCATCTTATCTTTTATCATTTCCTACTTAGAGAGCTGCACAATTTACCCCTTAGAAGGAGAGGCCCCAAACAGAAGACCTGACCTGTGATACCTGTGATATCCGCGACCTCCTGAGCAAGGAGATAAAAGGACTCAGGTCAGCCCTGACTTCCTAACCTCATCTGGCACCTCTTCGGATTCTAGAAAGAATCACCATATTGGAAAATTCCCTCCATACCCTCATTCCATTCAGTTGAGTAGGCAGAGGGGGGAAATTAGAAACAAAAGTGCCTGACATGCTAACACCAGGCTAAGGATTCACAGAAGGAAAAGTTGATGATCCCAGTCCCTAGAGATGGATGAACCAGTGTCAGCCCATCAATGAAAGCATGTTCAGCACCTACTAGGTGCCATTACTATGCAACTATTCCAAGCTGGGTCTTGAAACCAGGCTGGTCTGCCCACCACTGCGCAGCCTTGCCTGACTCCAAGGACGCTTCCCGCCTTTGGTTGCCCTTCCTTTCCGTTCCTATTTCCTCAGTTTCTGACACTTTGCTTTTGTCTCTCCTTCTCTCTCCCCAGTGCCCTCACTGGCATCAGATTTGGCACTCCGGTGCTGGCTTTCCAAGCTCTCTTTTGGCCACAGTGTGCACCCAGCTCCCGGTTCCATGGTTTTCTGGCCACCGTAGTGTACCCACATTGCTGTCCCTGGGGCCCAGCTCACCTTATCCATCTTGGTTGGCATCTCTGCCATGCCTGTCCCAGCTGCCCAGGGTGGGAGGCAAGGAGGGCAGAGAGGTAGGTGAACACTCTGTGCATGCTATCCTGTCTCTCCCTGATGTTTAGCAAAATTCAGACTTAGAAGTTCAGATTCCCTCAAGACACAAACCAGTTTGTGGCTTTTCTTAAGTCATGCTGTTTCAAGTCTATCTTAAAGTAGATTCCTGACTACAACTATTGCTTTCTTTGTATAATACTTGCTTCTTTCCAAGGAGCTTGCCATCTGCTATCTCTTTTTAGCCACATAACATCTTTGGGATGAAACGTAGTCAGATGAAAGAACATGAACCCCATCTTGCCTCATTTGGGGACACCAAGGCACACAGACCATGAATGATGTTATCCTAAGTGTGGAACGGTGAGCTCCACTTTGCTCTGACCACCTTCAGCTGCATAAGCTGGCACAGCCTTGACGGGTACAGATGTAGAGAGTTAGAGGATTAGTCTCTTGTGTGGATGAAACACTAGCCTTGCCAGGGATTTACCAAAGTCCCCACTCTAATTTTTCACCCAGGATGAGGAACCCAAGTCCAGAGGCTCAACACCTCTTTCCAGGTCTCTGCTCTGGGGCCACCCTGGGAAGAGACACAGGGCTGAGATCCAAGTTCCCAGTCTGTTCCATCTCTCCCCAGCCCTTCTTTATGCATAAAGGACACTTGTTGGGGAGTCAGTCTGCGCTTCTGGCATCTGGACACATCAGCCTATATCTCTAGGACTCGAGCAGGAAGTATGTTTGCCTCGCCTCGGGCTTCCTGGCCACACAGACCCACGTCCTCATTTAGAATGGTGGCATCATGGAGCCGGCTGAGATCTGCAGTCTTCAGTGTCAGCTGCGGGTCCACAAACTCCTACTGAACACGTACCCATAGCCCCAGGGGAAAAAACAAGGGAGGAAAGAAAATAACCAAGGTGGGGAGGGGGGAGAGATTCTGGAATCTAGACAACATCAAGAGCCCTGTTTCCATGACAACCACTACTTAATACAGTTGCTCAGACTGCAGCCTGTTCTAATCGGCCCCGTGGATGGAGCCTGCAGACCCAGAAATGGCCTCCAGCCACGGGGCTCCCAAGCAGCCTGGAGGACCACCACCATCCTCCAACCACCCCAATCTCCTACAAAGAGAACAGAGGGCAAAGGAGGGGTGAGGCTCACAGGGGAGGTGAGAAAGAACAATGAGGAGTGTTGAAGAAAGTGGAAAGTGAAAGGAAGGAGTCAGAGATACAGCCGGACATCCGGGGGGTTGTCTGTGGATGTTTGCTGGGGCCACCTGTGTTCGGCAACACTTGTCTTTGTGTTGGTGAGCCTGTGAGCACCCATGAGACGCATGACAGGCTGTAGCCAGCGTGAGTGTGACCATCCACAGCACGTCCACTGAGCCCATCTCCCTTCCCCTTCCTACACATTGGAGTACCCGCTTCCTCTCTTCTCTCTTCCCCTACAAAGCTCTAAGCTTTGTAGTCCAAGGATAACCCCTGTGAGGCAAAGGCCAGGGTCAGCAGCCAGCCAGTAGGTACCAGCAGCTTCCAACAATTTCTCAGCAAATTGTTGGGATAGAAAGAACAATAGTACTAATATTCTCTAAATTAGAGGTTTCTGGCTTAGGGGCACCCCCGAACCCTGCTCCTCACAGACTTCTCCAGTTCCCAGAAAATGATGGGTGACTTCTAGGTTTTCTTCCAATCCACATATGAGACCTCAGAGGCTGGCAACTTGTCAAAGTCACCTGCTGGGTCAGGTGTCAGCCTGGAGACTCTGTCCCTGGAAAGCCACACATCTCCCTGCATACTCCAGGCTGCACTCTCCTTCTTCCTGTATTCATCTGGCAATCACCCAAACACGCTGCAAATCAGATGACATATGACATGCTGCACACTCCGTCCAACTCTGAAGGGAGTCCGTCTATGGGGACAATGGGTCTGGTTTATATTTTAAGCAGCTAGAGTGAAAAACGGGGAGTGATGAGGTAAGGCCATGGCAACGAACACCATGCCACTATCCAGGATAATTACTTCGCCCAGCCATCCTGGAGCCAGGCGGCGGAAGCCTTGCCCCATAGATTATGAGCAATGAGACAGGGCCAGCCAGCTTAGGAATTCCCTTCCTCCACCTGCACCTTCACTGCAAATGGAAACACAGCAGAAGGAACCAATGCAGTGGGAGATCCCAATCAAAGCAAGATGACCTGTCCCTCAATTTCCAATCGTTGGAGAAATGCAAAGAAAAGTCCCTATGCATACCCCTCCTCCAAGTTGCTACATGGAAAATCAGAGCTCTGAATTTCGGTGATGGCTGCTGAGCCAAGAGACAAGGAAGACCCAAAATCAGCATAGGACAGAGATAGTGAAAAGGTCAGTGAGCGAGAGAGAGGAAAGGAGAAGCTGAAAGATGTTTGCCGCAAGCTAGGAATGACCTATTAAAATCCCCAGCCACTCCCTCAAGCTGGGATGCGGTCCCTGTTGGTGGCTTCACAGCTGCTATACCCCACTCAATGCAGGCTGCTTCAGGGCTCCAGGACACTTGTACTATTGGCCAGCTCAGATGCCACCCCTGCAGGAGCATGTGGAACCATCTGACTTGGATATGACTGGGCTTTCCTGCTGCAATGCCCTACAGATGCTCCATCGCCATATACACATGCCTTGCTCAGGGATCATGCCCATGTTGACCTTGGCCCCAAAACACGGATGGGAAGGAGCATGCCCAGGGAGCAGCCTTATATTTTCTTTTCCTTTGTTCCCTGAGTCCTCAGATGAAAATGGCTACAAGCTGATGCTCTGGAGAAGAGAATCCAATTCAGTGGCCACACCAACTAATACAGGGCATCCACTTTGCTCTTCAAAGACAATCAGAAGTGCAATAGTCAGAACATGGCGCATAGGAAGATCCTGAAAAGTCCAGGCCTGTGCCAGCTGCCTCCCTTCGTGGTCCTAAGTGCAACCCCTTAAAGTATCCGAAGAAATTGACTCCTGAGGGGCAGAAATCTAGCAAGGAGGGATGTGACCACACGTGTGTGTGCATGTTTGCATGCAAGCACGTGCACAGACACACACATTCTTACAAATGAAACTGCAATCACTGGTGATGTGTGGGTGTATGTGTGAGAGTTAGGGGGTTGTGCATGTGACTATGTGAAGCTCGGGATCACAAATGGAAGGAGAGCTGCATCTGAGGAAAAAAAAGAAAAAAAAAAAAAAAACAGAAAAAGCCACCAGCCCTGTACCCTCCGCACCAAGAGATCCTTAGCTTGTTGCACTCTCATTGGCCTCTTCAGCCTCTCCTATTTTCAGTGAAACTCTCCTTTGTTTCTCCCACCCCAGGTTGGCCCCAGACCACTAAATACACACCACCTGAAGATACAGCAAAACCCAGAAGTGGTGACCACAGCAACATGAGTACACACACTGCAGACTGTCAGCAGCAGGAGGGTCATGTGATTGCAGAGGGCAGCCTGACAAGCCCATGTGATTCCCTCCACATTAAGTGGAAAACACTGTCTCCACTGAGAAAGAGAGGTGAAGAGGTGGGAGGAGTGAAAAGTGAAATTAACTTGAGCCAAGATTACGCCCATGGGTTCTGTGGAGGCCAGGCCGGAAGGAAAGTCAAGAGGAGGGGCAGGAACTGCATCCAGCGTGTGGTTGTGTACGGTTGTGGTTCTGGGAGGATGGAGCTTTTGAGAAGTGTGTCTCTGGTACACCCTATGCAGGAAAACCTCAGCACGACTTACAGGTGTATAAGCATGTGTGTGGGTTTGCACGCAGCATGCCAAAAGCATATTTATAAATTGGGTTAAAGGTTGGTTAGGACCACAGATTCTGGTTAAAATACCAGCTTTAGAGTATATGACCACTTAGAGCTTCAGTGTCCTCATCTATGAGGTGTAGATAACAGTAAGTAACTATCATAGGGTTGCTTTGATGACATAATCCATGATAAAGCACGGGACATAGGGCCTGGCATGTAGTAAGTGCTCAATAAATACTAATTTGGTTTATTATTATTTGATGTTCCCCATGATCTCAGGTCTAAAATGACATAGCAAAAATAGGGTAGGTAGATACATAACATTATTATTTGCAAGAAAGCCACAGTTCATATTACCCAGTTAAACAGGGAATGGCTAACTTCTCAACCACACACTGAATATCAAGATAGGATGATAATTCTAACTGGATAATCTCAGTATTAGTCTAACATATATTTAAAAGTATCCCATAGTGTCATTGTAAAGCAAGGACTTTGATATTAGACTATGGGAGTATTCTATTTTTGCCACTTGCTGGTAATTAGGCTGGCTTAGCCTAATGCCCTGCACATATTAACACCTCAATAGCTGTTTTTAAAAATTACAGCTCTGTGGAGTTTTAGATGTGCTTAATATTGACAATTCTGTTCTTGGTCTAATAGCTTTTTTTTTCAATCATCCTTATAGCTGATTGTCAACATATCAAAACAAAAAGATTTATTCCATATCAACTGCCCACTGCTAGACAGTAAGTCATCGATGGACTTTCACAGGTTTATATGAAACATATGGATGTATTAATTCTTCAACCCACATTGAGATGAACTGTCACGTCCCTTTTAAACTCCATCACAGGCAGCAAGTATTAACCTGCAATTATTACCGTGTATAACGTGCTTTACAATTGGCAAGAACGTCAACAGTCCCTGGTTCATTCAGCAGCCCTGGTATCATTCACAAACTGCAGTTCTCTTTTTTTTCCTCAGGCCTGGAGGGAATTGAGAAGCAGAAAATAATCTCAGGCAGATCCAGCTGCCCTGACACTTGCAGTGCAGCTGGCAGGTGCCGGAGCTTCAGACACGTGGCCCACAGGTGCAACAAACCCACCTTGCTTGGGCTCTGCAACCATAGAGTCCCGCCCCGGCCAATGAAGCCATCCCTGGGGGTCTCTGAAAATTCTCCAGGCTATCTGCAAACTGGTCTCTCAGAATGTGTGGCCAGCTACACTTTAGAATACATGAACAAGCAATTTACTTGGTGATTCACATTGTACATACATGTATACACACAGGTACACATGGATATACAAATACACAATATATCCATACATACATGTGCATGCATATACACACATATGCATATATATACATACGCATACACACATACACATACAATGTGTATATCCATGCATAGCTACCCTTCCCAGTCACCTTGGGTGACACATTTTGCTGGGGATCTTTGTGGGAGAAGGAGGGGCATTTTCTGCTGCTCAAATAGCTTTTGGAACCAAAACATTTGCAAACCACTTGTTTAGGGGGCAAGACCTGAACTCAAGGAGCAAGACCTGAACTCAGAGGTTCGCACAACAGGTGACCAACCAAAGTTTGCGGTCCTAATTATTTCTACTCTCTTTTCCCTTTCCCTAAAGGCCCTAGGACAGTTTCCTCTGCACCCATGGTCCTCTAGGCCCTGCTGAGTAGGGCACTACTAGAGAGAGAAGCACCTGGTTCCTGACCTCAAAAATTCCCAGTGGTGAATGAGCAGTGTGGCACTTTGTAAAGCTTTATGGAATTAGGATAAATGCTTCTGGCTATTGGAAAACCTTATTTCACATGTGCACACATGTGTGCATGTGCATGTGTGAGTGTGTGTGTGTGTGTATGTGTGTGTGTGTGATCTGTGTGGGCTTGTGCCATGCTGCCATAAAACACAAATTTATCTTCATAATAGGGTCAATTACATTCTCCGATTTCCCCACAAGTGAGGCAACAAAAACAAATTTTGAGCTTCAACCTGCAGGAGAATGCCAGGATCTCTGTGTTGAAAAAGGGAGCCTTGGTTTACCCTCCCCCTGCCTTGCACAGACATATGTTGCACAGACAAACACCTGGAAGGTGCTTCTCAATTCTTTGAGGTTGCTGCCTCTCACATGCAGCTGTCAAATCACACCCCATCAACATGACACAGCAAATAACACTACGACACGCAACCAGCAACTTTTGAAAGTATACTCTCCCCACACCCAGCCCCGTCTGCCTTCTCCAGCGTGGGCTGCTGTCTTCAAACTAACCATCCTGAAACTGCTTTAAAGAGCCTGACAGGTAATTTATTCTGTGGCAGAGGATAGCAATTTCATTGTCCAGAGGCAAGAGATCCAACTATATCAGAAAATCCGTACTCTCAAGGAACACAGGTTTAATATGATAACGATTCTAAGGGTGTGTGTTCATAATTCTTCCTGTTCTTTCCTCCCCTTCCCTAAAGCTGCTAGTGAATGCTTTTGCAGTTTTTTTTAAGGGCCCTCCAAAGAACTGACATAAAATAAATCAAATATTTTACCACGAAAGGTGATTATCAAACACTTATTTGTGAAAAGAGTCAACCAGAAGGGGTCAAGGCCTAGCTGCTGTTATGGGATTTTTGCCCACAAGTAAAATGTTTTTAAAAATTGCATCTGACTCTCTTGGCAGAAAACCTGCTGGGATCTATAAGGTTTCACTTGGGCACCTGGTAGAGAAGGGGATGAAGAGCAAAAAAGGTTGGTGAACAGGACAACATCCGCTTCTAGAAGCAAAGTCAAGGCCGCTATGCACTTATTTTTCCAAAATAATATGATAGTTATTTTCACATTTTATTTGCTAAAATCCATGCAAAGTAAGTATTATTATTTCCATTTTACATATGAAAAAACCAAGGCTTAGGATATTGAAGACTCAGCTTCCTCAAATATAATATAGGAACAGTAGACCCTGGGTCCCTCCCAATGGTAAATCACAACTTTGCATGGTGAGCTCCCATCAGAAATAGAACTAGAACTGAAGTCTCCTAACTCTTAGTCTCTGCCTGCTAGCTCCCACCCCATGTGACTGCATCAGATCTGCATTGCAACAAAAGGTAAATTCGATGGGTAGGTGATTTTTAAACTCGCCTTTGTCAACGAACTTGTCATAAGATCTTGGACAAGATGCTTCCCTTTTTAGTATTTTGGAAGATTGACCAGTAAGGGGAGGCTGATAGCTCCTCAGATCATCGTGAGTTCTTTCTGGGTGGCAGTGTCCAGCACAGTGCCTGGAGTACAATATATCCTCCATAAATGCTCACTGCATTGAATTGAGAATAACAACAAAATTCTCTTAACCCCCACTGATGTTCCCTAGCTAGGAGCACGTTGCGCTCCGAAGCACAGGACATTGCCCACAGATCCCAAGGCTATAGGACTTAGCATTTCCATGGGCTCATTGCACTAAGCTCAGTGTTTTTAGGTAGTAATGAATGGAATTCTTTTTTAAACCCTGCATTCGGAGTCTATTTCATGCCTTTTTACATTTCACATTATATTTATATTTTTAAAAATCATTACCTATTTTACATTACACATTTTAAAAACCTATTCAGTCAAATAATAATCCTATTCCTTGGCTGCCAGTCAGGGAAATGAAGGTCTCACAAACAGTGATTTGCCCAAGGCCAGCAAAGACTGAATATCAGAGAAGGATGATCCCAAAGGTAGACTCAGCTTAATGAGGCCAGAGGTCTGTTGGGGCTTCACTTTGGAGAAGTCCTTCAGGGTAAGGAGTGCCAACTGCTTTGTGAAGTGGCATGCCACCAATGCTCGGTCAAAATCACATGCAAGAGTGACACTCCTGACCTCAAATCACCAGTTGATCAGAGTCAGGGGCAAGACAAGGGCACAGATCTTCTGAGGCTGGAGAACCACGTGCTCACCCTATCTGGGAGGAGCCCCAAGCCCTTAATGATCTCACGTGGCCTTCAGGGACACCCAGGCACTCCAGAGACAAAAAGAGAAGACAGATCCAGATCTGAAAGAGCAGAGAATGAGTTGTCAGTCAGGGACAAAGAGTGGGAGATTAAGGGAACATGCTAAGTGTCACTAGCCTGGATTCTTGTGTCAGGGCCACAGAGGTCCCTGATGCCAAAAGCTGGGATAAGCCTGTGGGTTGCATATAAGTTGCGTATGAAGTTACTGCTTGATGCCAGCAAGCACTGAAACAAGAAAGAGAAGCCTGTAAAGATGGAAATGAGGCAACTCCCAACCCCCATCCCACTTTCAGAAGTTTTAACAGATGTCCTTTCCACTCCCTTTTTTCTTGGGAATGCCTCAAGATTCTTACTTTTCTCGAACGGGCAACTTTCCCCACCACCTACGTGTTCTTTCTAGATTCCAATCTGCTGCTTCTCCATGGGGTTCTTTCTGTTCTTTTTCTTTTTTCTTTTGCTGACCTTTGTCCTCCCAAATGTTATCACTCAGAGAAGTCCCCCTCCGCAAACTTCCCCACTTAAGTGTGCTCTGTGCCCAGGCCCTGGGCTAAGCACGAGATGTGGAAAACTGACCAAGACAAAAAACAGTCCCAGGCCAACCTGACCTCACAGTGTCAGGCATTAAGCAAGTAACCAAGCTGCCCGCATCAGCAATACCTTCTGGCCCCTGATTTTTCTGTCTCTGCGATTTACCTTGCCCTGATCTAGCAGACTTAAAGGGATCAGTTTTTGGGGCTGGCACGGCCTGAGAGGTCAAACCCCGGGACACAGTGCCCAAGGCTGGCTGGCGTTTGATGGGATGGCACCAGTAGGGTCCTATTGGTTGCTGACAAATAGAGTCGGCTCTGCTTACCCAGCCCGTGCTGCACCAGCTTCCATCTGAACACCCCTCCTGCTGGTTTTATCACGAAGGAGACCAACCAACCGAAGCCTGAGATCATGGTACAGCCATGCAGATAGTCAGACCTCTCCATGCTTTTCCCACTCCTGTGTCTTCAGGGGCCTAGCTCCCTCAGATTCTCTTGGGGAACAAGAAGCTTTGCCCAACTGAGGGATGTTCCTTTGCTGATGTTTGGAGGTTTTCCTTCCTTTTTGTGGCCATGTTCCTACAGCCAAGGCAAATCCAATCAGCAGTACCATCCTTGTTGCACCCCGTCCTCTGTGGGGGAACTTTCCCGGCTTCTGGGCTGTTCTCCATCTGGTTCCAAAATCCCAAGCCTTCAGAGAGAGCAGTCGCACTGCCTGAAGTTTAAATCAACTAGGCAATTTGCTTTCTAGAACTCAAGTCTGCCGATACTCTGTACAGTTTTTCTTTCCTCAGTGCAAACGAGAAACTGATGGTTTCATGACTGTGATCTCTCTGCCCTCTCCTCCCAGATGTTTCTAGAGTCAATTCCAGCTGCCACCGGGCCTGTTGTCCATTTCCTGGCACGTGCTCAGTCAATACAAATAAAGACGATGAGCCGACACTGCGCGTGGTCGTGACCATGTTCCCCTGGATTGCCCTGGACTTGGTCTTCCTTTAGACACTTCCCTCTTCATTAACCTCACGTCTGCATCCTTTCTTTATTACACATAAGTGAAAATATTGCTATTGAAGGATTCAGCAGAGAAAATTTCCAAAGACCAACATGTGGCATCTCCAGGGTTCCCCTTCATTTTCTAAATTGGTACTTCACTCAAAACATTTCTGGCATAACTTCTTTTCAAAAAATGTGTGCTTCCATTCCAAGCAACATAATAATAGACCAATCCCATCAGTGAGCAGAGGAGGGCCATGGATTCCTTTGGCTCCCCTGCTGCCATTCAGTGCTAAAACACTGTCCAACAAAGCCACATCCACCTCAGTGAACTGGGTGGGATCCCCCTGCCTTTGTTCTTTCTCTGCAAATGCCTGGCTTAGAAACTAAGCCTGATTGAAAACCTGCAGACCAACTTAAGAACATTGTCTTGCTGAATTTCAGCCTTGATTAATACCCTTTTCTAGAATCTGAAAGTCCTTTGTCTTGAAACTCTAGTCCACACTTACTCCTGTCCTTCAAATTTGGAAATTAAACCAGATACTCACCTTCTCATCATTTTAATGATGCCCTTTGGCTCAGGTGTTGTTGTCAGAAAGTAACTCTTCTCTTTCTTTTTTTGAGAAGAAGTCTCTCTCTTGTCTCCCAGGCTGGAGCGCAATGGCGCCCTCTTGGCTCACTGCAACCACCTCCTCCTGGGTTCAAGCGATTCTCCTCCCTCAGCCTCCCGAGTAGCTGGGATGACAGGCATGTGCCACCATGCCCAGCTAATTTTTTTACTCTTAGTAGAGATGGGGTTTCACCACAATGGCCAGGCTGATCTCGAACTCTTGACCTCCCAAAGTGCTGGGATTACAGATGTGAGTCACTGTGCCTGGCTGAATGTAACTACTTTATTGACAAAGAGGACCCAGTTCTGTCCTTTGAGTATCTTGAATGGCAGGTGTCATCTAATGAACATGTAAAGGGACCTAAGTTCCAGTAACCCCAGGCAGCCTGGTGCACATCTGTGTTAAGGTGTGTGTGTTGGTGTGGGAGGGTGTGTGGGGTTTGTGTGAAGCTGTGCCAACCTGTGGGTGTGCAACCATGCACCCTCTCCACTTTCCCCACACCTGAGTGGTCTGCTGGTCACCGTCAGTAGACCATGCATGCAAAATCATTCTTCTGGACGTGCAGGAGAAACTGAAAACCAGCACTGTCAGGTGTGTTAAAACCCTTAAGATTGGTTCTCGGCTGGGCGCGGTGGCTCACTCCTGTAATCCCAACACTTTGGGAGGCCGAGGCGGGCGGATCATGAGGTCAGGAGATCCAGACCATGGTGAAACCCTGTCTCTACTTAAAAAATACAAAAAAATTAGCCGGGCACAGTGGCAGGCACCCTGTAGTCCCAGCTACTCGGGAGGCTGAGGCAGGAGAATGGTGTGAACCCAGGAGGCGGAGCTTGCAGTGAGCCGAGATTGCACCACTGCACTCCAGCCTGGGTGACAGAGCAAGACTCCATCTCAGGAAAAAAAAAAAAAAAAAAAAAAAAAAAATTTGTTCTCATGAACTTCCTGGCTTAGCCAACCACATCCACCCTTCCATGTGTAGGTTAATATTCCCAATCTGCCACCTGCTCCTCCTTCTATGTGATTTCTCGAGCAGATGCAAAGAGACTTGTCTGGGGCAACTCACACCCCACACCATCTTGATTTTTGTCTCTGGGGTCTTCAAAGCCCTCTCCTTGCCACAGCCGAGTGAGCGCCCCTGCCTTGGCATCCACTCATCTGACCATCATCAGTGCCCCTGTGGGTCTTCCCCCTGAAAGCATCTCACACAACACATCTAGTTGCCTACTGCCATGGGGTACAGTAGATAAGAGACTTGTCTCCATAGTGTGAACCAGAATTTATTGCATCTGAGCAAATCATGGTCACAGCTATGTAGCTTTGACATTCACTTCTAGATAGATAATGGCATTTTTCACGCCAAAATTCTTTGAAAGCAAATATATGATCTGGCTTCATTCCACAACCAGACCAGTTGAAACACCTCACTTCCCTGTACAGAAAAATAAAAGTGAGAAATACAAAAAAGCAGTCCTAGAAATGCCACTGACCCCACCCTGTGGATGGAAGGCAGGGTGGGATGGGACCGAAGGGTGCCAGGAAGCTCTTCTCTCTGGGGGCTCTGCTCAGCCCTCACTGTGTCCCCCCTCAGGGATTCCAGCTCCTCACACAGCCTCTCAGGCTCACGTGATAAGGTGGGAAAATGAAGGTCAAAGTTAAAGAGCAAAAACTCCCGAGACCTTGATGAAGGAGGTTGTTTGCTGTGCCCTGAAAGTTGAGCTGATGTCTCCCTGGTAGGCTTAGGTCAGCTCTGCTCCAAGTTAACACAAGCCCAGGAGCCCCGATGGAGGAAGGGAAGGCCCAAGGCGGGGCAAGACTAAGACAGCCAGGTGTGGTCTTGAGCACAAGAGGTAGACTGACCCCCAACCTCCCTGAGCTACACGTGGATAACAGTGCAAACCCTTTACCGTTGTTGATGGTTAAACAAGAAATTGCATGTAGCGTGCTTAGACCAGAGGCTGCACTTCATCCCCACTAGTAAAGGTTAGGTAATATTAATAACAACATACGAACAACAACAAATACCCCATTATACTTCTTTTTGTCACCTCACAGCCCAACAAACTAGGCACAGGCACTGTCACCATCCCATTATGCAAGAGGAAGTCCAGCCCGTGTGCCATTAACTATCTGCCCCAAGTCTCACTGCTAAAAGAGGAATTGAAAGGGGAATTTGAAAAGGGTGGAACTCATGGATTCCACTGGAGGAGCCCAGAGAAGAAACCTGGTAAAGGTTTTCAAATGGCCCAGCTGCCCAGACAATGCATGAAATCTGAACTCTGACTCTATCTCTCTTAGCCTTTGAACTGCCTCCTCGAAGAGAAGTGAAACTTAACTTTATAAACCAGACACTAAGATGCATCTTTTAAACAAGAACATAGAGTAGCTCTTCCCCTATATCAAGCATCAACTATCCAGGTAACTATGTTACCTCATTGTATCCTCACAAAAACCCCACCCTATCCGAATTCCCAAGGGTTCCATTTTACAGAGGAGGAAATAGAGAGTCAACAAGCTAAGGTAATGAGTCTGAGGCCATATAACTAGTAAGCGGTAGATCTGGGATTCCAGCCTAGAGCTAGCTGGTCTTTGGCACCATTCCCCTTTGCAGCAGGCCTGCAGCAGACACACACACCTTTGAATTCCTCGACAGGCCTGTGCCTGGACCTTCCATCCTCCCTTCCTCTCCCCACCCGCCCACATCCATAATGCGCATTTTCATTAGGCATCTTTGCCCAGTGATCTGCTGATTTGTTATATTAGAATTGCAAACAAATGCTCTCATTTCATCCTCCTATCCCCTCTCTTGCCCTCCTGACATCTGAAATTCAGCATTGATTTTTCTGGCCCCGCTCCACTGCCTAACTGACATTTCCGGTTGATTTCACCTTAGAGGCTTGCAGTTGGCTCACCAGGCTCCCACTAGAGCCCAGAATGGAATAGCGCATCACCTGGATAAGCAGAATTGGACCTCATCCCCTACTTCCTGCTCTCAGTGCTCTCACTGTGTCAGAACTCAGTGCCCTCTAGACTCTGTCCCCATTAACCGATTGATGGATATGCATACCTCAGTCCTTCAAGATTCTCAATGGGAAGGGAAGGAGGGGAAAACTGTGGAAAATGTCCTGGGAGGTGGGACCAGGTGAATTTTGATCTCCTAAGTACTGATGTTTTCAGCCATAGCTGGGGTAATTGGACCTCTTGTGGAGGAGAAAGGGGATTATGAGGAAGACCAAATGGACTGAGAGATAGAGGTGGGAAGGGGACTGGGATACCATGTTACAAACAGAGGATCTCTCATATCTTAATCCATCAGAAGACTCATAGAATGATCACTTATCTAAAATGGGACTTAATAATCCCCAGAGGTCATCTAAGTCAGTCTTCTGTCCACACCACACAGCACATCTTAGGAAGGTGAGCATCTCTCCTAAGTTTAAGAACTCAAGCTGGGTGCAGTGGCTCATGCTTGTAATGCCAACACTTTGGGAGGCCGAGTTGGGCAGATCACTTGAGTACAGAAGTTTAAGACCAGCCTGGACAACATGGTGAAGCCCACCTGTACTTAAAAAAAAAAAAAGATTAAAACACTTTTTAAAAAAATTAGCCAGGTGTGGTGGTGTGTGCCTCTGGTCCCAGCTACTTAGGAGGCTGAGGTAGGAGGATTGCTTAAACCCAGGAGACAGAGGTTGCAGTGAGCCAAGATGATGGCGCTGCACTCCAGCCTGGACAACAGATGGAGATCTTGTCTTAAAAAACAACAACAACAGAAAACACCTCAAACAAAAAAAACGTATAGCATCTCTCACACCTTCTAGCTTCTGTCTCTGATAAGTACATTGGACTACTAGGTTCCAAACAGAGCTACGTTTTCCTCCCAGGACTTCCCATTCCCAGTGGGTACTGACCAGTGGGTATCCAAGTTGGTTTTTTATGGAAGCTTCCATTTTGTCAATAAGGAATAGGCCCAGTGTCCTGTGAAGTGGTCAGTGGTGACCAGCTCCACAAGGAGAAGACAACTCACAGAGGTACACTAGAGTGGCCATTGCCAGCTCACAATAGCTGGTTGTTACATTTTTAGGAAGTTTGTGATCCAGTTGTTAAACTATTGGTAGTTTGCGAACACCAGGGTAGAAGTATTTACACCATAGAAATTGGCATCTGCTATAAATTAGGGCTTCTTTTTTCTGCAGAGCCAAGAGTTTCATGAAGAGGGTGCCCAGTCATGTGGTCAACATAGAAAGAGGGAGAGGCATAGAAAGGGTGGGGTGAGGAGGACGAGGTGGAGGCAAGTCAGGGAAACCACATTCTTTAGTATCCTCGGAAAAGCAAACTCTAAACAATCACCTTTCCTTCCTTCCTAACTAGGAAACATCTTATTCCCTCTGCAGCTATATGTTATTTCTTCTCTAAGGAAAGCAGTTATTGTTTCTTGTTCTCAGACCTAAAGTGGAGAAAACTAGAGACAGAACTTTGGATCCTATCATTTCTCAGAAGCCATGAGTCAGAGAAGGAAGAACCAACAAAGGGCTCTGAACTATAGACTGAATTCTATATGCACATTTATACATAGCCCAGTTCTAGTTGTCTCTAGAGATTTCTTATGTAGAAATATCTATACAAGACAACAGCTAACTGTAGAGCTCATCAAAATCAGGGATTGTACCTTTCATTTCTTATATAACCATGGTTGTACCTGGTAAGATATTAATGTTACAACAGGTAATGAATAAAATTTTGGTTTATTAATTGAATCACTTTGAATTGAATTGGATTGGTGGCAAACCACTGGTTTATGATCAGATGTCAAGACTTTTCAAATCCCTTTTCTAAGAGGTAAAAATTAGCTGGTTGGCTGGCTGGCTAGACCAATAGACACTGATTAGGCATACACATGACCTTATAAGTTATCTTGAGCTCACACCCCTGGCTCTACTCATTCCTGTATTGTCCAGTTGGATGGCTTTGCTTCTTTCTCCACAGTTCTCCTGGCCTCTTACTCAGATCCATGTGCTTTGGGCTTTTGGTTCTTAGTAAGCTGGTAACTTGGCCCCTGACTACATTCAACTGTGCACCTTGAACAACCCAAATTAAAACAATCCAAAGCCTAGTCAGGTCAAGACAATGAAGCTGGTGCCACCATGTCCACATTCAGAAGTGGACTCAGAAGGCAGGAGGAACCATGTTCTCCAAACCCCCAACTCAATCAGTGTTTCCCACTGCAGATGATCCATTTCAGGGAAACCATGCCCAAAGAGATGAACGGACAGATCCTGGTCACATGGCACCAGCTCTACTCCCATAAAGGGGTGAGGAGGCAGAGGTACCTTATTTAGAAACCTGTCCTTTTCTGGATCCTCTGTCACACATGACTGCCACTGTCACACATGACTGCCACCATTGGTCATGCTTCTCTCTTTCCTGACAGCTTCCTCCAGAACCAGAGGCAAAGCACCTTCAGTGCCCTGTACAAAAGCCCAGGTTTGCTGGGCTGGGGCACTGCCTCAACAGAGAGGCCCATCCTCCCCAACCTAGTGGCAGAAGTCCAGACTACTTCCACCCTAATCTGGCAATGGGTGTTCGCCTTGGGGGAACCAAGACCTCTCTGAGAATCTTCTCAAATATTTTGGAAAATGCTCATGCATCCATTGTTTTACAGACAAACTTACAGAGCTCAGCGGCTGTGACAGTCCCCCTGGGGGCCCTGGGCTAATGGCCTCTGATGAAATGCCTCTCCCAGTCACACTGTCCATTTCCTTCCTGGACACCAGCTCCTGTTTTTCATTTCTCGAGTCCCCTCTGTCCTCCAGGAAGGAAGATGACTGCTCTATGGTACACCTCCACATACAGGTGAGCACACTGATATCCACAGAGGCCATGCAACTTGCTCAGGCTCGCACAGAAGTTACTAGGAGAGATGGGATCGGGATGTAGGTCCAGGAGGCTGTGGCTCTTTCTAGAATTTAATGCAGCCACACAGTGCTGTGTTTGTGGATCTCAGAAGCAACCACATCAAAACCCTGGCCTCTACTCTTCCTCAGCTATGAAGGAGGTATGAAACCTCATACATGAAGTTTCAAAATGGGAGGGAGTGCTCCTCCAAGGAAGCAGGTAGGTCTTTGCTCAGAGGTAGGCGGGACACGTGATTAGCTCTGTGTGTACTGGGGTGATGTCTTCAGAACCAATACCGTAAATGCCTCTGACACACCGTTTCCACTGTTAATGAGAAAGCTCTAAGAGCCATTAATCTCATTACTGTTCTATCAGCAGCCAGTGATCATGTTCATTTCACTCCTCCTCTCCAACTCCTTGGTCACTCAGCTACTGAGAAGGGTGGACTGGGAAGGCTGGAAAGGCCAGGACCCTGCCCTCAACTGAAGTCAACGGTGGCATCACTCCAGAATTCTTGGAGCAGAGGAACCTGCTCAGCCTGCTATAGGAACAATGGCCAAGGAGGCAGCTGTGTCCCCAGGACTCCTAGCCCCCTTAGTGGGCCTCTTCAGCCCTCTTTCTCTCTGAGATTCTGGAGTATTTCTGTATGTCCATGAGGGAGCACTCTGTCCCACTATGGCCTGGAGCTCCCTGAGCAAGTCGGAGGCCCAGGAGGCCCACATGGATGAGTCAGTCCCTAGTCCTCTTGTTTTATGGCTCAAGGTCCTCTGCAGGGGTGGAATCTTTGACCCAAGGCTAAGGAGCCCAGAAAGATGATTCAAGTCAGAGAATAATTCCAGGTCACCCTCTCTTCTGTAGCCACACCTTCAAGGTGTAGATTATACAAACCCAGAAGTCCTAGTTACTCACTAACCCCCAGCCACTTTTGTGAAAATGGCACTTGACTGCTATGCCTTATGGAAGACCGTGTCTAAGGAAGGAGCGTGAGGCCAGGTGTGGTAAGTCTAGACCACGAGGGACTCAGGGCCCACCCTTCACAGCTGAGGCCTCATCCACGCTGGTCCAGAAGTCTTCCCATCATAAGCATCTCATCTTAAGGAGCGGCTGGGTTATATTCCAGTCCTTCTGGCTGATGTCTGCACCCTGGGCCTCCTCTTTGCTGCATCCTTGCCCTGAGGCTTCTTGAGGTTATCACAGGAAAAGGGTTAGAGGCAGCAGCGGCTGCTGACGTCACATCAGTATCCCCTTCACCACCAAGAGCCAATGTGCTGAGCAGCTTAGAGGGTATTTGAGGAAGCATGTCCACAAGGGCAGATGGGCCTGGTACTCGGGAAGTTGGGAAAATACAATTAGACAGAAGCCTGGTCCCAAATCAAAATTTCAGTAAGGGCTTGCCTGCACTGATGTCCAGCAAGGAAAGGCTATTTCCTTTGTGGGGTCTCCTGTACTCTGTTGTCAGCCCTGCCTGATGGGCCCAGTGGGTAAAGGGCAGTGAGCTGAGCTGTCATTGAAATATCCCTGCATGTAGAGAGTCTTTCTAGAAGGAAGCAAGAGCTTGGTCCACGGACTCCCATGAGACTCCAAAAAGAGAAGGCAGTGCCGGCCCCTGGAAGAGACCAAGCTCACACTCCTAAGCTACCCCAGTGGCCCAGGAGTGATTGGCACAGGGATGGGATGGGGCTGTGTGGGAAGGGCAAGTTCATTGGTAGGCAGGGCCCTCCTGGCCCTGACAGCCAACGATTCCCATCTTTCTTCAATCAATAAAACTTCTGCTCCCTTCAGTCTGTCTGGAAGCTCTTCCCAAAAGGAGGCTCAAAGTATCAGACACCAAAATATTACATCACACTCCCTGCCCACTTCCTTCCCCAAGAGTCCTCTCTTATTCCAAAAAGGGATGCTGGAAGGACACACAAGAGTTTCTTGCCCTTTTCTTTTGGTTTTATTTTTGTCTCAAGTCTGGCTTAGCCATGGGAGTCAGAGTAGAGAAAGAAGATGTTTTCCTCCCCTGCTTTGGCCAGGAGGATAATTCCAAAGGAAATCAAAAACCTTTATCTGTCATCATCTCCCCCAGCAAGGCATCCCAGCACCATGCATTTAATAGAAAGAGAAATCGTTCCAGCATGGAGAGATGGAAGAGACAGCAATAAAAGGCCAGGCTTCTGCCTCCCACATTAGCGTCCCACCCATCAGGAAGCATGCCAAGTCACTTCAGACCCAGGGAGCCTGTGGCATGCCCATCTCTACCAAGTACATGTTAGCAGAGCTCAGAAGGCCAGGAAAAGAAGAAGTAATGTGTCCAACACAAGGAAAGCGATGGTGGCCATGACGTCTTGGGAAATCCAAAAAAACATGGCACACAGTGTTTCTAGTCTCGCATCTCTCCCTGCAAGGCTCATTAGTGAGCCCTCACACACTGCAAGATATGGTCTGAAAGGTGTAAGGGTCCAGCTCCCAGCTCCCTGGGGGCCTGATACTCTACCCTCTCGCTTCTGTGGGGAGAGATGCAAAGAAAGGCAATATGGCCATCTCTTCATGGGCAACTCTCTTCCAACCCAAGCTCTCTGATCTTCAAAGGGGAGAGATGGGGTTGGACATGAGCATCAGTGCAAGGGCTCAGAGAAATGTATCAGCTGCAAGACAGCTCCCAAGATGGTCAGAAATGCAGGTCCTAATTACATCCCTCCATTGGCTATGACCTTGGGTCACCACACACCAATTATTTACTCTGGCAAAGTGATTAGGGAATTGGAACCAGGGAATGGATATGTGTTGGGGTAGAGGCGGGAACCTGGGGGTTCAGAAGATGAGGATGGCAGTGGCAAAGATGCTCCTTCTGCATCTGCCTCCTCCTAATTGGGGTCACTGCAGGCAACAGTTAGGGAGCCACGCACCACGTTCTAGTTTTTGGTCATGGGGAATTATGTAGAGGCCCCAAAATGACAAGAGAAGTGGAGGAAAAGGAGGAGAGAAGGATAAGGGCCAAAAAAACAGTTGCCCATGAACAAATGCAAATCCTATGTCAATTAGGGAGAGGATGGAAGCAGGTCAACAAACCTGCCCTTCTCCCAAGAAGAGAGAGAAGTCAGATCAGGCAGGTGGGAGAGCAGCAAAGATGGGCAAGGCTGGAGAGAAAGGTGACACAGACCCCACACAGGGACTCAGACTGCAGGGCCATGGTTCTCCAATTATGACCCTAGGACTAGCTACAGCTGCATCACTCAGCCCTTGTGAGAAATACCCCTTTTTGGATCCCACCCTAGCTCTATTGACTCAGAAACTATAGAGGTGTGTTTTAACAAGCTCCCCAGGTGATCCCGATTAACCTTCAGGTCTGAGAACAGTCCCCAGAAGGAAAAGGAATTCCAGTTTCCCATTGCATCCTTTGCCCACAGTGAGGGTTTTTTTTTTTTCTTCCAGACAGTCTCAGTGTCACCAGGCTGGAGAGCAGTGGCGCAATCTCGGCTCACTGCAACCTCCAACTCCCTGGTTCAAGCAATTATCCTGCCTCAGCCTCCCGAGTAGCTGGGATTACAGGCACGTGCCACCATGCCCAGCTAATTTTTGTATTTTTAGTAGAGATGGGGTTTCACCATGTTGGCCAGGAAGGTCTCTATCTCCTGACTTTGTGACCTGCTCACCTTGGCCTCCCAAAGTGCTGGGATTATAGGCGTGAGCCACCGCGCCCAGCCAATGAGTGCTTTTAAACTCCAAATTCCCCTTCAAGACCTCATATCACTTTCAGTGACTATAATAATCATTTCTCTCCAGAGATGTAGTCTTTGACCCACCGTCAGCAGAAAGGACATCAGAGTGTGGTCTATTTTGAAAGAGCAGAATGAGGTTTGCACCACATGCTGAGCACACCCTTGTCCCTGCTCTCTGGTGTGGGCAACAGCCTAGCAGCCCACTGGGTTTAGTGTGTCTGTCATCACCACACTTTCCTGTGCAGGAATGGCAGCAGCAACAATGCTGTCAATGAAAGTAAAGGAAGCAAGTAAGCTTTGAGCACCCATGTTGGGCACTGTCCTGAGCATTTGATATGCCTTCTTTCATCCAATCTTCACAACAGCCCCATCGTATAGACAAAACATGTTCAGAGGGGTGAAGCCATTTCATCAAGGCCACGTGACTCTTAAGCCTCATCTCAAAGTTCTTGTTCCTGCTTCTGCATTGCCTTCTTAAGAACAACAACAAGAAGCCTCTCCATTTTCTTTGCAGTTAATTTGCAAACCACAAAGCCAAAAGCTGACTTATCACCCTTGCAAGAAAAGGGGCTTGGGTTCTGTGAGGGGCATTTCTTGGCTTTAACAAGAAGCTGCCTGGGAAATGGCCCTACAAAAGGAGGCCAAGTAGAGTAGGGCATAGAAAGGACGTTGTTCTGAGCTGAAGTGCGCCCCCCCAACCATGTCACTGCCTTTCCACAAATTCATATGTTGAAGTCCCAACCCCCAGTACCTCTGAATGTGACTGTATTTGGAGATAGGGTCTTTAAAGAGGTCATTCAGTTAAAATGAGATCACTAGGGTGGACCTTAATGCAAACTGACTGGTGTCCTTATAAGAAGAGGAAATTTGGACACCAGTAGGTACAGAGGAAAGGCCATGTGAAGACACAAGGAGAAGACAGCCAAAGAGAGAAGCCTGAGGAGAAGCCAGCCCTGCCTATACCTTGATCTTGGGCATCCAGCCACCAGGAGAGCGAAGGAATAAATGTGGGAGCCACCCAGTCTGTGGTACTGTGCTATGGCAGCCTTAGCAAACTCATCCAGATCTCTTCCTGTCCTACGGTGGGCTGTCCACCTTCCCACAGCTCCTTCAGCATCCTCGATGGGGCCAATGCTGGCCAAGAGAAGCAGGTTCTGTGTATCCCTGCACTGGGTGGCAGCCTGAGGCTGTAGAAGTACCACCCTGACTGAGGAGGTTGGGAGACGTCTGGGAAACAGGCAGCCCCGGCTGTCAGCCTGCAGCCTCGCCTGGACGCTGTTTGCACTCACACACACTGGCAGGTATCTGTGGTCATCACGGTGGCTGTTCCGCTGTTTGCCTCCCTCCTGGCAGGTGCCTGAAAATAAAGCATGAAGCCCAGACAGCCCAAGGATGGAAAATCATGGAGCTGAGACAAAACACGTATTTGCAGAGAACAGGTTCAACTTCAGGGGTGGGGAGGGGCGCCTGGCTCTCAGGATGGTGCAGAGGGAATGACAGAGAGGAAGGTATCAGGTGTGCAGCAAAGCAGAACATGAGAAGGAGGAGAGGGCCAGGCCACATTCAAGTGTGCCCAAGTATATGACACACACACACACACGCAGAGTGAGGGCCGCTCGAATTGACACTTGGAGACATGCCAAACCCCAATGCACTCACTCACACATATGCCTGCATGCAGACCCTGGGTGACACACACAAGCACAGTCTTCCTGTCTGTTGGGAGCCCGCGCAGTATGTTTGCTGAGTGAAAATGCTCCTTGGAGAATCCTCCGTTTGCATTCTCCACACACACCCTTTCTTTCTGGGCTTCGAAATTGTGCATCAAGCGTGCAGCTGTGAAAAGAATGATACAAGCAGAGAAGCCTGCCAGGATGCTCCATGTGGCCTAGCGGAGGGGTGGGGGAGTGGGGCCCAGATGGTCCTCAGCCAGTCTGAGGGTGTGGGTGCCTGGCTCCCAGTGACCTGACTTACAGTCTCAGTCCCTCTCCTCCCCTGCCCAGACCTGACCATCAACCCCTCTGCCCACCTCTGGAGGCCTGGGAGGAAGATGTGGGGCATGCAAAGTTGTCAGGAGAATGCAGGTGAGGCCAGCCTTCTGCAGCTCACAGGATGGACGAGAGAAGGTGCCCCTCCCTTGTCTCTGGCCCTGATGGGCCTGACAGGGCGCCGGTGGGAGGGCAGGAGGGAGACAAAACCATTTATATGTATTTCTGGTGGACATGTTTGGGGGTCCCTCTTCGCATCTCCTCTGTTCTTTTTTTTTTTTTTTTTTGGAGATGGAGTCTCACTCTGTCACCCAGGTTGGAGTGCAGTGGCACAATCTCAGCTCACTGCAATTTCCATCTCCCAGGTCAAGCGATTCTCCTGCCTCAGCCTCCCGAGTAGCTGGGACTACAGGTGCCCACCACCATGCCTGGCTAATTTTTTATATTTTAGTAGAGACAGGGGTTTCACTGTGTTGCCCAGGCTGGTCTCGAACTTCTGAGCTCAGGCAATCCACCTGCCTCGGCCTCCCAAAGTGCTAGGATTACAGGTGTGAGCCACTGCACCCAGCCTCTGTTCTCTTTTTATAAGGCCAAGAGCGTGCTCTGAACTTCCATCTCAACCAATTTCCTAGAAGAGGCTGGAGGTACAGAACTAAGCCAAAACAACCAGAGGGACTAATCAACCGGGTCTGGACAGTGATAGGATTAAAGTCAGTGACAAATTTTATTATGGAGCTCTAACCATGCCCAGATAAGTGTGTGACGAGAAGATAACGACTCAGCTGCGAACCGGCAGCCACTGGGGAGCCCTTAACAGACTGAGCCCAGGATGGGCCAGGAAGAGAAGAGGGCAGTGGAGGGGAGGGGAGGGGAGGAGGGCTGGGGAGGAGTTGACGAATCAATCAGAAAGGCTGAGGGCAGGGCTCCCTCTCCATTCATGCCCAAAGACCACCCTCAGCCCAGCCCACCTGGGAGACCTTGGATGGAACTGGTTCCTACATCCCCATAGAGATAACCGACACCATCTGATTTGTCTCACATTCCCCAGTTTCCATTTACACTTTAATGGTTCTGTATTTTTTTTAACCTCATCATTACCTTTCAGATCTAAACTCATTCTGCCAACACTGAACCCTGTCTCCCATGTCACACAGACATAAGGTATTTGGAGCTTTTTCTCTGGTACCTAAGTGAGTACCTGTATTCTTTTTAACTTTCTATTTTAAAACAATTTTAGATTTATAGCACAATTGCAAAGTTAACCCAAAGATTCCTGTTTATCCCACACCCAGCTTCCCCTTGTGTTAACATGTTACGTGTAACCATGGTACAATTATTGAAACAAAATTAACATTGTACTGTTAACCAAACTGTAGCCTTATATTTGGAATTCATCAGTTTTTCCACTAATGTCCTTTTGCTGTTCCAGGATCCAATCCAAGATCCCACACTGCACTGATATTTTTCTTCCTATCCATTTCAGATTATTCATTACTGCTGAAAGTAAACAACAATTTGATGAAACACATCTTAAGTCATCTCTCCTTTAAGCACATGTCCCCCATTGCATCCATCAACCTTCCCTCACAATGTAATAAGAATCACAGAGAGGAGCTAAACAACTGGGCAGCTTGTGGTGCCATTTATGATGTTTCATGAAGGTAGGTTCTGAGGATGACATGGTGAAAGTGGAGAGAAAATACCTCCCTGTGTGGTTGGCCAGATAATAGTCCTCAAAGACACCCATGTCCTAATCCCTTATACATTACCTTCTAGAGCAAGAGACTTTGCATATGTGATTGAGTTGAGGACCTTGAGATGGAGGAGATTACCCTAAATTATCTGGTAGGTCCTAAATGCAATTGCAAGTATTCTTTTAAGAGAGACACTTACAGAGGATAGAGGGAGACTTTACTACACTGAGAGGGAGGCAGTGTGAAGACAGAGGAAAGAGATTTAAAGATGCTATGCCGTTGGCTTTGAAGATGCAAAAGGAGCCATGAGCCAAGGAATGCAGCCCCAGAGGCTGGAAAAGGCAAGGCAATGAATTCTCCTCTGGAGGCTCCAGCAGGAATGTGGCCTTGTGCGCACCTTGGTTTCAGGCCAGTGAATCCTATTTTGGACTTCTGATCCCCAGAGCTGTAAGAGAATACATTTGTGTCGTTTGAAGCCACCAAATTTGGGGTAATTTGTTACAGCAGCCATAGGAAACCAACACATCGTGTCATTTAGAATAGTGGGCACTCGAGACATACTCATTGGGCGAATATACCCAGGTGTATCTCCTTCCAGAACCCACTACACCATGCAGTCTGAAAACGACAATGTACCCCATTCCTGCTATTTTCTGGTGAGGATATTAACCAGCCTACTAGAACCAAAAAGTTCTTTAGAATTATCTAGTATATGCTTGGCAGGGTCTACCAAAGCGGTACACATGCCATGACCTAGCAATTTCACTCCTAGGTATATTTCCAACAGAAATGTGAATATATATGGTCACCAGAAGACCTGCATGAGAGTATCAAGGGCAGCACTGTTCATAGAAGGCAAAAACTGAAAGTTATTCAAATGTTCATCAACAATAACATGGAAAAGTCAATGTTGGTGTACCCACACAACGGAATGCTACACAGCAATAAGAATGAACAAACTACAGCTGCATAGAGTGAGCTGGGTATCTCTCTCACAAACTTAAGTAGAGCAAAAGAAAGGAGACACAAGAGAGTATGGACTGCAGGATTCCAGGCACATCAAGCAGAAAGCAGGCAAAGCACATCTGTGCCATGAGAGGTCAGGATGGTGGCTGTCCCTGGTGGGAGGGAACAGAAGGGGACTTCTGGGGCATGGGAATGTTCTATTTATTGGTTTCAGTACAGGCAACATGGAGGAGTTTAGCACGTGAAAACTCACCAAGATGTACACTTAGGACATACGCACATTCCTGCCTGAATATGACAGTGCAATAAAAAGTTACCCAAGAAACCCCAGTTTGGAAACAGTCCCTCTGCCAAGCCCATCCACTCCCAAGCTGTGTGCAGTGGAGAGCTGGGCGAAATGCCTAACGGGACAAGCACTGCAAATGAGGTTTGCCTATTACCATAATTACATCTCTGGGAATGTGCAAAGCCCTCATTTTCCCTTCATGTCTATAATATTGTGGGGACACAGGATGCAATTACAGCCTGAAATATGCAGCTTAGGAAGTATAAATACACACATCTACGTAGACCTAGGTAAACCGTGTGCCTTTACAGAGCACGACCGAACCAGAGCCCGCGCTCTTCCTCCTGCCACCCAGCCGTGGAGCATTTGGACCCTTTGGGCTGCTGTCTGATCTAAGACGGCAGCTCTGAGGATCAATTCCCCTGAGCAGACAGTTTTCTGAACCAGAACCCCTAATTTAAAAATTGCCTGAAGAAGCAGAAAGTAAGAACTGGAGGAACAGTAATAGTTATCACTGCTAATTTTAACACCAACAAGATCTTACATTCGGGGAAACGATCTCCCACCCCTTTTCTTATTTGAAATATAGCCTTCTTGATCATAATCTGTCATTCAAGAGGAGCTGGATGCAAGTGGATTGGCAGTAGGAGAGGAACCCCAGGGAAAGACCAAAGAGCAATGAGCAGGCTACAGTCAATTTGATTTTGTGGATTCTTCCAGGGCCAGCACTTGCGGAGGTTAGAGATGCCGGAAGGGGTCCAGGTCTTGGGTTTGTGTGTGGTTTATTTCCCTCGGGCATTTTCAATTCATATTCCTGCTCCCCTAGATATTCAGGCCCATGGGCAGCATTTTAGCAAATCTGGGCTTGTTTCAACACCAGCCCAAGCAGGCACAGACCAGAAGAGAAATCTGTTGGTGGTGGGGATGCTGGGGGCAGCGAGCCTGATCTGAAGTGGGGAGGCTCCCTCGATCCTAATATACAATATCCCAAAACAAAGTGAAAATAAAGTTTAAATTACCTTCCGGTTTCGATGATCTAAATCACACCTCCCTTCCAGAAGTGTAGATAATTGGAGTTGACTAAATTGTGAAAATATCTGATTTTTTAAATTCATTGTGTACAAGAGTGCCCCCACCCCGCCCCTTCTCTTCCCCATGCCCCTCCTATAATTAACCTACACATCAGCATATAATACCAGTACCCAATGCAGTCACGATGGCAACCGATAGCAAGAATACTTATGGCTGTGTACAATTCAGATACAACTGTTTAAATTCCATTTGGCTGAGTACTGTGGCTCACTCCGGTAATCCCAGCACTTTGGGAGGCCGAGTTGAGGGGATCGCTTGAGCCCAGGAGTTTGAGACCAGCCTAGGCAATATAATGAGACCCTGCCTCTGCCAAAAGTTTTTTAAAAACTTAGGCAGGCACAGTGGTACACACCTGGAGTCCCAGCTACTTTGGGAGGCTGAGGTGGGAGGATCCCTTGAGCCCGGGAAGTCGAGGCTGCAGTGAGCCATGATGATGCCACTGCCACTGCACTCCAGCCTGGGTGACAGACTGAGACACTGTCTCAAAAAAAGAAAAAAAAAAAAACCTCAAATTGTAATTTCTCTAAATATTTTCAAAAATAGCTGCATGGAAAAAATTAGCTCTGTGCCCACCCTTCTCTCCTGTGGCTCTGTGGGGTCCACTTCTCAAGTGACAGCTTCATAGGCTTCCCAGAGGTTCAGGTGGCAAAGAACCTTGGGTGATGTTTTGCCAGCTGGAAACCAAATCAAGTCAGGACAACTGGAGATCAGGCCACCAGCTGAGAAGTGTGGGACTGGAAAAGTCAAACCTAGCAGGCAATATTTAAATTCAAAATTGAGTATATGTGGTCACAGCCTCTCTAAGCCTCAGTTTCTCCCTGTCTTTCCTTTACTAAGAATGAATCCTACCCTCTGCTAATCCCACACATCACCCACCACAAGGATGATTTTGGTTTTTCAGTAAAACAAAAGCAGAGGGGGGATGGGAGCAGATCCTAAACGTTTCAGAATGGTGTTCACACTATTCTCTCTTAGACTCATGGTACCTCTGCACACAGCCTCTCTTTGTAAGGCTGAACAAACAGAAGCAAGCAACCAAGCAAGCAGAAAGATATTGCAGCCCCAAAAAGTAAAAAATAAAAAAGATGAGGATAATCACAAGAAATATTTTCCTATGAGATAGATTTACCAAAAGGAAAAAAGAAAGAAAATGTCTGGGAAATGTCGTTTTTCAGTAAGATTCAAGAGGACTTTTTTCTGAAAAAAATCAAAGTAAACAGCATCTCAAAAGCAGGGGTCAGCAAACTTTTCCATTAAAAGGCTAGGGAAGAAATATGCTTGGCTTTGAGGCCACATGGTCTCTGTACAACAAGGCTTCCCTAAATAGAAACAATATGTAAATGAGGGAGTGGGACTGAATCTGGCCTCTTCCTCTGATCCAGAGGGAAGGAGCTGCCCTCAGGTAAGGTTGCATGAATGGCTGAAGTTAAAACCTCACTATAAGAAGCAGGAAGTATAATGCAAAAAAGAAAGTGACAGACGCACTTGAAAAGCTTTCTCAGAAATAAGATGACAGTGAGGAAAACAAAATAAGATCTGGACCACAAAACCAGACACCCCAGTATGTACATACAAGGAGCCCTCCAAAGAGAAAACATCACAGAGCAGACATCTTGATGAGAATGATAATAATAATAGTGATAATAAAAGCCTTTCCTGCATTGAAAACTGGAGGCTATAGATTAAAAGAACATATTTAAATCCAAGGGAAAAGAAATCAAGTCAACACACATCCATATCCTAATAAATGTTTCTGATGTGTGGAGAAAATTCTATAAACCTTCAGACAAAGTAAATGAAGAGATTACCTACAAAGGAATCAAAATCCAACGGGCCTCAGGCTCCCCTCCTGTATTCATTGCTCTAAGACAGCGGAGTCATTTCAACAACTTTGAGGGAAAGAAAAATACTCAGTCAAGTCTCCATTTACATTTAAGGTTGACATAATAACAGTCTCAGGTATCCAAGGGCTTAAATATTATTCCCTTCATGGGGGAAAAACAAAGTCTTAATGGCAAATGCCGATCTACTAGGGGACAAATCAAAATTAAGAAACCACAGGTGGAAAATTTACAATGTTGCAGATCTATGAGCAATGAAAAGCTATTAAAGTTGTCCAAATACTTAGTATAATTTCAATTATAACATAGTAGAAACGTCAAAAACAGTGTTTGAAAGGGATGAATCCATGTTGAAATTATCATAATGTAAAAATAATACAGGTCTTAAAACCTAGATCATATTAATAAAAATTGGAAGTAGGGGGAGGAGAAGGACTAAAATCATACTGTTTAATTCTTAACTTCGATGCTTTAGGGAATGTGGGTTTAAATGTGCTTTCAAAAACTTAAGGGTAACCACTATTAGGTTAAAATAGGATGAATACTTTCCAAATCACCAAAAGGGAGGAAAGCAGAGAAAGTCCAACCCACATAGCATAATTAACAAGTGATAAAAAGGAAATAGGAAGTAAATGCATCAAAAAGAAAACCAGGAAGCTTAAAGACAAAAAACAGAAAAACAAGGATTGTGCTATGAAATATTAGGCTGCCACTAAAAACCATGTTTGAAGGGTACTTAATCACACAGGGGAATGTTCACAATAAAAAGTAGAGATGAAAACATAATATGTACATATATATACTCTCAACTTTGTCTGTATTTAAGGTTCATAGAGAAAAAGGCATAGGGATATACTCAAGTATCTTCTTTTATTTAAAAAAAAATAATTATTATTATTTTGTACAGACAGGGTCTCACTATGTTGCCCAGGCTGGCCTCTAATTCCTGGCCTCAGGTGATCCTCCCACCTCAACCTCCCAAGTCTTTGGTATTCACAGGCATGAGCCACCACGCCCAGCATTAATAATTTTTTGAAGATGATAGAATTTCAGGTTATTTTTTTTCTTGTTTATTCTTGTTTTATATTTTCCACAAATAACACACATTTCTATAATTTTTTTTTTTTTTTTTTTTTTTTGTGAGGGGGACCGAGTTTTGCTCTTTCCACCCAGGCTGGAGTACAATGGTGCAATCTTGGCTCACTGCAACCTCTGCCTGTCAGGTTCAAGTGATTCTCCTGCCTCAGCCTCCCGAGTAGCTGAGATTACAGGCACACAACACCGTGCCCAGCTAACTTCTATATTTTTAGTAGAAACGGGGTTTCACCATGTTGGCCAGGTTGGTCTCTAACTTCTGACCTCAAGTGATCCACCCCCCTTCAGCCTCTCAAAGTGCTAGGATTACAGGCGTGAGCCATCGCGCCCAGCCTGTAATAATTCTTAAAAACAATCAACATTATAAAAAATAAAAATTGTAGGGTACCATGAAACCAAGCTGATTGTTCTTCCCAGGGGAGGAGGAAGGGCCAGAGAGGATTTGGAAGGTATTATCCAGCACAGGTTAGGTTTGATCAGTCAGTGGATGCTGCTGGGTTGGAAACTGGATTTTCCATCTACCAGTGCACACTCAGCCCTCAGTATTCTTAGAGCACATGAGGAAAAAAAATCACTATTAAGCTTTAATTTCCAGAGCCCTTACTGTGTGCTTTGTGCAATGTACTTTATTCTCACAACAACCCAGAGATGTAAGTATTTTTAGCCCATTTGACAGATGAGGAAATTGATGCCAGAGAGGATAAGAGACTTGCTTAAGGTTACATAGATGGGAAGGCAAGCTGCCAGGGTTAGAAACCAGCCCGTTTGTTGAATCCCTAATAATAATGTGTCCCCTTCCTTCTGGAAGTTAGGCAGAACTTGTGTGGACTTCACTGCTATTATTTTTTAATCTGCTCATTCTTCCCTCTGGCTTACGGGGACACACCATGAGGGCCACTGTCTCTTACTTTCAGCTGGACTATGAATCCACATGCCCCTGATTCTTTCACAAAGATGCTGCAAGCCACCCCTCACAAGGGCTTCCTGAGCAGACATCTTATTCCTTCCAGTCCAGCATCAGTGGATAAAACAGAACTAAATTCATCGCTATTCCACCCACCCCAACTTCCTTCCTTCATAAACTAGCCACAGAGCAGAGGCCCAGGAGCCTGTCCAATACATCTCAGGGTCCCAAGTACTTCTCCCCACACCAGCCTAGGAAACCAGGGCTGGCTGTCAGCAAAATGAATAAAATTCCTATGTTTGCCTAAAAGGCAGGGGAGGGGAGTGGAGAGCTTACCTCTGAATTGCAATGTTACTAGGACACAGTTTGCTGTAATAATACCAATTAACATTTCTCCCCACTTAATAGTTTCTAGTACAGGATAAAAATAGCAATACACGTGGTGCTGAGATGCGAAAAATAACAATGGAAATCTGCTCTGGAAGAGTCCTGCTCTGTCTCACCAGGGAAGGGTGAGGAGGTAAGTGGGAATATTAGGGGAGATTCAGGAGGGAGCTGCAGAGAACCTGCTAGAAATTAAGAGTCTGCCATTGTCTTACTTCTCTTCTGTCCTCAGTCACCAGCTATACCACCAGAAGGCCCCTGTGGCATGGCGAGATGCCGTCCGGCTTGGAATGAGAAGAGTTGATTGCTGGGTCTCCACTCTGGCACTAACCAGTTTTGTGACCTTGCCTGAGTCAGGGAACCTCTTTAACCTGATTCCTTATCTGTAAAGTAAGACTCTCAGCACCTGCATCTCAGGTGGGTGTGCATCGAAATACAGTGAAAGGGCTTTGCAAAATATGTGGAATATGTGAAAAATGTGTCAAAATGCTTTGCAAAATATGTGAAAGGGCTTTGCAAAATGTAACCCGAGATTCACATGTGAGGGTAGGTCCCTAAGAATCTGTAGTAGTGATGCAGGTGGCACTTGCCAATACAACAACCTTTATTGATCAACAAAACGAAAATTACCAGGAGTTAGTCCCTCCCCTCAGCAGGACTAAAGGATGCCAGTGGTGTAGGCATTCTATGGCGCAAGCTCAGCGGACCTACCCTTCAAGGACCAGCACCTGTCTACAAAAAGATTCCTCAGATGGAAACAGCTCTTCCTAAGGACGAGTGTGGCCTGGCCAGAAGCCCATTTTCCTCAAAGCTCTGATATATTTGGCTAGGAGAGAGGATGCCCAGTCATGCTGGAGAAATTTCCTGGAGGCTGGCTTCTCTTCAATGGCTGTCACTCAGAGCCTGACCCAGCCCCGGGGAGCCCAGGTGCCATCTATGGGGAGGGTGAATGATGAGGCACTGGAAGTTTCCCTCCCTCCTTTCATTCCCTCCACCACTTGCATCCCCCACTCCCCAGACCTCACCCCAACAACTGGACACACAGCCCATAGATAGGGTGATTTCACGATTCAGTCTAGACCCCCCCACCAGGCAGTGTGGAGGCTGGGGCCTCTAGTTGTGCTGCATTGGGTCCCCTGAGCTCCCCCGAGGTGTCCTAGGAGTCTTTGGGGAACACTGGGAAAACTGAGAGGGAAGCTCTGAAACCACTTCGTACCCACCAACATACACCCTCAACCTGAAATGATTTTTACCAGTTTAATGTTTGGCTTCCACATAAGATTTTATACAAAGAAAAGGTTCTGTCTCTAAACTCTAAAAAGTTTTACAATCTTTGTTCCTGGGGCTTATAAGAATCCAGGGAAAGGGGACCTTACCTTGGTCCTTGGATTGGAGTGAAGTCACCTAAGGACCCATCCAAATAACGACCATGTTTTATTCCTAGTGGGAAAATGTAGTCCAACAGTAACACCATCCAAAATCTCTCTGGGCATGTGGCTACCACACCTAAGTACAAGGAATTTTCTGTTTCTTGGAAAAAGCCCTTCGTCCTCTCCCATGTGCTGTCATCCCAGGATCATGGGGCCTGGGAATGTCAGTTCGGGCCAGATGAGTTCAAGTGAGCAATGTGTTATCACAAACTTGGAAGGGGAGACAGGAAGCAGGTTTGGTGGGAAGGAAAGAAAGCAGAAAGACCCAGAGGAGACCACTTTTCCTGCAGAGCTGGAGGAGAGAGGGACTGGAAGAGCCCACAGAGACCCATCTGTGTTTTTCAAAACGCATTTTTAGAAAAAGAGGAGGCTAGGGAAACAGAGACACCTGCTTAGAGCCAGAGAACATTCCCTTCGAAGGGATTCAAAAGCACATGGGCAACACAAGCCACTGTGCCAGGTACCCACGCAGGTCAGGGGCCTGGTCTCAACTTGGGAAACATCAAGAGGCCAGCAAGCTGAAGCCCCTCAGCTCAGCTTCTCCCCTCAGAGACGAAGAAGCTGGAAGCCATCAGCCAGCTAGGCAGAAAGGGGTCATCTATCATTGCTTGGCTCTGAAAGATCTTAGAGCAAGAAGGATCCAAGAGAGAGGGCCAGTGTGAAAGGGGGAAATATGCAGGAGGGACAATGTCTGACATTTTTTGGAGGCTGTAGGTCTCGGGCAGGAGTTGTGGCTGACCACACTCAGCTCAGCCTGAGCCCAACAGGGCATGATGAGGACCCGTATGGGCTCTGGAGCCAGGAGTCAGGCCCTGCATTCAAATCCTGCCTCCAGAGCCTGAGACATGTGGCCTTGGGTTAGCTCTTTATCCTGTCCGGACCTCAGTTTCCTTGAGCGTCCTTAGCAACGATAAGCATATCTACTTTGTAGGGCTGTTCTGAGGGTTGAAAGAGTTAGCAGATGTAAATCACGCAGAGCAGCATCCACACTTGGTAAGCCTGCAGTCAGTGTTGGCTGGAGCTGCTGTGGGGAAACCCCCTTCACGCTGAGCCCCATTGGGTCCAGCCCTCCCAAGATGCAAGGATGGAGGTGGGTGGATGAAGTTCCCCTGGTGGCAGTGGGATGTGAACAGCACCCCCACAGCAATTCTCTTTATGTGTAACCCCCTCCCTCGGGGGCAGTCTCTCCACTTCCATCTTTTCTTTTTCTCTTCTCTCTCCATTTTCCTCCTTTTTTAACTTTTTAATCACTTTCTAAGTTCTCCCCCTGTGTTCTTTTAGCAGATTTGCAGAGCCATCTATCAAGAAGCTTAAATAATGAAGGACCATAGTTGCAATTGCCTGTTCACAGGCTCTTGGGCTTTCTGGGTGATTAGAGGAGACTCCTGCTGGGGGAAGCTGCCTGACTAGAATGTTTTCTAACCTCTTAGAGAAGCTCCCATGGCTGCTATGCCTTAGCTGCCCTCCATGATCATTAGCGACTCCCTAAGCAGCCCGGTCAGGTAAACTGCACACTACTTGCTCCACACATGGAAAAGCCTCAGAGGGACTGAGAAGTCACTGGTGGGATGGGGACTGAGAGTCCACAGCCCCTGAGGCTGCCTGTCTCCCAATTCATCAAGTCACAAAATAAGATGAGGAGCTCCTAGCCCACCTCTCTGGGGTCATCTCCACAGCTCTGCAGAGTGGCTGGTCTTGGGGCCAAAAGAGGTGCGAGGGTAATTGACCTATATTGGGGGGTGAGTTTGCATTATTTTTCCAGAGCTGAGTCCGTCACAGTCCCTCACAGCCAAGGTGACCCATTAGGCAAGAGCTCAGGGTTCCGCCTGAGACCGTGGGCCAGAGGTATTTGCTGTCCCCCTGCAGGGGACCCGTGAAAGACCTTGGCCTTGTTACTATACTGCTTCATACAACTTGATCGTCCCATCCTAGGCTCTGAAAACTGGTCTGCTCACCAATGGTACTCACCAAAAACTTCTTTGAAGATCCCACCTCTCAGCTGGGCATCATGTCCCAGTGCATGTCCTAAGCACATCCTGTGCCAAGCACATTTTCTGGTCTTCAGTTCAAAGGTGGGAAATTAACACACAGAGAGAGGGCAAAGTAACTGCCAAAGATCACAAAATTAAAAGACGTTGAACCTAGGGACCCAGACTCCCAGCCTATTCCCATGATGGCCCAAGAGAATATTCCCATAGGTGGTATGGGAGTAAGTTGTTTCGGTCTTTCTAATACTTCAAATAACCTCATTATTCAGGATGGTGGTGTCCAAGTGGTGAAACAGACCATCCCTGGATGGCAGCACTACCGAGGAACACACTTCTTGGCTGTGGGATCCTTTTGCTGGCTCACTTTGGAATGCCAACATGTTCCAAATCTCTCCAACTTAATGAAACACCTGTCCCCTCTAATGCCATCAGCAGTAACTGCACATGGCTCTCACACTTGCACACACATGCACACAGCTCCAGCTGGCTCACTGGGTGGTTCCTTGGGTACATCTGGCTGCACTCCTCAATCCATCCTGGTGTGACCGAGTTGGAATAAACCCCCCAGTCCTTAGCTCTCTGGAATAAGAGAAAGTTTTACAAAAAAACCCTGTAATCTGGTATCAACTGGGCCTAAGATAAGCCTCAAGTAATTACAACAGAGATAGACAAATCGTACATTCAAACTGCCAAGGCTTTAAATGACACACACACACATACACACAAACACACATACACACACAGACAGATGGTATTGTTGAAAACTTAAAATATAATTCATATTTACAGGACATGATTTAGAAATTGTCCCCAGTTACTATTTTGTAAATTGGTGCTTATACATATGCCGTATGTATTCTATATCAATAATTTTTCCTAATAATGTTATTACCTTGCACACTCAATCCCAGTGAACCCTGAAGGAAAAAATTCTCATCTCAAGAATCCAAAGAGCTGAGGTCAGGTGGGGAAGTCTTAGCCTTATGGTGAAAAACTAGAACAGGCAGTCGAAGGGGCAGGCAATGCTTCTATCGTCCCTTTTTAGAACACTGCTCTGTGGCCCTCTCACTCTTCCTGCAGATGTAGGAGTAGAATGAGATGAGGAGAAAGAGAGAAGAATGCTTTGAAATAAGTTATCCAAAATGGCAGACAGGTCCTCCTCCACTTTTCCAGGAACACCTCCCTCCCTTCAACACACACAATATGCACACGCACACACACACACACACACACAATACACACACACAATATTTATGCACGACTGTTACATACACACATTTGAGGAGAGAAGGAATTATGTAACACATCAGCTGTTCATTTTCACAGGCCCACTTGAAATGGAGCTCAATCTTATAAGTATAGAAGTCTGGGGTGAGCGTCTAGGAATTTCAACAGGCACTGAGAAAATGCCCACTCTGAAGCACAGAACATGGCCTGTGGAATGCTCGAAAGCTTCCAGCCTGGAGGGCGACCTGAGATGTTAGTACCAAGGGCTTCCTCTCCAGAGCCTCAGTCTCCACATATCCCTCAGACTAACCCCTACAGAGCTGGGTATCTCGTAGGGAAACTAAATTGAGCTCGGAAATGCACACCAACCAAAAAAAAAAAAAAAAAAAAGAAAGAAAGAAAGAAAAAAAAAAGAAAAAAGTATTTTAGATCCAAAAGGGAGCAGTGGCACAATGTCACGATGTAATACAAGGGCATGGGTTTTGGAGTCTGTGGATGAAGAAATGCCTTACCTCCCTAAGTTTCTTTAGGGTAAATTGGAGCAAAAATCCTCACCTTGCAGGGTTGCTGTGAGGGCCTTAGACCATACATGTGTAAAGCATTGATAGCACAAAGTTCACCATGGAGTAGTTGCTCACTGTTTTCTCATTTTCCATTCCCTCTCTTCCTCTCCCCAGCCCTGACTGATTGGAAGTCATTTCCGCTTTTTCAGCAGACCCAGCCTCAGCTGATGATTCACCTGGTTGCTGGAAGTGAGTTCTGTTTCTCAACCCTGGGATTGAAGACTGACTTTCAATAATTTGATTGTGGAGTTCTTAGCCTTCCTGAAACAGGGCTCCATTTGGATGCTTTGCAAAGCCAAGCAGAGAACATGTCCTTCCAGTGAGAAAGTAGCCCATGGGTCTTCATTCCAATATACCTCTGTGGTTTCTCAATGCATTCGTCCATTCTAATTTTTCTGTCTACCTAAAATCTCCAAGAATAGAAAGACCACTTTTTCCTTATTTGATCATCACATACTGCCTAAAATCACATCTTGCTCAACAGTAACTGTTAAGCGGAAGATGGCAGTAGTGCCAGGAAATTATCAGAGGAAAACAGAAACAAAACACAACATAAGCCTGGTCAGTCACAGTTTCCCTTGATCAGTAAACAACCAAGGTCGGTGGTGACTCCCCTTTGGGAGAGAGGACACCATTTGCCACTGTCACAACTGGCCCTGTATACTGTCGGGTTCAGTGGCAGATCTTCTCATTGGGTTCTAATAGCTGCTCCACATGCCAGAGCCACCAAAAGCCTCTCTGCCTTGTCCAGTTAAGACAAAGATGAACTTCTCAAAAGTTTTTTATGCCCAAAGCTCTTCCAAAACCAAGGGGAAGAAACTCTGTATATAATGAAACCTCAAATAAAGTCAATGACACTGAGAAGTTTACAGAGGGCTCCTCTCAATAAATATCCAAGAGGGAGAGCTGACAGTTGTCTTGACCAGTAGAGTTCACTGGGCTCAGAAACAAGGGGGGGCCTGTCCTCACCCCATCTGGCTTGGATCAGAGGACCTGAAGTGCTCTAGTTGGGAATGATGGCAAAGTTTGGTGGGATTGTCAGTCTTTGTAAAAACTTTCTCACCTTCTCTTTGGATGTGGGCCTCTCAGTAGACCTATCTGGTCCCAAAATGCCATCCCCCAAACTTCACACCTATCCCCAATCAGTTTTGCAGATGTTTTAGAGGAATCTCCACTTGTATAGGTAGAATCATGCCCCCTCCCCAAAGATGTCCACATCCTAATCCTCAGAACTTGCGAATAGGTTACCTAACATGGCAAAAGGGACTTGGAAGATATCATGAAGTTAAGAACCTTGAAAAAGAGAGATGAGCCTGGACTATCCAGGTAGGCACACTCATATCACATGAGTCCTTAAAAGCAGAGAACTTTTCCCAGCCTTGGTCAGAGGGAGGGAGACTTGACTATGAAAGAAAGGCCAAAAACATGTATCACTGCTGGCTTTGAAGACGGAGGAAGAGAACTGTAGCTGAGGAATGTGGGTGGCCTTTAGAAGCTGAAAAAGACAGGAAATAGATTATCTCCTAGAACCTCCAAAAAGGGATGAGCTCCTGGAAAGGCATGAAGACCTGCCAGTGCCTGGATTAGCCCAGTGAGACCCATGTCAGATTTTTGACCTATAGAACTGTGACATAGCTTGGATATGAGTCCCCGCCCAAATCTCAAGTTGAATTGTAATCCTCAGTATTGGAGGTGGGGCCTTGGGGGGTGTGATTAAATCATGGGGTGGATTTCTCATTAATGGTTTAGTACCATCCGCTTGGTGCGGTTTTTGTGATAGTGAGAGAGTTCTCTCGAGATTTTGTTGTTTAAAGGTGTGTGGCACCTCCCCCATCTCTTGCTGCTGCCTTATCTATGTGACGTGCCTGCTCTCGATTCGCCTTCTGCCATGACTGTAAGCTTCCTGAGGCGTGCCCAGAGCCAAGCAGATATACACCCTGTAGGACCATGAGCCAATTACACCTCTTTTCTTTATAAAGTATCCAGCCTCAGGTATTTCTTTATAGCAATGCAAGAACGGTGTAATACAAATAGACCGTTGTGTGTGTTGTGTGAAGTTGGTAAATTTGTGGTCATTTGTGACAACAGCATTAGGAATGGAATACACTGCCCGTTCCTGGTGAGGTGCCCCTCTTCCTTCATCCCTTCATGGCCCAACTTCTCTGAAAGTGCTGCTGGCTGAGTCCTCCCATGGGGGCACCTCACCTGTTACTCCCAGCGATCACCTTGGCCCTGCTCCTCATCAGTCTCCTTGCCAGGACAGCAGCAGCAGCCTGTTCTCTCCTCTCTCCAGTTTCAAATGGCCCTGGTTCCTTAAAGGGCCTTCTAGATCTTGTTTCTAATCCCTGGGACCGTTTGAGTTCCAAACATCACTTGTCAGAAGGATAGACCACAGATGCCTTGGAGTGGGAGGAGGAGGAGGGGCGCTCTTTCAAACTCTGGTTCCCCCTTCACCCACTTCCCCACATATGGACTTGTAAAACACCAGCCACCTCGCTTTCCATACCAAACAACAGTACACGCAAGAACAAACAAGCAGGGCCACGGCCTTTCTTACTGGAACCAGGTATGCTTTCTGGCTTGTTTGTTTTCTCAGAATTTAAAAATACATCGAGTGTGCTTTATTGAACTGCCCAAAAAGGGACACACCTGCAGCACCTCATAAACTTGTTTGATCAAACAAACAAAAGCCAAAACACTTTTCTGATGGAGTATTTCTCGGAACTTGTACTCTGCAGAAAACACTCTGTAAAGTTTGCTTGTAACCACGCTCCATTATCGTCTACAAGCCTCAGAAGTCTGAGGAATCTGAGCCCACCCTGACCTTTCTTTCCGATTCAATCTGCATACTTGCTTTTTGATCATGAAAATAAAAAAATTTTGCCCTGATACTTTTTTCCCCATATCTTCATTTATTTTTCTTGGGGCCTAGCAAGGTCTTTTGGCAAGAAAATCCAGATCTTTTCTCGCTCAGAAATATTTTCCTTATTGGATTTGGCTTGTTTCTTAACTTGCTCTGGTCAGTTGCACAAGAGCATCAATTATCTATATTTTGCTGGATTCTTCATATCTACCATGGCTTCCCTTATGATTATCATATTTTTAATTCCCTCCTTGGGCACAAATGCAAATCTTTAGAACAAGGAAACTGGGAGCTGAAAAGAGAGAGGTAAGAATTTCAGAGGAAGAAGGAAGCCTCTCTCAACAGACAGCAGCAGGGGCAATGGCAGGAGCCAGGGCAGTGCACGGGACACACCCCCAGCCGACCGCCTCCCAAGCCTGCTGGGGCTATGGAACCCAATTCCAGGCTGTCAGCAGAGACAAATTTAGCACCGATGATCTCATCTTGCAGAACAGCCCCAGGGCTCAGGGAAACATCACTGGAAAAGCTGGGAAGTGGACGTCACTGCTAGTCCCATAATGTAGGTGAAAGGCACAGGGCCCCTCTCTCAGCTCACTAAAAGGGAGCACCAAGACCACAAGGAGCAGGTACAGGTGATGGTGAGGGCGTGGCCAGCGGGGAACAGGCTGGGGGGTCTGGGGCATTACTAGCCTGCTCTCCTCAGAGTCCCCACAACCCCAAGCACAGTGAGCTGAAGTTCCAGGACAGGTCCACAGATACGGACACACTTCGTTTGAGATGAGTGACAAACAGTACTAAACATTATCATTGTGGAGTTACAGCTTCTCCTGTCAGGCCCACATCAGGATGTTACGTGGCAGAGTATTTACAAATGCAGCAGCAGGCAGAAGGTAGAGAGAGTGGGGGCACATTCCCTCTTATTTACTGAAAATAAGACCAAATCCCTGCAAAGGGGGGCAAGGATCCCTTGTCTCTTGCAGTGAGTCAGTGGCAGAAAAAGATGAGAACTTGTCACCAGGTGCAAACCCCAAATCTTGCCACTGGCTCAAGCTACCTCTGCATGGCTCTGAAGTTGGTTTTTCTGGCTTCCTTAGCCGGACACTTTTGCTGGTCAGTTTCCCTGCAGTTTCTTAGTGTGTCTGGTGGTCAGATTCTCCCTCCTGTTCCTGGAGCAAAGAGGCCTCAGCGGCTCCCCCAGTGTTTCCCAAAAGCAGTCCCAGGAGGGCAGTGGCGGCAGGTCCTTTGCTGGGATGGGGACCCCTGTCTCCTGCTTCTGTAGCTAATGGACAGCATCCCATGAACCTTTGTGAAGAAGGAAGGTATGAAAATAACTAAGAAAAGCAGACTTGACACCTCTCACAAAGAAATAAATACATTTCTAAATGTCAAATAAACATAGGTACTTACAGAAGGCAAGACCCTCCAAAAAGAGTGGTTCGTATCACACTGCTAATGGGGATGGATAGTGATGGCAAATAAATATTGTCACGTTAAAAAGGCCAGGTTTATATTCAAGCACACCAGGGCCACTCCTGTGTCAGTTTCAGTCATATTAGAGAAGATCAGCTCCCTGAGAACAAGGGCTAGGAAGCTAATAAATTCCATACTGGGAAGTGCCATGGGAACGTAATGAGGGGTTATCAGAGAAATTAGAATGTGCAAGACTCCGTCTCAAACAAGAAAAAAAAAAAGAAATTAAAATGTACTGAGAATTTGGGGTGGCCACCAAAATAAAACCTCTCCCACCCAAGACAGCATGAACATTATTGTGGTTAAAGGAAAGAAAGTTCAACAAGCAACTTAGAACAGAACTGACAGCATCTCTTCAAGTGAAGACTTCAGAGAAAGCTGCAAACAGAAATGACAAAAAACAAAACAAAACAAAACAAAACAAAAAAAAACAGGGCAATAAACACCTAGAAGGCGGCATTAGGGCTGTGCAGCAGAGCCCAAATGCAAAGGCAGCATTAGCAGTGGAAGCAAAGAATCCTTACGGGGTCAGACCCACAGGGCTGAGCCAAGATCAGATCTCTCTGTCTCACACACACACACACACACACACACACACACACACACACACACATGCACACACCAGCTGCAGCACTAGGGCGTTTGGGAAAGACACAAAATTAGTTTAGATTGTAAAACATTTATCCTGTAGAGGCAACGTGAGATTTTTTTCTGTAGTTCTTTTAATTAAAAGTGAGCTCATAAATCAAAGCCCCTGTTTCCAGCCTGCAGGAGGTAGTAGGAGTGAACCTAAGCCTTGCAGAGCTGAGCCTGCCCCGCCCATCCTGCTTTCCATCACCCAGGTTATTCACCCCAATTACAACACCGCACATGTTACAGGGACTCAGTGAGTAGCCAAGGGTGGCTCTGATGAATTACATCTCACTTTCTTCACTGGGGTCTCCGAAGTTCTCCCAAAGAGATATTGAGCACATGTACACACACACACACACGCGCGCGCACGCACACACACACAATTAAATCCTATCAGAACTGGTTAGTGCATCTATTTGGAGCATCTGCTGTTTCCCCTGCAGAGCCCCACCTCTGGAGACCTTCCCCTCCTCTGCATTTCTACCTTGCCTGGGCTCACATGGCTGTTTGCATTTGTGAGTCTGAAGACTCTTCTTAGAAGTTTTTTAAACACAGAAAGTCTTATGGATCCTTGCCATCTTCTTAATTTGTTTTAATTTTTTCCTCCTGGGTGAATTAAAGAATGTTCTACAGACATGAAGTCTCACTACCCTCAGCTCATTCATAAGAGAGATGGAGGGAGGGTGCATACATTAATATGCTCATTACTCCAAAGGTGACATACGTGTGGATAAAGAATTTGTCCCAAACCAGAAGTGCAGCCAGAAACAAAGTTAAGATTTCCTGGATGTCGGTTCCAAGATTTTAAGCCACACCCAGGCCTGGCTCTTAACAATTTAGAGGGATGGCTGGCCCCAGACACAGACCAGGGCAGACACCTGGGCATGAAGATTGCAGGAGTCCTAGGAGCAGTAGTGGGAGGCAGCAGGGTGGCCCACAGTAGCTCCCGTTGCCCCTCCCAGCCCTCCTTGGGATTGACAGAATGGTTGCCGTGACCAGCGGAGGAAGCACATTGATTTCCCATTTTCAAGCTGCCCCCCAGCTCCAAGCATCTTAGAGCTCTTTATGTGCCCATACTCACATGTGTTCACAGTTTTAGTGGGAAATGAGGACAAAGAAACGGAACCCCCTCTAAGAGAGAAAATGTTAGAGATAGAGATGAACTTCATTTCAGCTTCCTGCCCGGTATCTACCCTTGATGCCAGGAACCGCTCTGTCACTGCATCCCCCAATCCCACTGCTTCCTTCTGCCCCTGCCCCCGCACAGAACAAGAATCCAGACAAAAGCACAGGTCAAGGGAGAAATAAAGGTCCCCCTTCCCCTGACCCAACTCCCTCAGAAACAATCAGATTCAAGGCAGAGAGATTAAATTATCACTAAGCTAATTATGGGACTCACACTTAGGCTGGCTGCCGGGAAGCGAGGTCAGCAAGCAAGAGACATTAACATGCAAATTGAAGGCAGATGCAAGGAGCACTTAAAAAAAAGCAACCGGGAGACTGATTCCCCCCACACCCAGAGGAGAAAGAAGCCACTCTGGTGGTTGAGGCACTGTCCATCTGGGCAATGGTCAGGGCATTTGACAGCTAAATAGCTCTACTCTGTCATCATCCTGAAGCCAAAGTGGGCGAGTCAGAGGTAAACTGATTAGGTGGTGTGCCGCTAATCTCCCAGAGAGAACATGAGGGAGGTGGATGCAAGGCAGAGCCCAGCGGGAGCAGCCCCAGGCTTGAGTGCAGAGAAGGCTCTGCCGGTTCCTATGCTTGCATGTGTGGGTGCCTCCCTGTGCGTGGGTGAACACAGGTGTGTGTGTCAGCTGGGTGTTTGTGCATGTTTATGACTATGGATGTGTGTATGGAGAGGGGATACAGAATCAGGCATGTGTGAGTATATCTTATCCACCTGAAAATAGAAGGTGAAGAGCTTAGACAGAATCAAAGTGCCCCTCCTAGCATAATAGCCACCGGGCAACTCCTTAAGAGCTTTCTGAGATTGTTAAGGCCCCTGCAATTGCTGTCACCAGCTCAGCCATGAAAATACATATTATGGTACCCAGTTATGGATGACTGATGCTTCCCCAGGCATCATCAATATGATGCGAGTTTAAGACATGTTGGCCAAAAACTTGGCAGTCTACAAAATGACTTTGAGAGATAAAAATCAATGTTTTTCAATGCAATCTGCAGGATAGCTTCCTCCACTCAGGATTCTGACTCTGCAAGTCTCTTGCCTTTTCCAGAGAGGAGCAGGTTGGCAGGGAACCCTGATACGGAGGCATGTGAGCTTGTTTTAAGTCAGTAGACAGCTTTGGGTTCCTTGTCCTGAGAAATGGAATTTAATGGGCAATATCCTGCCTGTGTCCAGAGTGAATTTTTGGAACCCATGGTTGGCAAGGGGGGTTCAGAGGGGAAGTGGGGGAATCTCTGGAGCTTAAATTACTTAGGGAAAATTAATTTGGAAACTTTATTTAATTATAGGTAAAAGAAATGCTTCCATAAATTTGGGTAATTTAATTATCCAAGAGACATCTGCTGAACACAATCTAATCATTGTATTTAAGTAGAAAAGTGCCCTCACTCTTAACAAAACTAATTTTGGGGAGATACAAACATTCAGAGCCTGACTAATGAAAGAAAAGGAATAATTTCAGTTTCAGTTTTAGGAGGAAAAAAGTAAATCACAGGAAAATCATCTGAGAGAGGATTTAGTTTTTTAAAAATCTTCAACATTATATCTGGGGTTGATGATATAAAATCAGCCATATCCTATATTTTTTGCACATCTTCTCCAATACTAAGCAAAGAAGAGATCACAAGCTCTTTAAGTCAAGAAGTGCCTAGCGCATTTTAGATGACCAAGAAGATAGTTCTTGACTGAATGTTGATGTTCACAAAAATAAACCTTATGATAAACTGTATGGACAGAATTATCCACAAAATATTCATTGCCCTTCTCTCCCACCTCCCTGCATACATACACACCAGCCCCCTCCCCAGGCTCCAGGCAGGGTTATATTTTCCACACCATTCACTTTGGCTGGGCCAAAAAAATGGGAGTGGGCCACCACCAAGCAGTAGCTTTAACAACCACGGCACGGTTCTGCCATCTCTCTTTTCCTTTGGCCATGAGATCAACATGTCCCAGACAGGGGCTGCCCTTCCAAGTCTCCCAGATAAATAACATGGAGCAGGGCTGCAGCCAGCCCAGGGTGCACATGAACGTGAGTTGAAAATAGCCTTCGTTATTGTTGTTGTAAGCCACCTAAACTTGGGGGTCATTTGTTACTGCAACATAATGTAGTCTAAGCTAGCTGATACACACACACATGCACACAGGCACTAGAAGACCCTAAGCCCCAGTGGTCCATCTTCAAATACATTTTTTTATTCAGCATTTGTTACCTTCGGGCAGTACTGTGGGGGCACCTTCAGTTTAATTGGAAGAAGGTATAAACACACTGGGGAAATAGATCCAGCTATATTAATGAACTGTATTTTCTATGTGAAGAAAATGAACAAATTCCTTTCAGAAAAACATCTCAGCTACAATGTTGAAAGCTTCTATTGCCTATAATTTTGGGGTAATCAAAATGTGGCTAAATAAAAACCAAATTTATAAAATGGATACATTATGAGGCTATTAATTTTAGAAAATAATTCTCCATTTTAGAAAGAGATTCATTAGTTTCCTACAATGAATCCACATTTCCTACCCAAAAAGAGATAAAGAAGCCCACAGCCTGGTTGAGGCAGGGAAGCCATCAGTACTATCAGCATCCCTCCAGCCATGGCCCTTCCTAGGTCACAGAGCCTCTAGGGTCCCCAGCTGCCACACTAGCTCTACTTAAGGTCAACATTGTACAAGTTCAGGCCCACCTAGGGCATAAGCCAACACTGCCTAACTAAACCTCCCTGGATCTAAGAAAGACTCATTCTCTAAGTGAGGTTTAAGATGTATCTTTCTCTCCCAAGTCTGGTGTGTCTGGGAAAAGACCCAGAACAACTTTGATCATAAAGATGAAATAAAATAAAATATTCCAGGTATGCTAACCTGATGCATTGAAAATATGGTTATAATTACATGCAACATTTAAAAAAATATGTTTACTCATCACAAGTGATACTTGTAGTAGAGGAATCCTGTCTGAGACAGAAAATCATGGATAAGTTTTATGCTCTGTGGGGGAAGGAAGAACAAAAGGGACAGAGCTGAATTATCACTGGAGGAAATGTTGGTCTGTTGCAGAAAGACCAATGTAAAGAATGTATTGACTTATAGATTTTTAAAGGTAGACTGAAGATATCTAATCATTTTCATTATTATAAAAAACCACGATGTATATAAGGCACCCATATATGATCTTAGGTAGAATCCTGCCTAGAGGCCAAAATGGCAATTTGTATCTGAGACTCCCATGGGAATACCTGGAACACAGTAGGATTTTGTTTAAGTTTTGGATGCAATGATGAGGGCAGGTCGTCAGGTGGCTTCAACATCATTCTGGCCTCTCAGGTCCAACAATACCTGGGAACACTCAGATTTAGCCACCTCCAGCCCCAGAATACTCATATCTTGGTGGGGAGGTAAAAGTGGTTAAGCAGAAAGACAACCCATCTCTTTCCTTCCAACCTCCTTGCCACCAAAGCCTCAGAAGCCTTCTCCAGCAGGGGAGAAACTTTTTGGAAGGCAGCTCAAAAAAGTCTCATGGCCAGACATGGTAGCTCATACCTGTAATCTCAGAATTTTGGGAGGCCGAGGTGGGAGGATTGCTTGAGGTCAGGAGTTTAAGACCAGCCTGGACAACGTAGCAAGACCCCATCTCTATAAAAAATGTTAAAAATTAGTGGAGCATGGTGACACATACCTGTAGTCCCAGGTACTTCGGCGACTGAGACAGGTGGATCGCTAGAACCCAGAAGTTTGAGGCTGTCATGAGTTAGGATAGCACCACTTCACTTTGGCCTGGGTGACAGAGCAAGACCCTATCTCTTTGGGAAAAAAAAAAAAAAATTCCCAAAAGGAAAACTGGGACTAGGTGAGGCACTGGGAGTGTCAGAGGGCAGCCCCAAGGAAGGGAGAGCCTGTGAGGTGGGGTAAAACCCCAAACCAACACCCATTTCTCACAGATGCAACCCTTGGAGAGCCTTTCCTAAAAGGACTCAAAAGGGAAACCCAGGAAGCCAACAAAATAGAGCTGGGTCCCCATGCAGCTGTGCCATAACACAGGGCAAGGGGAATACGGCCTTCCACCCGCACCTTAGTGAGCCCGGGACCCCACAATGAGCAAGGGAGAGAATGCCGCCCGGCAGTGGGTGTCCAGGAGTGGTTTTGGGGGGAAGAGGATTGCTCTTTGTAGATTCTTTGCATTCTTTTATTAACCATTTTTTTGGGATAGGGTCTCACTCTGTTGCCCAGGCTGGGGTGCAATGGCACGATCTCGGCTCACTGCAACCTCTGCCTCCTGGGTTCAAGCGATTCTCCTGCCTCAGCCTCTGGAGTAGCTGGGACTACAGGCATGTACCATCATTCCCAGCTAATTTTGTTTATTTTTATATTTTAGTAGAGACAGGGTTTTGCCATGTTGCCCAGGCTGGTCTGAAATCCCTGGCCTCAAGTGATCCACCCTCCTCGGCCTCCCAAAGTACTGAGATTACAGGCATGAGCCACTGCGCCTGGCCTCTTTGCATTTTTTTAAAAAGAGGTTTGACTATATAAAGAACTATGTACACTTCTGAAGTAGTCTCCCTAACCTCCCATTCAATCATACTATTACCCCAAGTCCCCATATCTATAAAGAAATAGCAAAGCCAACACGGCCTCAGGCCTTCCTAACTCCACATCATCCTGAGCAAATTAATTGGTCAAGATAACATTTGTGAGCACACCTTCACTAAGTTAAAAGTACAATACTACAGAGCGACAGGAAGGAAAAGGTAAGAATGGAGGGGGTGAAAGTGAGGAAAGTAGGCAAAGGATTGTGAGAAGAGCCGAGAAGCTCAGGTTTGGGGGATAGACACTCAGAAGGAAAAAGAAGGTTGGATGTGCTGGTGGTGACAAGTGCTCCAGGTGACTGGGAGTCACAAGGAGACTGGCTAATTAGGCCCTCCATTCCAGAGCACTTGCAAAGCAATAATGACCCGTGATTAGGAAGAAGCTGTCATCCTCCAAATGGGTCAAGACAGGGACCGTGGATAACCCGTCACAGGAAAAATCACCCAGAACCACAGCACACAGTCCCACAGGCTCTAGGAGGGACAATTCCGGTGAGAAACCAAGACAAAGATGGGCCCAGTCTGTCACAGGAAAAATCACCCAGAACCACAGCACACAGTCCCACAGGCTCTAGGAGGGACAATTCCGGTGAGAAACCAAGACAAAGATGGGCCCAGTCTGTCCCAGGCAGCAGGCCAGGGGTAAGTGGAAAAGCACAGCTCGGCTGCCTCCTGGAAAACCTCCTCCCCTCCCTGTGGCCACCTCCCACTCGGCCACGGGATCCAAGCTCCAGCATAATTGCTCTCAGAAGGAAATTGCCCGTGGAGGCAGGTTGGTGATGTGAGAGCAGCCATGGAGGCAGGAGTCCCGTCGTTTCTAAGGTGGGAGCCTCTTCCTTGGTATTTAAATTTAGCCAGGGCCCTTGAGGACTCGAAATGTGAAGGCCGAGGCAGCCAGCTGAGGCTGAATGGCTGAGCCAGGGACCTGAGTCCTCAGCATGTCAGGTCCACTTCCATGCAAGCAAAGCTACAGGCAAGGGGCTGCAGAAGGGTGGATGAGACAAGTCCAGTTTTGTTTTTCTTGGTGACAAGGGTGAGAGGATTAGAACTGCTTTAGGAAGCTGAATCTGCCATCTAGGATCCATCCAAACTGATTTTCCTGTCCCTAAAGTGCTCCCCTCTTTAATCCATCCCAGGAAGATGGATTAAAGAGGGGAAAATCAGTTTCAACCGCCCTAGCATGGACATCAGGGCCTGAGACAGGGCAGAGACAGAACAGAGGGAATGAAAGGAGGGTTCTGAGCAACAGGCTCCAGGGTAGGTACCAGAGGTCCAGCCACCACCTCCTCCCTCCATCAGGGAGGTGACCTACCCTACAGCCCAGGAGCCAGGCCTTAGGTAGAGTCTGTGATATTACTCGATACGGGTCCCAGGACAACCTCGGATTAGACCGTGTGACCTCTGGGGAGTTACCCAACCCCTTTTCTCCTGGGTAAAATGGAAGGTGTAACATTTACCCCACCCCCAAAAAAAAACATTGAGGATTACATGTGACAATCAATGTAAGTAACATGTGAAAACATCTAGAACAATCCTGGTGCCTACACGGTGTTCAAAGCTCAGTAGTTCCCTCTGCACCACCTCTTTTCTGCCAGCCCCAAACACTAAGGAAACGACCCCTTCCTAAGATGCTGGGTGCCTCCCCACAGAGGCCAAAGGCAGAAGATATGGATTCTCCATGGCCACACAGAGTTCTCGGCAGCTACTGATTCAAAATCTAAGCATCTCTTGTCCATCATCGAGCACTGCCCTCTCTCCAGATGAACGGAGCACCTGGGACTGCCTGCTGAGCCCCCAGGCCTCCTTGTTGAGGAAGTTTCCTCACCCCTGGTCCTGTGGGTGTGGCGACTGCTTCACAGCCTCCTGTTTATCCTCTGGATTCTCTACTGTGTTTGCACAATCAAAGCCACAAGCCAAAAGACAGGATTCAGTGCCTGGGCCACTGGTGTTCCTGAGGAAGGCCGTGTCCTTTTCCACACTACTAAAAATGAACTTGAAGTTTGAAAGTATGGGTTCAAGTCCCCTCAATGGCTGAGAAACAAAGCCCTCATGTAGAAGGCAGCCTCCAACATAGCCCCCAGTGATCCCCACCTCTGGGTATTCATGACCTACAGAGTCCCTTCCTGGAGTGTGAGCTGGACCCACTAGCTGGCTTCTAAGACATAATACAGCAAAGGGGATGGGGTGTCACTTCTGAAACCAGGTTTCAAAAAGACAATGGCTTGCACCTTGCTCAGCCTCTTTCTCGCCCCCATCTCTCAGACATCGTTCTAGAGAAGCCTGCTGCTGCACTCCTTGTTGTGCACGTGGCCTCATGGAGGGGCCCACATGGCAATGTAGGGATCTCTCAAGTGAGGACCTGAGGCTTGCCAACAAACCCGGGAGTGACATTGGAGGTAGACTCTTCCCCATTCTGGTCTTTAGCAGTGGGATGACTGCAGCCCCAGCCAATACCATGACCCTAAGCCGGAGGACCCAGCTGAGCCATGCCCAGATTCCAGAACCACAGAAACTGTATGTATGATAATAAGTGTTGTTCAAAGCCTCTAAGTTCTGGAGTAGTTCACGGCAATCGATAACTAATACACCTGTGTCTCCTGGGCCAGGAGAGAAGGTATGGAGTGAGTGTGGGAGCTTCGAGAAACTTTTTTTTTTTTTTTGAGATGGAGTCTCACTCTATTGCCCAGGCTGGAGTGCAATGGTGCGATCTCAGCTCACTGCAACCTCCGCCTCCTGGGTTCAAGAGATTCTCCTGCCTCAGCGTCCTGAGTAGCTGGGATTACAGGTGTGCACCATCATGCCCGGCTAATTTTTGTATTTTTAGTAAAGGCAGGGTTTTACCACGTTGGTCATGCTGGTCTTGAACTCCTGACCTCATGATCTGTGTGCCTCAGCCTCCCAAAGTGCTGGGATTACAGGGGTGAGCCACCGCGCCCGGCCGAGAGACCTCTTTTAAAAAGTCACCATGGATGCTTCTATGAGAAGCCAGAACTGCTGCGAAAAGCAGCACCATGACATCATCAATAAGCAAGCCCAGTGGACACATTCCCAGGAAGTTCCCTAAGAACAAGTATGGACTTTCAGCAGACCCCAAATCAGAACATCAACTCATGGGCTGTGAATTGGTCCAACTGCCACTGCCTTCCCCATCAGAGTGGCTGAGGAAATCATAGCAATTGCCGGTAACAAAGACCTCCCCTGGCTCTACCCTCGCTAGGAGTCTTCACTGGTATTGACATCAAGATTCTATTCTCCTATCCAGAGTCTAGCAGGTGTGAGCCCAGCAGTAAAAGGACCACTTATGGTTGGGGGCTCATTCCCTCTTCTTGCCTCTGCCTCCTCCCTCTTCCTCTGTACATCATGTCTTTCATCCTTTCCCATCTTTGTTGTCTTGGTTACATGGCCAGACTCCTAATATGCTGCTAGTTTTCATTTTAATGATATGTTTTTGTAAAGCACAATATTTTACTTCAATTGCATGTGTCACTGGATAAATTCCTCTAGTGCGTCTGACATTTGTGTATCAGCTGACTGAATGCGCTCTATGATTTGGGGTGTTTGTGCAGCACTTTCTTCAATTTTAATGTGTTTGCATTTTAATTTATGATCAGGATCTTTCTATACCAATGTGTGTATATATACACACATATGATTCAAAAAAGTGGCACACGTATCAATAAATCTTGAATTGGCAAAGCTCATTTAAGACTATCTCTTTAAATCATGTGCACTAGCAATGATCACTTGGAAAACAGAATGACAAGTGTTCCTGAGAAACTCTTTGCTGGGATTTCAATGTGTGTTTCAGGAGGAAGTCAGGAGGAGAATGCAACAATGCCTAGCTATTGGCTGCAGTAGAAATTTCACGATGAGAACACCTCCCCGGGTTTATTCAGGTCAGCAAGGAGGGACCACTTGAGATCCCCCAGGGATGTGCAGGGAAGGTGGGTGGGCCCAAGGGCAGAATAGTGAGAAATGGAAAAAGATAAGAAAAGAGGGCCAGTGTGGCCACACTTACATCAAAAGGGTGATTGAGTGAGGGCTTAATAGTGTTCAAGAATATAAAATATGTCCAAGAGGATATCAACCAGCTTAGTTGCTCTTTTAGTCAACTGAGTAAAACTTGGGAAGAAAGCTTAAAACATAGCAGAAGAGATTGAAACAAGGTGGGAGGAAGGCCCATGAGAAGTGGATACATTGGTCTGAGGCAAGATCAGTCTGAAGGGCCAGTCTTAGAATTCCCAGGCTGGAAAGACTAACGACAGAATGCCGTCTGTCTGTGGTTGAACGTGAAATCAGAGGAGGGAGGGTGGCACGCTGGCACACCTGTGGGATCTTCTGCCTGGAGCCCTTCAACCTCAGCCTCCCCTTCACACAACCCACAGGGTAAGGTCTATGCAGGTTTAATATTTGCAAAACCAGGGATGGAAAATGCAGACACAATATAGCAAATAGAGGGTCTTTTCCTGTCATGGAAATCGGTCAGCCCTGATGCTTCTGCATTTCTTTCCCTTTGTGCTTGTGATCAATCACACATGAACCCATGGCAGCTTGGGCTGGAGAAACATATAGCACAACAGAACTACCTGACCGAACCCTGTATCAAATACATATGCCCTCTGCCCTAACCACATGTTCCTAGTCTATTTGGTGTTCCAACATTGTATCTCCATTTGATTTCCTGACACTTCCATCCATCTGCAGGGCTTTCTGTGCTATGAATATTTATTTTTAGTTAAAGTGGATTCAAATTTCCAGAGTAATTTTAGGAAGAATTCCCAGGTACATTTAGGAAGCAACAAAGCAGAGGCTGGACTCTCTGATCTGATATTGCTTTGTGACTTGAGCACTGAAGATACACACACAGCATCTGTTCCTGAGAAGCAATGTTCGCCCCAGGTGGGTCTCCCTCCACTCCAATCCACTCCTGGGTGATTCCCCCTTGTGGACCTGTGCCGAAGGACTAGGGAACAAAAGCAAATTAATTTTAAAACAGGCTTGAGAAAAAAAAATTAGGAAGATTAAATTAATCTACATGACAATTCCCAATAAGAATGGTTTTTGTACTATATACTCCTATTGCCTCTTCATGGGAATGTGCACCCAGTACCTATTCAGAGAGGCTGGTATGGATTAGTCTGTGCACAGACACATGGATGCATGTCCCGCAACAGGCTAATAGCAGGGCCAGCCAGAGTTCCGCTTAACCAACATCCATACAGCGCTCCACCCCCTTAGGTGTGAACAGTTTAACCTAGCAAAAACATCCAGGGAAGACGCAATCACCAGCGAGAGGAGCAATCACACCTCAAGTGGAAGTTTATGATGTTTTGGTTCACAATGAACATTAGTCTCTCCCACTAATGTCAGGCAGTAATTCACCACTGAACAGCAGCCATAAAAATGATCGCTTAGTGAAAGGAAAGCAAGAGGCAGAGAAAGCAAGAGAGGGAAAAGATTCCAGCAGAAATATTCAAGCAAAGAAATCTCGTGCTTCTGAGACAACACTGAGCTGATTGTCCCAACTCAAGCCAAAGATTTAGGTTTGCTTGGCCCTAAAGCCAGTCAAGATGGCATTTGCCTTATGATTTTTACCTATAGTGGAAATGTTAACAGTCTGTAGGTTATTGCTAAGTTCCTAGACACCTGCTTATGACTGTAGTATTTATAGGTCATATTTCTTAACACACATACCCTTAAAGCTCACCACAGGAAGAGGCTGCCAATACCATCTGCAACACACACACATCAGAAAACATCAAAGACATCTAAATTGGCACTTTCCTCACCTCCTTTCCCCCCGCTTCATGTGACGTGTGCACTAAAGGAGTGAAATTACGGTCGTCAAAGACAAGGTTGCAAATGATTGGGACTCATGCCTTTCAAGCAAAATAAAAAGTAATTTTGAGAGCAGCCCACGGATAGCTCGGTCTAGCTCCTGGACCCCTGAAACCCACAGCAAACACCCTTACTCTTAGCATCCCCCCAAGCTCTCTCCTGCCCACCTACCCCCATTTCCAGTCTCTTGTCATACCGTAAAGAACTCTGAAAGGTCCTTGATACACACAGGAGATTATTACAGGGCTCAGAGAAACCAACTCTGTAATTATGGCTACAGTATGATTTCCATTATTCTCACGCCCTGGCCTCAGTCACTTGCAAAACTTCCAGCAAAATCCTCCTGCAGCTCCACAACTTGTCACGGCTGGGCCTCTGCCCAAAAGGTGACTGTGGTCCTGATAACCTCTGGGAAAAGCAAGTCAGAATTATTACAAGGAAAGGGGAGTGGTGCTTAGTGAGTGAGTGGGGGTGGGGAATTCTATTGTTCAAGAAAAAATAAATAAATGGGCCACTTTTGCTTTTTATTATTTCAAACAACAGACTCGGCAGCCCAGCCTTCCTTTCCCAACTCAGACTGTTCCCCTGGGCCAGCTGTGCTGAGTCTGCAGGCACGGGAGCCGGGCTTGAGCAAAACCATTAAAAGGCTGCCACTCCAAGCCTGCAGAGCAGAAAGTTTGGCCGCCCCAGTGGCCTGGCTTTCCCCGGGAGGACCGAAGGCTCATTCCCCCCAACTGACCCTTGCGCTCTTACCTTTCAAATGTTTATGCCTCACCAGCCCCACCACTGCTCTGGAAATTAGATAGAATATCCCAGGTGGCTGAAACAGAACTGTTCTTATATCAACCTACCAAAGTAAAAGATGGGAATGCCGGCCGCGGTTTATGAAGCCCCAGCCTCTTGGTGGGGTATTGCCTGTGTCACCTGTCACTGCCTGCCTGACCGACTGCTGGACTCTGTCCTTACCTGCCTCAGGAGGGTTGTCTCTGAGCGCCTTGCTGGCCCAGGCTCCTGGGGGTGTCCTGATCCCAAACTCATGGTGCTGCACTTGACCTCCCTGTCGGGGAACAGATTTGGACAGGCTTCCACAGGCAAGAGAGTACCAGTCACCAAATGCCTCAACCCACCCTTGGACAAACAGCACAAAAATGCAAGTTGACTATCTTGGGTTTACAATGCAGCCATGGTCAGGAAACACCTTCCTTTTTCCAAGAGAAAATAACTGTTTTGTTATGTGCACTGAACTCTCAATGTTCATTTCATTGATAACATTCACTGCCCAACCAGCTCAGACAATCACACACACACACAAATCCTCATCCAGGGTCTACTCCATCCTGCCAGCTAGTAAATGGTCCTCTGGCAGCTGGTAGGAAATTCAGCGGGTAAGACTCTTTTAGGGCAAGGCAGGAAGTTACTTCTACATTGCACTGAGATTGAGCTCACCGGAGAAAAGAGTTAAAGCATCCCCCATACTGCTTGCTGACTTATTTACTCTTAATGGTGCTCATTCACCCATTGCAGCAGGTGAAGCAGGTCTCAGTGCATGAATTGTACACAGTAATGCCCCCGGTATTTAGAATTCACTTTTCCAGCAGACCAAATTTGCCAAATCCTACTGAAGAATCGAGCCATCTGATTCACCTGCCCAAAAGCTCATGTACTTCTCTCCTCAGTGTGGACTGACGCGTGTCAGACACAATTTCAGAGTTTGGCTATCTGGTTTCCTAGCCCACCAAAGCTGGAAGCTGCAGAATGAGGGAGGAGGAAAGGTGCTGAAGTCAACCAGGATTCCTGGCAGCAACTGGAAGTGATGAGTGGCCAAGTGCATGAGAGGAAGACCCGGGAAGGCAGCAAAAATCAGACACAGGAGCTGTGTGGGGATAACATGCCCATGTCTCACAGCGTCTTCCCTGGGCATCCACAAAACTCAGTTCAATATGTGAACAAAAATCACGAGGAGTCTGAGGCAGCAAGGAAAGATTCCATTGCGCTTACCATTTTCTTCACAGAACGGAGGTATGAAATACAATTCTTTGCAGGGAATTATGAAATACAATTCTTAAAAATGTGTACACAATGATTTTGCTGTTTTTTAGTTGTGACACTGAAGGCGGTCCACTCAAATTAGGCAGTTACTTCCTCCTGGGCAGCACCTGCTGTGTGGTACATCATGGACACCATTCTTGCAGAGTACCATGGTGTTTCCCCAGTGCTCATTGTTTTCTTTCCCAGTCATTACCCATAGAATTACTCCACACACAAGTTCCCAAGTCACAAACACACTCTGGGGTGCCCGCCTCTTGTCCTCCACATGCTCCCATTCCAGACACACCACCTGTCCGCAGAGATGCCAACAGAAATGATTGCTGGGCTGTTACATTGTTGGATGGTAAAATAGGCATAGTCCTCTAAATATGCCCAGAACATTTCCTCTTGACCATCCAGAGCTAGCAGCCAGAAATACAGCAAAGGGAAATGGAGGGATTAAGGCTTAGTCTCAATCTTTACTCAATCTGAATCACACAATGTCCAGAGAACCCCAAAAGAAGCCAAAATAAAGCAAGCAAGAGCTCCACATGGAATCATCAATATTTCCTGGGAAAGGACTAAAATGCAATTATTGGCCAACAGGAAACAGGACCTCCTGCCTACCACCTTAGAAGGACTTTTAACCCAATCAAGAAGGGCATGCACTATAGGGCCAGTTCCAACTCATGAGATGAGAAGCCTGAACACAAAACATCCCTGGGCGGATGACTGCTCCCAACACAGCTGATGAGCCAAGATCGCCCAGGACTCCAGAACCTGCCAGCTTCCGGAAGATGCAGGGGAAAGGTCAGGTCCCCAGATCATACCATCTGACCTCACCAGAGCAATTTTCATGTTCCCATTGCACCCGTGGTTTTCTCAGCCCACAACTTGGCTCTGGGCCCCATTTGCAACTTTAATAGGTCTGCACTTTCCTCCATCTGTTCCCTGAATGCATTCCAGATGATGCAGCAGCCAGAAGGGCTGGAGCAAGGGGAACAGGCATGTCCCTTCCCCCTGCCCACCTTCCCCAATTGCTCAGACCTAATAAAGCCTTTGCCTTAAGGGCACAAGCCCAAATTGAACACAGCATACACCATTTAGAACAACACTGCAAGGCTGGTCTGACACCTCTCATGTGCACACCAGCTCTAGGGAGGAGGTGAATCCACACACTCACCCCACAACCTCAGCACAGAGGCAGAGAAAGGACAAGATGATCATCATGACCTCAACAGCAGCGTATCTCCTTAGCTCAAATCTGTATCACCTGCCCACACGCCCAAGTTAGCAAAAAGATGTAAGATAACATCCAGCCCAGGAGGGACAGACTGTCTTCACAGTAACCAAAAGTACTGCACCTCATTCCTACCTTCTTCAGCTTGCCACTTTTGGTGCCCACAAAGGCCAGAGAGTGGTTCTTGTAGACATATGCGATGACAGACGTCATGCGGTCCCTGTCCTCCGTGAAGACGGGAATTCCACGCACCATGTCGGACACTCCCAGGGGAGCATTCATGTCCAGGCCACAGAAGTTATCGTCAATGGTTAAGAGCTGCAAATTTTAAAAAGAGAAAAATTAGAAGGGAGCGTCAAGGAAATTGGCAGAGATATTAAGTCAGGAAACTATGGAGGTAGAAGAATCCTTAGAGATGAAACATCTGGTAACAATCCCTCTTTTTTACATGAAAAACGTCACTCCAGAGAAACTAGGTGACCTGTGAAGAGTCACCTGAGTGGGCAGGTGCAGGGACATGGCAGAAAACACAGGTCCGCAGGTCTCCTTTCTCCATAATCTGTGTGTCTCTGCCCCTCATCCAACCCCTCCCAGCGCCATCTTGGGAGCTTTGTCCATCATTATTATCATCATCATCCTCACGTGGAAAAGCCTCACGTGGAAAAGCCCTGGGTCAGCCCAGATGAGCAGGGGCTCCAGGCCGCTCTGCTCAGGCACAAGAGGGATGTGGTCTCCGTATCTATACACAAAGAGGAATGTGGTCTTCGTATCTATACAGAAGAGGGATGTGGTCTCCATATCTGGAGCAGACACACACATGAGGACTCAAAAGTGTAGACTAGGGAACTGAAAACATTAGCATGTAAGTAGCACTATCACAACAGAGGCATGTGCAGGCAATCAGCTGGGGAAAGGAGCAATGGGGGAAGGAATGTGCTGATTCAACTCAATGTGCCACAGCTGGTGCTTTATGAGCTCCGACCTCAGGCTCCCTGTGTCTTTTAGAGCATTGTGAAGAAGGGCAGCCCTGGCCCTGCCATGCCTACACCAGCACTTCCCAAAGTGCCATCCATGGAAACCCAGGTCCCCGATATGCTCTACAGATAAAAGGGCTCTGCAGGCAAATTTCTAGGAAGCCTTTTAACACCATCTAAGAGATTCATAACGATTAGTTACATGAAAGGTCTGAAAAGTATTTTTAAGAAAAAGTATGTTTAACCTTATCTCAGCCTCTCCTAAACATTTTATTCACTGAACCTTTTCTTCCTTTTTTTTTTTTTTTTTTTTGAGACAGGGTCTCACTCTGTCACCCAGGCTGGAGTGCAGTGACATGATAATGGCTCACTGCAGCCTTGACTTACCAGGCTCAAGCGATCCTCCAACCTCAGCCTCCCAAGTAGCTGGGACCACAAGCATGTGCCACCATGCCTGGCTAAATTTTTGTATTTTTTGTAGAGACAGTATTTCATCATGTTACCCAGGCTGGTGTCAAACCCCTGAGCTCAAGCAACCACCACCCTCAGCCTCCCGAAGTGCTAGCATTACGGGTGTGAGCCCTTGCACCCAGCTGCTAAACCATTTTGACTGCAACACCTACTAGTGTTCCTTAAAGAGAATATTCTCCAGATATCCTGTGAGATACTGACCCTGACTCGCTTGCTCCTGACTCCAGGAAGTATAATTTCAGAAGTCAGGAAGCTTTGGGGCCAGTTCCCCCACTGTATTTCCAGTGGAATCTCTCTTTTTTATACCAGGCCATCAGGTCCCCCTTGAAACAGAGGGTCTCAGCTGGGCTCTGGGGTGCTGGGGAGTGGTGAAGACCCTGGTAGTAGCTGGTGAAAAGCCCTCGGCACTCCCCACAAGCAGCTTGGGTCTCACACACACACCCCTCTGGGGTGAATTTTCCACCGTGTCTTGGAAGGGCTATGTGGTCTCAGAAGAGTTACTCCGTTTTCCTGTGCTTTTATTTTCTGCTCTATAAAGATGACGGAAACAATCCCCGCTCTTTGATGGGCTACCATAAAGCCTATTGCACTCGTGCCTGTAAATGTCTTTGGACTTTGCAGAGAAAGGGGTGAAATAAAATACAAGGTGTCACTTTTTTAAAGGCTTCAATCCAGCCAAAGGAAAGGGCATCTGGAGAACAGCAGGCAGGCTCTTGCCAGGGAGTGTGTGAAACCAGGCCACAGGCGTTCACCTGGCCCCAGCAGGCTCCTCCACTCCCTCCCAGAAGAGGTGCGGGCAGGCACTGTCCCTCCAGAGAAGGTGACCTGCTCAGCATCTGAAGCCTCTCTGATGGCTCCCCTTCTTCCTACAGAGTAGGGACAGTCAGAGCGAAAACGGGGAGAGCGTGGGCAAGCCTGAGCAGGCCACGTGTAGAGCAGACATCCACTCCAGGCCTTTGATAGCCTCTGGCCTCTCTTGCGTGGCCTGGTCCACCAGCCCAGGCCAAACACAGCTCTCTCCCCTTCCCTTAAAAGAAAAAAAAAAAGAAAAATTATTGACCAGGCATGGTGACTCATGCCTGTAATCCCGCCAGAGGCAGGCAGATCATCTGAGGTCAGGAGTTCGAGACCAACACTGTCTCTACTAAAAAAACAAACAAAAAATTATAGGAGTCAAATTTACAAGGGAGTGTTCAAGATTTAGTCTGATCTTTACCATTTTTCCCTAAATAAGGAGATGGGGAAGGAGACAGGAGGCAGAGGGTTAAAGGGAGGAGTAGAAGAAAGGAAGGACAAATCCAGGCAAAGGGGAGAAGATGCCCTGTGCCTGCTGGATATGACCATGGCAACCTGCCAGGCCTTCCAAGGGCAGCCTGGGGTGCTAGGGGTCCTCGTGGCCCTTGAATGTTCCTGCTTCTGGTTCACAAGGAGTTCGCATCCCCAAATTTCTCAGGCCTAAACTGTGCTGCAGGGACCTCTGGCGTCGCAAACTCTGTACATCACCCATTATGATCCATTTTCTGAGTAGATGTGGCTGAATGATTGTTCACACTGCACAGGGTGGGGACACTGAGGCAGGGACAAAGGGAGTCCTTGTTTCACAGTTCCCCACCACCTCTGCCACAAACATAGGCCTCATTAGCCTGAGGAGGCTTCAGGCCTCTCAGCTCCCAAAATTGCATTTCTGAGGGGTCAGGATTACTGAATACGATTCTTCCCCTTGGCTGGGCACGACAGAAGGACATCAACAGCCACGTACAAAAAGAGAGTATACATTTGGCTGGTTACATCATTCACTAACCAGAAAGTCAGGGACCTGTGACTCTCTTCCTCTGCAGAACCTCTTGAAGCAAGAAGCCCAGGCAAGATCTGGGACAATGACAGATTTCTCCCTAAGTTTCCCCGTGGCTTGGCTTCTCTCTCTCTGAATGGGGCCCCAAGTGATAAAGGTGCCATTGAGTCCTTTGACCAAGCACCGTCCAGGTCTTCATGATTGCTGAGGTCCCCAGCTGTGGCAGGAGGTGGCCCTGCTCTTTGTTTCCTTGAATCTGGGGTGATGGGGGAGGGATTTTTAAGATTGAAACAGTGGAAAAATCACAGGACTTGGGTTCAAATGGCAGCTCAGCTGCTTCCCAATTGCACAACTTGCTCCTACTGTTCTGTAACCTGACTTTCCTTGGCTATAGAGCGGGTAAGCTTATTGGAGCGATGGCACCTGGTGAGCTGGGAAGCACTTCAATGTAAGATATTTCATGTTGATTTTTTGTGTATAGAAATCCTGCCTGGAACAGGGGTAGAATGGCTGCAGGGTGTGGCCCTAGCATGCCTCTTGACCACAGCATGCACTGCAAACACAGTATGCATTGCTGGGTCTGAGCTGAAACCACCAGCTAATTACAGTACCTGAAGCAGGGGGAGGGAGGGTCCCCCAGGGCCTGTAGACCTGGGAGGTGGACATGTAGAGAACAGATGCCAGGGCTGCCTGGGCCCGGGAAGGTGAGGCTAATTGGTGAAAGCCTTCAACAGGTGAGGGTTGATGTGGCTTCCTGAGCACCTGGGTGATGGGGGAAGAGAATGTTTGCTCCAGCCCTGGCTGAGCCTTCCCCTGGGCCCCATTAACAGTGAGATTAGAGCCACAGCCAGAGGAGCCAGGTCTGGACTCTGCTATTATCAGGAGCCCAGCCATGCCCTAGGCCTGGGGCTGGCCTCCTGTCACTCCACAAATACACAAAATGTTTGGCCATGGTTATGATAACCCTTGTTTATTAGAGAGCAACTCTACTCTCACAAGGAAAGGAAATAAGCACCCATTAAATGAGAATTTATATGGAGCCCATTTGGACAACCCTGTGGACAGACCTAGAAGCCCTGAGAGGGCCACACTCTCTGGGTCCCTATCCAGAGGACTCTGGATCTTTTTTCACTGGCTCAAATGTCCTCATAGAATGCATGGGGTACAAATTAAGATGGCTGATCCACTGTGCTCCAAGGACTATGAGCTCAAGGACAGGGGCCACGTTTTATGCATCTTTGTACCCCTAGCTTAGTGCCTGGCTTATAATAGGCTAATACAATGGATGGATAGATGGATGGATGGATAGGTGGATGGATGGATGGATGGGTGGATGGGTGGATGGGTGGATGGGTGGATGGATGGATGGATGGATGGATGGATGGATGGATGGATGGATGGTTCGTTGGACAGATAGATAAATAAAAGCCTGAGCTTCACAGTGGCTAACAGTACTGAACCAGAACCAAAGTGCTTAGGTTTGAATCCCAACTCTGCCACTTAATCCTGTGTGACCTTGAGAAAGTCACTTAACCTCCCTGTGCCTTAATTTGTTACCTGTAGAATGGGGATTATTACAATAGTACATACTTTGTTGTACTGTGGTGAGGATTAAATAATTTAAAACATATAGAACAATGTTTGGCACTTAGTTCTATGGGAGTGTTCACTCTTGTTGTTTGTTGTCATTAGATGGGTCAGATGACCTCTGCGGTTCTCAGCATCTTTGAGGAAATTCATGGTATCTATCTCAGAGGTATCATGAAAATTAAAGGGGCTAATGTTGTGAAGATGAAATAGCAAAGGTAGTTCTTCCCAAATATCTTCCAGAATCCGATAGACATTTGGTCACAAAGCTGACTGAAGGAGCAGGGGAATGGTCTCAGATCCAGGAGACTGAGCGCTATTCATTAGAAATGCAAATTCTTGAGCTCCACCCCAGACATATTGGATTAAAAAGTCTTGGGTGGGGGCTCAGACATCTTCATCTTCACACCTCTCCAGGTGATTCCAACCCCCTCTTGCTAAGGTTTGAGAAGCACTGGCCTGGATCACCATGGAGGGCCCTTCCTAGCTGAGGGCACTACAGAACACAGCATGTGCCTAGCATCCCGACTCGGGAGCAGGACCCTGAGCTGGACCTGGATGCAGAGAGCCCTCACAGCAGCCTCCCCAGGGGCCTGCCACGCAGTGTGGTGGTGGTGGAGGTGGTGTGGGGAGCTGGAGCTGACACTCCGAATTACAATCTAATAGCTTATGGCGCTTCCCTCGTGCACCGCAGCAAAGGTTACCGTGCAATTACGTGTCGCCACATACAAATGACAGAGCAGTTACGGTTACTTTACCAATTACAGGGAAATTGCTCCCACTCTGCAGAGAGATTGGCACTCTGAAAAGCTCTATCATCTCCATGAAAAGGGGATTTTAAATGCAGACGGTTTCCTTCCTCCAGCAGTTCCCCAGGCTCAGGGGCAGAGCTGCAAAGCCACTGCCACTGCCCAAGGACCCCAGAAGTGCCTGGTAGTCTCTGTGGAGACTCCCTGGGAAGGGCTGGAGGAGGAGGTAGACCTGGGGAACAGTGGGGGGATCTCCCCAAGAACTCTAGACATCACCCCCAACCCTAGGCCTCAATGACACACTCTTAAGGAACCAACTATCACCCACTCTGACAGCCACATCAATCCATCTTGAAGGCAGCAGGTGATGAGGCGGGGTGGGCCCCTGATCCCCAAATCCTCCCCTGACCCCAGCCTGCACAGCCCCTGGTGTGAGTCCTGATTGCACCTCCTCTGCCAAGCAAAGCTGTTTTAGCCCCGGCCCTGGCTTGCCCCACCTTTGCAGAAACCTCACATTGAGTCCTTATTACAGAAAGGTCAGAACCAAGCCAGAGCTCAATGGCCCAAATGCAGTGCTAATGAGGTGAAGGTCAGCAGGTCCATCCCCCTGTGGGCCAATTAGCTTAGCTCTGGGACACAGTCTCTTCCATAGCCACAGGCTGCCCTCTTACTGCAGGCATCCACTGTTTACAAACATCCTAAGCTGATCCTGAAGAGGCAGACCAGGTGACCAGCAGGGATGTGCCATGCAGCCAACTCCTCCAGCCACCTATGTACCTGCCCTGCTGCTCTGGGGCAGCAGCAGCCATCTGAGCCCCAGGATGGAAGACAAAATCAGATCTGGTCTTCCCATTGCTCTGTGGGCAACTCCTGTGGTCCAGGAGAGAGAGGATTTCTCCCATCTGGGAGAAAACCAGCTCTCCTGCCCTTCCTGAATGGAAAAGTATCATCTAGCCTCATACTCCTCCACAGCTGGGAAGTCCCCACTCCTGTCCGTTGCATAGGGTAAGAAGACATCAGAGATTTTCCCAAGCTCACCCATGGTGGGGCCAACTGGATCTTTAGACCAACCTTTTCCCACCAAACCTTTGGTTCCTTGGGCTATTGGAACTCCCTGCGTTCAGCAAGGGAAATAGGCACTAGATGAAGACAAGGCTATTTACTTTTCCTCACTTACTAATTTGCTTAAGAGCATTTATGAAAAACCTACTAAGCCCCAAGCACTAGGTGAGCCCCTAAGAATAGAAAGATGAAAAAGTCTCAGTTCCTGCCCCAAAGAACTGCCTCTTTCCCAGTGTGGGGATGGACAGACCTGGGCCATGACTAGACAAAGCCATCTGGGCCCTGCTTCAGTTATGTGCCTGGGGGAGTCCAGAGAATGGACCACCAACTGCCTTGGGGAGCAGGCATGACTTTGAGGAAGAGGCGAGGTCTGGGCTCACGTCCAAGTTCTCTGGCTTATGAAACAGTATTCTGCCCCTCTTTCACACATCATATTTCAGATGCGGAAAATAACTCAGGATCATAAAATCCAACAGCCCCATTTTACAGAAGGGGCCACTGGGGCCTGGAGAGTGAGGTGCCTCCCCTAGTTACCTATCAAGTTGCTGAGAAAATAGGTACCAAAACCCCAAATTCCTGGTGACAGAAAAAACAAAACAAAACAAAACAAAAAAGCCTGATTTTTTTTTTAGATGGAGTCCTGCTCTGTTACCAGGGTGGAATGCAGTGGCACAATCTTGGCTCACTGCAACCTCCACCCGCCAGGTTCAAGCAATTCTCCTGCCTCAGCCTCTTGAGTAGCTGGGATTACAGGCACCTGCCACTACACCCAGCTAATTTTTTTATTTTTAGTAGAGACGGGGTTTCACTATGTTGGCCAGGCTGGTCTTGAACTCCTGCCCTTGTGATCCGTCCACCTTGGCCTCCCAAAATGCTGAGATTATAGGCATGAGCTACCACACCTGGCTAAAAAACTGATCTTAAGCACGGGTTTCCTCTGGGGTTGTTAGAGGGTGGTCCCAAAGACAATCTATTCCAGGATCAGAGGAAGGCAGGGGACTGCTGGGGAAGAGACTATGTGTCCAGTCCCTTTCCCAGCACCAGGGATGAGTGCTCTGCCATCTCCAGAAACTGGAAGCAACCAACTCTCCCCTCCCAAGGAGGCCCCTGACCACTCACTTAAGCTGGGCTTCTTCCTTTCCTGGGTCTGTGCATCCCAAAGGAAAGTGAGAAATGACGTTTTGAAAAGAAATTCAAGTTAGGAGAAAAAGGGAAGGGAAGCCCATGAGCTGCCTATTGATACAGAAAAGAAAAGGTCTTTATATTCTTCATGTTGAGCAGCCCTAAATTTCTTCCCATTAATTACACTTATGCACACTTGTGCACGCACGCACACACACACACACACACACATACACATATCCTGGTTGCTGACCATAGCACACCTCCACTGGAAATGGGGAATCAGTGAATTACACATGTGGGATTTCTTTTTAAAGGGAGATATTGATCAGATAAACTGTAATAGCTCATGTCTAAATGCAGGCTCCAGTTGTAAAGCTCTGCAGTACAGGGAGATAATGATCACCCACTTATTGGGAACCGTATCTCAAATATGACGGCTGACCCCTAAGGTGTTCATAAATACACAAAATGCATCCACCCCTTGAGATGACATCGTGTTTACTCCACAATACCTCCTCAGGGGTAGAGGTAAGTGGAGAGTGTCCACAGGGAGGTAGAAATATCTCTGGGAGTCTCTAGTAGGCTTAGGTTTAGCTCCTCAGAAAGCCTATTATTCTATAAGATATTTCCATGTGCTTGAGTGATGATTCTGTAACAAAGAAATCAAAAAGACCTGACTATCCAATCCTCTGATTGCTTTCCTGTAATGCCTAAACTTTCTCTTTTATGACTCCTAGCCCTCCCCAGAAGGTCTGCCTTCAGACACGTGACATTGAGACACAGGACCCACGCTGGCCCTATGAGATTGAAGTCTCTTGAAAGCAAGCCAGAGAAGTCCTATAATAGGTGAAAGTTGACCCCTGCACCCTGGTTGTGAGCACAGGCCATGGAAACAATGCTGGAGTGAGGGCTCATACACTCAGTTACTAATGCTTCATCTCAGAATGATTCTTTCGGGTGTCTTTTTCAATGAGATTGTAGGGAAAACGAATGTGTAACAGAAAGAGGGAGAGCCAGCAAGCCACAGTCACAACAACCCAGTTAGACAAACACATCATTGCAGGGGCTTAGAGAAAAGTGTATTGGGGTTGGAAAAACAACCCAACAAATTATAGTAGTTCCCCTGATCCTTGGCTTCACTTTCCATGGTTTCAGTTACCGCAGCTTCAGATCAACCACTGCCCAAAAATAGAAGAGTAGAGCACAATAAGGGATTTTTGAGAGACAGAGGAGACAATGTTCACATAATTTTTATTATAGTATACTGTCATAACTGTTCTATTTTATGATTATTATTACTGTTAATCTTTTACTGTGCCTAACTGATAAATTAAAGTTTATTATAGGTATGTATGTATATTAGTCCATTTGCTGATAAAGACATACTGGAGACTTGGAAGAAAAAGTTTGATGGACTTACATTTCCACGTGGCTGGGGAGGCCTCACAATCATGGCAGAAGGCAAGGAGGAGGAAGACAGGTCTTACACGGATGGCAGCAGGCAAAAAGAGAGAGTGTGTGCAGGGAAACACCCCCTTATAATATCCTCAGATCTCATAAGACTTATTCACTATCACGAAAACAGCACAGGAAAGTCCTGCCCCCATGATTCAATTACCTCCCACCAGGTCCCTCCCACAACATGTGGGACTTCAAGATGAGATCTGGATGGGGACATAGCCAAACCATGAGAGTATGCATGGGAAAAAACACGGTATATATGGGGTTTGGGACTATCTGTGGTTTCAGGCATCCACTGGGGGACTTGGAAAGCATCTCCCAAGGATAAGTGGGGACTATCATATGGCCCCAGTTCTCAAGAACCAAGAGCTTTGCTTCTGGGCATCTCAAAAAGGAGGAGAGCAGACCAGAAAACAGGATAGAAAGTCATTGTGTTTTAGGAGGTGGGGCTGGGGATTTTGATGCAAATATTCATTAAATGAATGCATTTAACTACCTATGGAATGATGAAAGCCATTTGCTAAAAGCAACACTTCTTTTAATACTCATTTTGAAGTTTCTATGTGTGTTTTGGGACCATCTGTGGCCCAAGCCCACCAGATATCTAAGTGGTCTTTCACTCATCATGAAAACAAGCTATCCTTCTAATAGGGAACTAATGTCACTAAATTGAGCAGTTTTCCCTGGAGAAGGGCATTAAGCCAAGCACACATTCTGCAGGCCAGGCTGTAACCAATAGCGAGCTTTAGCAGTGCACCCCTTCTAGGGGTTGCTGAGCATAGCAGCCAAAGACAAGCTTCAGCTCAGAATCCTAGGGGTTGAACCCATGACCTTCTCCTCATTAGCTTAGCTGCCAAGAGCCTCGTGTTCCTCCCTCTGAGAAGCAGACAGGGCCATGCCCTGGGAATAGTCTGGACAGGCCAGAGCTCTAGGCCAGCCTACCAAGAGAATTGAAATTCTGCAGATGGCATTATCCCTGGGGGCTGGTTTAGCAACCAACACCAGACCCATGGGAAATCCCAGGGAAGTTTCTCAGCATTGCGAATGGTAACAACCAAAACCTACTGGGGTGCCACCTCTCTCCTTTTGTACTTTAGCTCCAGAGAACCCCAGTGGCTACCTGTCAGGGGCAGATAAATCCCATGCCACCAGTCCATCAATCCCAAATCCCACTGTCCCTCCTGGAGTCTATGGCAGGCAGACTCAGCAGCCACAAGGGCTGTCATTGAAGTGAGAAATACCATGATGATTAAGTTTGTGTGTTTTCTGGTGGGTGCTGGGAAGCAGTGGCCCTGCTCCCCAGGCTGAGTTATGGGGTAGGTCATTCCCTCATTAGTGGAAATAAATTTTATTAGCCCCACTCTCACGGCAATGTATCTTCCTCTCTTGCTCCTCGGGTCTAGGTGTGGGTCTGGGTAATGTTGCCTGCGTGTGGGATAAATCAGCCGAACAAATCCCATTATATTTTGGAACACTGACGGAGACACAGTAATGGCACAGAGACCAGGGAAGGGAGTGGGCTGCTTCTCTCCCACTGACCCCGTTTCCTGCCCATAGGGCCACACACACTAGGGAAAACATGTAAATTGAGAGGCCAGATGGAGAAGAGCTCTCTCAGTTGTCTCTTTCTCCTTCTCTCCACTGACTTTCTTGATAAAAGAAACAAGCCTGGTGTGGTGATGTGCAGTCCTTCCCTTATACCTTACAAAAACTAAGGGACATGTGAAGGTAACAGCAGCAAGCACTGGCCCAAAATGTGTCTTGTCACCCAAATGCATTATCTTATCATTCATAACCTGTGCTATATAGAAAGGAAGGCAATTGGAGGGAGGCCGAGGTGGGTGGATCACCTGTCAGGAGTTTGAAACCAGCTTGGCCAGCGTGATGAAACCCTGTCTGTACTAAAAATACAAAAATTAGCTGGTCGTGGTGGCGCATGCCTGTAATCCCAGCTACTCAGGAGGCTGAGGCAGGAGAATCGCTTGAACCCGGGAAGCATGGGTTGCAGTGAGCCAAGATCGCGCCATTGCACTCCACCCTGGGCAACAAGAGTGAAACACTGTCTCAAAAGAAGAAGGAGAAGGAGAAGAAGAAGGAGGGGGAGGGGAAGGGGAAGGGGAAATAATAATAATAAAGGCAGCTGGAGCACATCCTAGGGCCTGAGATACCAAACACCACACCTGCATTAAGCACAGCCCAAATCTCTCAAAAGCAGGTATTGGTGAAGGAAAAAAAATTCTAAGCATGAAATCACTGCAATATTATTACGCCCCTTTCTGTCCCCTTGGGTGGTTATTATAACTAAAGGAGGAGACACAGGATGATGCTATGAAGATGTTTGAGTGTCCTATGAATATAAGGGGCTGTGTGTCTATCGTTATTAACATCTGTATATTTCTCTTTCCTTAGGAGCTTCCGGACTCTTTATTAAAAGGATACTTTTTTATCATCTCCTTCTTGAAGATAAAATGTGTGATTCAAAGCAAAAGGGAAACTGCTTGCCCAGTGATATCTCACAAGCTGGGACTGGCTGAGACCCAAAGATCCTGACTCCTAGACCAGTAACCCGGCCAAGACGCCACCCTGTGAGGACGAAAGGAATTGAAGGGAAGGCCCAGAAGTCCAGATCTGGATTGTTAAGTAGGGCTGGTCTATGTGCCCATTGAACAAGAGGTCTGGCTTCCCATTTTGGCAGGGTTATCTCACACTGCATGAGGCGTGTGTGTGTGAGAGAGAGAAATCTCATTGTACTTGCTGCTGAGCAGAGTGTGTGGGGGTGAGGGAGAACAAGTCACAGAAATAGGGAGACAGAGAAAGGCTAAGAGAGGACCGTGCACCAAGAGTGTGAGTGAGTGAGCAAGAGGAGAGAAACAGAGAAAGCAACAGACAGCAACGAGGAGGACAGACATCAAGGACAGAAAGAATGGGTGTGTGCACATGGGTGTGCTATGGGTGTGTACGCCACTGTGCTCGGGCTCATGACATGCAGTCCATGTCTCAGTATTGTGAGAGCACACATCCTCAAACCTGACTTTGTGCTAAGCTCTCCTGGCAGCAGTCTGCGTTAAAATTCAGCCTGTGTGACTCCTGGGTCCCGCCTCACTCCCTGCTGACCCGATGGCCTCCAGGGTGGGCATCCTGGGAGAGTACATCCAGCCTAGGAAGCCAGCCTCAACTTTGCTCCTGCCAAACCCAACACATCGCCCAGGGCTCAGCTACCTGTCACACAAAGCACCATGCACACTAGTCTGGGATGGGACTTTTACTGCAAACCCTGCTGGCCAAAAAGAGGGAGGTGGGCGGGCCTTTCACCTAAATACCTGAGACAGGTGCCATCTCCGAGAGAGTGGGAAGACTTGATTCTATAAAGATTGGGGCTGTGATATGTCAGGCACCCAGTGCTAAATAAGAAATCTGGAGTACAGGGTCATGGGCCATGAGAGGTGGGCACTCAGACCAATGTGTTAGATTTTTGATGTGTGCATTTATTGGGACATGAGTGTGGCATGGGCCATGGTGTGTATGGCAAGTGTAGTGGAGATGAGAGAGGAAGGATGGTGCGGGGAAGAGGAGGAGTTCCAGGTCTAGAGAGGACAAGAGCTGAGCAGAAAAAGCAAGCCTCGTCTAATGCCATAAACAACAGGATACAACCCCATCAAGTCTGAGCCCTGTGCTTCCTGCTGACAGGGAAAAGAAAACACCCCAAGAAGACCTGCAGAAGCCAGGCCCCAGAGCCTGGGATGCCTGCCTGGCCATTCCGGATGCTCACTTTCGTGGAGTTTCAGGATCTCAGGCGCCAGACCAACCTGAGTAACCACCCAGACTGGAATGTGAGGCCAGCCCAAGTCCAAGGGGGTGACCCTGTCTCCTGCTCAGGACTGCCATGCCTAGGAAACCAGTGAGTCAAAGGAACGGCACGTGGAAGGGGACCTCCATCGCCACCCAGTCATGCACACAGCAGGGCAGGAAGGGGAGCTTTGGGTTAAAAAGAAACAGCTCCATCTCCTGTGCCTGTGTGGCCCTTGTGGGACTACACAGGGCTGGTGGGTAAACTCCAGAGTCAGGTGGGAGCTGGGTCTAGCAATGGTTCTCAACGAGAGGCTTCTGGAAATGTGAGAGGTTTTCTAGTCTTGTAGTGGCTGGGAACTTCCACTGGTGCTCAGCACTGTAGGGCCCCGGATCACAAACGCCCTACAATATCAGGCAGTCCCTGCACCAAGAACTGCCCACCCCAGACACTGCTAGCACACTCTTGTGAAACACCACGGGAAGAGCACCAAGCTGAGAATTAGGATACAGAACAGCCTTCAGTTTACTAATTACATGACCTTGAGTGAAACACTTGAGTTTTGTGTTCCTCCATTCCCTCAACTGCAGAGGATGCCTGCCCTTCCATTATCCTACAGTATTGTTGGGAGAAGAAAAGTTGTGAGAAAGCCCTTGTTAACCATCAGGTACCATGCAAACTCCAGTGTGTTATTTCCAGACAGCCGGGAGGTCTCTGCCCTCTGCTCCCACTACTGGGGTTTGACAGGTGTCAGTTGGTGATGCTGGATAATAGTTTCTGCTCCAAGGACCCAAATTTTCTAGTTGAGGGACACTCAGGTCAAGGCTTGACAGGGAGATTGAGAAGCTGATTTCTGCACCTTCTGCATGCCACCTTTCTCCACACCGCCTAATCAGTACTATGGCCGAGACTATCTGACTCCCATACCCATGGCTCAATCAGTTCCAAAGTCAGGGAAGACTGAAGTGGAGTGAATGACAGTCACTCCCATGACCACAGCCATTGTTCCCATCACCCAGGCCATAATGACCTGCTGGTGTGCATCTCTCTCCTCCACTGTGTGGGCTCCTGGAGACAGATGCCATTCCACAATGCTTGGTATCCACCAGGAGGGAGTGCATTGCCAAGCCCTTCCCTAGGGCTCCATATATGTTTCACCATTCATTAGTTTATTAAGAGGTGCTAGTTCGTTAGTGTTGGATGAGGTTGCCCCAGGAAGGTGAAGAAAGGAGAGAAGGTATAGATAACCCTATGCCTGGGGAATTCTGGGATGCCAGGTGCTTGGTCAAACCCAGCATCTTCTCCAGCCAGCTGCCCACTCCAAGTCAGGAGTGTCAGGTCCCCCCCAGAGAAGGACAGACAGCCATCACCTTCTCCTGCATAAGGTCCTGGCACATGACAGAGGCCACAGGTGTGGGCTCCCCAGCCTTACTGTCTGTCACATGCTCTGCAGACAGGGGGCCTCAGGGAGCCTGGATGGCAGCCTTCAAAAGGGGCTGGGGATAGAGATGCACCAGTGATAAGCCACAGAAACTGAGAAATGAAATCACTGCCATTCCCCACATGAGTGCTCATTAGCAAATCAGTCTCAGCTTGACCTCTAGTCCCCTGAGTCCCAAGACAATTGGGGCTCTGACAGACCCTCTAGGACCCCCCCTCATACCCATGTCCTCATGAGATCCTCAGAGTTACTTTCAGATACTAACCCACTTGTTCTGGGAGACCTCTTTCCACCCAGGCTGGAGAAAGCCAGGACAGGGGTAAAGCATGGCTCAGAGGGTGAAGGCGGAAGCTGCTGTTCCCACCCTCCACTGACACCAGAAAGCCCCAGCTGCTTCCCTAGCCTCCACACTTGGTGCCCACTCAGGAATGTACATTTGTGACAGGTTCGTTTATGTCCACAGCAACACATTCCCATGAGGAGGCCACTCCTGGCCAACCAGCCCTCATCTCCAATGGGAGCACAGCCGGCCTTCCCTGATTCACCTGAAGTTGAGGTACAGCTGAGCTCTCTGGGGGCTGCAGGTCAGCAGGTTCTACCCCAACGGCCCAAGACTTTTCCCTCTGTGCGGTCCTCAGGCTCTGGCCTGCCCAGTGCTCTGTGGATGCTCCCTGGCACAAGGGGCCTTGTAGTAGGGGTTCTTCTTCCCATTCCTTCCTATCCCCCAAATGAACACAGCCAAAGCAGGTGCTGGGACCTTGTGAAGGAGGCAGGTGGCCCAGGAGTTTTGCGGATCCCGGCTCTGAGTTCTGGAGGTGTGAGTTCAGGGGGAAGAATGTGGGTCTCAGGATGTGGAAAGGGCTAGAAAAGCCTGAAGAGCCCCATGGGAGGAGCATTCTAATTTAGAGAGCTGGTACAGCCTGGAGCACAGTTGACATTCATTGCTACTCAAATCCCTTCTTCAAGCTTTTAGAGTTGTAACTATGATAAAACCCACAGGGGACCCCTTACCCTACAAAATACAAGTCCTAAAAGCCAACCTCCTGGGCCTTGCCCTGCCCTCTGTCATCTTCCTACAACAGAAACACCACAGGACAGAGGTCATCTGGGACTGAGTTCTCAATTCACAGGGCTCAAGGGAGTGTCAGACTCCGTGACAAGAGAGATCTCCAGAGTTCATCTTGTTCATCCTCCACCTCTAGGCAGGAAGGGAACAAGAAAACCAACCCAACAGCCTTGTAAATGAGTTGAGGAAGAGCTGGGTTTGCAAATGGTGCCATCGGGGCAACACAGAGCCTGGCCTGGCCGATGTCGCACGAAACACGTGTGGTCTGAGCCGACTCCAAAGGAATCGTAACAGGAGGGTGGGAGCAAAGGAACTCGGGTATCTGCCAAATCAAAGGAAACTGATACTGTGCATTAAACACCAGCCTGGCCTTTTTCAGACTGGCTGGAGAGACAGCCCCAGGCCTGTGCAGAGTTTCTGGCCTCCTCCTTTCTACTCTCGGCCCTGAACTTGCCTGTAACTTGAAAGGGCTAATTAAAGCCAAAAGAAAAATCAAAAGCTTGTTATCTTGCTCCATTACTCCCCGTCCCGGCATTAGCCTGTCTTGCAAAGCTGTTTTCCCTCTATTCTCTCCAAGGCTACCACACGGTGTTAGGACCTGCAGCTCTGCAGACTTCCATGATGAACTTGGCTTTTTGTATTGTGGCAGGAAGCAACGGCAGCACGAACACTTGCCCATGGGCAGCCAGACGGACGCCTGCAGCTGATTTTTCTCCCAAGAGCATCGCCCAAAAAGTCAGGGTTTTAAGAAAGTTTTCTACAGGAAACTGTCAGAGATTGCCAACTCCTCTGGTCTCAAAAGAACTTGTTGTTGTTTAGTAAGTGCACAGTATAAACTTGCCGTCTTCTAACATAGGCCTGCATATGTGTGCATGCTCGTGGGGAATTTATTACATGTATGCATGTATGGGTGTCCTGCAGGCAAGGGGGATTCTCTTCAATTGGTGGCTCTGTTACTCACTCCTAAGATGTGTGACCTTGGGCAATTCATTCAGCTTGCTGAGTCTTGAGATACTCAATGCAAAATGAATTTTTAGGCCAAGGCTCTCTAAAGGCCTTCTCAACACCAACATTCTAATACATCTCACCACAGACCCATGTTTGAGTGTCTAATAGACATGTCCAGAACAGCCTCTGTCATTAGCTGCCTTCGTTTGGAAGCAGTCCATACCCCCGTAAGTTCACAGACCTGTCTCATGGACTCTCTTAAGTGGCTCCACTACTGCCCCAAACAAAGGGCTCCAGGGGCATTCCCAAAGGTTGTCACCTGCTAGGAAGACTCAGTAGATAAAGTGGAGTCCCCTCCATTCTCCAGTCTGGCTCTGATTTGTCAACTTTTTGCTGCCCTGCTTGGTCCATAGCACCTCTCCTATTTCCTTTGTGACATCAGGGAACTCCTGGATTTTCAAGACCTCCAAGAAGAGACGACATCTCTTAGTTTCAGCTGGCCCAGTGCCTGGAAGACTTGACAGTGGAAAACAGCTTAAGCCTAATGCCAGGGCACCATCTTTCTCCTCCCTCTTCCCTATCTCCAACCCAAATCCCAAAGACCAGAGTGATGGCCTCTCCACACTCTGGCTGGGGAGGGTGCCAGTCCCCACTGAGATCTGCCTGGCACATAGTTATACTTTATGAAAGGAAATTTACACTTTTTTAAACAACCAAAATACATTTCCTAATATGGAACTCCACCAAAGTTTAAGGAGTCAAGAATCACATCAGTATGGATGCGTACTTCTGTCCAATGGATACATTTTCCTTTCTTCTTCTCCCCAAATTAAAATTAGAGAATTGATGTTCTCAGACTAGGTTCATAATCTTTAAAATGCACAGTTATAAAAGGAAAAGGACAAGAACACTGAAGATGCTGATAGCTGAGCCTTCCAAGTCACCCAAAGAATGATAGTGAAAAAGCAGGACCATTGTGAAGAGGAACAGAGTCAAGCCACAAGAAGGGGGATGCTTTTCATGGTGGGGCACACGTGAGCTAGGCTGTGACAGGCAGGAGTCTGTGTCCCCTGCTTCACCTGGGGTAACCCAGCAAGGCCATACCCACCAGCCATGCGAAGACCCCTAAGCCAACCCTTCTCCTGCTCTCCCTCTGGCTC